>NC_000005.10:56359807-56984807 GCF_000001405.40 Homo sapiens
GGGAATTATTTACTGCTGCTGAAAACAGGACCCCGGGTTCAGACTTTGCTTTTGTTTGCTTTTTAAAAAATGTTTCCAAGTAACTCCAAAATACATGATACCTCAAGTCTCACGTGATTGTAACAACCAAGATTCATGAATAGCCATGAATGTGTTGTTTGTCATTAACATCAGTTTTCTCCCTTTGGGGCTAAAGAAGGAGCAGAAAGAACAGAGAAATCAGAATGCGAGTGGGACTTGTACTTCATAAAACAGCCAGAGGATCCTCCTATAAAACTGCATGGGATTTTTGGCTTTGTCATCTGGGAAATTGAGAATTTGCCTGTGATGTGAGGAGTGACTGCTGACATCAGTGGAGATGGATGAATACGTTTTGTATTACACCAATAATTAGAAGGGATCTCAAAAATCCCACCATTTCACCAGTTTCATACATAAATTTTTAAACTTTGGCTAGCAGTGATGAGTACCATTTGCTTAGCACTTGACTGCTTCAGAATGCCTTTCACAACGATATCTGTGCTATTTCTTTTATATTTTCAACTTTTAAAAACATTTTAATTGAGATATAATTCACATACCATAAAAGTCACCAATTTAAAGTGTACAGTTCCATGGTTTTTAGTATATTTGTGGTGTAACCACAACTACAATCTAATTCCAGAACATTTACATCACCCCCAAAAGAAAAGCCCTTTCCATTAACAGTCATTCCCGATGCCTGTCCAACCCTCAGCCCTTTCTAGGCAACCGCTAATCTACTTTCTGTTTCTATATATTTGCCTATTGTGGACTTTTTATATAGATGGAATCATACAGCTGTGGTCTTTTGGGTCTGTCTTTTGCTTAGGATAATGTTTTCAAATTTCATCCATATAGTAGCATGCATCAGTCCTTTATCATATTACCCAATAATAGTGTGGATATAACACATTTTATCTATCCTTTCATCAGTTGATAGACATTTGAGTTGTTTCCACTTTTTTCTTTAATTTTTAGTTGACACGTAATAATTGTACATATTTATGGGATGCAGAGTAGTATTTCCATATGTGTATACCATGTATAATAATTCAGGGGAATTAGCACATCCATCACCTCAAACTTGGATCATTTCTTTGTGTTGTGAACATTAAAAATCCTCTCTTCTAGCTTTTTGAAAATGTACAATAAATTCTGGTTAACCACATCCCCCCTGTGATGCTGCAGAACGCCTGAACTCATTCCTCTTATCCAACGGTAATTCCGTAATTGTTAATCAGCATCTCCCCATCCTCCCTGCCCCGCCACCCTTCCCCGCCTCTAATACCCACGATTGTACTCTACTTTTTCTTAGCTCTCTCATGCATGAGAACATGTGGTATTTATCATTCTGTGCTTCTCTTATTTTATTTAACATCATGTCCTCTGTGTTGCTGCAAATGACAGAATTACATTTTTTTTGTGGCTGAACAGTATTCCATTGTGTATATATATCACATTTTCTATTTAACTTTTATTTTAGGTTTGATGGTACATGTGAAGGTTTGTAATGTAAATAAGCTTGTGTCATGGGGGTTTGTTGTACAGATTATTTTATCACCCAGCTACAAAGGCTAGTACCCAATAGTTATTTTTTCTGCCCCTCTCCTTCCTCCCATCCTCCACCCTCAAGTAGGTCCCAGTGTCTGTTGTTTCCTTCTTTGTGTCCATGAGTTCTCATTATTCAGCAACTACTTACAAGTGAGAACATGCGGTATTTGGTTTTCTGTTCCTGCATTAGTTGATAAGGATAATGGCTTCCAGCTCCATCCAGGTTCCCACAAAAGACATTATCTCATTTTTTTATGATTGCATAATATTCCATGGTGTATATGTACCACAGTCTTTAAATCCAATCTGTCATTGATGAGCATTTAGGTTGATTCCATGTCTTCACTATTGTGAATAGAGCTGCAATGAACATACAAGTGCATGCGTCTTTATGGTTGAATGACTTATATTCCTCTGGGTATATACCCAGTAATGGGATTGCTGGGTTGAAAGGTAGTTCTGTTTTCAGCTCTTTGAGGAATTGCTACATTGCTTTCCACGATGACTGAACTAATTTACACTCCCCCCAACAGTGTTCTTTTGGGTTCTTTTTTCTCCACAACCTGGCCAGCATCTGTTATTTTTGGACTATTTATTTACTTATTCATTTTTGAGACAGAGTTTTATTCTTGTTTCTCAGGATGGAGTGCATTGGCGCAGTCTTGGCTCACTGCAACCTCTGCCTCCTGGGCTCAAGCAATTCTCCTGCCTCAGCCTACCAAGTAGCTGGGATTACAGGTGCCCACCACCATGCCTGGCTATTTTTTTTTTGTATTTTTAGTAGAGATGGGGTTTCACCATGTTGGCCAGGCTGGTCTTGAACTCCTGACCTCAGGTGATCCGCCTGAGGTGCTCGGCCTCCCAAAGTGCTGGGATTACAGGCGGGAGCCACTGTGCCCGGCCATTTTTTGACTCTTTAATAGCCATTCTGACTGGTGTGAGATGATATCTCATTGTGGTTTTGATTTGCATTTCTCTAATGATCAGTGATATTGAGCTTTTTTTAAATATGATATTTGGTCACATGTATGTCTTTATTTTGTTAACTTTCATGTTTATTTATTTTTTTTTGAGGCAGAGTTTCATTCTGTCACCCACACTGGGGTGCAGTGGTGGGATCTTGGCTCTCTGCAACCTCTGCCTCCTGGGTTCAAGGGATTTTTGTGCCTCAGGCTCCTGGGGAGCCGAGACTACAGGCGTGTACCATCACACCTGGATAATTTTTGTATTTTTAGTAAAGATGGGGTTTCATCATGTTGGCCAGGCTGGTCTTGAACTCCTGACCTCAAGTGATCTCCCTGCCTCAGCCTCCCAAACTGCTGGGATTACAGGTGTGAGTCACGGCACCCAGCCCGTCTTCTTTAGAAAAGTGTCTGTTCATGTCCTTTGCCCACTTTTTAATGTTTTTTTTGTTTGTTTTTCTCTTGCAAATTTGTTTAAGTTCCTTATAGATGTTGGATATTAGACCTTTGTCTGATACATAGTTTGCAAAAATTTTCTCTGCTCTGTAGGTTTTCTGTTTACTCTGTTGATAGTTTATTTTGCTATGCAGAAGCTCTTAAGTTAATTAGATGCCATTTGTCAATTTTTGCTTTTGTTGTGATTGATTTTGGCATCTTCATCATGAAATCTTTGCCTGTTCCCATGTCCAAGATGGTATTGCCTAGATTGTCTTCTAGGGTTTTTATAGTTTTGGGTTTTACATTCAAGTCTTTAATCCATCTTCAGTTGACTTTTTTATATGGTATAAGGAAGGGGTCCAGTTTCATTATTCTGCATGTGGCTAGCCAGTTATCCCAGCACCATTTGTTGAATAAGGAGTCCTTCCCCACACTGCTTATTATCTGTGCTATTTCTAGAATTATTTGCAATTAATGGATTCAGAAACTGAGGCTCAGTGTGTGTGTGTGATTTGCCCAAGTTTCCCTCTCTACCATTTTCACTCTATACCTGCGGTTCTCAAGGAAAGACGATTTTGCCCCCCAGGGGAAGTTTGGGACTATCTGGAGACATTCTTGGTTGTCTCAACTAAAAGGTGCTGTTGGCACCTATGTTGGGTAGAGGCCATGGTACTGCTAAACATCCTAGAATGTACAAGACAGCACCCCCCTCCTCCCTGCACACACACAAAGAATCATCCATCCCCAAGTGTCAACAGCACCAAGGTTAAGAAATCCTGCTCTATATATTCTCACTTTAAAGTTTCTCTTTGATTTCAACTACTATCTTTATGCTGGCAACCTTTAAATCTATATTTGCTATTTCCAAAGCTCCATGGTCTTGTTGCTAACTGCCTAACAGAGACTTCTACCTGATTTTCATTTGGGAATGTTAAACACAATAAATTAAAAAGTAATATTCTGAACCTCCTATATTCTGATCTTGATCACTGCCCCTACCATCTAGGTTTTCTCAAGTGAGAAACATGATTGCAATGTGATATGGTTTTGTTATGTCCCCACCCAGATCTCACTCTGAATTGTAATAATACCCGTGTGTCAAGGGCCAGGCCAGCTGGAGATAACTGAATCATGGGGGCAGTTTCCCCCATACTGTTATCATGGTAGTGAATAAGTCTCATGAGATCTCATGGTTTTATAAATTGGAGCTCCCCTGCACAAACTCTGTCATTTCTGCTGCCTTGTAAAATGTCCCTTTGCTCTTCCTTCATCCTCTGTCATGATTGTGAAGCTTCCCTAGCCATGTGAGTCCATTAAACCTCTTTCTTTATAAATTACCCAGTCTCTGGTATGCCTTTATTAGCAGCATGAGAATGGACTAATACACCACGCTTGATCTTTTCCTTGCTGTTCTCTTCCTCACTTTCCCCAATCCAATCATGTGACATATCTTTCAAATACATCTGAGAGACATCTCTAGCCATTGGTCTCCACTGACACTCTTAGCACTGGTCCTCATCATCTCTCAGGACAAACTCTAGCAAACCATGCCTGGAACTCTTCTTGGCAAACCATGCCTGGAACTCTTCTTAGCACCCATGAGGTATTATCATCCTCATTTTAGAGATGAAGAATGAAGGTACACAGAGATTAAGTGATGGAGTTGATAAAGGAGCTAGGCTTTGAACACAGGCCAGACTCTTGTCTACTGACCATTACACTCAGGTACCTCTTGAATCATCTTGGCCTCAACTTCTATGTTTTCCTACATGAACCATGTGCTCAAGTTATTCTGAAGATTCTCCTTGCTTTCTAGGGCTTTTTACATTTCCTGTGCCATTGAAAATGATATTTCCTCTATCTGGAATGCTCTTTCTTCTTTGCTTGCTGTTAGTTCCTACCAGTCTTCCAAGACCAACTCAGATAACAGCTCTTCAAGGCAGGAATCATGTCTTATTTATTATTTTTTAATCCCAGCACTGTATCTGTTTCATAATAGGTACCCCAATATCTATTAAATAAAAGAAAATGATTATTTCTCTTTCTACTACTTCCAAGGCAAAGTTATTTTGCAAATATTTTCTATTGAAAGCAGCTCCATAGATATCCCATTCCTGCCTTAAGGCAACTGATTAGAAGTGGATGCTTGTGTATAGGTATATATGAGGGCAAGATTCTCTGAAATATATTGACTATATGAATTCAATATATACAGTAAGTCCTCACTTAATGTTATCAATATGTTCTTGGAAACTGTGACTTTAGGAGAACTTAGGTATAATGAAACCAATTTTACCATAGCCTCGTTGATATAAGCAAGAGTTAAGTTCTGGTCATTTCTGGTCACAAAAACATCCCTAAACTTATAAATAAAGACCTAAAATGTTTCTAGTATTAAACATTAAAATAAATGTGAGCTATTCAAACATTTAAGAAAGATGAAAAAAAACCAAGTAAGATAATTATTTACCCACTAATTCCAGTTCAGGGTCAAGGGTGTCCAGAGCCTGTCTCAGGAGCTCAGGGTGCAAGGCAGGAACCAGCCCTGGACAGGATGCCATTCATCGCACGGCACACTCACACGCACCCACACTCATTCCCAGTTCACTTCACGGGCACATCTTTAGGACTGGGAGGAAACTGGAAGACTCAGAGAAAACTCGCTCCAGAAATGGAGTGAACATGCCAACTCCACACAAACAGTGGCCCTGTCTGAGAGTTGATTTTTTTTCTCATCAACATTATAACAAAATGACATTGAACAAAATGATGTTATCCGAGGACCTGCTGTATTGTATTGGCCATAGGAGTTTGAAGAGGTGGCATCAGCAATGTTCTGAAGGGCACCAAACACTCCTAAGGTTTGTTTATGGCCCCACATTTCTATCTCAATTTGAAAATAAATCTCTTCTATGTAGCCTGGTCAAATAAACATTTGTTATAACAGTAATTTATTTCAAATAATTCATGTCAGTGTAGAAGAAATCAAAAGGTGTTTATATTGGAAAGTCTATCCCAAATTCACATCACTCTAACAACTTTCCTCTCCCTCTCCCCTATCCCTTGATACCATATGTAGTTGACGTAAAGATACAATATGGTACAGGGATTTAAGGTCATTCTAATTTCTATTTTCATTACAACTATCATAAGGCATAGGAGAAGACAAGCATTTCCTGGCAAGCAACTTTTTTTTCATCATCAGCAAAAGAGGAAAATATAAATATGGTATAGGGAAAAATATCCTCTGGAAAGACCATAAAGTTGCCTTAATTCAGAAACAAAATCTGTGTATCCCCTGTTCCATTAATTCTCCCATACTATTAGCTATTGGAAGATGAGGATGAAAGCTGAAGATAAACAAGTAGTGTTTGGAACTAAGGGACTAGAGCTGTGAGCACCAATCAACCTGGGCCCCAAACGTAATTTTACTGTGGACAAAGAAAGCCCTGTTCAAGAGTTGTAAGTGTTAAAATGATTACTGAGATATGGCCCCTGCTCCTTGGAAGATGCAAAAAAGTGTAATAAAGACCGTTCTTTTCTGTAAGTTTTTAGTAACATGAAAGTTAAGTCTTGCAGTTTTTGATAACATGACATTTTAAAATGTCTTTTATTACCAATGAGGGTAATTGTTCAGGATGAACACATTTTTATGTGATAGTTCCAGCATCCTGTCCCCAGAGGATCTTAGCTTTGTTTCTGAAAACCCATAAAATAAAGGTGGAATCATAGTCATTGGCAATCTTTCTGAGGGGTTCCGAAGTGTGAATAATTTAGTCTCAAACACAGTGGCTATATGTGCAAAAACGGCAAAATGAATCTGTGTCTATCCAGGGAAACAAAAGATCTATTTCTTTTGTTATCTATTAATACACCCCCCATCATTAGCACTGCAGTGGCACCTCTGTTTGATGGTGCATTTTCTTTCTTTTTCTTTTTTTTTTTGGAGAGGGAGTCTCAGTCTTTTTGCCCAGGCTGGAATGCAATGGCGTGATCTTGGCTCAACCTCCGCCTCCCAGGTTCAAGTGATTCTCCTGCCTCAGCCTCCCAAGTAGCTGGAATTACAGGCACCCACCACCATGCCCGGCTAATTTTGTATTTTTAGTAGAGACGGGGTTTCGCCATGTTAGCCAGGCTTGTCTCGAACTCCTGTCCTCAAGTGGTCCACCCATCTCGGTCTCTCAAAGTGCTAGGATTACAGGTGTGAGCCACTGTGCCTGGCCTGATGGTGCACTTTTTTTTTTTTTTTTTTTTAAGATAATTTCCTCTGCTTTGTGGGAAATCAGTAAGTGCTCTTCTCTTGGTGTCTTAGTCCATTTGGGCTGCTCTAACAAATTACCGTAGACTGGATGGCTTAAATTACTAACATTCCTTTCTCATCATTCTGGTGGCTAGATCTCTGAGATGAGGGTGCCAGCATGGTGGGGTCCTAGTAAGAGACCTCTCCTGGGTTGCAGACTGCTGAGTTCTTATATCTCCACATGGCAGAAAGAGGGTGTGAGAGCTCTCTGGAATCTCTTTTATAAGGGCACTAACTCCATTCATGACCTAATTACTTGCTGAAGGCCCCACATCTTAATACCATCACTTTGGGAGTTTGGATTTAAACACATACATTCAGTTCCATAACACTTGGGCATAATTCTGCCCCCCTCAGAGAACAGCTAAAGTGGTTGTGGAGGCTGCTCTCAATTTTCTAATGCCAGGGCTTCTCTTGTTAACATCTCTTTCACCCAGCTACTCCCCTTTAAATTATATCCCACATCTAACTGCTTCTGGCCACCTCCACTGCTCTAGCTCTGGTCCAAGCTGCTAGCAGGGCCGACCTGCAGTATTGCAACAATAAGCTCACTGTTGGGCTTTCTGCCCCTGCCCACTTTAGTCAATTATTGTGCTGCAGCCAAAGGCAAGGATATAGCAAGTATCCCACTTTGGGGTGTTTAATCTTGCTAATATGTAAGTCAGAACAGGTCACTCCTCTACTTTAACCCCCAGGGCTCCCCCATTTCACTCCACAGAAGCCAGGTACCTTCAAAGGCTTTTAAAACTCTGCATAAACTGACTCTTCATTATTTCTCTGTCTTCATCTACTACCAGGTTCCCTCTTGACCACATGTGCCATATCCTGGCCCACCTCCTTGCTGATCCGCGAATATGGTTATGCTCTTGCCTCAGGGCCTTTGCACATTCCTCTGTCTGAAGCTCTTCCTCCCAAATGTCCACACAACACAACTTACTCCCTCCTTCCCTTGGGGATTTACTCCACTGTCACCCTTCCAATCAGGCCTACCCTGACATCCCTACTTAAAATGGTGATGCCCCCACCATTCCCCATCTCCCCACCCTTGCCTTATATCTTTCATGGTAATGCCAGCATGCTGTGTATTTTATTTATGTGTTGTGTTTATTTTCTACTTCCCCAGTTAGAATGCTTGATCAATGAGGGGAAGGATTTTTTATTCCTTTTTTGCTGCTGTATTCTCAGTGCTTAGAACAGAGACTGGCATTTGGAAGGCTCTTAGAAATTTTTGTTAATTAGATTAATGAAATGGAGAACAGCAGGTTCTTTCTTGCACAAAGGTATAGGAGGTAACGTGCCTTATATACTCTCCTTCCTTCATCCCTCACTCTTAATCCCTTTTCAGCTTACACATACTGCTTAGTTCTTAAACCTGATATTTCTTGGAAGTGACATGACCAGGGACCACATTCTAGTTGCAGTCTGCAGTGTTAGTTCTTGGACTACAAGGGCACACCTAGCATTGCAGAACACAGAATATCAGTTGCAGCAAATCCATTTTAATGTTTTTTTCCATGTCTTGAGCATATTTGTATGGCTGGCATTCCTGGGTCACCTTAGAACAGTTCTCCCTGTTTGAGAAGCGAGTATTGAAATTTGGGATTCAGTATTCTGAAGATCCATGACAAATACTGAAGTCAGTCTCCCTGGATTTTGTAGGTATTTTTAAGTTAGTCCTTAACTAACTTAAAAATGGATTTCAACTACATTCATGTCAAAAGAGTGATATTTCCTATATTCTGATCTGCTTCTTGCCTGGATAACCCATTGGCAGGATGAAGAAGGCATCGGTAATAAGTTACTGGAATATTTTGAGTAAGACTCTGAAAGAAAGGCCCACAAGAGGAACACGTTTTGAAGGGAAAGTGGGGGCAGGTCAGAAGCTTAGGGTGTAAATCAAGCTGATTGGGGCAGCCAGGCAATAGCCTAGCACTTCACAAATATCACAGAACACATGATGAGCCAAGCACTTTACAGCGGACTTAGGCTAATGTCTTCATTGAGGAAACTGAGGCCCTAAAGGGGGAAGTAGCTGAGCAGCAAGACGGGCACTGAAATTAAACTTCTAAGTTTTGCTCAGGGCCCGCTGATCCAGAATAGAGGCAACGTGCCACCTAAGACTAGCTTAGGGTCTGCCCACGGTGTGGTGGGACCATGGAAGCCTGGCAAACCCCTGCAGGGAAAGAAAGGATCCCAAGTTTCAGTGGGCTCTGAGTGCATCTTCCCCAAGCAAAGCTGTCAGGCCACGTCCCAGACTGCAGCTTGCCTCCTTAAGGCTAAGATGAAGGTTGAGCAAGGGATGGTGCAATTCCGGGTTAGGGAGGTTGAGGACCTTCAAGTGAAACAATGGCTTAGGTGGAAACTCTCCCAAAGTCAGAGCTGCTTGTGGTTAATGTTCCTGCTGCAGCTGTTCTAGACAATGGTACTGAAAGGCTGAGTGTGGGTGAGTTCTTTCTTGACCCTGACTATGTAAAGGGCCTCTTTTTAAATGTTTTGGACTTCATCATCACGCTTTGCACATTAGCATTCTTGAATTTTCTATTTTTGGTGACTTCTAGCCAACAACAAGCCCTCTTATTTCTGTACAATTGCCTCATGGCTTGGGTTGAAATCCCACATAGCAGAGGCAGGGGTGGTATTCTTGTTTCACAAGGGCTCATTTTCTGTCCATGCAGCTCCCTTCAGTCCCCCAGCTCTGGGCTCGCCCCTCTGCTACTCCAGCCTCCTGGTTAGGCAGCCTGCTTTGTCCTGTGGTTTCTGTTGACACAGGACAGATAGTAAGGACACTGCAGCTTTGTGGATGAAGGAAGAACAAAAACTTTAAGAGAATGCCCCCATTAGTGCAGATCTCCTTGTCTCACCAACTCCCTTTACAGCCCAGTGACTTTCATGGCCCAAAGCTGTCAAAAGGCTTCTCCAGAAAGACAGAGCAGCCTGGGCAAGGCCAGGATTGGCAGACATCAGTATGGTATTCTCCAGATATTCTTTAGTAACATTGCAAGATCTGAGCTGGATTTGCTAGAGCTCTTCTCAGATTATCCTTTTGTTTAAAGGCTTCAAATCAAGGCAACACAGCTACAAAGAAGAAACTCTGGTATTGGGCTTCAGAGGTCTATTTTAACGTGTTCTTTATCAACATGTTGTTTTCTGACCAATTCCAAGGTGGTATGACTTGGATCTGTGTCCCCACCCAAATCTCATGTTCAGTTGTAATCCCCATCATTGGAGGTGAGGCCTGGTGGGAGGTGACTGGATCATGGGGGCAGTGTTCTCATGAATAAGGTAGCACCATCCTCTCCATGCTGATCTCATGACAGTGAACGAGTGAGTTATCACGAGATGTGGTTGTTTAAAAGTGTGTGCCCCCCTGACCCCGTCTAGGACTTGTTACTGCCATGTAAGATGCCTGCTCCCACTTTGCCTTCCACCATGAGTAAAAGCTCCCTGAGGCCTCCCCGGAAGCAGACGCTGCCATGCTTCCTGTACAGCCTGTGAGGCAGTGAGCCAATTAAACCTCTTTTCTTTATAAATTACCCTGTCTCAGGTATTTATAGCAGTGCGAGAAAGAACAAATACACAAGGGAAACGCAAAGATGACTAAAAGTCAGACTAGGTTTTTAATGAAATAGGAAAGTAATAGAGATAAATCATCCGAAACAAGAAAGATAAAAGTCAATTTAAGAAAGCTCTTTAAGTCCATGAGGGGGATTATCCTGAAGTTGGGGCTATGTCATTTTCTATTCCATTTAGGGACAAAGTAAAAAGAAAATGGCTCATATTAATAGAGCGATTCAATGTAAAAGAGCTTATTTAATACTTAGAGAGGTTCCTGGGAGATACTATTGGATTTCTTTCTTTGGTGATATATTGATGTATAGATTTAATGCAATCCTGGAATAGGTAACAATCTTGAAAAAGAATAACAAAGCTGGAGGACTCACACTTCCAGACTTCAAAACTTACTACAAGGCTGTAGTCATCAAGACAGTGTGGCACTGGCATACTAACAGACTTATGAACAAAATTGAGAGTCCAGAAAGAAACCCATACATTATATTACAAGTTGTTAATGCATCCATCTGTTCACAGACATTTGGGTTGCTTCTAGTTTTTGGCTATTACAAATAAGACTTGTGTGAACATTTGTTTACAAGTCTTTATATGAACATGCTGTCATTTCTCATGGGAGTGGAATGGCTTTGTCATATAGTAAGTGTATATTTAACCTTTTTTTGCATTTTTTATTGTGGCAAAAAATATATAACATGAGTTTACTATTTTAGCCATTTTGAAGTGTATAGTTCAGAAGTGTTAAGTGTATTTACATTGTTGTGAAATATAATAGATATTCAGATTTTTCTCATCGTGCAAATCAGATACTCTATAGCCATTAAGCAGCAACTCTCCTTTTCCTCCTCCTCCCTATCCCCTGGTAACTATCATTCTACTCTCTGTTTCTATGAATTTGACAACTTTACATACCTCATATAAGTGGAATCACAGTATCTGTCTTTTTGTGACTGGCTTATTTCACTTAGTATAATATTCTCCAGGTTCATCTGTGTTTTAACATGTGACAGAATTTCCTTTCTTACAAGGTTGAATAATATTCCATTGTCTGTTTATATCACATTTTGTTTATCCATCTACCCATCAGTGGACATTTAGGATGCTTCGCTTCTTGGCTATTGTGAATAGTGTTGCTATAAACATGGGTGTGGAAATATCTGTTAGTATACAATTACTTCTTAAGAAACTGCTAAACTCTTCCCTAAAGTGGACATACCAAATTATATTCCAACCAACAGTGCATGAAAGTTTCATTTCTGTCCCTCTCCCTCTCCCTCTCCCTCTCCCCACGGTCTCCCTCTCCCTCTCTTTCCACGGTCTCCCTCTGATGCTGAGCCGAGGCTGGACTGTGCTGCTGCCATCTTGGCTCACTGCAACCTCCCTGCCTGATCCTCCTGCCTCAGCCTGCCGAGTGCCTGCGATTGCAGGCGTGCGCCGCCACGCCTGACTGGTTTTTGTATTTTTTTTGGTGGAGACGGGGTTTCGCTGTGTTGGCCAGGCTGGTCTCCAGCTCCTAACCGTGAGTGATCCGCCAGCCTCGGCCTCCCGAGGTGCTGGGATTGCAGACGGAGTCTCGTTCACTCAGTGCTCAATGGTGCCCAGGCTGGAGTGCAGTGGCATGATCTCAGCTCGCTACAACCTCCACCTCCCAGCCACCTGCCTTGGCCTCCCAAAGTGCCGAGATTGCAGCCTCTGCCCAGCCGCCACCTCGTCTGGGAAGTGAGGAGCATCTCTGCCTGGCCGCTCATCATCTGGGATGTGAGGAGCCCCTCTGCCTGGCTGCCCAGTCTGGAAAGTGAGGAGCATCTCTGCCCGACCGCCATCCCATCTAGGAAGTGAGGAGCGCCTCTTCCCAGCCGCCATCCCATCTAGGAAGTGAGGAGCATCTCTGCCCGGCCGCCCATCGTCTGAGAAGTGGGGAGCGCCTCTGCCCCGCCGCCTCGTCTGGGATGTGAGGAGCGCCTCTGCCCGGCCGCCCCGTCTGAGAAGTGAGGAGACCCTCTGCCTGGCAACCGCCCTGTCTGAGAAGTGAGGAGCCCCTCCGCCCGGCAGCTGCCCTGTCTGGGAAGTGAGGAGCCCCTCCACCCGGCAGCCACCCAGTCTGGGAAGTGAGGAGCGTCTCCGCCCGGCAGCCACCCCGTCCGGGAGGGAGGTGGGGGGTCAGTCCCCCGCCCGGCCAGCCGCCCCGTCCAGGAGGGAGGTGGGGGGGTCAGCCCCCCGCCCGGCCAGCCGCCCCGTCCGGGAGGTGAGGGGCGCCTCTGCCCGGCCACCCCTACTGGGAAGTGAGGAGCCCCTCTGCCCGGCCACCAACCCGTCTGGGAGGTGTACCCAACAGCTCATTGAGAACAGGCCATGATGACAGTGGCGGTTTTGTGGAATAGAAAGGGGGGAAAGGTGGGGAAAAGATTGAGAAATCGGATGGTTGCCGTGTCTGTGTAGAAAGAGGTAGACATGGGAGACTTTTCATTTTGTTCTGTACTAAGAAAAATTCTTCTGCCTTGGGATCTTGTTGATCTGTGACCTTACCCCCAACCCTGTGCTCTCTGAAACATGTGCTGTGTCCACTCAGGGTTAAATGGATTAAGGGCAGTGCAAGATGTGCTTTGTTAAACAGATGCTTGAAGGCAGCATGCTAGTTAAGAGTCATCACCACTCCCTAATCTCAAGTACCCAGGGACACAAACACTGGGGAAGGCCACAGGGTCCTCTGCCTAGGAAAACCAGAGACCTTTGTTCACTTGTTTATCTGCTGACCTTCCCTCCACTATTGTCCTATGACCCTGCCAAATCCCCCTCTGCGAGAAACACCCAAGAATGATCAATTAAAAAAAAAAAAAAAAAAAGAAAGTTTCATTTCTTCCATATCCTCATCATTTGGGTGTGGTCAATCTTATTAACTTTAGCTATTCTGATAGGTGTGCAGTGGTATCTCATTGCAACTTTAATTTGCACTTCCCTAATGACTAACAATGTTGAGCATTTTTTCATGTGCTTATTGCTATCTTTGTATCTTCTTTGGGAAGACTGAGGACACTTAGGTGAAACAATGGCTTGGGTAAAAACTCTCCCAAAGTCAGAGCTACTTGTGAAGTTTCCTGCTTCAGCTGTTCTAGACAATGGTACTAAAGGGCTGAGGTGGGTGTGCTCTTTCTTGACAGTGACTATGATAATGACCCTCTTTTTAAATGTTTTGGGCTTTATCACCCATTCAATCTCTTGTGCAGTTTTGAAATCAGGTTGTTTACTTTCTTACTATTGAGCTTGAGAGTTCTTTATAGAGTCTTGATTCAAGTCCTTTATCAGATTTATGACATCTGATATGATTTCAAATATTTTCTCCTGGTCTGTGGCCTGTCTTTTCATTTCTCTTAACAGCATACTCAAAAATCAGAAGTTTTAAGTTTTATAAAATTCAAATGATCAATTTTAAAAAACGAGTCCTATTTTTGTTGCCATATCCAAGAAATCTTTGTGTAACGCAAGATTGCAAAGATTTTTCCTGTGTTTTCTTCTGGAAGTTTTGTACTTGTGGGTTTCATCTTTAGGCCTATGATCCATTTAAATTAACTTTGGTATATTGTGCAGAATGTGGATCAAAATTTTTATTTTTTATGTGGTTATTTAATTATTACAGCATATTTTGTTGTAAAAAAACTATTCTTTCTTCACTGAATTGCCTTTGTAATTTTGTTGAAAGTTGGTTGTCCATATGTGTGTGAGTCTATGTCTGGACTCTCCATTCTGTTCTGCTGACCTATCTTTACACCATTGCCACACTGTTTTGATTACTGTAGCTTTATAAATTAAAATCAGAGACCATTAGTCCTTCAATGCTGTTCTTGTTTTTCAAAGTTGCTTTGCTTATTCTAGGTCCTTTGTACTTTTATATACATTTTAAAATCAACTTGTCAATTTCTACAAAAATAGCCTACTGGAACTTTAATTGAGATTGCATTGAATGTATACGTCATTTTAGGAAGAACTGATGTCTTACCAATATTGAGTCTTCTGACTCATGAATATGATGTATCTCTCCATTTATTTCAAAATTTATTTTTTCTCAACCATGTTTTATGGTTTTATTGCATATATCTTGTACATATTTTATTGGATTTACCCTTATGCATTTCATATTTTTGATGCTAATAATGGTAATTTAAAAAATTTGTATTTCCAAATATTCATTGCTAAGCTGGTCTGGGTTTCAACTTTTAGATTTGTCTTATTAGATATTTCTGTATCCTCTCATTACTACTGGGTGAGCAGCTAAAGGGTGCTTATTTATTTTTAGAAACATATTGGCCAAATCCTACTTGCTTGGGCCTGGGAAAGGAAAGATCGGACCTGAGTCTGTTTTCACTACCTTCATGCAGGCAGAATCCTTTCCTGATATCTTTATATAAAGGCAACACTTCCATGTGGTTCTTTTCTGGAGCCTCCCAATTCTCTGCCATCCAAACAAAACCCACGGAGACTGAGCTGGCACAACTGTGACCACTTCGCTAATCACTTGGCTTTGGCTGCTGAAGGTCGTAGAGCTGCCTGGCAGGAAATGGGGCACAGACAGCAGGTGGCCCTGCCAGAGCAGCTGGAAAAGTGCTCTATTCATGACAGATTGTACATCATGAACCACAGTGACAGCATGGCATACCTGTCAGCCCCATGGCCGGCCGATTAGGTTAATTAAGGTTTTTGTCTTCAAGCATAATTGTTAGAGCTGTCAGCAGCATCAGTGATGCTAAAATGAAGAATCATATTTAGAGAGTGACACAGAAGATCCAAAAGAATGCTTGTACGAACATAGAAGGCTAAGAGGCAGCGGATTCATTTCAACCCCAGAACAACCTAATTCAAAAATATTGGGGGGAAAAGCAATCATGTTCAGTGGAGTTTATGGTGCTCTGAAAGCATATCTGACTAACATACAGTTGATACCTTGGAGGTTATCTTAGGAGTCCTACAGGTAAGTCTCGAGAAGATAATTCATTTTCCAAAAGCACCAGAACTACAGACTATTTAAGAACAGAACACGTGGAGTTTTAATTACTAATGTGCTTAGCACAGTGGCTGCCCACAAGGACTCCAGAGGCTAAGTAGGAAGTTTTACAGAGTGCATCATTGACTTTTAAAACTTTAGACTGAGGATTAAAATATTTATTTTAAGTAGAATTGGAAGTGTTAACTTAGTGCAATTGCAGAAGCAACAGCAAGGCATCCATGCTTCCAGCTGACTATGCTCATCCATGCCTGGGATTTCATAGATTTCTTTGGTTCTTTGACAACTACTGAGATTCTGATACCTTGAATGGGAGAATAAGTCATTAGGCCTTATCAGTCATTTACATGTTGTGAATGTACCCCAGTGTGAAAGAATTGATCCTAAAGCATTTTCTTCTGGCCCTTGGAGAACATTGTATAAGGGAGATCAAAGAACCTGAAGTGAGTGAAGAGAAGTGAGAGGGGGCAAAGGCATTTTTATAAAAGATGGAGAAAAAAAGAGACTAAAGACTCTAATTCAAATTTCACATAGGAACACATCAAAGTGAAATGGAAAAGTTCTCTGACCCTATCGCAGGACGTGTGACAGGGGTATGGCTCATTTATTTGGTCACCATGCCCAAACCCCTTAAGGAATGAGGAGCATGCAGGTGAGCTGGGGTGAGTGCTTTTGAGCTCTGACCCCACAGCAGTGCTAGGGGTGTTGCAATGCTCTTTTAGCCCTGCTGTCTAGGGATGGCTTAAGTGTTAAACAGCTCAGTGAAGAGTCAGTGTGACAGCCTTTTTGAGTTCCTGCACCCAGTGGGTCCTGAATTCTTGTCCAGCATCCAAGAAGAATCCAGATGGTAAATGCAGGGATTTTACTGAGTGATGGAGGTGGCTTTCAGCAGAATGGGGAGCTGGAGAGGGGATGGAGTGGGAAGATGATCTTCCCCTGGAGTTTGGCTGTCCCAAGGCCTATCTCATCTATGACTGTCCCCAGCTAAACTCCTCTCGACATTCTCCTCTCGACATTCAGATGCTTCCTCTCTTTTCTTCTTCTCTGCCTTGCTGCTCTGCTGCTCTGCCTTTCTGCTGCTCTTCTGCTCATGGAGCCTGGGGTTTGGGGTTTACGTGGGTACAGGATAGGGGGACATGGTGGGCCAAAATACAACATTTGGGCATGAAAACAAGAATGCCTGTTCTCATTTAGGGCTGCAGGTCCAGACTTGAGGGTGAGCCCTTGCCAGGGACCCTGCCCTCTAGCCTCCTGTTCGTATCAAAGTATCAAAGGACACTATCAAAAAGGTGAAAAGACAACCCACAAAATGGGAGAAAATCATATCTGCTAAGGATCTAGTATCCAGAATATATGAAAAATTCTTACAACTCAACAAAAAAAAGATCAAAAACGTGGTTAAAAAATAGGCAAAGGACTTGAATGAAGATTTCCCGAAAGAAGATATACAAATGGCCAGTAAGCACAGAAAATAGTGCTCAATATTATTAATCATTAAGAAAACACAAATCAAAATCACAACAGGGTGCTACTTCACAGCAACTAAAATGTCTATAATCAAGAAAACAAAAATTAACAAGTATTGACAAGGATGTGGAGAAATTGGAACTCTCATACATTGCTGACGGGAATGGAAAATAGTGCAGCCCCTGTGGAAGATAGTTTGGAGGTTCCTCAAAAAGTTAAACATGGAATTACCATATGACCCAGAAATTCTATTGCTAGGCTTATATATGAAAGAATTGAAAACAGATGTTCAGACAAAAACTTGTGCATGAATGTTCCCAGCAGCACAATTCACAATATCCAAAAGGTCTAAGCAACCCAAATGTTCATCAACTAATGAATGGATGAATAAAATGTGGTATATCTATGCAGAGGAATATTACAGTCATTAAAAGGAATAAAGTACCAGTACATGCTACAACATGAATGTCCTTCCAAAACATGATAAGTGAAAGAAGCAAGACACAAAAGGCCATGTATTGTATGATTCTAGTTTTATGAAATGTCCATAATAGGCAAATCTATAGAGATGGAAAGCATATTAGTGGTTTCCAGGGGCTAGAATAAAGGGGCAATGAGGAGTGACTGCTTAAGGAGCCTGGGGCTTCCTTATATGGTGATGAAAAATGTTCTGGAACTAGATAGTGGTGATGTTTGCATAATCTTGTGAATGTACTGAAAACCACTGAATTGTACACTGAAAAATATTTAAAATGGTAAATCTTATGTTATGTGAATTTTATCTCAATTAAAAAATAAATAAGCCACATAGAAGCTCCAGGAACATTTTGGTTAATTCTAGGGAAGCCCAATCTTTGCAAATGACTATTCATGGAGAGGCAATCCAGTGTTATGGGTGATGTCTAGAGAATATGTCACCAGCCCAGTTTCTGTAAAGCATAGTTAGGCAACAGAGCCTCAAAAGTGTAACTCTTTTTTCTATTATTCCTGCTGTATTGTCAGACTACAATGTAGGAATCTGAAGCTGAGTAAAGGAAGACAGGAAAGGGAAACAAATTTCCAACATAAGAAACATAAATGCTCTGAAGCTGAGTTAAAGCCTGAATAATAAGAATTTGTCATAGTCAAAGAAAGTGCCAGGTATCAGACCTCAATATGGAACAAGCAGAGACAGCCTTATCATCCACCCCTTTTTTCTGTCATCTATAACTTCAAGTCCTTGGGCTTTACAGTACACACATCCTCAATCAAGCCAGCAATATACATGTATTTTATAATCTGAAAAGTTATTTGAATTTTGCCCAGATATTAGAAAGTTTCAGTGGTTGATTTCTTCTTCTCTCCCCTTTTCTAGTCACGGTTGAGATTTTTCTTTTTTAATTAGGAAAAACAAAATGGAATTCAATACAGCTGAACCAGAAAGAAAGGCCATGGCAAGTGCTTTGACTAAATTTGATGGTGAAACTAATGATCCCATAATAACTGAATCTCTAATGATAAACCACAGTTAAAGGCACTATATAAAAAGATTTTGTTTTTGTTTTTACCTGAAAACTCATTTGGCTAGACCACGTTAAGTTAAGGGTCATGAGTTCGGTGCTTACATGGGTCTCTTAGTTTCTCTCTTTCATGGCCTCAAACTGTCCCCTTAGGCAGCCATCTTGAAAACATCACCAGGTGAGTTTACCATCCAAACTGGAAGAAAGAACATATTCAAGTCTTTCTGTTTCCATTCTGTCCTCTAAGGAGCTAGAAGTCATCACTCCATACTAACAGCAAGTAAAAGGCTGAACAAACTGAAAAAATCAAGAACCCTTAACTCTCCTTAGATCCAAAAGAGAAGTGAGGTCACAGGGAAAATCATTGCTCTCAAAATTGGACAGAATGTTCTCTCCAGGTAAATATTGAGAATCTTAATTTAATTGGAGCAAAAACCTTAGAGCAGAAAACTGTGGGAACCAGTGCTAGGGTAGGAAAACCTAAATTATAATTGAAAAATTGTTGGAGGCTCAGTGTGGACAAGTCTGAGAGTTAAAAATTCTAGGGAGACTGAGGATTAGAGAGAGATCTCCTGTATTTTTGTGAGTTTTACCTCCAGGAGCTCAACCAGGTCTTCACAGTGAATAATGGTGAAAAATTATCTCATGCTTCCAGCCTGGGAAGGAGGAAGTAACCATTTTGAAAAATGCCAGGGGATTTTGTTCTTCTTAACAAGGCCTGCCCTCAGAATAACCTATTTTATGAGAGCCTAAACTATTGGGTTTTTTTTTTTTGTTTTTGCTTTTGCAGAGTTTAACTGACCTAGGGGAAAGGAAATACTCAATTCCGGCCCCTTCTGGTCTTCCACGTGGGAAAAGGAAAATACGCAGTATCAACCCAACTACCCATCCTGCCCCACCTGAGGATGGGTCAGGGTGGGCTCACTAAAGATGATTCGTGAAGTTCACAGAGGCACAGGCTCACTGAACGATTGAGACCTAATCATAGGACTGTAGAACACTACCCCCTCCTCACACCTTACTACCACCTTACTAAAGACCTATTAACAGCAGTTCCTCTTACCCAGTACATCATGTCTGGCTATCAAGGCATAATAAAAGCAAAAACACTGTGTGAAGAGAGAGCAAGCATCAGATACAGACTCGGATATGGGAAGGGTGCCAGAATTAGACTGAATTTAAAACAACTATGATTATTCTACTAAGGGAAGTGATGGGTAAAGTAATCAATATACAAGAACAGATGGACAATGTAAGCACAGAGATGGAAATTCTAGAAAAGAATGAAAAAGAAATACTGGACATTAAAATCACTGTAACAAAAATGAAGACTGTCTTTGATGGGCTCTTTTGTAGACATAAGTAGCTGGGGAAGGAATCCCTGAGCTTAAGGCTATCTCAATGTAAATGTCCAAACTGAAAAGCAAAAAGAAAAAGATATGAAAAAACAAAATCACAGAACAAAATATCCAATTACTATGGGACAACTACAAAAGGTATAACATACATGCAACGGAAATGCCAGAAGGAGAATGAAGGGAGAAAGGAACTGAAGAAATATTTAAACCAATAATGACTGAGAATTTCTCCAAATTAATGTCAAACACCAAACCAAAAATCCAGAAAGATCAGAAAACATCAAGCAGGATAAATGTCAAAATATACTAGACCTAGAAGTTTACTGTATTCAAGCTGAAGAAAATCAAAGATAAAAAAAATTCTTGAAAGTTGTCACTGGAAAAAAATATCTTACTGGTGACGGTAGAGGAACAAATATGAGAATTACATCTGAATTCTCAGAAATTTTGCAAGCAAAAATAGAATGGAGTGAAATATATAAAGTGTTGAGAGAAAAACCCAGCAATGCAGAGTTCTGTACAATGTGAAATTATCTTTTAAAAAGTGAAGGAGAAATGAAGACTTTCTCAGACAAAAATTGAGAGCATTTGTTGTCAGTGGAATTGCCTTGTAATAAATATTGAAAGAAGACTAGGTGCAGTGTCTCACACCTGTAGTTCTAGCACTTTAGGAGGCTGAGGTGGGTGGATTGCTTGAGCTTAGGAGTTCAAGATGAGCCTGGGCAACACGACGAAACCCTGTCTCTACAAAAAACATAAAAAATTAGCTGAGCATTGTGGCGCATGGCTGTAGTCCCAACTACTCAGGAGGCCGAGGCTGGGGGATCACTTGAGCCTGGGAGGTCAAGGCTGCAGTGAGCTGTGCTCATGTCATGGCACTCCAGCCTGGGCAACAGAGCGAGACCTTGTCAAGAAAAAAAATTATTCAGAGAGAGGGAAAATGATATAGATCAGAAACTTAGATCTATATGAATAAAGGAAGAGCATCAGAAAAGGAATAAGTGAAGGTAAAATAAAACCTTTTATCTTTCTTACTAATAATAATAACAGCAACAATTTATTTATGTACGTATTATGTGTATCAAGGGATAGGAGAGAGGAATTAGGATTTTTTTTTTTTTTTTGAGATGGAGTCTTGCTCTGTCGCCCAGGCTGGAGTGCAGTGGCGCGATCTCGGCTCTCTGCAAGCTCCGCCTCCCGGGTTCACGCCATTCTCCTGCCTCAGCCTCCCAAGTAGCTGGGACTACAGGCTCCTGCCACCACGCTTGGCTAATTTTTTGTATTTTTAGTAGAGACAGGGTTTTACCGTGTTAGCCAGGATAATTTCAATCTCCTGACCTCGTGATCTGCCTGCCTCAGCCTCCCAAGGTGCTGGGATTACAGGCGTGAGCCACCACGCCTGGCAGATTATTTTGTTATTATAAAGTACACCATCCATGAAATGGTATAGTGATATTTGAAAGTGGGCTTGGATGAGTCATAAATGTATACTGTAAATTCTAGGGCAACCGCTAAAAAAAGGAAAGAAGTATAACTGATAGGTTGAGAAAGGCAAGAAAATGGAATCACATAAAATGCTCAAAACCAGAAAAGGCAGAAAAAGAGTATAAGACAAGAATAGGAAAAAAGAACAAGGGCAACAAACAGAAAACAGTAACAAATATGGGAAATATTAATCCAGCTCTATCAGTAAGCACTTTCAATATCAATGGTCTAGGGCAGGAGGAGTGGCGGCAGCCAGGCAGCCCAGCATCAGGAAGGCTCTAGGCATGCTTCGGCCCACAGGCACCCAGCATGTATTTTCCATGTCAAGATGCCCAAGAGGAAGGGGAGCTCAACTGAAGGGATGGTGAAGGAAGAGCCCAAGAGGAGATTGGTGCAGTTGTCAACTAAACCTGCTCCTGAAAAAGTGGAAACAAGGCCAAAAAGGCAGCAGGAAAGAATAAACCTTCGGACAAAAAAAAGTGCAAACAAAAGGGAAAAGGGGAGCAAAGGGAAAACGGGCTAATCTAAAAACCAAAGACCATTTACCTGCAGAAAATGGAGAAACTAAACCAAGGAGAGTCCAGCCTCTGATGAAGCGGTAGAGAAAGAAGCCCGGTCTGATTAACATCATATACCATGTCTTACTAGTGGTCCCTGTCTCCCTTCTGGTACAATCCAGAGAAATATTTTTATTAACTATTTTGTAAATGCAAGTTTTTAGTAGCTGTAGGGACATTTTTAAGAAGGAGAGAATCCCACCAGAAAATAGTATAGGATTTTGAATTACATAGGCTTTGATTGTCTCGGGTATCAGCTTAACATTCCATAGATTTTTTTTTTTTTTACTTGATAATACAAAGCATGCCAAGTGGCAATGTGGAGTCACAACCCTGATTTAATGTCCTGAACATTTTAAATTACTTCCGTTCCCCTGTTAGTTTCTTAATAGATTGTTTCCTAAAGAAAATCACTCCTTGATCATGACTCTCCCTCTCAGAAGTGTGTGCCCTCTGTAACATCTTTGGTTATGGTAGTCCCGTTTTCGTAAAAACTTTGTTAATGGGACAGATTGAAAATTTGAGTATGTAGTGTATATGATACCAAATTGTGAATTGGTGGGACTTATGTAACAGCTTATCAACATCGAAGACACTGGTACTTGATATTTTCTTAAGGACTATTTGCCTCTAAATTTTAAGCTGTAAGGTCACTGGAATAACTGTTTAAAAAAGAATTACAATACATGGCTTTTTAGATTTTCAGTATGTATGTTAAGAATTGTGTACAAATTGAAATGCCTGTGTACTGACCCTCAGCACAACCAATAAAATCTCCATTACAAAAAGTTCCCAATATCAATGGTCTGAATGCACAAATTAAAAGATAAAGATATCAGAGTAGATATTTAAAAAAGATCTATAACTATATGTTATCTATAAGAAACCCACTTTACACATTAAATAAGTTTATGGATTAAAAGTAAAGAGATGGAGAAATATTTGCCATGTAAATACTAACCAAAAGAAAGAAGGAGTAACTATGTATTAATTTTAGATACAGCAGACTTCAGATCAAGGAACTTACCAGAGATAAAGAGGGGCATTATGTAATGACAAAGGGATAATTCTTCAAGATAACAATCCTTCATGTGTATGCATCTAACAACACAGCATCAAAATACATGAGGAAAACACTAATAGAAATGCCAAGAGAAATAGATGAATCCACTATTATAGTTGGAGACTTTAACATCACTCTATCAGATATGACCAGATCTAGCAGGCAGATAATCACTAAGGACATATAGCCGAACTCAACAACACCATCTATCAATTGCATATAGTTGACATCTATAGACTGCTTCATAATAGCAGAATTCACATTCTTCTGAAGCTCACATGGAAAACTCACCAATATTGACCACATTCTGGGCCATGAAACAAACCTTAAGAAACTTAAAATAATACAAATCATAAAACGGTTGCTTTCAGACCTCAGTGGAATTAAAACTACATATCACTAACAGAAAGATAGTTGGAAAATCTGAAAATATGTGAAGAACACACTTCTAAGTAACACTTGGGTCAAAGAAGTCTCAAGAAAAAGTTTAAAATATTTTTGAACTAAATGAGAATAAAAATGCAAGTTATCAAAATTTGTAGGATGCAGTAAAAGCAGCGCTTAGAAGGAAATTTACAGCCTTGAATGCATATATTAGAAAAGAAGAAAGTTCTAAAATCAATCATCTAAGCTTCCACCTTAGGAAACTAGAAAAAGCAGAGCAAACTAATCCAAAATAAGCAGGAGAAAATAAATCATAAAATTGAAGATGACATTTAAAATAGGAAATCAGTAGAGAAGATAAAAAAAATTCAGGCTCTGGTCGCCTCAGACACTATGAAACCCAAAGGCTGGAATGGCTAAGTCACCCAAACAGCAAAGCTAGCACCCCCACCCCCGCGGCCCCGCCCCGCTCTCTCTGGGCGTACCATGTTGGGGGAATTTAGATCTCTGTCCGTGGAGAGCTTGAGCCGGGCAACTGGAGGTCCCAGTTGGAAGGTCCTACCCAGTGAGGAGGAATGGGATCGGGCACCTACTTAAATCAGCAGCCTGGCCACGTTTTGGTAGAGCAGCTGTGCTGTGCTGGGGGATCCCTTCCACCCTGGATTGGCTCAGACTCTCCAAAGCCTGAAAGCTGGAATGACTAACGCATCCGAACAGCAAAGATGTCACCCCCTTGCCGAGCTTCTTTTTATGGGGCTGCAATGCAGCTATTGGTAGCTGGCTGGAATTCCAAGCCAGTGGGTCTTATCTTGTGAGATGCTGTGGAAGTGGGATCTTCGGGCTGTTGCTGCTCAGCTCCCGGGATTCAGGCTCTTTCCTAGAAATATGTGTGGGAGTCTAACCTCCCACTTTGCCAGAGCTGCAGCTGCTTTTGCTGGAAAGCGGAAGTATCTAAGGCTCCAGGGTCTGCGCGCAAGCCTGAGCTCTGCCGAAACTCCACCTAGCTCTGTCCCTCTGACTCAAGACTGAAGGCCCTGTTGGGTTCACAAGGAGATCTCCTGACCCAAGAGTTGCGAAGATCTGTAGGAGAAACGTGGTTTTCCGGGGTCGCACATTTGCTCACCGCTTCCCTAGGTGGGGGAGGCTCCCCTGGCTTTGTGTCATTCCTGGGTGGGCCACTGTCCTGTCTTGCTTGTAAATACTGTTTTAACAGAGCATTCATACTGGGAAAACATGGAGTTAATAAGATTAAAACCAGGCTATGATAGGGATAAGGCTTTCAATGTCTAGACATTTCTCATGATGCTTCTACAAAAAACCACCACAAAAGAAAAAAAACCCAGCTATTAAAATGCTAAAAATTTCAAGATTAATAAAAATTTTAAGAGATGAAATAAACAAAAAAGAAAAATCAAAAACAAAATAAAAGATACTAAGAAAATAATGAAAATAAAGAAAAAGGTTTGCATCAAGCAACCTCAGATAGGATTCTTTTTTTTTCTTTTATTATACTCTAAGTTTTAGGGTACATGTGCACAACGTGCAGGTTAGTTACATATGTATACACGTGATGAGTATTCTTTAGTTAAGTGGAGAGAGGAAAGAATTTTGTCTGAAACCACGAAATGAGTCTAAGTGAGAAAAAAGACTGGACAGCCAAATCTCACTGGCTCCATACTACCTGAACTGTCTTCTGGAGCATTCCTTTTATTTATCTGCTGGAAACTTATGGGAAACATTATCTTACAGAACATTTTTTAAATATCCAAGATTTTAGAGACTGCTTGCTAAGATAAACCCTGATTTAGAATCCATGTGAGAAAATCCTTGAGGAACATAAGGAGCGATTGCCTGAGGGATTCTCTTGCATCTTTATCCAAAGGACTCAAAAAATCAAATTCAAAATCCATCTCTATTATCTTCACCTCTAATTAATATTGGAGTATCTAGATTGCTATTTACTTCTCTCACAGACCCCTGGCAAATAATACATCACCCTAATTTCATAGAAACTACCCCACAGTTGAATTCCTCACCCATCTGATGTCTCAGCATTAGGATGTGAAGACTGAAAAAATGGAAGAATACGGATCAAAAAAAAAAAAAAATCATTCTACTTACCCTAAGGCCAGTGTTTTAGTATTGCAGGGAGGTTCTATCATCCTTTAGTGCTCTTCTCTTGAGTGTTGTTGTTGCTGTTATTCTTTTCTTTCTCTTTCTTTTCTCCTTCTCTTCCTCCTCCTCTTCTTCCTCCTGCTTCCCTTTCCTCTTTCTCCTTCTCCTTCCTCCTGCCCCCTCCTCTTCCTCCTCTCCCATTCCCCCTCTCTCCTCCTCCTCTTTCTTATTCTTCTTCTAACCTTTCTATTTAGTTTACCCCAAAATCATTCCAGTCCTAAGGACAGTTAAAGATATCTTGTTCCCATGGAGAAAGGAAGAATAAAATATGTAATATCAGGGATATAACCTAATTTTACAAACAGAGTTAAAAGAATTACAGCTTGTGACATAATTTTTAAAACAACATATGTTCCCTCTGTAGTGATTACCCTTCACCAGACGATCTTTGGTTATTCAGGGAATTATAATAACATTAAATCAATTTTCAAATATCATTGAGGCAGTTTGCTATTTGCCAGTTGAATTTCCTCATCTACGTGGTTTCTGGGAGCTCCAGCAGTACAATCAGTTGGTGAGTGGTACTTTCACAAGGTTTCTTGGTCTTATTGGAGTTATCAGCCTGCAACCTTCAGGAATCAAGGCCTCTTTGCTGGGCGTTAACCAGAAGTCTGGGTGGCAAATTGTGTGGCTCTGGGGTTTGTTGATGCTGGTTTGCATGAACAAGTTGTGTTAGCTCTAAGCCCAGTTGATGGTTTTGGTTATGCAATTACTTGAGCCCTGGTTTCTTCATCAATCAAGCAAGCCTCAAATTTCCTCCTCTTTCTCAGTTTTGTGATTTTTGACATTAGCAGAATTTAAAATACAGGATGGTTGCTAAGCAGTTTCATAAATGGAAACCACATTTGTCAAATGAGCTCCACACCAGGAAATTCAGCGAGAGGATTCCTGGGTATCCTCAGTCCTAGCCTGCCTAGCATCTCACGTGAATTGGAGTCTGTAATGTCCTCCCAGAGGGAACTGGATCTAGCCAGTAGGCACAAACATTCTTTTGGTCTTTCCAAAAATTTTCTGCAGAAAATGCCTATGGGACAACTCACTGTGAAGTTGAAATTATATGCAAGTGTGTATACAATTAAATTTCAAAATAAATGCCTTAGAATTGTGTGTGTTTGTTTTTTGCTAATTTGATGGTAAACATGAAAGCCCAAAGTGTCCTGGGAAAAGCTTTGTATTTTTCTTTAAGCCACAAATAGTCTAATTAGACTTGAAAGAATGCACTTCCAAAGCAAAATAAGACAAAATAGAACGTTCAAAGAGCCACATACCATAGTTTCAGAGATAACTAGAAATTGGGTCTATAAAGATAGCAATGCATTGCTATTGAGTTTGTCTCGCCCACTGTCTTCCACACTCCAGGCGGGAGGGCTACAGCAGCGTCTTATCGTCCTTGAATTTGTTGAATGAATGGCAGTGTCCAAAAGTGCGGAAAACCCCAGGCACAGAATGATACTAAGGGGATCTAAAGAGTTTCTTGGATGAAAATACTGGTGCTACTTGGGAAGATTTGAGAATATGATGGCTCTGAAAATGTACAATTGCTCTGCAATCTTACAGAATTTTTAGAGTCAACTTCTATAAAGAGGGGACAAAACTATTTATAATAAGCACAGTTGAAAAAATACTGTGAAGCAGGAAAGATGGCCTTAGATGTTGTCACCTCCTATTTCTGGGAATTCCTCACCATTCACGGTCCTCAAGATCACTCTACCCCCTTCCATGTCAAAGCCTGGTTTTAGGAAGGGATCTGGTAAATTCATCCTCCTGAGTTTCAGTAACTGCAACAGTTTACTGCAGTAATACATTAAGTCATATTTCAATTGACAGAAAAGGCTTAATATACTGTATTAGTTATTCTGTTTACTTTTAAATAAACATCAACACGTTAACCCAAGGTGGCATATTTCTAATTACAGAATTAAAAACATCAGAGCATGAGCGAAAGCAATTTTGTAAAGGAAACACTTTCAAAAAAATTGGACTGTGTACTTCACCTATTTCACTTGTTTCTGAGGCTTGGTAATTGATTATCCAGTAATGTTTTGGCCTTCTTACATATTAAGAATAGTTAGTACAAACAAAGCAAGGGGATGCCTATTATTAAAATAAGCAATCTCTAATGAACCCATGAATTCCACTGCAACTCTCTCAGCAGCTTGCTCAGGACCCAGGCTAAATCAGGTACTCAAATACCAATCCCTGTTTTCAAAGAGGGAAGATTAAATTGCTTTTGGCTTTGTTCATGAAAACAGCCATTTTGCATTCATGGCACTGAATAGATTCTTTATGATAATTAATGTAAGTTTTATATTTTTACAACAGTCCTTGGGCTGTGTTCTCATGAATATTTCCATTAAATAATTACCTCTTAGAAACGAAAGAGATCTTTTGTATTTTTTAGAACTGTGTTTATGGATACATTCTCCATGCCTCCCCTTTCCCATTCCTCTCGAAATTGCTTGTATCTAAGGAACTTAATACCCTGTCATTATATGTTTAATTCATTTTAGGATATGTGTCCAGAAATATTTGTGCTATTGAGAGAATCACACTGGCCCTCTGAATACTGAGAGCTGGTCCCATTTCTGCAGATTTTCTTCTGTGTCTTGCACGTGTTGTAGACCTATAAACCTCCTGGCATACATAAGCCCACTCTTCTCATTTTGTTTGAGATGCAAAATTCCTAACAGGAAAGTAACCATTTCAGTAACCAATCTTAGAGGCTTGTTTGTCTTTTCTTTATAAATTCTTAACCTTTTCATGACTTAGCAGAAAGTATGCAGGGCTCAGGTTAGGTCAACAACAGAGTCAAGGTTAACTACAAGAAAGTGACATGAGAAAAAATCCAACTAATCCAAACATGGAAACATCAATAGGTGACTTAGACCAACTATAACATTAGCCATCACCTCAGGTCCACTAGCACTTAATATATTTTGTTAATAGGCTCTAAGACTCTTAGAATCTGCTTTTCCTCTTTTCTTCAGAGTATGGATTTCATTGCTCTTAAAACATTGCATCTTCTGCTGGGAATAATTCTGTTCTTGGCCTCTGGAACAGCTCATAAATTATATCTCTGGAATTTTAGACTACAGCAGTTAGTGAAATGGTTTCCTATTCCCCTGGGAAGCCCAGGTAGGAATAGCTACTTACAAAAGTGATTAAGTGTGGAATTTTTGCTTTAGGCACAGAACAGGAGTCACCTCAAGAGCTTTTTTAGTTACATCTGCAATTTTGTTTATTTTGGCTCTATCAATTTCTACATCTGAACAAAATATAACTCTAAGCTATGTCACCAGGAAGAGAGAGATGGAGTCTCCTCCTGTGTCTGAATGAAGAGTACCTTCACATGTGGGATAAAGTCTTGTCCAAACACACTTGGTGTCACTTCCATGCATAACTTCCTGCTCAGGGTTTGTCAGGTTAATTTAACCTCAGAGGATTCTAATGCTTCCAAATGAGGGGAAAAAAAAAAAAAAAAAAAAAAAAAATATATATATATATATATATATATATATATATATATATATATATATATATAATGAAATTATGTTAAGACCTGTTGGGCTCAACAAACAGAAAGATAAGTAGTTTTCTTTACTGAAGAGCCATTCACGTATATGCTAATGTCCATTGTGAATCTTCAAGAGTGGAGGAGCACTTTCCAAAAATATTTGACCTTGGAAGACTTTTCTTTATTCAGAATATCTCTAAAAATCTCATGTTCTACAAGGAACTAAACCACAGTCAAATTTCAGTTGAAAGCTTACCTCAGTCATTCACTCACTCCAGCACAAATCAGAGCCATGACTTTGCTAACTTGGTTGAATTCCATGAGCAATGTTATTTTGGGCCAGATCCGTAGCCAGTTGCAATATCCTATCACTAAAAGACACTCTATGACATAGGGTGTGCACATGTGTTTTTTAAAATGTAAAGCTCAGCTGCTCTATCAAAACATAGCCAGATGCTGCTCTAAGTGGGTTCCCAATCCTGTTCGGCCTCACTGGGTGTGACCTCCCAACCAGGGTCTCCAGCCACTTCCTATAGGTGCCTTTGGGCTGGCAACAGGTCCGTTTCTCCCTGGGACAAGGTTCCCAGAGGAAGGGACAGGCTGCCATCTTTGCTGTTTCTCAGCCTTCACTGGTGACACTTCCAGGTTCTGGAAAATCCGAGGTGACTAAGGACTGGAATGGGCCCCAAGCATACCACAGCAGCCTTACGGAAAGGTGGCTAGACTGTTAAGTGAGTGCTCATTCCCGTATTTCCTCACCAGCAGGTCCCCCAGGTCTGGGCCTCCAGCCACCCACCTGCCAGAGCTATCAAGCCACTACCAACTCAGCAACTCCCTGGATAGCACCTCCAGGGGCAACTGAAAGCCTCTCTGCCACTGCCTTCACAGTGGAAGTTTCCTGGCCATCCTCAGACTAATGAAGGAGGAAAGACCCTAAGTGCCTTGTCCACACCACAAACAAGCTGCAGTCAACCCAATGGCAGGAGACCAGTTTGTCTCCCATAGGTCCCACACCCCCACACAACTCATCACCGGATAGGAAACCCTTGCCTTGGGCCCACAGCACAAACCCTCCATCCTGGGCTGACTGCGCTGAGTGATTGCTGACCTGCATTTCTCTGGGGTGGAGCCCCCAAGAGTCAAGCAAATGACCCTTGGCCACAAGTACTATTAAGATCTCTTCCTCTGCTGCCTCTAAGCTGGGGAAGGAGCATAAACACGGAGATTGCCCCAAAGCTGCAATGGGCAGCCCAGGAGTGCCAAATCATGAACTACAGCCAGCACTTAAGAGGGAAAGGAACTCACACTTTCAGAGAACTGAGAGGGAATGTGGCTGCAACTGTGAGGAAACATGGGGGAGCCATACAACCAAGCAAGAGTCTACCAACTGAAAAATATGCCTCAGTGTCACCTGCTGGATCACATCCCAAAGCCTCAACAACAAAAATACTTCAAACTCCCCTCTGAAACCAGAGACAAGGAGTCAGCTTCAAATAAAGACCTTACACAAAGCCTCATCCCAGTGAAAACATCCAGAAAAGAATTGTATTGATTGTACTCAGTCTACACAGCAGTTAAAGGAACACCCACATGCAAGGATGAGAAAGAACCAATGCAAGGAATCTGGTAACTCAAATGGCCAGATTGTCATATGTCCTCCAAATGACCACACCTGTTCTCCAACAAGAGTTCTTAACCAGGCTAAACTGGCTGGAATGACAGAAGTAGAATTCAGAGTATGGATAGGAACAAAGATCATTGAGATTCAGGAGGTTGGCAAAACCCAGTCCAAGGAAAATGAGGATCACAATAAAGTGACACAGGAGCTGAAAGACGAAATAACCTGTATAAAAAAGACCCTAATGCGTCTGACAGAGCAGAATAGCACAATACAAGAATTTCACAATGCAATCACAAGTATTAACAGTAGAATAAACCAAGCTGAGGAAAGAATCTCAGAACTTGAAGACTGGTTCTCTGAAATAATGCCAATCTATGAATCATTGTCATCCCTGAAAAGGAGAGGGAGAAAGCTAACAACCTGGAAAATATATTTAAGGGTATCGTCCATGAAAACTTTCACAACCTTGCTAGAGAGGCCAACAGTCAAATTCAGGAAATACAGAGAACTCCTGAAAGATTCTACACAAGATCATCCCCAAGACACATAATCATCAGATTTTCCAAGGTTGAAATGAAAGAAAGAATGTTAAAGGCAGCTAGAGAGAAACGGCAGGTCACCCACAAAGGGATCCCCATCAGGCTAACAGTGGACCTCTCAGCTGAAACACTACAAGCCAAAAGAGACTGGGGGCCTATATTCAACATTCTTAAAGAAAAAATGTCTTCAACCAAGAAGTTCATATCCAGCCAAACTAAGGGAAAGAAAATAAGATCCTTTTCAAACAAACAAATGTTGAGGGACTTCATTACCACCAGACATGCCTTACAAAAGAGATCTTGAAAGGAGCACTAAATTTAGAAAGGAAAGACTGCTACCAGCTAATACAAAAACATGAGCACACAGACCAGTGTCACTGTAAAGCAACCACACAAAGAAGCCAACATAATAACCAGCTAACAGCACAATGACAGGATCAAATCCACACATATAAATACTAACCTTAAATGTAAATGGCTAAATACTCCACTTAAAAGGCACAGAGTAGCAAGCTGGATAAAAAAGCAAGCCCCAATGGTATGCCGTCTTTAAGAGACTTGTCTTACATGTAGTGACACTCACAGGCTCAAAACAAAAGGATGGAGAAAAATCTACCAAACAAATGGAAAACAGAAGAGAGCAAGGGTTGTAATCCTAATTTCAGACAAAACAGATTTCAAATCAACAAAGATCAAAAAAGACAAGGAAGGGCATTAAATAATGGTAAAATGTTCAATCCAACAAGACCTAACTCTCCTAAATATATATGCACCCAACACAGGAACACCCAGATTCATAAAGAAAGTTCTTAGAGTCCTAGAAAAAGACATAGACTCCCATACAATAATAGTGAGAGACATCCACACTCTACTGTCAGTATTAGACAGATCATCGAGGCAGAAAATCAACAAAGATATTCAGGACCTAAACTCAGCATTGGACCAAATGGATCTGATAGACCTTTACAGAAGTCTCCACCCCAAAACAACAGAATACACATTCTTCTCATTGCCACATGACACATACTCTAAAATTGACCACATAATTGGACATAAAACAATCCTCAGCAAATGTAAAAGAACGGAAATCAGACCAAACACACTCTTGGACCACAGAGCAATAAAAATAGAAGTCAATACAATGAAAATCACTCAAAACCACACAATTACATTAAACAGGCTCCTGAATGACTTTTGGGTAAATAATGAAATTAAGGCAGAAATCAAGAAGCTCTTTGAAAATAAGAAAAACAAAGATACAATATATCAGAATCTCTGGGATACAGCTAAGGCAGTGTTAAGAGGGAAATTCATGGCACTAAATGCCCACGTTAAAATGTTAGAAAGATCTCAGATTATCAACCTAACTTCACAACTGAAAGAATTAGAGAAGCAAGAACAAATCAACCCCAAAGCTAGCAGAAGACAAGAAATAACAAAAATCAGAGCTGAACTAAAGGAAATCAAGTCACACAAAAAAATTCTAAAGATTAATGAATCCAGGAGTTGGTTTTTAAAAAAATTAATATAATAGGCCACTAGCTAGACTAATTTAGAGGAAAAGAGAGAAGATCCAAATAAACACAATTAGAAGTGACAAAAGGAATGTTACTACTGACTCCACAGAAATAAAAACAACCATTAAAAATGATTATGAACAACTCTACACACACAAACTAGAAAACCTAGAAGAGATGGATAAATTCCTGGACACATACACCCTCCCAAGGGTGTTCATCCTTGATGAACATTGATGCAAAAATCCTCAACAAAATACTTGCAAACCAAATGCAGCAGCACATCAAAAAGCTAATCCACCATGATCAAGTAGAGGCTTCATCCCCAGGATGCAAGGTTCGTTCAACATATGCAAATCAATAAATGTGATTCATCATATAAATAGAACTAAAGCAAAAAAACTGCATGATTATCTCATTAGATGCAGAAAGGCTTTTGATAAAATTCAGCATCCCTTCATGTTAAAAAAAACTCTCACTAAACTAGGTATTGAAGAAACATACCTCAACATAATAAGAGCCATCTATGACAAATCCAGAGCCAACATTAAACTGAATGGACAAAAGCCTAAAGCATTCCTCTTGAAAACTGGCACAAGACAAGGATGCCCTCTTTCACCACTTCTATTCAACATGTTATTGAAGTCCTAGCCAGAGCAATTAGGCAAGAGAAAGAAATAAAGGGTATCCAAATAGGAAGAGAGGAAGTCAAATTATCTCTCTGTGTAGATGACATGATTCTATATTTAGAAAACCCCAGAGTCTCAGCTCAATAGCTCCACCAGCTGATAAACAACTTTAGCAAATTTTGGGATACAAAATCAATGTACAAAAATCACTAGCATTCCTATACACCAGCAACAACCAAACTGAGAGCCAAATCAGACAGGCAATCTCATTCACTATTGCCAAAAACAAAATAAAATACCTAGGAATACAGCTAACCAGCCAGGTGAAAGATCTCTACAATGAGAATTAAAAAGCACTCCTCAAAGAAATCAGAGAAGACACAAACAAATGGAAAAACACCCCATACTCATGAATAGGAAGTATCAATATCATTAAAATAGCTATATTGGCCAAACCAATTTACAGATTCAATGCTATTCCTATCAAACTACCAATGAAATTCTTCACATAACTAGAAAAAATTGTTTTAAAATTTATATAGAACCAAAAAAATAGCCCAAATAGCCAAAGCAATCCTAAACAAAAAGAACAAAGCTGGCGGAATCACATTACCTGACTTCAAACTATACTACAAGGCTACAGTGACCAAAACAGCATGACACTGGTATAAAAACAGGCACAAAGACCAATGGAACAGAATAAAGAGCCCAGAAATAAGGCCGCACATCTATGACTATCAGATCTTTGACAAAGCTGATGAAGACAAGCAATGGGGAAAAGACTCTGTGTTCAATAAGTGGTGCCAGGATAACTGGCTAGCCATATGCAGAAGACGGAAGCTGGACCCCATCCTTACGGCAAAACAAAAATCAACTCGAGGTGGATTAAAGACTTAAATGTGAAACCCAAAACTATAAAAACCCTGAGGACAACCTAGGCAATATCATCCTGGACCTAGGCATGGGCAAAGATTTCACAACAAAGACACCAAAAGCAATTGCAACAAAAGCAAAAATTGAAAAATGGCATCTAACTAAACTTAAGAGCTTCTGCACAGGAAAAGAAAGTATCGGCCAGTTGCGGTGGCTCATGCCTGTAATCCCAGCACTTTGGAAGGCCGAGGTGGGTGGATCACGAGGTCAGGAGATCGAGACCATCCTGGCTAACACGGTGAAACCCATTCTTTACTAAAAATACAAAAAAAAATTAGCCAGGCGTGGTGGTGGGCGCCTGTAGTCCCAGCTACTAGGGAGGCTGAGGCAGGAGAATGGCATGAACCCAGGGGGGCGGAGCTTGCAGTGAGCTGAGATCAAGCCACCGCACTCCAGCCTGGGAGACAGCAAGACTCCGTCTCAAAAAAAAAAAAAAAAAAGAAAGAAAAAGAAACTATCAACGGAGTGAAGAGACAACCTACAGGATGGGAGAAAATTTTTGCAAACTACGCATCTGACAAAGGTCTAATGTCCAGCATCTATAAGAGATAAACAAACAACCCCATTAAAAAGTGGGCAAAGGACATGAACAGACACTTCTCAAAAGAAGATGTACATGCAGCCAACAACCATATGAAAAAAAGCTCAATATCACTGATCATTAGAGAAATGTAAATCAAAACCACAATGAGATACCATCTCACACCAGTCAGAATCGCTATTATTAAGAAGTCAAAAAATAACAAATGCTGGTGATGTTGCAGAGAAAATGGAATGCTTATACACTGTTGGTGGGAGTGTAAATTAATTCAACCATTGTGGAAAACAGTATGTCAATTCCTAAAGAGCTAAAAGCAGAACTACTATTTGACCCAGCAATCCCATTACTGGGTATATACCTAGAGGAATATAAAGCATTCTACCATAAAGACACATGCACGTGAATGTTCATTGCAGCACTGTTCACCATAGTAAAGACATGGAATCAACCTAAATGCCCATCAATGACAGACTGGATAAAGAAAATGTGGTACATATACACCCTGGAATACTACACAGCCATAAAAAAGAACAAGATCATGTCTTTTGCAGGAACATAGATGGAGCTGGAGACTATCATCCTTAGCAAACTAATACAGGAACAGAAAACCAAATACTGCATGTTCTCATTTATAAGTGGGAGCTAAATGATAAGAACTTATGAACACAAAGAAAAGAACAACAGACACTGTGGTCTACTTGAGAGGGAAAGGTGGGAGGAGGGAGAGGAGCAGAAAGGTAAGTATTGGGTATTGAGCTTAGTACCTGGGTGATATAATAATATGTACAACAAACCTCCTGTGACATGTGTTTATTTATGTTACAAACCTTCACACATACGTCCAAACCTAAGTTTAAGAAAGCAAAGCTCATAAAATAATGCATAAATAATTACTGTTACTTGATTATTGAGAGTTTCATCAAGTCACAGCAGAACTGAGGATTCACAGGAGAAGGAAGAGTCTGTTAGAAAGCATAGCAGTTGGCCACAGTGACAAAATCCTTGAAATATTCAAGATGCAACTCTTATTCCGTGTCTTCCCTGAAGAGTCTTTTACGAATCTATCACCAAGAAATTTATCTACATTTTGGATCATCTTGGGGGTACTATAGTGTTAATGCTATGATGTTAAATGAATTACTTATGTTTATATGAGCATAAATGATATTTGTCTTAGTCTGTTCAGGCTACTAGAACAAAATACCTTAGATTGGATAATTTGTAAACAACAGAAATGTATTTCTCATAGTTCTGGAGACCGGGAAGTCTAAGATGAAGGCACCAGTAGATTAGATGTTGGGCGAAGGCTTGTTGTCTGCTTTCTAGATGGTACCTTGTTGCTGTGTCCTCACATGTCAGAAGGGGCCAGGAGGCTTCCTCAAGCCTCTTTTATAAGGGCACTAATTTTGTTCAAGTGGGTGGAGACCACTAAAGGTCCCACCTCTTAATACTATCACATTGGGTGTTAGGTTACAATATATGAATTTGGGGAGGACACACACATTCAAACCATAGCAATATTTTTAAAGTCTTAAAGGAATGCTAAAGTATTTATTTAGGTTGATGTTTCTGATACAAAGAGGTTCAAACTAAAATAGAATAATTGATATCTCTTGATTTGCATCTGGTGTAGCAAGAACTTTTTTTTATATTGATAGGTTTATTTTTATTAATGTGTGTATTTTCCATTTCTGATGCTTTTCATTTCTTCCTGTGGATTTGAGTATATCTCAATATTATTCCCTTTCAGCTTGAAAGACTTGATTTAGACATGTAAGGCAGGTCTCCTAGCAGTAAATTCTGTCAGTCTTTGTTTATCTGAGAATGTCTTTGTTTTACCTTCACTTTTTAAGGATAGTTTTGCTGGATATAAAATTGTTCATTGACAGTTATTTCTCTAACAGCCCTGATATGCCCTCCATTGTTTAAGAAGAGGAGTCAGCCATTAATAGTATTGATGCTTTCCTATAAACAATGAGTCCTTTTTCTCTTACCAATTTTCAAAATTTTCTCTCTGTCTTTGGCTTTCAACAGTTTATGATGTGTCTCTGTATGGATATCTTTGCATTTATCTTACTAGGGGTTCATTTTGCTTCTTGGATGTATAGATTAATGTTTTTCATCAAATAAGGGGAAGTTTTAGTAATTATTTCTTCAAATATTTCCCTGCAACCTCTCTCTTCTTTTTCTCTGGTTTCTCTCTTTCTCCTCTCCTGGAGCCTTTATTATATGTTTGTTGTTGGGCTTAATGTTGTCCCACTCTCAGTCAGTTTCTTTTCTTTTCTTTTTTTTTTAGTATTTATTGATCATTCTTGGGTGTTTCTCAGAGAGGGGGATTTGGCAGGGTCATAGGACAATAGTGAAGGGAAGGTCAGAAGATAAACATGTGAACAAGGGTCTCTGGTTTTCCTAGGCAGAGGACCCTGCGGCCTTCCGCAGTGTTTGTGTCCCTGGGTACTTGAGCTTAGGGAGTGGTGATGACTCTTAACGAGCATGCTGCCTTCAAGCATCTGTTTAACAAAGCACATCTTGCACCGCCCTTAATCCATTTAACCCTGAGTTGACACAGCACATGTTTCAGAGAGCACGGGGTTGGGGGTAAGGTTATAGATTAACAGCATCCCAAGGCAGAAGAATTTTTCTTAGTACAGAACAAAATGGAGTCTCCCATGTCTACTTCTTTCTACACAGACACAGTAACAATCTGATCTCTCTTTCTTTTCCTCACATTTCCCCCTTTTCTATTTGACAAAACCGCCATCGTCATCATGGCCCGTTCTCAATGAGCTGTTGGGTACACCTCCCAGATGGGGTGGCGACCGGGCAGAGGGGCTCCTCAGTTCCCAGACCGGGTGGCCAGGCAGGGGCTGCCCCCACCTCCCTCCTGGACGGGGCGGCTGGCCTGGCGGGGGCTGCCCCCCACCTCCCGGACGGGGCGGCTGCCGGGCGGAGGGGCTCCTCACTTCCCAGACGGGGTGGCTGCAGGGCGGAGGGGCTCCTCAGTTCTCAGACGGGGCAGCCGGGAAGAGAAGCTTCTCACCTCCCAGATGGGGTGGCGGTCGGGCAGAGACACTCCTCAGTTCCCAGACGGGGTCGCAGCCGGGCAGAGGCACTCCTCACATCCCAGACGGGGCGGCGGGGCAGTGGTGCTCCCCACATCTCAGACTATGGGCGGCTGGGCAGAGACCCTCCTCACTTCCTAGGTGGGATGGCGGCCGGGAAGAGGCGCTCCTCACTTCCCAGACTGGGCTGCTGGGCAGAGGGGCTCCTCACATCCCAGACGATGGGTGGCCAGGCAGAGATGCTCCTCACTTCCCAGACGGGGTGGCGGATGGGCAGAGGCTACAATCTCGGCACTTTGGGAGGCCAAGGCAGGCGGCTGGGAGGTGGAGGTTGTAGCAAGCCGAGATCACGCCACTGCACTCCAGCCTGGGCAACATTGAGCACTGAGTGAGCGAGACTCCATCTGCAATCCCGGCACCTCGGAAGGCCGAGGCAGGCAGATCACTCGCGGTCAGGAGCTGGAGACCAGCCCGGCCAACACGGTGAAACCCCGTCTCCACCAAAATATACAAAACCAGTCAGGCGTGGCGGCACGTGCCTGCAATCCCAGGCACTGGGCAGGCTGAGGCAGGAGAATCAGGCAGGGAGGTTGCAGTGAGCAGAGATGGCGGCAGTACAGTCCAGCCTCGCTCGGCATCAGAGGGAGACAGTGGAGAGGGAGAGGGAGAGGGAGGGGGAGGGGGAGGGGGAGAGGGAGAGGGAGAGGGAGAACTTTTTTTGATAGGACTAAAAGACTGCCTACTCTGTATCCACGAGGCCAGAGAGGAAGAAGCCACTAGTCTATCACCACGCCAGACCAATTCTAGCCATAGGTTGAGCCAGATCAGAACTGGGGTGACTTAAAGAACAATGGCATGTATTACTTTCATCAATTTTATCGACTTGGTCATCTTTCACAGAGCCGTGAGCTACTTATATCTAAAATTAGAAATAGAAGGTATTTAGAGATCATTTAGTGCAAATGCTTATATTAGAAACCAGGAGGCTGAGGCCTAGAAAGTTTTTATAGGATGCTGTAAGGGTTGCTTCAGGACCAGAGGGCAGTATCTTTGAGAAGCAGACTTTCAAACTTTCGAACATTTTCCACCACATCAATAAATAGTTGTTTCTGATAGAGCAGATTTTTTTGTGGGCTCTTATAGCTAGCTAAACCTACATACTTATCTTGCTTTTATCATAAAATGGCTAGATATAGAAAAAATATGGAAAGGTACAGAGGTAACTTTGGCAAGAGATGCAAAGCAGACAGGAGAAAGCTTGAGGTGATACTTTGAGTCTGTACATACATAAAATAGCTCCGTGCTGTGAGTAATGGTCTTCCCAAATGAGTGCCTCTCAGATACCTGGGTCACAGAGTGAGGCGCCAGTCCAGAGCAATATGTTCTAGTAACAATCTACTTCCCTCAAGACTTCTGGACAGGATGTACAAGCATGCTAAAGACTATCACTCCTTTGGTAACAATGAAAACAAACAAAATAAGAAATATGCTTTGATACAGGGAAAAAGGAGTAAGATGGATGCAATAAACCCTTGATGAACTTAATTCTAAGAGAAATAAGCTTTTTATAGGTGAGCAGGGAGCCATGACAGCTTCCATACCTAGGCATGCACCTGGTCTGGGTACAGGTAGTAACTGGGTACAGATGGAGAGACTTTTCTGTGTAAGGAGAAATTGGCCAAGTTTTTTTTTTTTCTGAGATGGAGTCTTACTCTGTCACCCAGGCTGAAGTGCAGTGGCGTGATCTTGGCTCACTGCAACCTCTTTCTCCCGGGTTCAAGTGATTCTCCTGCCTCAGCCTCCTGAGTAGCTGGGACTACAGGTGCCCACCACCATGCCTGGCTAATTTTTGTATTTTTAGTAGAGATGGGGTTTCACCATGTTGGCCTGGCTGGTCTTGAACTCCTGACCTCAAGTGATCCACCTGCCTCGGCCTTTCAAAGTGCTGGGATTACAGGCATGAGCTACTGCACCCATCCAAAATTGGCCAAGTTTTATAGGACAACACGATGTGGCTAGAAGGACTGGATTCTGGAACAGCCCCAAATGCAAAGACACATCACTTGGCCCAACAATTCTTCCCCTGTTTCTCATCCCCACCATGAGGTTTCCTGAGAAAAACAGCAGTAGGGGAGTAACTGATAAGCAGGGAGCAACTGCATAACTCTGTACATTCTGGGGCCCCAACAAAGTTTAATTCAAAGGTAAACCAAAAAGATCTGATTCTTCAGCCAATCCCCACCCAACTCAACTACTGACAAAGTCAAGCAGTCAGCAGCTTGAGATGATGGAACGCAGGTGAATTCACTATAATATGAGCTTTTCAGCTCTTGATTTGTATCTAGTGCATCTTGACAATGAAGGGGGATTATGTCATCTGGTCTTAAGATCAAGTCATTAATTTAGCATAGAACAGAAGAGAGGAGGGATGGTGAGTTTCAATAATCATTGCCAAAGAACAAGCAAAAATGAAATTTATTCAATTCCTGCTGCTATCCCAGATTGTCTCTACCTGTTCATTGGCAAACAGCATTCTGTCCAATCATCCACTTTTAAAACAAAGAACATGGTAGTGCCATTCTTATCAGTTTTCAGCTTTGCATAGGCCAAGAGGAATCCTTAGAAACTTAGGCTGCAAGAAAGGGCAACTGGGATCTCTGACCCACCCATATCAAATTGCAACTTGACATAACCAGAGCTTCTAGGGCAGAATAATTATAAATAGTTCATCCACAAGCTTGAGCAAAAGCAGCTCCACTTTTGCCTTCCTTTGTGGGTCATTTTGAGGCAGTTCAGTCTTGCTCACAGATCAGTTCTTCTAGATGGCCAACAAAATAATTCAGGAGGCAATGGTGGGCAAATATTTCAATGAATTGCACCCAAGAACTAGGATTTGGCAACTCACACGTCCATAGAAGATCAAAGAAAGAGGACATACAGTTTTCCTCATTCACCTTGATCTACATAAGAGTCAGAACATCATTCCAAAAAGTCCGTGACAGAGTAGTCAAATTCGTAGAGCCAGAAAGCAGAGTGGTGTGTGCCAGGGACTGAGGAAGCCCCCTTTCAGCCCATGAGAGAAACATACAAGTCTGTAAATATTCAGGTCTGCCTTGGAGGGGAAAAGGAGGATAAGGGGATTTAAGCAATCCAAGTAACAATAATAAAACTAAATATGACATTAACATGAAAAGTCTGTACGAGGCATTGTACCAAGCAATGTCTGTACCAGGCATTTTATCTGTAGTTTGTTCAACCCAGGACTGAGCAGACACCTACTGTTCTGATTTTAGGAAGAATTCTTATGTAATACCTGAAGTCTTTGCCAATGAGCCCGATTACCCTGCTTTAGGGTTCACAGATGCATATTGGTGATGGAGAGTCTGCTGGTTGTGAAACAGATATTAATGCCCTTGTAGCTCAATTTTTAAAATGTGTGAACTATACAGGTCCTTTTTAAGAAATAAAATTTTCTCCTATTACTGAGAGTAAATCCACAGGCCCTTATTTGAGAAACACTGACTTAAAATATTGAAGACTTCCTCCATGAAAGTCATGCAATAGCAAATCACCACTGCAGAATAGAAATGTTGTCTAAGTGATAAAAATAAAATTATCATCATAACAAAAATACTAAATTAAAAATTTTTTAATTTTCTTACAGTTCATGGAGCCCCCTCCCCTTCCAAAAATATGCCCAGAGATCTCTGTTTGAGAATTACTTCTCTTAGAAAGTTTTGGGAGCCTCTGACAGCCATGGTTGATGGGGGCGGCGGGAAGCAGGAAAAAAATTAAATGTTTTGGTGGTGGCGGTTCTAAATAAAAAACATTTTAAATTACTTCGTGAAATGGGAAGTAAGGCTAGGAAATAAATATATGTACATATAGAGGGAGAAATAATGTTTAAGTACTTTATTTTCAGTAGATATTAGGTGGCTTGATTGAGTACATCCAGCTATTTTGGAAAATGGCAGCTAGTGAAAATATTTTTCAGCAACAAGACTTGGGGTGTTTGTCTCCATTTCAGCACCCCCTTTCTTCTCAAGCAATTTGATTTGGGGTGACTTGTTTAGGAGATTTAGACAACGCTTTCATGTGAATATTTATATGGGCAGATTTTGTTTTCCCCTTGGGCTGTACGGCTGCCAGCCATTTATTGCCTGCTTGGTACAGGGGCAGGTTTTTTGTTTTGCTTTTTTCCCTTTCCCCTCTGTGGTTCCTACAATAGAAATAATCATTTTTTAAAATGGAAAGGAACCCACTCCCTTTTCATAATCTCAGCTACAGATCTGCTTTTGATTCTGCATGCTTCATTTTGTTCCCTGAAGGATAATTTGGAGATTTGAGTAATTAACCCAAGACTCATAGGAGGCAGTCTTTCGGAGGCTGGTAATTTTGCTGTGGTGGAGTCGGCTGCTGTCAAGCATTAACTTCTTAATAATGAAGCCTTTCAGACCCTCTGCTATTGGCACAATGATGCACTTGAAGCTAGTGGCTTGGCGGAGTGTAAGCGGGCCACTTCTATTCTTTCCTTGGACAAAATAGTCCTCTTGATCTCTGGGTTGGAGCTATTTTTAGTTTAGTTCAGTTCTTTTTTGCTTTTTAACTTGGTGGGCAAGTCTTTCACTTATATTTTGATCCACTGCTTAATCTGTTGCCTTTTTTCAAAAAGACCTGCAAAAAGGCACCCTTCCCAATATCCAGCAGCTAGTCCCCCCTTTCAGTATATTTAGAATCCTCTTTTTAGAAAAGCTGTGACTCAACTCCTGCACTAAATGGGACCTTGCTTCTCTGATCCCAGTACACTTCCTGCTATTAACATGGTAATGTCTGTGGTGCAGCACTGGGGACAATCACACCTGCAATTAAAAACCAAATTAGGATGTATCTTTTCTTGGCAAACAGGATCCACAGAAATTCGAAGACAGCTGCTGCCCCTCCCCTCCCATTCCCACTCATCTTTTAATTCCCTCTTTCGAGCTTTGAGCAGGGAAAAGAACTAGAAATTTCTGGTTGTTATTTGATGAGTCAGTATTTTAACTGATTCGGCAAATACTGAGTGCTTACCATGGAACAGACTTTTTATCAACTTGAGATAAGCAGAGCCATTTTATCAACTTGTCATTGTGAGCTCTGTGACTAGGACCTATGTGCTTTGAAAAGGATTATGAAAATACAAGACCTAATGTATTTGTATTATAATATATATAGCAATTATACACATACATATATAACAATCCCATAAACACAAAATTAATCAATGGTTAATGTCGACCAGCAGCATTCTATCAACTTAATTAATTATAGACCTTAAAACAAAATCCCAGTACATTTGCAAGCAGTTTATAGGTAGATTTTCCAAAGATTTCCAAATATTCTCCTTATAAACTAAATTAGTTTTTTCATAATCAAATAATTTCAAAAAACATGTTTTATTTAAAATTTCTAAAAATTCTTTTCGTGCCAGAAATTACTGTTCATGTGAGATGTATATTGTCAAAATGCTTCATTTGAGAAGAGCCTCTGAAGGCTTTAAAGTAGCGCAGTGAGAGCAGATGGGGGGAGTTCATGGAGGTAGAAGCTTACGATTCTGTGTGGACAAGGCTACATATAATGCTAGGACCCTACTTAAGAAGATACAAAGGATGTGTCTTAGCGACCTGCTGCATTCCTGTTAATACTCAGCTATTAATACAAAGCACACATTGTTCCCAGGTAGGTCTTACTATTATCTGTGCCATTGATGCCCCTTGGAATATTTGAAGACAATTCTCATGTCAACTCAAAAGTTCTGTCTTGGCCAGGTGCGGTGGCTCAAGCCTGTAATCCCAGCACTTTGGGAGGCCAAGGCTGGCTGATCACCTGAGGTCAGGAGTTGGAGACCAGACTGGCCAACATGGTGAAACCCCATCTCTACTAAAAATACAGAAATTAGCTGGGTGTGGTGGCAGGCACCTGTAATCCCAGCTACTCGGGAGGCTGAGGCAGGAGAATTGCTTGAACCCGGGAGGTGGGGGTTGCAGTGAGCCGAGATTGCGCCATTGCACTCCGGCCTGGGCAACAAGAGTGAGACTCCGTTTCCAAAAAAAAAAAAAAAAAAATTCCTTTCATTTCTGTTTCTTTCTATTCCCTGTAGAATATTCTGGTCACTTTCTTTTGCTCATTCCTCAGTTTTGGGTGCCCCAAAAAGGAAAATGCCATATTCCAGATGTGGTTTAATGAATACAAAGTAAGTGGGAGTCTTGCCATTACACTAGAGTTTTATCCTTATATTAACTCAACTTCATCATGTTTTGATGCATATTGGGCTTGTCCTCAACCAAAACGCAGAAGCCCATGGGTCCTTTTCACATCAGTGATGCCAAGTGGATCAACTTCAACCAGTCCTTGTGAAGATGGCTTTCTGAATGTCTTTGCATTTAGGCTTGTTAAATACAGTTTTGTAAGTACCTCCTTCAACACAAACCCTATCATCAAAACCCTGATTTTGTCATCAAGCTTAGTTATTATTCTTCCCAGCTTTGTGCCTTCTTAAAGTTGACAAGCTGGCCTTCTGTGTTGGAGAGGACAGAGGTGAGCAAGCATGGAACTGGTGACTGCACCTTGGGGATTACTGCAAAATTATGTCTGCCTTTGTGTTTAACTTGTCCCATTACCTACAAAAATCCAACAAAGGAATTGTTCTCTATTCTGTCAATAAAGACACAACAGATTATTTCTTTAACGTTTCACTAGAATAATGGTATTCTGATTTTCAACAAATATTCAGGCAGGAATAGTGCTTCTGTAGTTTCTATTTGCAGCTTAATATTGTATGTCACATATAATGTTAACATGATATGACCCAAGATTCACATATACTAACTCGTTATGGCATTTCTTGTAGGAACAAGGCCTCTGAGTCTAGGATGATGAAGTTAAATTTATGTGAGGCCAAAAAATAAATAAAAATAATGGCTCTGCCCCAGTTGTTGCATAGCTATAAGGTTAGATGGGACCTGGATAGGTCATTTTATCATCCCTCTACCCCCTATTAAGTCATGCTATAAATCTGTCTTCATTTTCCTTAGGCCTTCCTTTGTCTACCTTTTTCAAAATTTTCCATAAACCATGTTTTCTGAGTTGTCATACACATTTTAATTTTTGAAGGTTTAGGGACAGTGTCCAATTCAATGTTCCTTGTTTGGCTTTGCCTCTTGGCCCAGATCTAAAGTTCTTGGATCTCTGATAAGTACTTAATGGCCTTGGGGACGCGAAAAGAAGAGTGGGCCTTGCTCTGGATTAAAGGCTCAGAAACCCAGGGAAGGCGCCACATTCCCTGGCTGTGTTAATTAGCCATGCCTGTTGCTAGTAAGTCTCTGGAGATATTTTACTAGGATCACAGAAGCAATTTGCAATGCCCAGAGTGGGGGAAAAAAACAACACCCAGGCTTTATAAATCTCATAGAAAAGAACTTTGCCTTCTCCAAAGAATCATTCTCCTTATATTTAACATTATTTTTTTGAAACCAGAACAAGGGAACATAGAAATTGAACCTCTGTAATTCAAAGTGAACTATGGAAATGCATTGCTCTTTCCCCACTTGTGTAATTCAATTCAGTGTTCTTACTCTGCAACAAAACCTTTACTATTAATAGCTGAAAGCATGGGTTTATAATCATTTTTAAAAATTCTATGGATCTTATCCATGGAATTTATTTGCTCTTCAATACTATCTTTCCCCCCAGGGACTCATTACTCATTTACACATCTAGAAAGTAAATAGTGTGCCATTAACTAGAGAAAAATGCAGCCTCCAATTCATGGCACCAGGATATGGGCTTTTTTTTTTCGTTTCTTTCTTTCTTTTCTTTTTTTTCAAACAAGACAAGCATTTGGAAACAGAATACTTTAAAAGGAAAAGATCAGAACTTGTTTTTCAATGAGTTGAGAACAACAGCCACCATTGTAGCCCAAAGCAAGGGTCTTAAAAACAGTTCAGGGGAAAAAAACCCATAACAGACTATTACATATAAGCTGAAGATTTAGATTAAATATTCTTAAGTCCCAAATGGATTTCAATTTCTATCTTAACGTGTTTATCTATTTGCAAATTTAATCATGACTTTTAAAAAAAGACTTCAGGGTTCTTATAAATTGAAAACATTGGTAGTAATTATTTTAACTAGAAATGGGGACATATTTTCATAGCAGCTATTGATCTGTGGCCTAATTGGCACCATAGGGAAAATTCTTCCCAGTATTCTCTGGGTTGGGAAGAATAGTACATGATCTGGTTTCATCAAAAGACTATAAGCAACATAGTGAGAACTTGTCTCTTAAAAAAAGGACTGTGGGTCGAGTTCATCATAAAAGGGCAGCATGACTCCTGTGTGTATGACACCTATATCAAAGGACAGGCATTCCTGACTTATCATCATTAATCTTGTATGTGTCTCAGGAGTGCAAAGAATTGACTTCCCCCTATGTTTGGTTGGTTATGCTAGGTTTCCCTGGAGACCAGGGTAGAGAAGAACTATACAAGATGTCACCTTTTTTTTTCTCATAGACAGCTGGATATAATGTTAATATTAGTAATATCTGACATTTAGAAAACATTTATTTTGTGCTTGGTACAATTCTTGATGCTTCACATATATGAACACATTTATTTCTAACAACAATGTCAGGGAGGCACATTAGCATTCCTATTTTACAGAGGAGGAAACTGAGACCCAAAGGAGGTAAGCTATTTCCAAAGTGCAAGCAATTGGCTTGAGCCCATGTGGTCTAGCTTTAGAGTGGCATTAGCCTAAAGGAATATAATGTGAGATACATATATAATTTTAAATTATCTCATAGCCACATTTAAAAAAAGTAAACTGAAATGTATGAAATTAATTTTAATAATGCATTTTCTCTAGCTCAATATATTCTAAATATTATCATTTCAACACATAAAGTGTAAAAATAATGAGATATTTCACATTTTAAAACTCTTTTTAAACTAAGTCTTTGAAATCCACTGTGTGGTTTGCACTTTCAGCACATGTCAGCTTGGATTAGTCGTGTTCCAAGTGCTGGATGCCACATGTGGCTCAGGTCTACCAAACTTGAGTCAACATCTCAATGTCTCTTGCTCTGCAGTCACTCCTCTCTTTGGTTGGAGGCAGCTTCTAAGTCCAGAATCGGAGTAGAGTAGGGGATTAGGAGGCAGTTTATGGGAGAACTGGAAGCAGTAGAGCCCTTCCATCCTGTTGGTGCCTTTGTGTATATTAGAGTAAGGGCCAGCTCTGGGATGACACAGTCCCTTGGGTTGACAGATGATTGGATGGATGGCAGCCCTCACTCACCCCCATAGGCCACAAGCTCCACAGCCACACACCACCACCCTGCCTGTGACCTCCAACACTCAGTGGCCTCCTTGCAAGGACTCTAGGCCTATGGGGAAAGGAGTATGGAAAAGGCTGCCTGGAAGGGCAGTTCTTGCATGTGGGCAGAGTGGGGCTGGGTGTTCATGTCAGGGAGAGAAGTGAGAGCACGGCCTTTAGGGGGGCGTCATGGTGTGGCTCTGTGCCACTGGGAGACTGCTGCTGGGCAGAATGATATGAGGCATCCACATCACTGTCCGGCACATAAAATGCAGAGGCCTTCCCCAGTCCTCAGCTGCCTTGAAACCGTAACTTGTATGTGTTTTCTGTTTTTCTGTTGTTTCTGAAGACAGTCCTCTCTGGGGCCACAGGCTCAGTCTCTCTTGCATTTTGTTACCTTTTCCTTCATTACAAACATATTGTTCACTAGATTGTAATGGTTAATTGTAGTGGTAGATTGTAGGTCATTGTCCCTGTTACCTGATGTCTTTCCTCTGAAAGGAGAGGGTTGCAGGGCAGCTAATGCTCTAATAAATCAGGTAGGCTTTAGACGACAGGAAGCTGGCAGTGGCCAGGGGACCAGGGTGGTTTCCCTAGTGTCCTGGGTAGCCCAGGATTGACTAGTGGGGGCGAGGCATCACAGGAGTGTCAAGGGGGATCCATCCTGTCATAAAGTGGGACCTTCCCTTACAGGTCAGTCTGCTACTGCATATCTAATATGCACACACTCCTGCTCTGCTCTGAAGTTATGTCAGACAAAGCAATCCAAGCCCCCACCTCCTCAGTCAGTCAATGTTATAGATGAATGGAGGGTGGGACTAGGAAGGAAAAGAGGATGACGGAGCAGATGTGTTCATAAACACTTCTGTACTTGCACCTTGCAGAAAGCATTTTCCCAGAGAAATTGTCACAGAAAGAAAAACGTTTAAATTACTGGTACACTTAAACTGTTGTTATAGCTACTTTGAAAAAAAGCTATTTAGCAATGTCTACTAATACTGAACTCCCATATACCCCATGGCCCTGAGATTTTACTCCCAGGTACATATCCAATAGGGATGTGTACGTATGTTTGCCAAAAGACACATACCCAAATGTTCATGGTGTTGTTTATCATAGTAAAAAAGTAGAAACAACCCAAATATCATTGACAGGAGACTGGTTAAAAAAGTTATGTGTAGTCACACAATATACAATATGTGTATTGTATACATATATAACACAATAACAAGAATGAACAAACTAAAACAATAATATTGATGGTTCTCTCAAATAAAATGTTGAATAAAAGAAACCAGACACAAAGGAATACATGTTACATCATTTCATTTATACAAAGTTCAAAAACAGGCAAAACTAATCTACAGTGTTAGATGTCAGGCTACTATATTTGATATTGTAACCCACAGCATATAGCACCTATATCACTGAATGGAAAGGATAATGAATCAGTTTCTCTTTTTCTTTTCTTTCTTTTTTTTTTTTTTGAGACGGAGTCTGGCTCTGTTGCCCAGGCTGGAGCGCAGTGGTGAGATCTCAGCTCACTGCAAGCTTTGCCGCCCGGGTTCACGCCATTCTCCTGCCTCAGCCTCCTGAGTAGCTGGGACTACAGGCGCCCACCACCACGCCCAGCTAATTTTTTGTATTTTTAGTAGAGACAGGGTTTCACCGTGTTAGCCAGGATGGTCTCGATCTCGTGATCCGCCCGCCTCGGCCTCCCAAAGTGCTGGGATTACAGGCGTGAGCCACTGCGCCGGCTCCATGAATCAATTTTTCTCTTACTTTACATAGAGCACGCTGATTTTTTTTTCTTTTCTGTTAAAGCCTATTTGCGACCCACTACATGGATTTTATGATCTTTAATGGGTTGTGATCTATAATTTGGAAACCATTGTTATTAATACTGGTTAGGCTCCCAGAGTAGCCCAGACGTTACCTAATCTCTTTAAGCCTCAGTTTCCTCCTCCATAAAAAGAAGAAAATAATGGCACCCTTCTCATAGGGCAGTTGCGGGATTGGACGCGTTAATGCACATTAAGCTCTCTCTTGGCACAGTGACTGGCATGAGATCACGCTTGCATGTGAGTGCACATACACACACACACACATACTTTTATTAGTAGTTGTATTTCTAAATACATGCAGGTCTTTCCTTGGGCAAATAAACATTTTAAATCCCTGTTCTCAGGACTCACTGATAACGTGAACTAATCTTCCAGAGGAGACTCAGAGGTGACTCATTACTCTAGGGAAGCCAAGTTCCTTGGTGATTAGGACTTCTGGGATTTCTACCTAGACGTGGGCTTCTTTAAGTTTTTTTCTCTTTTCCCATATGTTCTACTGGGCTGTTTTCTTATCTGCTCTGGTCTTTTGGTCAGGACCTGAGATCATTTGGGCTGGTACAGTGTAACTGTACTTGCACAATCGTCGTTTTTAAGTCATCTTAGCTTGGGAAGTGTTGGCCTCTGCTAAGAGTAAGCCCTCCTACTTGGCCATGAGATCTGACCAGCTCCCATTGCTTCCTCCAACAACAAGGGCTTTATGCTCTCATGCAAAAAGACCAGCTGTCAGCTTAAATTTCCCTAATCCAGCCAGATCCCAACTCAGCCAATCAACAGTCGCTATCTGGGGGAAGCCCATCTGTGAAATGCAGCCGTGCCCTTACTGGAATGACATGTCATAAAAATTAGTTTGGGCACTAATCTAAGGAAGCTTTGTGCTGAGTCGAGGGACTGCGAGGTCCCGGTTGGTGTCCTTCTCTTTGCCAAAGAGCTGGACCAGATGAGAAGTGCCCAGTTTGAAAAGACAGAAAATGCCTCCACTTCCTGTTTCCCTTCACCCTGAACCCCTTGTGATGCTGTCCTTGGGATGAGGGGAGACCCTTACCCACTCCCCCAAGTCTTCTTCTCTGGGTAGCTGGTTCCTCTGTCACCCAAGAGGGCTAAAACGATGGACAGAAATATATCATATTGCTGTTTTTTTTTTTTTTGGTGGAGATTTGTTGGTTTTTAACTGCAAGATTATATTACTAACTCATGTTGGCTTGTTTGTTTAAAAAGGACAAACAAACTCATTCCTATGAGAAAGATTTTTCTAGTGTATGTTTCCCCTCTCATCTCTATAAAAATAGTTGTTCCCAAAACATATTTTTTTAAACTACTGAGAACAATAAAGCATCTAGATTTTCATTTTGTTATAGTATAATGGCCCAGGTGACTTTTCCCCTCAGACCTACTGTCCTGACCTGTTTGCTTCCTCAGTTTACACCACACTCTCTCCTTACTTCCTGACCCTTTAATTATATCCTCCTTTTAGCCCCCGTCTCATGACTACAGAGGGACTTGGGGAGATGGGCAGTCGGTGCTTGGCCAGAGGCAGAACTGAACCTGGCTTGCAGGTGGGTGCCCGCTCGCCTCCCAGCTTGCTGAGCATGGTGGGAAATGTGAGGAGGCCTGGAACCTGGCCTTGACTTCAAGGATCCTGAAACTTGGGTTAGGAAATGGTTTGTGCACACGTGAAGTTTCCCAACCATACATGACAGAATATGAGTGCTATAGAGGACACCAGCATAACAAGGGCATGCCATTGCCTGCCCGACTCCACATACTGTGTCTGGCAATCTTGTTGCCACTATTTCTCCATGTTTGGATCACATGTATTCAGTTTTTAGTGATTTTTAATTGAGGACCTACCTATGTACCCTATATTGTTCCAGGGGTCATGGGATGCATTTTATTGGCGACACCTTACCATTCAGCCTGCCTGGAAGTGTGCACAGGGCTGACTTCAACCAATTAAAATGTCAACTTTATAGAAATGAGCTTAAAGGATCAGGAGAAGTCCTCTTTACATCACTAAGTAACTGAATAATGTGCTTCCTCTGTGCCATTTTAAAAAATCATCATGCCTTCAATCCTAACATTGGAACTGTATTTTCAGACAGTCACGTGGACATTTTTACGCTTGCTGATTTTTATCTAATTTTAAATGATTTTGAAATATTTCCTCGGAGTATAGGTTCTTTCCTAGAAGTTTATAAGTGTGAGTTCTACGGTAAAATTGAGGGGAAAAAACCCATCATTTTAATTTAAAAAAACCAAACCTACAGATTTTTTGTTTTTTTTTAAAAGCATTTTCCTTGCATGAATTAGGAACATTTCAGACTCAATTATTTCTACTTTTTAAAAATTTTAAACTGATTTTTGGAATAAAGGGAACTAATCAGTGTTTTAGCCACATCTTTGCTTCAAGGCAATATAATTAATCAGATTGCTATTTTAAGTCAGCCTGGGTGCTGCGTTGCCAGCTTTATAGTTTGAGGGGCTTAGGAAATATTTTCTAAGGACTTTGTACATACATAATAATGTCAGACCAAAAGAAAAAAATCAATGCATGGGTTAAAAACCGCATATTTATCCCATTTTATATGGTGAAATTTGTCTATTATATCATTTAACAGAAAACCATGAAGCCTCTCACACTATTTTGGAGAGTATAGCATTGACTAAAGCGAGGTTGAAATGAATTAAAACTGAGAGACAGAGAGAGAGAGATTTAAAAATATTTTATTCATTAATTCATTCACTCACTTATTTGCTTATTCATTAAACATGACTAAGGGCTCATTAACACATTAGTAGGTGCTATAAAGCAGAGTATGACATTTCTCTCAAGCTCTTGAGATCCCTTTTAAGCTACCCTTCCTCCTTTCTCACATTCTGGCTGACTCTCCTTCTAGGATAAGTGGATCTCTACTGCAACTCTGCACAGCCACGCCTAACCTCCTCCAGACACTCTCTACCTCTATGCCTTTGCTTCATTATTTTTCTGCTCACTTGTCCAAACCTCATCCTTCTTTTCCTAATAGCTCAACTCAGGCCTAGCTTCAAAAAAATAAGCAATTTGTATTGAGCTCCAATATAGAGCTATGAGGGTTCTTATATATAAAGAAGTACAAGATGCAACCAGGACTGTACAAACCCTGCTATCCTGCTTAGGAGTTGTGAGCCATGCTTCAAGCTTAGAGGATGTTGGCAACATATGGCATGTGTGTAATACCAGACAACTGATTCCTACCATGAGTGCTATAGGAGGTTGTGGGATGGAAAACCACTGGAAGCTTCTTAGGAAACTGAGATTTAAAATTTGAAAATAAGATCTGGGTGGCTGTGAAAAAGGGACAAGACATTCCCAGTGGGTATGAAAAGCTACCAACTCCAAGAAGGCCCAACCCAGTGGGTACCAATTACTTGCCCCCTAATGCACACATCTTGAGTTTAAACTTTGTCTCACAAGCTTAACTTGTATGCAGGCTCTTTAGCAGTGGCTTAAAAAAACAAAGGTGGGGCAGTGTTTCTGGTTTTTCTATTTTTCTCCATCCTATTTTATTTTAAGCTCCTCATAAAGAGACTCATATCTGATCTCTAGTTCAAGTTGTCCGGGTGTGCCCTGCCTCGTAGACAGACTGTGAAAGAATTAGCAGATTATAAGAATTTAAGCCCTTGTGGATATATCTGTGACAATGAGGCCAGGTGCTGGTGTGAACTGAAAAAGAAAGAGATGAGAGAGACCTGTCACTGGGCTTTGTCCACAAAAAGTGTGCGAAAAAATACGAAATCATTAAGTATTGATTTATACTGGTTATACTGCAGTATGAATGCAACCATAAAATCCAGGGGAACAGTGAAACAAAGCCAAAATATGAGTGAGGATAAGCATGGTAATTCAGAGGAAGTAGGCTGCTTGGGTCCCCGGTGGTGGGGAAATGAGTGGATGGGAGAAGCACTGGGTTGAGGAGGGTGCTGGGTGAGGCTGGGGCTTCTCTGGCTGCAAATGACGTGAGCACTGTCATGTCAGGAGACCTGAGACAGCAGCAAACTGTGAGAGGGGCTGGGCTCAGCTTGCTGTTTAGTTTCACATCCGCTGACTTTAAGTATTAATATCTGCATTTAGGCAGTAACTGTGAAGTAAGGGAATTCTTGATCAAGCTTTCCTATTTATGTTGTCCTTATCCCGACTCTCTCCCGTGACAATACAAATGCCAGCTAAGCCAGATTAATAAAGATGGGAACACTGGACTCTTCCTGGAGAATTCTGGGTTTTTCTGCATGTTTTTCTAAGATCCATTAAGAAGAGTTATCCAAATCTTGAAAATAAAGAAAAAAGATGAATGCATACCTTTTAATCTGCTTGCCCAAAAGTCATCTGATATTCTAGGGGGAGGTAACATTGTGTGTCTTACTAATTAGGACCCAGACTCTGTAAAGTTTGATGTTATCCCATAGAAAATGTTACATTGCTAAAGACATCTGTCCAGAAAAAAAAAGGGTAACCCCGATGGTTATGGCTTTATTGCCCTGTAGGACATTAACCAGTTTGGTGTCTAACTTTGCACTCTTATTTCAGAATTACTTCCAATGACTATCCACGTGATGGTTGTCATACTCTTCTTTATTCCAGCTTTGTCATTCTGCTTCTTCTCTCGTTGAGTTAAATAAATCTTTGACATCTGCTCACTATATGTTTTATGAGAGTTAAGTTTTTAACTTAAAAATAATTATACTTTGACAAATCTTAGAAGTCGACTTGGTGTAATAGGTTTAATTTGCTGATTAACAAAGATGGCTTATGATGTATCTTTGTTAATATTAAGAACCTGAAAATCTTGCAATTAGCATTCATAATTTTATACAGTGTATTTTATACACTTCTCTGCATAAGAACACTGATAAGAAATAACTAAGAGGAACCGGCATTTTGTAAACCATTGAGTGAGTTTTGAATAAGGTTAGCGACAGAACCAAATAATTTTTTAATTTGCAAGAAATGTTCTGCTACTCTGCAGAACTGTTCTTCCCTGCACCCATCTAATTGTGAAATTCTTGCAAGGCTTCAAGTCAGGAAGCATTTCAAATAGAAAGAGGAACTTTAAAAAATGTGCCCCTGGGGAAAGATTTTCCCCCTTCTCCTCCCCGAAAAGGACTCATAATTCATTTCAGCTGCTTTGTATTTTCATGGCATCATTTTTTTAAATAGCAATAGAAAATTGAGACTTTATGGGAGAGGCATCAAATATAGGGCTAAATGTTATTTTGTCTTGGTAAGGCCTAGCACAGGATTTTATTAGCTGCTGATATTTTGTGGGAATCCTGAAATATCTAAATTAATTGTCTTCTTTAAACATTTTTTTTTTTTTCTGAGACAGGGTCTTGCTCTGTCTTCCAAGCTGGAGTGCAGTGGTGTGATCATGGCTTACTGCAGCTTTGACCTCCTAGGCTCAGATGATCCTCTGGCCTCAGTCTCCTGAGTAGCTGGGACCAGAGGCATGCACCATTACACTCAGCTACATTTTAAAATATTTTTTGTAGAAACATGTTTTTGCTATGTTGCCCAGGCTGATTTTGAACTCCTGAGCTAAAGCAATCCTACCACCTAGGATTTTCAAAGTGCTGGGATTACAGGCATGAGCCACTATGCCACCGCGCCAGTACATGGATCTCTGTACTTGCCTGGGCAAGGGGGTGAGAATCTGTCTCTACAAAAAAAGTTTTTAAAAATTAGCTGGATGCAGTAGCACACACCTGTAGTTCCAACTACTCAGGAGGCTGAGGAAGGAGGATCCCTACAGCCCAGGAGCTCGAGGCTACAGTGAGCTATGATTATGCCACTGCACTCTAGCCTGAGCCACAGAGCAAGACCCTGTTTCTAAAAAAAAAAAAAAGATATTGGGGTCAACCATCACTCCTAGTCTCTCCATGCATGAGAAACTTCACCTCTAATATAACTCCTTATAGTAGGTTCTCCGACACAAAGTAGTTCTTCAGTAAAGAAAGCCAGTTGCCTTTGCCCCGTGGCTGTCTCACTATGGACCTTTGCCGCCTGTGCTATCCGAAATCCTCTGATGCTCTTTAGTCACTCTGGTTTAGCCTCCTGCTATTAAGGCTGACTGTCCCCAAACCCACAGTAATGAAATATTGGTCATTAATATATTGTTAAGTCGTGGCAGCCCCTGCATCAATATTAAATAATTATGGTGTGCTTGAGTGCTTACCATGTCCTAGGTCGCTGACAGGGTATGATCGACCAATAAGACTGAGACAGGAACTACAGCCATCACCCCATTTCCCATGACAAACAGCAGGGCTCTGAGACTGATGAAACTTGCCCCCAGGAGAAAAGAGGAAGCAGCAATTGGGCCACGCCTCTCTACAGAGTTCTTCCAGTTGTTGACTCTAAACTTCTCACCCCCAAGAAAGTTTCACAGAGAAGTAGATTGCACAGTCTTAACACCAGCCTGAGCCTTGGGTCCAGCTTCTTATCTGCAGTCCAGTCTACTTCTCAGGAATGTCTTTCTAGGCCATTGTTTACATTATTTCAAAACCAAGGAGCTATGAAATTTCTGAGAGTCCTAAGCCTGGAACCTAAAGATTGCAATTCAAGGCCAGAATTTGCCTTGTTGTCACTGTCAACTCACTCTTCTCTTTATTATCTGCTAGCTTTGAGGGCTTTTGAATTCTTAAGACACATCTTAACTCTTTTCTTGGAGCTTTTAACATTTTCAGATTTTTAAAAATAGTTTTGTTCTTTCTTTGTCCTTAGATATCTAGTAATGCTTTCTCAGACTCGGTCAAGTTAACTCTTCTGGGATTTCATTGTTTTAACTGGCACACTGTGGGAGGTCAGTGTGTGTGTGTGTGTGTGTGTGTGTGTGTGTGTGTGTGTGTGTATGTATAAAACAGACATCAAAGGTTTCAGGAATTATTGGTCCTGTCAAAATTCTGAGTAGCTCAGCTCATATTTACTCATGCACCTTACTCTTCCAGCTCGTCTGCACTTCTTCCTTCTGGTTCTTATGTTGGCAGGTGTATTAGTAAGGGTTCCCTGGAGGGACATAACTAATAGGATATTATATATATAAAGGGGAGTTTATTAAGTATTAACTAACATGATCATAAGGTCCCACAATAGGCTATTTGCAAGCTTGAGGAGCAAGGAGGGCCAGTCCCAGTCTCAAAACTGAAGAACTTGGAGTCCAGTGTTTGATGGCAGGAAGCATCCAGCACGGGAGAAAGATGTAGGCTGGGAGGCTAGGCCAGTCTTGCCTTTTCACGTTTTTCTGTCTGCTTAGCCAGACAGAAAATTAGCCAGCAGCTGATTAGATTGTGACCACCAGATTAAGGGTGGGTCTGCCTTCCCCAGTCCACTGACTCAAATGTTAATCTCCTTTGGCAACACCCTCGTAGACACACCCAGGATCAATACTTTGCATTCTTCAATCCAATCAAGTTGACATTCAGTATTAACCATCACAGCAGGGCAAGAGAACACACAACATGATATTATCACAATATTTTTACCACAGCAAACTTAAGGTACCCCATCCACACAGATGCCTGTCAAAATAAAACAGAAAAGGGAATAGGAAGCAGGGGATGAGGAGTTAATTTCTTTTAGACTTGCTGCTTGAACTTATTCAGACTCCTCTTAGATCTGGAGCTGACATTTTTGTGACATTCTTTTCTCATAGACCATTTTTTCTACTGAGAGCTGACTTGGAGTCAAGAAAGGAAGAACAAACTAGTACTTAAATGAAATAGGATACATTTGAATAGGTCTTTTAATTTTTCCAAGTATTTAATCTCTGTTAGCTATATTCTTGTGGCGTCCATATGAAGAGATAAGTAGCAAATTTTAAAGAATTTCTACTGAAGTTAGAAAACTGAGTTCATCTAATCTTTTTATGCATCTCTATAATTTAGGAGATTGATGCTCAGAAATGATTATAATTGTTCTAGTGGAGGTGCCAGCTACTGTGCCCATAGAAGGATCTATCTGTAACTAAATTCCTTGGTATGGCCACGAATGGTAAATCTCACCTTTCTTGAGGCCCCTCTTAGCATCAGTTTCCCTGAGCTTCCCTGCCTTTCTCACCTTTCTTCCTTTGTCAAAATAAGATGATATTTTTCTAGATCCATTTATTCATCCAACTAAATATCTCCTCTGAGATGCCTATGTAACCTGTACAACAAAAAGAGCATATTGAATGAGCCCGATGAATGAGGCATCTGAAATCCTACAATTAAAAAAAAAAAGGAAGAAAAAATTAGAAGTATCTTTCCTAAAAGAAAGTCAGACATAAAAGTTGTGGTTTTTTGTTTTGTTTTTTGTTGTTGTTGTTGTTGTTTGTTTGTTTAACCTGTCCTGAAATGTTGGCAAGGTCCTATATCATAAAGTCTCTGCTTGATACATAAAATGTTTGGAGCAATCGGAATTGGTTTCGATTTTTCTCAGGGGATTATGACCCCAAGAAAGTAGGAAAACCTCTGCTGTGTATATTTACTCTCGATGAAACTCCATTTCCATATCCTGTCTTCCTATGCCCTATTCCATCTCAGTTTATTATTCAAATTCTGCCTGCTTTCATTCATTCAACAAAAATTGTTGAGTGGATATTACATGCTAGAAAGTGTTTGATATGTTCCCAACCATCTGAGCTGGCCATTCTTCCACTGGGTAAGAGGAACTCAGGAGTCTGAAACCCCTTGGAGGTAAAATTAAGGAAAAAAGATCAGAAAATACGTTTTTGAATAATAAAGTTGTTTTTTTTTTTACAAATGTTTTGTGGTTGTTTCAAAATGTCTTCATATTTACTTAGCATTTTCATAGATTACAAAGGAACTTCATAAATACTCTAACTACAACGTCCACTCCTAGGGTGTGGATAGTTTCAGTAGCCTTCCTCACTATGAGCTTGAGTGTAGAGACTGTGTTTTATTATGTTTATGTCTCTAGAATTTGGCCCGGGGTCAAGTAGGGATTAGGCTCTCACTAAGTAATTTTTAAATGAACGTCTTCATATTACATGTATATAAGTTATTTCCTATGCTGGTTTGTAATTGGAGGCTCTTTGCACTATCTCCTTTCCAGGTGCACAGCATTGTTCTCATCAGACAATGCATTTGGCTGAATTTTACCCAGGAAAAATGTTAGGTTGAACTTAGAGGACAATCTGGGACAGTACCAGACATCCTAGTCATGTCATCAGTCCTTGAAGCCATAGTTGAAAACTTTATAAAATGAGAAGTTTGGTAAAGACACAAAGTTGTTAGGTGGAGAAAACTGGAGAACTGAAATAATTTCATATTAGGGATGGTAGTTTCATGATGACAATGATTAAGTTTCAGAGATATTAAGGCAACAGTAAGATTGCAAACAAAAGCAGTAAGATGGCATCTGAAGCAAGAAGTTCACCAAGATGACTTGTTTAATTTTCCCCTTTCATAGGGTACTTGGGAGTTTATTTCTTCTATATTATGTCTTCAAACTTCTGGTTAAAAACACTAAACTATCTGATGAGCAGAATATAAGAAATGATAGGAATAATGATCTGGCATTTGGTTTCTAGAAGAAAACGAGACAATAAGCTTAAATGGTGCCTGTATTAGAAACAAGGGCAATAAGAATTTCGAGAGTGTTAAGGTCTTAATTCTGACCTTGTGATAAGACTATTTCTTGCTATTTATTTCTCCCCATCAGAAATCTATAATTTTCTATTTTTCAATTGTCATATCTATGAAAACATCCTTAGCAGGTAACCTAAGACTTAGAGGTTGAAAATGTGAGATTAATATTGGCAGAAAATGTTAGAAGACAACTTTGGCTACCTGGAACCCAGACTTTTTTTTCTGTGAGATCTTGGAAAAGTCACTGATATGGTTTAGCTCTGTGTCCCCACCCAAATCTCATGTTGAATTGTGATTCTTGGCATTGGAGGTGGGGCCTGGTGAGAGGTGATTGGATCATGGGGGCGGTGTCCAATGGTTTAGCACCATTGCCCTAGTGCTGAGATACAGCTCTCATGAGATCTGGTTGTTTGAAAGTGTGTAGCACCTCCCCTGTCATTCTGTCTCCTGTTGGCCATGTGAAGATGTACTTGTTTCCTCTTTGCCTTCACCATGATTGTAAGTTTCCTGAGGCCTCTCAAGAAGCAGAAGCCTGTACAGCCTGTGGAGTCATGAGCCGATTAAACCTTTTTTTTTTTTAATAAATTGCCCAGTCTCAGGTAGTTCTTTATAGCAGTGTGAGAATAGACTTACACAGTCACCTAGCCTCGCTGAACCTCAGTTTTCTAACTTCATTAGAAATCCTTTTAGATTGGCCCGCTTATCTCTTTATACAGATGCTGTAGGAATAGAATTAGCAGGATAAAATACCTAGAAAAATTAAGAGACTTATTCAAATGTATGCTATTTTATTTAAGTACTAGTTTATTTTTCCTTTCTTGACCCCAACTCAGCTCTGAGTAGAAAAAGTGACCAGGAATGTCAAAAAATTCAGCTCCAGATCTAAGAGGAGTCTAAGTAAGTTCAAGCAGCAGGTCTAAAAGAAATAAACCACTCACCCCCTGCTTCCTATTCTCTTTTCTGTTTGATTTTCATAAGCATCTTTGTGGATGGGTTAACCTTAAGTGTGTGCTGTGGTAAAAATGTTGTGATAATATCATGTTCTGTGTTCTCTTGTCCTGCCAACATGAGAATCAGAAGGAGGAAGTGCAGATGAGCTGGAAGAGTGAGCTGCATCAGTAAATATGAGCTGAGCTATTCAGAATTTTGACAGGCCCCAATAATTTCTGAAACTGTGCACGCACATGCACACACACACACACCCCTACGATGACCTTCTACCTATGTGCCAGACACTTTTCTAAGAATTGATGTTACACAATGATGAAAAATACATATTCCCTGCTTTCAAGAAGCTTGCATTCTAATGAGTGAAGAATAAAATAGTGAATTCATAACATAAATTAAATTCAAATAATTATATGTGCTATGAAAAAAATCCAAAATAATTAAATAGAGAGTAAAAGGGAGGTGAGAATGGGGCTGGAGTTGACAAGTAGAGAGGTAAGAGTCAGACAAGAGAAGGTGACATTTGAACTGAAATCTGAGTATCCAGAGGCACCAGCCAGGGAAATATCTAAAAGAAGAGCTGAAAGATGAGTTGGAATGAATTCACTGAGGAAAGTATGCAGGAAAATGAGGTTGCAGAGGTAAACCACAGCCAAATCAAAAGCAACTTTTAGTCTATGATCTTGGAATTTATTCTAAGTAGCATAGGAAACTCTTAGGAGAGTCTGATCTTTGATTTGTGGATTAATGTCTTTCATTAACCTTGGATTAAATCTTAGCCATTATCTCTATAAATGTTTCTTCTGCCTTATTCCTTCCTGTTCTTTAACACCAGTTTCCTGTATATCAGACCATCTAACAGTGTCTCACATCTAAAACATTCTATTGTTTTTCTTCATTCATTTTCTCTTTATGGTTTAGTTTAAATAATTTCTATTGAACTGCCTTCAAATTTACTGATCTTTTCTTCAGGATCAGTAAAGGTTGTGTTCAGTATTGTAGTTAAACACATTGAATGAATTTTCCATTTCTAATATTGTAGTTTTCAGCTCTATAATTTCCCCTCAATCCTTTTAGAGAGCTTCCATTTTTATGCTAAAGTTCCCTGTCTGGCACAAACTAATTTCCTAAAATATTTTTGTTGAATGAATAAATTGGTTTTGCTGCTCTGTCAGGAAAAAGGATTTTTTAAAATACAGAAAAATGTTCACATCTGTACTGAAAAATTTAGTGTCATAAATTAGTGATCTTCCACTAAGACTCAATAACTCATGGTACAACCAGGTGATAGCCATTTCATTTGAATGTTTTGCAAATTTAACCTTATTTTGGAGACAGCTAATGTAATAAGGCACTCTCATATTACTAGTATTCTTATACTTGGTCAGTTCCTTCTGGAAGCTCATAGTAGGACTAGACCCACAGGCATATAAACATCAAGGCACTTTGCTCAATAGTGCAGAACTATAGCAACCATAATAAATGTCTCCTTTTGTGAATGATTTAAATAAAGCCAGAATGCCTTTGGGTTAGTTTTTATCCCTGGAAAAAGACAAATCATTCCACTGGCAACATATAGAATATGTTCCTTGGAATAAATGACATATGACTTAAATTTCTTCTCTCTAGAGGATAGTTTTGGCAAGCTTCTCTATGTGCAAATGTGAAAGATACAGTTTTCACCTGGAGTAGAAAGTCCCGGAAGTCTGTCCTGCAGAGCAATCACTAGAGTGCTAGGAATCCCAGAATTTAACAAGTAAAATTCAAAAGAAAAGTAAAAGTGAAAAGGAGAAGTCTCAAGTAATCCATTAAATGTTTCTGGAGCAGACAAAACAAAATAACAAGGCAAGGCTGTGGAGTTGCATAACAAGAAAAACATAAATGCATATTTTCCAGAAAGCACTGGCCTCTCACATAAGTTTAAAGAGACTGATGCCTCTGGCGAGGGGATTATACTAGAGTTGCAATCACCTTTATGTTTTATTAGTGCTTATTATTACCATGGTGAACACAATGCTATCTGCTTCCCTGAGTGTGTTTGAAGTATAGGAAAAATCCAAAGATTTTTATAAAGTGAGGGATGGTGATACAGTACAACTCCTACGTGCACATACATATGGACGTACACAGAGAGAGACTCAAAAGAGTTGCATTTTAATTTCTCAGCAGAAGGAAACTTAGATTCTTTCATATCCATCTGTAGTTTCTAGACATTATATGGAGAGACAGAAATCTGAATTTGGCCAGTGGCGAGGGCTGCCCAGGGTTTAATTAGATCAGCACGCAGACTGGGATATGCTGACCTTTTTTGTCCATGCTAAGCCTATAGGCTGTATTTCTGAATGCCTCCCTCTCTGCAAACTGTAACAGGAGCTTTCATTTTAAAGTGCTTTCCAAACTTTATTCCTTATTGCCCTTGAGGAGAGGCCCTTATTAGTCTCTCTATTTTGCTGACTGGAATGAACTGACCTGCTTAAGGTCCAGTGGGAATTAGTGCCCAAACTGGAATTACCACTTTGGTACCTTTGGACCAAGTCCCAGGAACTGGCTGTTAAGGACAGGGCTATTGTGGTTCTTTCTCCTCCTGCTCTGTCTCTGCAGAGTTAACCCACTCCAAGGAATCGTTTTTGTCCGTCTGTGAGCTTTGGTTTTGATTTCTGCTAACTGGATATAACCATATTTATGGTATTTTCTGATCTTGTCAAGTGTATTTGTGCTATTTATGATGTTGACAAAGGTTCACTTTTGATTAACGTTAAGGAACTACTCTGTGCCAGGATCTATATACGTCCTCAGACTTACAAAAGTTAGACAGCTGGACACATTCTGCTCCTATGTGTATATCCTTGGAAAATTTTCACATGGGCCTGTGAGGGGTACGAATAAGGACACAAGGTTGTTTTTTTTTTTTTTTTTTTTTTTAATGACAGTGAAAGTTGAATGCAACTTTTTTTTATCAGAGAATTTTCAGGTTATTCATTTATTCAAAAAATATTTATTGAGTGCCTGTGACTTGCCAGGTCTCAGCAAAACCATCAATTATCCTGCAGCATTCATGGTTGGAGCTGCGCTCAAGTCTTCTAGGGCCTTACTATTGTAATACTGGCTGCCCACCCAGAACTACCAGCATTTGAACCTCTTTGTCTGGGAGGCTTCCTCTGGTTGCTGGAACCTGTCTGCCCCAGGGCAAGCTGGAAGTGTTGAAGAACTGATGCCTGCCTGCCCATGCCAGCACCTTGCAGCAATGACTGCTCCAGCTCCCTCCAGCTCCCTGGCTCCTCAGGTGGAAAGACCAGCAATGCTCTACACTGGCTCCCAGAGCTCCCCAGTGGGGTAAGCTCCTCTTGCCAACAATTGGAATTTGCTAAGTAGTAATCCCTGTATACTGGCTGCCTTGCCTTCACCAGCTCACTTCTCCATGCCCTTATAAACATTTCCTGGGATCACCTCCCCAAACTACCCGTACTTGAATCCTGTCTCAGGGACTGCTTCGGAGGGACACCCTCTTAGGGTGTCATTGTTTATGTATCTAATATCACTAGTTTAAAAAGAAGTTTTAGAAGAACCCTAAAAATGTTTGAAAAAGAGGGGGTCTATGATCTCAAGAAGCTCCCAGGCTAGCCATCCTTTTTCCCAGAATGAGGGGAGAAAAGTGAGTGTTTTAATACTTATTGCAAAGGAATCTGTATATTAGATTAACCCATATGAAATTGCTGATATTTGGTCATTGTTGACATAAAAATGTCAGTTTCATCTTCTGAGAAATCAAAAAGAAAACAAAAACAAAAATGTCAGTTTCATATGGCTCAATAATACATGGATGGCATTTTTCTTTTCTGAGACAGAGTCTGCAGTGGCCTATCTCTGCTCACTGCAGCCTCCACCTACCGGGCTCAAGCAATTCTCCTGCCTCAGTCTTCCAAGTAGCCAGGACTACAGGTGTGCACCATCACCCTGAGTAATTTTTGTATTTTTACTAGAGATAGGGTTTTGCCATGTTGGCCAGGCTGGTCTCGAACTCCAGGCCTCAAGTGATCTGAATGGCTTGGCCTCCCAAAGTCCTGGGATTACAAGCATCAGCCACTGTGCCCGGCCAATACATGGCAGTTTTCTTGCTTTTCTTGCTTTGTGTTTTTGTTTTTGCTTCCATTTAAGTACCAAATTCTTGCCAACTGACAGAATGAATCACATATTCCAAAGTGGCTGGCTACCATAGCCAACATTGCAGCTGGCAGGATGCAGGAAGAGGGAGAAAGTTTATGCTTCTACCATTAACGATGTTTCAGAGGAGAAACACCTTGTTTCTCCTCAAACCCATTGAGCAGAACTTAGTGGCCACTCCTAGCTGCAAGGGAGTCTTAAACAATGTCATCTTTATTCCAGATAGCCATGTCTAGTTATAATAAAGGCTACTTTCACTATAGAAGAAGGAGTAAACAATATTGGAAGATATCTAGCACTCATGCCTCCCTAATTAAAATTTTTTTTACTAATAAGAAAGCAAACAACCAGAGAGGAAAAAGGGGTCTCCAATGAACCTAACATCAAATGTTTATTTTTCTGCAGTTCTTAGAATTAGAAGGAACATTTAAGATCCTTTGATGGTTTTATTTTATTTTACTTTACTTTATTTTCTATATTTGTGTTGGACCTCAGTTACAGAGGGCTAATTGAATCATCAGTTTAATTTCATGATGTATCACCATCACTCATGCCATGGCCTGCTCTTGTTTCTTATTTATTTATTTATTTTTTCTGTTTTGAGATGGAGTCTCGCTCTGTTGCCCAGATTGGAGTACAGATGCACAATCTTGGCTCACTGCAGCTTCCGCCTCCAGGGTTCAAGCAATTCTCCTGCCTCAGCCTCCCAAATAGCTGGGATTACAGGTGCCCACCATCGCACCCCGCTAATTTTTGTATTTTTAGTAGAGATAGGGTTTCACCATATTGGTCAGGCTGGTCTTGAACTTCTGACCTCAGGTGATCCACCTGCCTTGGCCTACCAAAGTGCCGGGATTACAGGTGTAAGCCACTGAGCTTGGCCACTTGTTTCATTTTGAAATGTATTCCAGGTCATCCTGAATAACTACCCCCATCCCTAGCCCCATCCTCATGTTAGGCTACACCCTGAATGTTTGATATCTATCTTTGAAATTGTGCTTTTCCTTACAAATTATCTGCTATTTTTGCATGTATGTATTTTTACTTTACATACACCGTATTGTGCTAAGAAAAACTTTGTTCTTTCTCTTATTTTTTTTACCCATCATTATGTTTTTAATATTAGTTTGTATCAAATTCTATATTTCACGTTATTTTGCTACACAATTTCTCTGGCTGTGGACTCCTAATTTGCCTCCAATTCCCCACTGCCAAGAAAGCGACACAATGATATGCATGCATACTCGTACTTTTCTGGACCTTTGTGATAATGTTTCAAGGGTTATTTTACTGTACAAAGTAAGATTTATGCACAGTAGTTGACTAGGCACTGCCACCTTGTTCCCCAGAATGTCCACACTGCATTCCCACCAGTGGCACACAAGACTTCGTTTCCTCATACACTGCCTGCCTTCCAAAAAATTTGACATTATTACATTTCTAATTTTATGAATTTGATGAGAATAAAGCATATGTCATTGCTGCTTTAATATGTATTTCTCCACTTACTATTTATTTGTCATATCTTCATATATATGTTAGCAATTGGGTTTTCTCTTCTGTGACTTGTCTTTTTATATCTTGACCATTATTGTCTTGCATTTTTGTCTTTTTCTTATTGATTTGCAGAAATCCTTTCATACTCCCTGTATAAACCCTTTGTCAATTAAGTCATAAAAATATTTTGTTCATGAGGGTAATTCTTTTCCTAATCTGTCATCTATCTCTGTCCATCATTGTTGCGGGTTTTGGGTCTTTTTACAATGCTCTACCCCATTCTCAATTATATTCGTCTACATTTTTTTTTACTAGCTGTATAGTTTTACCTTCACATTTAGGTCTTTGGTCCACTTAGAGTTTTCCTTTGCATTGGTATAAAGTATGAATTTTGTTTTGCTTTTTTAAATATAGTGACTCCGATTTCCTAACACCACTACTAAACAGTCTGTCCTTTCCCTATTGATTTGTATTAGCATTGTTTTCATATATCAAGTTCCCCCATACACTCTATGTACTTTCTCTCTCACTCCCTCTGAGATCTTCGTTCCACTCCTTTGGTTATTTGTCTTGAACTCTTAAGTAGTCCCAAGTTTTAAAGTGTATAGAGAGTGTATACACATACACACACACACACACACACACACACACACACACATACACAAAGCAACATAACTGGTCTGGCCTAGAAAATGTGGGACTTGAAAGGAGATTCTGTGCCATGTAAATGGCAAGAAAGTGGGAAACAAGAAGTAAACCAAAATTCCCAGCATCGATCTTTGACCCCAAGAGTGATGTCAATGGTGCCTATACCCAGCTTCCAGGCAGACGGGAACTATATTCCTCTTCTATATTTCTTCTTGCTCCATGTCCACAGATGTAGTTTTGTATTTCATATTTGTCCACTCAACTTTGCTTCATAAAAGTTTGAGATGTCTTACAAAAATGCAGTTAACCAAGCAAAAGATAATAACACTAAAATAAGTGGAGAAAATGAGCCAAGGAAAAAATTAAAATTGCAATTTATTTCATTCAGAGCCCAAGTTAGTTTATAGCAACCTCAACTCACTTTGATTTTTTTTTTCCATTTGTAGTTCCTCTCTTTCTGTGCTTCACAAGGTTGTTCAACTTTTAGTGTTCTTGTTACGTTCTTTAGGAGAGGAAATGAAGACCCCGAAAGCTGCAGGTTTGAAGAGGTTGTTGGACGAAGGAGGTCTAGGTGGTGAGGGGATTGATGAGATGCTGTGCAGTTACCTGATAAAAAGACTGGAGACAAAGACTCAAAGAACTAGGGCTCTTGTCCCTCTTCAGCCACTGACTGGCTGCGACCTTCACTCAAACACAAATCTCTCTTGGCTTTATTGTCCTCAGCTGCCAGTGGGGAGGTTGTCCTCATGGTTCCAAGGTTTCATCCAACGCCAGCATTTTCTGATTCCGCATGCTTTTTTCCTCTGGGGGCATCAGTCACCAGCTCCCTCTGGAGACATTTTACAGCTAATATGCACACCAAGCCAGCTGTTAGTGCTATAACTGGGACATTCCCAGAAGGCTAATTAGCCTGCTCCCCTGGCTCAGAATAATTACTCCACAATATTCACATGACTCTTTTACACCAGGAATTCATCTCCTGTAGAGGGTCTCACAGATGTATCTTACGTATAAAAGAGAAGAAACAGCAAATGCATTCCATAGCCAAGAGCAAATAGCCTCTATAAATTGCATTTTCCAGCAAATATCCAAAAAAGTTAGCACAGAATCAAAGAAACTAAACTGCTCTCACCCAACTGTCCTCTAGTCCTCCAATTTTCTGGTGCCACTCCTTTTCCCAATAACCAAATAAACCTACCTAGGCCTCCACTTGGCACTGACTGCACATTCAGGTATCTCCCAGTTACATCTGTACTCCATCCGGAAGATATTCTAGTTGACATCTCATACTCCTTGCTCCAGCTCCTCCCTGGCTCTTTGGTCACCCCAAATGTTTCATTACTTGGCCTGCCTTGCAGCTCAAAGTGATCTCAGCTGTAGTGGCCAACAGCACAGCCTTACTGAAGGCTGGGGTGTGCCGGAGGGGAACTGTTTCCCAGCATCCAGGAAACAACTCAAAATCAGGATTCAGGCCTAGAACTACCCTGAGAATCCACTGGCCAAACACCATCAAGGGGAGCCTCTTACTGATTTTCTGTCTTCTTGGTCTAGGTCTGCTGAACCCACTTCCAGAAAAGAGACCATTCTCCCATCACTCTGGTCCTCTGCTTCACTCGACATGGCCTCCAAGGCCCTACATGGTTGAATCTCTGCTCTCCTCTGAAAGCTCATCTCCTACTTGTCTGTCCTCGGTCCAGGCCCTGCAGCCACCCGGGCCTTTGGTAGTTCCTAGAGAAGCCCTCTGCCTTCTCCCACCCCAGGACTTTTGCACATGTTGCCTGCAACACTCTCCTTCCCCTTCCCTCCATCTATTATGTACTTAATTCCTATACTTCCTTTAGCTGTCATCTCAGTTACCCCTTCTTCTTGGAAGCCTTTCTGATGGCCTGCACCTAGGTCAGGTTCCTTTGTTACATGCTTGCACAGAACCATATTATTTCCTTCTACACTTTTAGCAACACATGGAACTAGCAAAAAATAGATTTTCCTCAATGGCCTCACAGGTCTTGGGTCAAATTCTAAGCCAGACATTAAATCTTGAATTCCTGCACTTCTCCCCCTACCCAAGCAAATCAAAAAGGCAGTGGATTTCCCCTATTCTTCTGCCATATGATAATACTTTGTATAACCCAGTGTTCCAAATGATCACATTTGAATTGATTAGTAGATTCCCAAATTACTGTAGTTCAACTGTCTTTCTAACATTTATGTTCCTAGAGCTATAAAAGAAATGGAAATTGTGGGAAAATCTCTGCACATCTGGATAATTTGTTTTTACCTTCCAGTGATCCTTCAGAACTCTAAATCTTTCATTTTACACATTGAAGGAGTTTATTCACCAGCATGGAAGTTTTGCATAAAATAAAATTCAATTTTAATTTTTATAATTATCACTGTTTTAAAAAAATCCTTCCTTTTTACATTTTTTTATTATGAAAAATAGAATAATATAACAAATCCCTAAGTACTACTATCTTCATGTACCCATCAAAATTGATCAATGGCCAATCATGTTTCATCTATACTCCCACTTACAGCAACAAATTACTGCTTTTTCAAATAGCCTATTTATCTCTAAAATAGATTGCTTCGTTGTTTTAAAGCATACTGGGAAAATTGAAATTTGGCATCAGTTTGGGTTCCTGCATCTATATCCACCTATTGAATCTAGAATGGAATAAAAAGTTGCATTGTAAAGTCTACTAGCTCAAATCTTAAATATCTGATATCAGTCAAAATGTCAGGTACTCCAACATGTACATGGATTAAGTATAGCTCAGAGTAAAGTTTGTATTGTTTCCCCTTTAAATCGAGAAGCAAGTTTGGGTAAGATCTTTAACATCATAAAAACAATTCAAGACAATTTTCTTTAAAAGAAAATTACACTGCAGTGAGGTAGTTCAACTCGCCCTGTAAATTCTGAAAAGGCATTGATTAATAATAATACAGTCTGAGTCTCTTAAAGTCTCCTTCTTTATTAACTGGCTCTTTTCCTCTGAAAGTAGAGCCTGGATTAATATTTGTTGATAAAAAGCCTGAGTGGACCGGCGGTATGATCGAGATTGAATCTGGGCTGACACTCTTGGTTGTTTACCAGACAAGCACACCCCTTCTGTCCACTCTGCTTGGGCACTGAGCCAAATGGTGTTAGGGAAATGCAACTGCTCCCCTGGGGCAGGACGGACTCAGACTGTGGGAGTTGCTCAGTGTGACCCCATTCCCCTGCACCGTGATTGGTGCAGAGGGACTGTGTGATTCACTTTGAGCCAGTTAAATGTAAGGGGAAGTATACTGAGGCGTCTGGGGAAGATTTTGTCCCAATGATGGATGGAGAGAAACTAGGAAGGGGCACTCTGACCCTTGCCTTCTACCTGGAATGCAGTTGCTGAAGAGATGGTATCGGGAGCTGTGGCAGCCACGTTGTGGGAGACAAGACAACTCTGACTCACTGAGGACTGAGCAGTGGAACAATGGAAAAAAACCTGGCTGCTTGATGTCCTTAGCAGGCCTCTGAATAGACCTTACCTCTAGATTTTTTGCTGGGTGTAGAGAAAACAAACTCCTCTATTATGCACATTTCCAGCAGATACAGCATGTATCTAAACAGAATAGCAAGGGCTGGTTATACTGGTGTGGTTAGAGTCACTTCAATCTAATTCACTGAACATTTACTGAGCACCTACTATGTGCCAGGCTCCGTGCTAGACATTGGGGAGCTAAATGTATAAAAGAAGTAGTCTCTGCTCTCAAAAACACCTATCTAGTAAAGTTTAAAAGAAAGGCATGAAACTTCCAGGGGATATTTCCTTGAAGAAATAAGACTGCTGTGCTCCAAAGTGGTGGATTTAGTGTCCACGGATTGGTAAGGGTGCCTGGGTAAGAAGTCACCTCTCTCAGAAATAATAAAATCACACATAGAAGCATCCTATAAGAAGGCATATATGCTTCTCATCCTATAAGAAGCATAGCTGACTGACAGGCATGTACAAGCTCAGGAGCTCTAGGAAGGGCTCTGACCCTCTCCTATTGCCTACATTCCACACCTGGAAACTCATGGCTTTGGCTTAAGAATTTGTCCCTTGCTAAATTGCAACTACCCCTGAGGAGCAACACATATTTCTTCTATCATTTAAAAGGAGAATTAGCGCTCTTGTGAAGGTTCTGGGGACCTGAAGAAAGGTGGGTGGAAGTGGAAGGAGAAGTGGGCACCAAAAAGGAGGTTGGGGACACTAAGGTGATCCACATTTTAGCTCAGGGCCTGCTCTGAGCCAGCTGAAATAAACCATAAAAGGGCAAGTGATTTGTGATTTTTCTGACCATTCCATCCTTGGCCTGGTTTTTCTTTTTAAAAAGGTTTATGGAAAATGGAGACACACCCAGAGGGTGTAGAGGCTTTCACATAAAGATCCAATTGGCCTCTCTAGTGTGGAAAGCAAGTAGGGTAGAATCAGGAGAGAGAGACCCCATCCTGCTATTCATAACTCTTCCGAATAGCCCTCCAGGGAAACAATGGAAGGAGAGAAGCCCTTTGAATTCCAGTCACTACATTGGAAAAGCATAATTATGCAAAATATGTAAACAAAAATTAGCCAACTGAGAGGGATGCTGGAGAGTGGTTTCACTACAGCTTGAGGTTTAGATGAACACCCCTAAACCTCTGAAGACTCTGCCTTCAGAGCACTGCAAGAATGTCCCCCCACCCACACTTCCTCTGTCCTGACCCTTCCTTTCTTGCCTGTAGCCCTAATTTCCTGGCATCTCCTTTTGTTTCCCAATGAAGCTCAGGCCATTGTCTGTTCCTGGACTATCTCCTGGGCATTCTCGTCTACAAAGGGTTTCAGCTCTAAAGTTTGAACTAATCATTGCAACCAAACTGAAATACAGAGAAGAAACATTTCAATATATGAGGATGAGAACAGCATTGCTCTGTCTATGCAAAGTTTTGCCTGAATTACCACAGGTCCTCAAATAACATCTTTGTTCAATGTCATTTCATTATAAGGTTGATGAAAAAACAATTGCTTTCTGGCCAGGACCACTGTCTTTGTGGAGCCTGCACTCTCTCCTCATACCTGCATGGGTTTTCTCCAGGTCCCCTGGTTTCCTCCTAGTACCAAAGATGTGCCCGTGAGGTGTATTGGCATGTCTATGGGGTCCCAGTCTGAGTGAGTGTGGGTGTGTGTGAGTGTGCCCCGCAATGGGATGGTGTCCTGTCCGAGGCCGGTTCCCACCTTGCACCCTGAGCTGCTGGGACAGATTCTGGCAACTCCTTAACTCTGAACTGAAAGAAGCAGGTAAGTATCTCACTTGTTTTTATTAACCTTTCTTAAATGCATGTATAGATCACATTTGTTTCGATGTTTAATATTTAGAAGTGTTTTGATCGGCCAGGCGTGGTGGCTCACGCCTGTAATCCCAGCACTTTGGGAGGCCGAGGCGGGCGGATCATGAGGTCAGGAGATCGAGACCATCCTGGCTACCATGGTGAAACCCCGTCTCTACTAAAAATACAAAAAATTAGCCAGGCATGGTGGCGGGTGCCTGTAGTCCCACTACTCGAGAGGCTGAGGCAGGAGAATGGCGTGAATCCGGGATGTGGAGCTTGCAGTGAGCCGAGATCCAGCCACTGCACTCCAGCCTGGGTGACAGAGAGAGAATCCGTCTCAAAAAAAAAAAGAAAAAAAAAAAAGAAGTGTTTTGATCTTTTTGTTGTTAAGAGACAGGGTTTTGCTTTGTCACCTAGGCTGGAATGCAGTGGTGCAATCATAGCTCACTGCAGCCTTGACCTTCTGGGCTCAAGGGATCCTCCCACCTCAGCCTCCTGAGTAGCTGAGACAACATATATGCACCAACACCCAGGCTAATTTTTTAATTTTTATTTTCTGCAGATGAGTTCTCACTATTTTGCCCAGGCTGGTCTCAAACTCTTGGCCTCAAGAGATCCTCCTGCCTCGGCCTCCCAAAGTGCTGGGATTACAGGCATGAGCCACCATGCCCAGCCTGTTTTCATCTTTATTTAGAAGTTGGAGATGTTTTTGTGACCAGAAATAGGCCATAGGAACTTAGCTGTTGTTTATATCAATTAGCCTACAGTAAGACTGGTTTTGTTTTACATCATTTTGCTTAAAATCAGTTTCCAAGAACATATCAATAATGTCAATGTTAAGTGAGGACTTACTGTTATCTCTATCAGAATAGTGAATTTTCCGTCTTTGGCCAGTGAGGAATCTCTGACCTCTTTCATTCGTTTTCTCCTTTAAGCATTTCTTGAGTTCCTACTATGTGCCAGGCAGCAAGATGAATATGGAAGGCACAGTGGTGAGCCCTATAGGCACAGTGTCCCCTCTTGAGCCACTTTTATTCCACTGGGGAAACCACTGAAAAAGTGTCCTAAGTGTTATAAATTGAATTCTTGGAATGTACATCAGGGAAACCCCAAGGAATGGGTGATGCACAGTTCTTCTTAAAGAAGCAAGAGGTGACATCATCAGGAGAAGATAGAAAGACACTGGATGAACAAAACAACAGCATCCAGCAGCTGTAGTGAGTTGAGACCATAAATGTGGACAGAACTAGCTTAGAGCCTCCAGTGGAGGAGATGACCAGTGAAATAACATTTGTGATGAGGCAGGGCTTGGCTGGGCCATAGGCAAAAGAGGGAGAGGATGAGATGCTCATCTCAGCCTTGAGGGAAAGTTGAGATAGGAACAAGCACAGTACAGTGGAGGATGACCAAGAGGCAGCACAATAGAGGCCCAGAGCTAATGTTGGGCAGCAGTGGGAACTAACGTGGCATGGAAAAAAGTTTTTTGCTTGCAAAAAAATGTTTCTAATTCAATTATTCATAAGTTATGTGAGTCTCCCCAACTGGCAACTGGTCAGCTTACTTGTGAACCAAGTAAATTTTAAGATTGTTAGGTTTGGGGCATTTTATTTAGATGACTGTCTAATAGCGTTTATCAGTGATTTCATTCCCACATACCATTGTACCTCTTCACCAGGCCAATAGATCAATAACCTTAGGCTTTCTCTCTCTCCTCTGTGAGACAGCAGAGGGAGAGAGGGGTGGGGTATCCCAGAAGGAGTAAAGGACTGATCCCTCACCCTGTACAGGGAATTCTGCAGCCATTCCTACCCAGCCTGGTCTCTGGCTCTAATTAGAGAAGTCGTATCTTTCATAGATCTGCCTTTTAAAGGTACATAAACAACACTGCCCAAGGCCATTAGTGCATTTTTAAAAAGCTAAAAATGCAGAAAATCCTCGAAGTATTTTATAAGTAAGTACTCAGAAAAGCTTGATGAACACCAGAACTTTCAGCAAGAAACTCTGCTTCACCCCAATGCTAATATGCCTTGCTAAGAGATCCCAGACTCCAGCCTCCCCAGTGGAAATGCTTGTGAAGTCTGTGCATTTTCCTGTAATACATTAAGAGGTCTACCCTGCCTGTAGGTGAGCTAAAGCTAAAGCTTAAATGCCTTAATTATGCTTAGGGGGCACCAGGCAAGAAGAGGAAATGGCTCTTAAAAAAACCAATGCTGCCTCCCTACTCTCCAGCCACAAAAAGTATTTTGCAGTTAAACTGCATTACAGAGATGTAACTTTACCAACCAAGTATGCTGGGTCTATGGGCGCTTGGTTTTCTTCCTGCCCAGGACTTTTTATGGCCTAGTGATTTTCTAGGTCTCTTGCTATGTGAGGTTTAAAGTCAATGGACCTTCTTAAATAGGTTGGAAGTGGCTTGGGAGGCAGAGATAGTAGTGGTGATAAAGGAACTGAGAGGGAGGATGGGAACTTGCCCTGTCCCTGCAAGACTTCTCCCAGACCCAGGACACTCTCCATCCCTACATTGGTGGTTAGGGAATGTGTGTTAGTCTGTTCTCACACTGCTATAAAGAATACCTGAGACTCGGTAATTTATAAAGAAAAAAGGCTTCGTTGGTTCATACTTCCACAGGCTGTACAGAAAGCATGATGCTGGCATTTACTTGGCCTCTGGGGAGGCCTCAGGAAGCTTTCAATCATGGCAGAAGGTGAAGGGGGAGCAAAGCACTTCACATGGCTGGTGTGGGAGGAAGAGCAAGTGCGGGGAGGTGCTACACATTTTTAAACGGCCAGATCTCATGAGAACTCTATCTGAGAACAGCACTAGGGGCATGGTGCTGAACCATTAGAAACCACCCCCATGATCCAATCACCTCCCTCCAGGCCCCACCACCAGCACTGGGGATTATACTTCAACATGAGATTTGGGTGGGGACACAGATCCAAAGCACATCAGAACCCAAGACAGTCACTGGGAGTCAAGACAACTAGTTCTGAAACTTACTCTTCCAGTAACTAGTTTAGCAGCCTCAAGAAAGTCACTTCACTTCTCTGGGCCTTGTTTCCTCATTGGTAAAATTCTGCTTTAGCCCAAGGGATGCTGAATTCCTTCCACCTCTACAATGCTCTGATTTGTGGATGTGAGGCCAGTCCGAGCTATTGCTGAGAAGGGGCAGGTTATAGCCACCATAAGTGTGCTCACAGGTCAGAACATGAGCATTTTAGATGAAGAGGCATTTTCAGGCAGCAGAAGCTGATAAGGCTATGGAGGATTTGTAAAGTATTGACAGTGAATACTGCAGAGGGTATGTTACTTCCCTTGCTTTAGAATGCCCATGAGATGCCCTTTGTGCACTAAGGCCACCTGTGCACGTCCAGTGTCCAAATCAGCCACCCCCCATGAAGCAGTCATCAGAGACACCTAAGAAATATGGCTTCTTCAGTGTCATGAAAGTGTGTGGGTACTTCTGTTCCTATCAGACCAATGAACTTGATTTGAAGAGTGCTTTATTATTATTTTTTTTTCCAAAAGCCTATGAACATCATTCTTTCTCTCCCCAGGCCTGATATTATTATAATGATAAGGTTTCCCTGTCATAATTATATCCCCTTGTTCTCTCTGAAAACCAGGAAAATACTTAAAAATCAGAGTCTGAAAGGGCAGCTGTCACCCTAAGACCTCATCCCTATTTAATTTAGATTAGAACAGGGCAGTCATTTTCATCAGTCATCAGGCTGAGTGAAAAAGGAGTCCACTCCTCCCTGACTCCCTGGATTGCTAAAGAAGCATTACAGACAGATGAATTAAATCATAAGCCCTGAGCCAACTCTCCCGCCTCACTCATTATTTCCTTATTTAATCCTTTCAACTTTCCTATCGAACAAATAAGCCCTCAGGACCAGAAGCACGCTGTTTGAGGGTAGATAAGGCAGTTGCCTTTCCCTGGAGCCATGTGTTCCCTGAGTTTGAAACCTAGAAAAGGACCTCCAGCTAGCCACATGGACACAAATATACCTGAATTCAAACGTATACATGTGCACCCAGTTGACAGTGGTGGAAGAAGCCCTTTTCCTTTGGTAATTTCTTGGTATCACTAGGGCATGTTTTTATTTTCTCTATTCCTCGGCAAGAATGAGGTGACCTCCTATAAGCAGGATTTTTAAGAAGGAAAGGAAGAGAGCAAGGCGCCTCTGAGCCTCCCAGGGAAGAAGGAGGAGACCACCTGGGAAGAATGTGGTATTGAGTGGAAAGGCTGGAGGTCGGACCACTGAAATGGTTCATACAACTTTATATGGAGATGTCTGATTATCACTAATTACTGTACCTTAGAAAATAATGGCTTCCCCCTCTGTGCTTCATTAATAATTCACTATTAGATCTGTACTGCGCTTGTGAAAGCAAATAGGAACATAGCGGAGACATCACCCCTGACTGAGCTCTGAGGGTTGCAGAGAGGCTCACGCACAGCGTAGGGGCCAGAAAGCAGACCAAGAAGATAGAAGGAGCTCCCTGTTTCTCAAGGCTCCCAAGGAGGAACACCACATGTGGCTCCATGGAAACTGACTTAGTGAGACAGACAAATACTTCAGGTACAGAGGCCAATAATCCATAACTCTATCACTGACTGTAAAAGTGGTCATGAATGATGAATGCACAACACAAGTCATGGGAACTTTCAGGTCAGCTTCACCCATTCAGAGAATGCTGCAAAGCCTCAGTCATTCAGACCTTACTATTTGAGAACTGGTAGGCACATAGATTGGAATTAAAGGTACTCAGAGACAAATGTGGTCAACATCCTACTTCATCTTTGGCCTGCCACAGGCACCTGAAGGAACCAAACATCCAGGCTTGCCCAAAATTCACTCAAGACATGAAGCAGACACAGCATGTGCTTGAAAAATGTAATGTTTTTAGCAAACTGTGGGGTTCCAAATGTGAGGTAGAGGAATTTGACTTGACAGCTACAACTCTCTCTTTCTCTATTCTGTCTGTCTCTGTCTCTCTCTCTCTCTCTCTCTCTCACACACACACACACACACACACACACACACACACTTACAAGCATGAAGGGTACGTTGAATCCAGAAATGATTCAGGCAAATTGTTTAGGTTATCTGAACTCTGCCCTCCTACCCCACCACATAAAAACCAAGAACAAAGTAAATTACAACAAGCATTCTTTTAAAGGCATAGTGCTTTTAAAGCAAAGAGCTTACAAGAAAGAAAGAGAAACCCCTATGTTTCAGATATAGAAGGAAAACTGAAAACCAGGCCAGAGAGTGTGGGAGCTTTTGTGGTTCTTTGGCTATGGGAGAGACTGGTATGAAGGGGTTTGGTTAACAGTAATCTTGGGGCTTGAATGCTAATGCCTATTGGAAACAGCAGTTAAAGTACTTTGTTATGGTGAAGGAAAGTGAACCTGAGACCCCTCATAAGCTTGGCACTCCAAAGGGCTGCATCTCAGTGAAAGAATGAACCAGGAAAAATCTCCAACCCACCCACCAGCACAGGGATGCTGTCTCTGCCAGAGCTTTCTATAGAGACAAACGTTTTTCTGAGAATTCATATTCACAAGCTTTGCCTTCATGAGTTTCCGGTTGACTATTTTTATATCTATATATTCTTAGAAACTTAGGTTGAAAAATTATATTAAAGATTGGTCTTGGCAATTCTCAAAATACGATATACAAATGGCCAACTAACATATGGAAAAATGCTCAACATCACTAATGATAAGGGGAATGCAAATCAAAACCACAATGCAATACCACCTTACTCCTTCAGGAATGGCCGTAATCAAAAAATAATAGATGTTGGTGTGGATGTGGTGAAAAGGGAACACTTTTACTCTGCTGGTGGGAATGTAAACTAGTACAACTATGGAAAACAGTGTGGGGATTCCTTAAAAGACTAAAAGTAGAACTACCATTTGATCCAGCTACCCCACTACTAGGTATGTACCCAGAGGAAAAGAAGTCATTATATGAAAAAGTTACTTGCAAACCTATGTTTATAGCAGCACAATTCATAATTGCAAAAATATGGAGCCATCCCAAATGTTCATCAATCAACGAGTGGATAAAAAATTGCGATGTATATATACTGTGGAATACTACTTAGCTATAAAAAGGAATGGAATAATGGCATTTGCAGCAACCTGGATGGAATCGAAGAACTTTATTCTAAGTGAAGTAACTCAGGAATGGAAAACCAAACATCAAATGTTTTTGCTCATAAGTGGGAGCTAAACTATGAGGATGCAAAGGCATAAGAACGATACAACGGACTTTGGGGATTTAGGGGAAAAGGTGGGGGGAAATAAAATTCTACACATGGGATACAGCGTACACTGCTTGGGTGATGGATGCAGCAAAATCTCAGAAATCACCACTAAGGAACTTAGTCATATAACCAAACACTACCTGTTCCCCAAAAACCTATTGAAAAAAAAATTGGGCTTGGGTCTATGGTACACCAGGGACACCTGATAGAAGTAAAAGGAAGATGTTTCCAGCCAATTCTACACAGACCCACAAATAAAGTCCTGCTAAAGTTGAACTAACAATCTAAAATCACAAGCAATCTTCCAAGAGACTAAAATTAAGCACAACACAAACAGCAGGATTGGAACCAAAGAACTTCAAATAACTTGACAATTTGATTACTAATTTAAGTATCATCAATAATTTGATGATTAAGGACATAAAAGAAAATCCAAACCACAAGGAATAGAAAAGACACTTAAGGAGTAAGCAGAATGGAAAATATAAAATTAGATCTCCACCTTTATCCTACATGAAATAAACTCCAGATATATTAGTATCTAAATGTGAAAAAGCAAAGTTTAAAACTTTTAAAGAAAGCATAGAAGAAGATGATATGACATTGGATAGGGGGAATTTTCTTATACAAGACACAAATATCTACAAACCATAGAGGAAAGGACTGATAAATTTGAATTTTATTAAGATGAAAAAAAATTGAGAGAAAGAGGGACCATAAACAAAGATAGAAGAAAAAAAACAGTCTGGGGGAAGATACTTGCACTTTATATAAAAATAAATCTCATAAATTAATAAGAAAGAGACAGTTAATCCAATTGAAAGAGGTATTTACGATTCACAGAAGAGGTAATATAAATGGTTAATAAACACATAAGAAGATGCTCCTGTTCACAAGTAATTAGGGATTGCAAATAACAACAAAAGTCTGCATGATGAAATACCTATATGCATTGTGAGTGTGGGGCATGTGTTGGAACCACTCTTGTGAAGAGAAATTTGGCAACACCTAATAAAGCTGAAGTTGTGCTCACTATCTCTTACCTATCCCCAAGGAGACTGGTACATGGATGTTTATTATTACAGCTCTGTCCGCGACAATCAAAACATGGGAGGATCCTAATGTCCACCAGTGAGCAGTGCATACACACAAAACCACCACATGGGTTCTTTATGGGCATAAGCACATGCTGAGAATGATACCCATCTACTTAAAGGTAGGGATTATCTTGGCAAAGAGAAGAGAGTGTGAATGGGGTTCTGGTGGCCTCTAAATACAGCCATACATCGCTTAACAATGGGGATATCTTCTTTCTTTCTTTCTTTTTTTTTTTTTTCGTGATGGAGTTTCGCTCTGTCGCCCAGGCTGGAGTGCAGTGGCGTGATCTCAGCTCACTGCAACCTCCGCCTCCCAGGTTCAAGCGATTCTCCTGCCTTGGCCTCCTGAGTGGCTGGGATTACAGGGACCTGCCATCATGCCCAGCTAATTTTTGTATTTTAATAGAGACACGGTTTCACCATGTTGGCCACGCTGGTCTTGAACTCCTGACCTCAGGTGATCTGCCCACCTCGGCCTCCCAGGGTTCTGGGATTACAGGTGTGAGTCACTGCGCACGGCCACAATGGGGACACTTTCTGAGAAGTGCGTCATTAGGTGATTTCGTTGTTGGGTGGCCATTGCAGAGTGTACTTCCACAAGCCTAGAAGTATAGCCTATGACACATCAAGGCTATAAGATACCGCCTATTTCTCTTAGGCTACAAACCTGTGCAGCATGATACTGTGCTGAACACTGGGCAATTGTAACAAAATGGTAAGTGTTTGTGTATCTAAACATATTTACACATAGAAAAGGTACAGTAAAAATATGGTATTATAATCTTATGGGACCAAGGTGATATATGTGGTCTGTTGTTGACCAAAACATTATGTAGTGCATGACTGTAATTGTATTTCTTAAAAGACTATCTGAAACTAATTAGTCAATATATTGAGGTAGCATTTATGTAATCTTGATGGTGAGTACATAGGTGTCTGTTAACTTATTGTCTGTATGTTTGAAATATTTTATAAGTAAAAATACAATTTAGAAAAAGGTGGCATTCAGGCAGTGATTGCCCTAAATGAAACCTAAAACGATCCACAGAGCTTTAAATGCTATTAGAGGAATAGGTTCATTGATTCCATAAATATTTATTGATTGCCTTCCCTACAGTAAGTGTTGTGCTAGGTGCACATGAAACATTAATTGAACCTTGCCCTTGGATTCACTTGCGGGCCATATTACAGCTGGCAGTGATTATGAAGGTCCTTGGAAGTCCAGGTTAGTGTTACCTTATGCTGAATTCTGCTCTATATTAGGCCATCTTGTAGGACCTTTTCAAGTGTACTTTATCTTGATATAAGCCTGGAAAAGCACATTATAATAGCTAATAAGACCTAACGTAACTTATAGAATTCTAGGCATAGCCCTAAGCCTTTGCATGCATTATGTCTTTTTATCCTCACCACAACCTTATGAGGTAGGTACTATCATTACCCTCATTTTATAGATAAAGAAACTGAGGCACAGGAGGTTAATTAATTTGAGTTACGTCACCTAGCTAACTAGTAGAGCCAAAATGTTCACTTTGTCAACTTAACTCCAATGCACATCACTCTTAAGGTCTCTTTTGGTCTGTCTGTCCTTGTGTAGTTACAGTTGAACTTTAAGTTCTCTGGGCAATGCTTCAGGACACCTGTTTTATGTGTTATGGAAGAGCAGGATGCTGGGTCTGGAAAGGACCCTTAAAGTTCATCTGGTCCAGTGGAATGGTAAGGTGTGAGCTTCATGAGAGCAGGAGGTATCTTCATTCCATCATTGATGAGTCCCCCTGCCAGTTACATAGTAGTAGCTCAGTAAGTATTTATTGAAAAAATGAGTGTTGAATAATTTTGTTTTTTAAAGCATTTATTCAAACCTCCAATATTAAACAGATCATATCAGAGATGCTCTGGTTAAAGTTTTTAAGTGGAGGTGGGGCCCAGAGTTCCACAGTCTAGAGCCTGCTCTAGAACTACCCACAGCTTGAAGGCTACTCATCTAATCCAGATCCCTGCAGTACAGATGAAGATGCCTGATGTCCAAGGAGGTTTAGTGTCCTATCAAAGACCACTCTGCTAAGGAGGAACAGAGCTGACTTTTCTGATGCCGAGTCCCAAAGTTCTTTCCCCCACCACAACATAAGGGGGTAGCCTGGCCCCCAGACTCCTTACAACTGAGAATATACTTATAGGAAAACGACAGCTGCTTGGCACATAGATGGTTATGTAATTCAAGTTACTCAAAGACAACCTTAATTTACATGTGATAGCTAAACAAAGATTTTCTGTCTCATAAATTAAGAATGAGCAATTGCATTGTCTACTACCACATCCCATGAAATACCTCTAAACTCAGAGAACTCTTTGTTGGTTTTAAAAGATACCAAGATCCATTTTATTGCTTGTTTGAAGATTATTCATTTTATGGCTGAAGGGAGATTATGGCACTTTTGCTATCCTCCAGCCTTTCCCCCATCCTCCAAGAACCTTTCACCCCACCTGCCTTGCCATGATGAAAATGTTACAGGAAACACTCAGCAAGGGGTTGCTCGGAAGAAACCTGTGTGAGAATGTGTGCCTTCGTTTGGGTATGAGAGGGTATCTACCAGCAGGGATGCCCATCCAATTATCTCTCCCGAAGGCGCACTCCCTATTCTTTTAGGAGCATATTAATCATTTTTACTCTTCCACAGGCATTTCCAGTGTTGTCAAAACAGTGCCTGCCTGCATCTGTTTTCTTCAATTGGCCTGGGTTCCAGGGAGTGTTTGTGAGAGAGGAGAGAACAAGAGATTGACAGTCTTGTGTTGACATTTTGTGGCTGTTTGGAAATGAAAACAATCCAGGTCTGATGTTGTAATTCCTCCTTTTATGGGCAAAAAGCAATGTCTCAGCATGAATGAGCATAACCGAACACACTAGGACACACCCCAGACACACTGTGTACTCCCGGGACACTCACCATGCTTTTAGTTACTGCTGTTGTAGAATGAAAGGCAGAAAAGGTCTTTTATTGAGCCAAAGAATCAAGAAATCTTTTGATTCTCCATACCCAAATCTCCTACTCCAGTGGGATGAATAAAATGTCAAAGAGAAAAAAAAATCCTGATTTTTTAATTTACTATATATATATGTCTTTTTTTCTTCTTTTCAAACTATAATATTAATCACAACTCAATTTTTAGTTACCCAAGTAATAGATTTTCATTGATAAATATGAAAACAATATAGATAAACAGAACTTCTCTTTACCTATTCCCCTAATCTGACACTGTTCTTCATTGTATATCATTATTATCCCTCCACTGCACATATCTCCAGGCGTTTTCTAAGTATTTACATTCATATATGTCTATTTGCATATAGGAATGCACATATTTATTTGGTGGGAATTTTTGTTTAATATATAAATTGTTTATATGGTACATATTTTACTATGACTAGCTTTTCTAACTTAAATATGTGTTGCATATTTTCTTCATATCAGTATGTATTCATTGATCTTATTTGCTTTAAGAGAAGTATAATCTTTCATAGAATGGATATATGGAAATTTATTTAATTATTTCCCAAATGATGAAAATTTAGATTATTTTCAATTTTTTATGATTACAAGCAATAGTGTGATGAAATTTGTTGTACTTATCTTTTTAAGCACATGTGCCAATGTTTTCTATGGAATAGACATGAAGAAATGAAATTTATGGGTTAAAGGGTAACACTTGCTTTTTAAAAGCAACAATAAAAACTATCTATCTAACTGTCTTAGCTTGAGCTGCCATAACGAAGTATCACAGACCAGGTGGCTTAAACAACAGACATTCATTTCTCACAGTTTTGGAGACTGGTAAGTCCAAGATCAAGATGCCTGCAGATTTGGTTCCTGGTGAGGGCCGTCTTCCTTACTTGCAGATGGCCACCTTTTTGCTGTTTCCTCACATGGTGAAGAGAGAGAAGGCTCTGGCTTATCTTCCTCTTCTTATAAGGACACTAATCCCATCACGGAGAGGGCCCAACTTCATTTAAACCAAATTACTTCCCAAAGACCCTATCTTCAAATACCATCATATTAGGGGTTTGGGTTTCACATATGTATTTTGAGGGTACACAAACATTCAATCCATTATATATCTATTTATCTGAATTGGTAATAAATTCCTACAGAAAAAAATTACAAAGTCAGGATCAAGCGGAATCATAAATCTAAAAGCAGGCAGACAAAAATGGTGGATTTTAATTTAACTATATCAATAATCACATTAACTGTAAATGTTCTAAACACTTTATTAGAAAACATAGATTGTCAGATGGGATTAAAAGAAAATAGCAAGACTCGACTCTATCCTACCTACAAGAAACCCACTTTATATCTAAAGACATAGATAGTTTAAAAGTAAAAGGAGAGAAACAAACAGTAGTCTAACACTAACAAAAAGAAAATCAAAGTGCTTAATAACAAACCGGACTTAAGAACAAGAAATTATTACCGGGGATGAATGGGTATTAGATTATAATAAAGAGGTCAATTCATAAAGAAGACATAATAATCCTAAATGCGTATGCGTCAAACAAAGTAGCTTCAAAATACATGAAACAAAAATTGACAGAATTGAAAGAGTAAATAGACAAATCCAGTTATAGTTGGAGTCTTTAGCACTTCTCTCTCAGTAATCAAATAGAAAAAATAGACAGGAAATTACTAAGAATGTAGATAACCTAAACAGCACTGTCAACCAACTTGACCTAATTGACATTTAGAGAGCGCTTTACTCAGCAACAGTGGTACCTCAAAAATATTAAAAGAATTTAAATCTTCCAAGGTATGCCCTCTGACCATGATAGGGTTAAAGAAGAAATCAATAACAGAAAAAGATTTTTAAAATCCCCTAATATTTGGATATTAAACAACATATTCTAAGTAACCCATGGGTCAAATAGGAATTCACAAGAGAAATTGGAAAACATCTTGAATTGGATAAAAATAAAGATTCAAAAGGTCAAAATTTGTAGTACAGCTAAAGCTGTAATTAGAAGAAAATATGTAGCATTAAATGCTTATGTCAGAAAGGTAATTGGAAAACTCACAAAATTGAAAAGAGCAATGGAGAAACAGAATCACAACAAGCAAGAACAAGGGACGAGGCAGTAGCTAGACACATAGCCACGATCATGCTTCCCAGCAGCTCTGCATCAGTTGCAGGCTACTGGCTGCCACAAGTTGCCTGGAAGCCTCTCTTGGCTCCAGAAATTGGTTCTTACCACCCCAGCTGTTGCCACCCATAACAAGAATGGTTTCCTTCATTTCTTGACACCAGCTCTCTCTTCATAGTCCAGAGCTTGAGAGTCTGATTGGTTGAGCCCAGGCCATGTTCTTCTATCCTAGCTATAAAAGTTGATAGGAGAGTAAGTGGCTTAAGTGTTCAGTTTCTGTGGTGGCAGGCTGTGTCTCCAGTAACAACTCAGAAAGTGAGGATCTCTCCAAACAAAAGAAACAATTTCAGAAAAGTTATCACTGTGCCATGCCACCATCTTTTCCCAGACTCCTGTTTTCCTCCCAACAGCCAATCATTCTCGTTAGTTTCTAGAGTAGCCCCAGAAAAGGATACATATGTGTAAATTTCTGTGTCCCTCCCCCTTCTTTATAAGTGAATAGAAATTTATAAGGTTATTGAGTGAGACTTTCCCTGATACTGTGTAGCTGGTTAGAAAGACCCAGACCTGAGATCGAAGTGTACCCTATAGTTTAGAGAGGATTTTGATTGGTAGCGTTTGGGAATATTGGCAGGAAAGGGAAACTAATGTCTCACTCCCTGACTTGCTGCCTGCCTCACATGGCTGGACAACTGGATATGAGATTTAAATAGGACATGAATGAAAAGTCTAAACTAAACTAGACTGAACATTGTTTAATTATGACAATGAGCCCTACCCAAGATGTTGTTTGTCACATGATGGCAAAGGAGACTTTGACAGAGTGTGGTGAAAGTATTTATTCATATTGGTGACAGTACTTAGTTGCAGTCAATAGAATCCACTCTAGCTAGCTTTAAAAGAGTTTTATTTAGGTATATAGAAGGCTCATAGAACCACTGATAAGGTTAAAGAATCAGACTCCAGGCTGAACCCCATGGACCTGACCTCAAAAGCATTTCTGCCTCTGCCACAATATAAAATGAACAAACAAGTAAACAAACAAACAAATCAGGAAGCCACCACAACTTCTGGCTTCAAGACTGTTTTTGCTGATAGAGGCCAAATGAATGCTCCATGTCCTACCTTCTTAAAATAAAGTTAGTTTTAAATCAAAATTTTTTTGTAGATATAGTTTATTTTTGCAACCTGAATTATACGTCCCCATCATTGGGGCATGGGAAATGGCAATATATGGTTGTTGTTTTTGATTCTACATTGGAAAATTTGGATTTAAATTATGGGAAATATTAGAATGTGGAAAAGCGTTTAATAGATTTGGGGCAACACAAATGACAGTATTGACTATAGCTACCCTTGGAAAAAATAAATCATTTTATGTTAATTCACATTGAACTGAGACTGTGCAAAAAACCGGTTGAAGAAATATATAGCTATGAACTACAAGTTATTGTTGTCATTTAAAATGTATCTATATCTGGTCGGGCGCGGTGGCTCACGCCTGTAATCCCAGCACTTTGGGAGGCTGAGGCGGGTGGATTGCTTGAGGTCAGGAGTTCAAGACCAGCCTGGCCAACATGGTGAAACCTCATCTCTACTAAAAATACAAAAACTTGGCTGGGCATGGTGGCATGCGCCTGTAATCCCAGCTACTCAGGAGGTTGAGGCAGGAGAATTGCTTGAACTTAGGAGGCAGAGGTAGCAGTGAGCCAAGATCATGACACTGCACTCCAGCCTGGGTGACACAGCAAGACTCTGTCTCAAAAATAAATAAATAAATAAAAATTTAAAAATAAAAAATAAAATATATCTATATCAGTTACACATAGATTTGCTTTGGTTTGTTAGCGGCTGTATAATATTTCACCATGAGGATGAACTCTATCATATTAAGCCCTCTAATGATAGAAATTCAAGTTGCTTGCTATCTTTTACTATTTTTTTCAATAGCAAAAGTTTTTTTTTTAAGCTGCAATGCAAATCCTGGCACACAAGTGCAAGTATAACAACATCTTCCATGATTATGTCCCTTCTAAATAACAGGCTAGAATCTCTTTGCTTTTTCCTCCTGAGTTAAATAAAAGGATCCTTTTGTTCCTCTCAAGAATGTACTACATAATTTTAAATCCATTCTTGAATAAAAGTAACAGCAATAGAAACAGACTCGTGGCAGATGTAGCTCTCACATCAGCCACCAGCTACGTCTGTGACCTCAGGCAAGTCACAAATCCCTTTGGACTTAATTTCATTACCTCTAAAATGTAAGGGTTGGACAAGGTGATCTCTGAGGCCCAGCTACTAAACGGTGGTCCTTAGTAGTGTCTTTAGGATACGTAATATTGCCTGAACATTTTATGGCATCAATAATTATGCCTTTTAGGTACAGTAACTTTCAGTTTCTTCTCGTGTCTCCATCCCTTCTCACTTTCCCAACAGCAAAAGCAGCACCTCAAACAGAGTAGATGGTTAGTAAACCAGTTATTGACCAATGGGACAAGCCTATTGAATGAGAGACAAAATTTGAATTTATCCATTCATTCATCATCCAAAATAACCAACCCTGTGCTTTGCTTGTATTTCAGTTCTAGAATATTATTTCCCAAGAATTTCTATACTTCCCTATGGCTAACGAATAGAACCATCCTTTACCGATTCCGTTCTTTTGCAACTGGATTATTTAGTATTGTAAAGTATGGTTATAAAGTAAATATTTTTTTCCCTTAAATTTATTCTATTAGTAATGTACTCTTTAGTCCTTTGGAAAATTTGGAACTCTAAATAATCCAAATCCCTTCATGGAAATCAGGCAAAACCTGTTCGAAGAGTTTCTCTTTAATGTCTATGAAAGTATTTTGTAAATGCCCCACCTTAATGCAGCTCTGTGATTGTGGACAAAAAAGTAGAGCCTGGGGTCTTGAATGGACAATGGATTATAATGAGGTAGATAACCTTGGAGCATGGTGAGAACAACATACACTTCATTGGGCAAATCACATTTTGCCTCACTAGCTGTGTGGCCTTAGGGGAGTTACCTTACCTCTCTGGGCCTCAAGTTAATAATACTTTCTTGGCAGGGCTATTGTGAAATCTAAACAAGTATATGTAACATGTCTGTCATATGTAACCCCCCCAATCATAGTAGTTGTTAATATGATTACCCATGCAGAGTGATGTTGATGAATACAGAAGGCATTCTAGAATAAATGATGTTGAAATGGTAGGCTAAATGCAAAGCCACAGTGAAGAAGGCAGGGCAGCCTGAACCAAGTGTAAGGAACTACCCTTTAGCTTCCACGAAGCCACCTGAATGGAATCTCCTGCTGTCAGCTCACCAGACGCAGTCTCCACAGGTTTATGTAAAAGCTGGTTATGCTCTTAATTTGGTCCACTAAAAAATTGTCCATTGTCTCCTGGAGTGACCTTTATGCCGAAAACATCATCTAGCTATTCATGCAGAGGTGTATGCAGTGTGTCTGGGCTATCTTGGAATGCCTCTTCTATTACCACATTCAGAACATCACTTCCGCATTCCCTCCTCTCCAACCCAACTGCTGCCTTGTCTCAGGCTGTTATCCACCGTTCCCTGACCCTTGCACTGGTCTTGCCTGGAGCCTCACTCCTCTATGAGCTGTCTTTAATCTGGCTGCCAGAGTTATTGCTCCACTCCCTCTCTGCTGTCTACAGGGGGAAATCATATTCTTCTGTAGCACTTACAAAAGCCTCCATCACCTCTCCTCCTGCCTCTCCAACCTAATCTCCACCATTTCTTGCCATTCTCTCCCCACCAAGCCCCGCCCAATCAAACTCTACTCTCCCAGGAATACTGATCTATTTACATGTCCCAGAATGTTCTATGTTTTGTATTGCACATAGAGTTCCTCCTGTCTGGAATGCCCTCCACAAATGTGTTCATTTGAGAAGCACCTACCAGTTTTCGTGATGTCTTCCCTGGCTCCTTTTCTCAGCTTAGCTGTGCTCCTCCCCTGCACCCACCCAATCTTCCAGACAAACCTCGATAATGCAATTGCCTTACTGCAGTGTAATGCTTTGTCTTTGGCCTCCCACAGTCATATCACAAGGCCCTTGAAAGGCTCTTTGATAATGAGAACTACATGTGTTTTCATCTTTATATCCGTGGGACTTAGAACAACACTTGGCACATAGCAGGTGCATGATAAATGATGGTACCTGCTCTCTGTATCAGTTGGGAATGAGTTTGGCTGCAAGTAACAGAATACCTGGCTGAGAGTATTTCCCACAGAAGTAACACAGGGAATTATTTCCTACAGATAACAAGGTTTCTGGAAGCAAGTAGTTGCTGGTGTTGGCTTAGATATTCACTGATGCCATCAGGGTCCCTGGTTCTATCTTTCCCCTTTCAGTCTATTCTCAACACAGCAGCCAGAGTGATCTTAAAATGTCAATCTCAATCAAATCATGTCACCCTCTCCTCCAACCCTCCAGTGATTTGCTTAATGATTTGCTTGTTTTGCTCAGGGGAATAGCTACAGTCCTTATATTAGCCTCTAATGCCCTGCCCAGGGTGAATACCTACTTTTCTTTTTTCCATAATACTTATCACCATGTGACATATTATAGCCTTTATTTCTCAGATGTTATATATTGTCTTTCTCTCCTGTTACCACTAAAAATAAACACCAAGGAGGCAGGGATTTTGTGTGCTTTTTTCACTGCTGTGTCTCTAGCAACTAGAACAGTGCCTGGCACATAACAGACACTCAATAAATACTAGTTGAATAAATAAATGAATGGCTCTTTCTACTTTACCTCCCTTCCAGTCTAAGCTTTGTCTTCATCTTTGTTGCCTCATGGCTACATGATGGCTGCTGCTTTCCAGACATCATGTCCATGTCCAAGGCAAAAAGAAATTGGGGAAGAGTAGTGCCAGACACATGGGCCCTCTTTATCACATAAGCAAAACTTTCTCAGGAGTCCCAAGCTGACTTTAGTTTATATCTATTTGGCTTGGGTTATGGCACAAGCTACCAGCAGCAGTGAGAGAAACTAGGAAAGCAAGTAGGTAACTGGGCACATTGCTGCCCTGAGCAAGATCGATAAGAAGAGAAGGGCTGGACATGGTATCACTAACTGGGTCTACTGTGAAACTGCTAAAGGAAGAACCCAAACTTTGGGAACAAAATGGGAAATGCACCACCCTCTCCTAGAATCATCTCTGCCTCACATCCCTTCATTTCCCAGATGACCTGCCCTTGGCCACTGAAGGAACATGAAAGGCACAGGCAGCCTGTGGCCTGAGGCTCAGAGAGTGCAACAGAGACCTTAGTGTCTGCTCCCTTGAAGCTCACCGGAAGGCCAGCATATAATAGCGTTCAAATAATTGCATCTCTCAGGCTTGCAAGCACGCTCAGCATTGTTCAGGCAAACTGTGCCTTCCTGTGCCTCTGAACTTGGTCACCGCAGATCAGCCCTGCCCAGTCTTTGGGTGCTCCAGACTGCACACTGATGAAGAAACTTTGGCAACTGTTAAATTGCCTGCAGATGGGTCCAGTCACGCAGAAACATTCATGCAGTGTCCTCCAGACCCTTTGTGTGCTTCCCCGGATACAAGAGAGTGGGACCTGGACCCCCCCTCTGCCCAGCAGGCTTATGCTGCTCTACATCCTCTGGGGAAGTGACTGCAGCTCATTTGAACCTAGAAGCAACCATGTGATTCTCTCCCAGGCCGTGGTTCTCCTGACACATGTAGCAGAAGCCATTCCAGGAAGAAAAGGTGCCTGGACCCTGGATATTAGGGCCTGAAGCAAGGCATCACCAGGAAATTCTCTTCAGTTATTTTGGCTCTGACCTCGATTCCATCATGATGCTTGTCACCACATTCTTCACTAGGTGAGGGGCACCATGAGGATAGTGACTGTGTATTTCATCTGTTTGTACCTCTAGCACGTAGCACACTGCCTAGTACCATAGCAGGTGCCAAATAAATAGGCACTGAAAGAATGAATGAAAGATTCCCTGAAAATAGAATGTGACAGGCATGTGGAAGCGAGAGGGGAGAGGGAGCCTGAGGCACCCTGTGGGTGGTACAATACTTCTTCATAGCCTTTGCGTTACAGTCTAAAGATTTTACCAGCTTCAAATATTAAACACCTAGAGAGATTTTTTTTTCCACTTTTGCTGTCTTAAGCTCATTAACTTTCTTCAAGGTTTTGCCCATTGTTGCCACTGGAAAGAAAGAGGGAAAAAATGTTAGCACGTCCATGGAATTTGCAAAGTTACCAAATAGTTTAATATCCAGGTAAATCAATGGCAGCTCAAAAATTCCATGATTGTGTAATCCTGCCTCAGCTTTTTAATATGAGAATATTTACCACTGAAGGAGTACCTTGATCCCCTCTGACCAGCTGTGAGCTTATTAGTCTAATTCCCAAGTAACTCTAATCAAACATGATCATTTAAAAAATCTTCAGTAGCTAATCTTCCTCTCATTCAATTAAAAATATCTGTCATCTTCTCGATGTGACATCCAAAGGCTGGGAGTCCCAAACCTTGCTAAAAGAGAAAAGACATTTTCCCTATATCATGTGCTGGGGTATTTCCAGGGCTTATAATGGTGAGAAAGAAATGCTCTCCTGTATCCTATGCCAGCCAGTAGCATTCTGTCCAAACAATTCCCACACACTCCCACCCAGATGAATTGTATTTAAAGAGAATAGATTTTCACCTGAACACTCTATCTGATTTAGAACTCTGCTTTTCTCCATGAATGCAGAGAGAAAGCTATAATTCTTCACAATCATGAGCATCTTTAGCCTTGGGAAGTATGTCAACGTGCTGGAAGAAGGTAGTTGCTTCTCAAAGGCTGCCATGTTAGAAATCCATATGGCCAATGTTTCTGCCATTGTTCCTTTCCTGCTGTGAGGAAAAGTGCCTATGTAGTCTCTGGCTACACGTGATTGTCCTGTGTGATACGATGCCATGATCTGGCCGTCTCTTACAGTACAGCTTTTCATTCCGAGATAGCCTGTCGTGCTGGCTGTTTTGGATGAAGCTTGGCATGAGCACAGAAAGTCCATACAGCCACCCACAACTTGATCTACTAGTTGTGAACGGAAACTTTTGAACACGTTCCACCAGCTGCACAATGGTACCATTTATTACTTTATTCTCAGGGGAAAACGTTTGCTGTGTGAATAATACCAGGGACTTATGTAAGCTTCTTCATTTTCAGGGAGCTTTATGGGTGTCAGCAAATTCACACAACACCCTGGTAAGGTAGCAAGGTATTGTTATGTCTTCTTTACAGGGAGAGAAACCAGATCACAGCATCGGATTTTCCCAAGGCCAAATGGACAATAAGTGGCATGGACTTATTTCCAGAGAGATCCATACTATTCTGCTGGAAAGCACAAAGAATTTCCCACTCACAGAAAGTCTCAGTGGGATTCAATCCTGGACTTAAAACTTGTGGATTAGTACCCTGACTTTTGATGTATCTCCTAAATGTTGCCTTACTTTGGGTTTTGTCCAGATAGGTAAAAAGAGCAAGATAAGGCAGGGGCACCCATCTAGGTGAGTGATGAAGATTTCAGTATCTCCCTTGCCACAGAGTAAATGTCTAATCTATAATCACAAGATCATGGGGGTTTGGGGGTGTGTGAGGGGATGTAAGTATCTATAAAGCCCCATGAGAAAAAAAAACTTGCAGTATAATATAGAACAGATTTGTTTATTTCAATTGCTGTTTAGGAGATTGAGAAAGGTTTCCCTATCAGCTCCAGGAACATACTAAATACCTGCTGTAGTGAGTTGAATTGTGGCCTCCAAAAAGATATGTCCAAGCCGTCAACCCCAGTACCTCTGACTGTGACCTTATGTAGCAAATGGGCCTTTGCAGATGTAATTAAGGAATGATCTTGGGATGAGATCATCTGGATTTAGGATAGGCTTAAATCCAACGACAGCAGTCCTTAAAAGAGAATGGCAGTGGGAGATCTGAGACACAGACATAAGGAGGGGGAAGACCAGGTGAAGACACGGGCAGGGACTGGAGTGATTCAGCTGTAAGCCAACGAACGCCACGGGTTGCCAGCAGCCACCTGAAGCCAGGAGGGCGTGGAATCGGTTTTCCCTCTGAGCCTCCAGAAGGAACTGATTCTGCCAGCACCTTGATTTCAGGCTTCTGGCCTCCAAAACTGTGAGAGAATTAATTTTTGTTGTATTTTAGGTCACCCAGTTTGTGGCTATTTGTTAGACTAGCCCCAGTAAACCCTCTTCAGCTCCTTCTTCCAGTCTTTAGAGTCATATGGACTTTAACCCAATTTAAAGCTGTATACACGCCATGCCAGACATTTCATTTTAATTGTTTTATTTTTGTAGAAATGGGGTCTTGCTCTGTTGTCCAGACCGGAGTGCAGTGATGTGATAATAGCTCACTGCAGCCTTGAACTCCAGGTCCAAGTGATCCTCCTGCCTCAGCCTCTCCAAATCTTTTAATTTGTGTGTGTGTGTGTGTGTGTATGACAGAAAGAGAAAGGGCATTCTAATTCGAAAGTGATTGAAAATTATTCTCCTGGATAACCATCATTAGTGAATGAAGAATTGGATTATCTTGACACATCTCACTGTGAAAGCAGAAGGGCATCTGGAAGGCAGAAGAAGTCAAGAAGACAGTGGAGTGAGTTCAAATTCTGATTGCAAAGCAACAATTTTCATACCTTCTCTTCTCTAGGCCACTGCACCAAGGAGCACACATGGAGCACAGAATAGCCTTTAAAAATAATAAGGTAATAATTACTAACACAAATTCATGACACGAAATTCAACTATTATTGAAATTCATAATATAGAAATGACAACCTCTAAAATACATATGGTACATATTCCTCTGATATTTTTATCCCTGCTCAACAATATAAATACACACACACACTCTTTCTCCCCCTAACATTTTAAAAATTGGAATGGAGAGTAGGTCTGCAGTCAGCCTGGTGCCTACTAATTTTTTGGAGCTAATTCAGCTTGACAGAAGCAATGTTTGCTGAGTGTGCCTGGGTGTAAGTCCTGTTTCTTGCAAGCCTTGGGTAAGGCACAAAACCTTCACAAAATACATCTGATATGAGATTACTTCTATGGTTAGAGAACAAGTTTGTCAAACCTTTTCTCTCAAAGACTCAGTAATAAATATTTTAGGCTCATGGGCCATAAGGTCTCCACTGCAACGACCCAACTCTCTGGTGTAGCGTGAAAGCAGCCACAGATCATGTGCACATGCATGTGCATTTGTGCTGTATTGTCAGTACACTGCTGCAGAACAGATTACCCCACACTCAGTCAATTAAAACAACACCCACTTATTATTTCTAGTTCTGTAGGTCAGAAGTCTGGGTGGACTTAGCTGAGCTGTTCACTTAGGTTTTACGCTGCTGACATGAAAGTATTGGCTGGCTGGGCTCTTATCTGGGGGCTTCCAAGCTCATTCAGGTTGTTGGAAGAATCCATCTCCTTGGGGTTGTAGGACTGAAGTCCTGGTTTCCCTGCTGCTTGTCATCAGGGCCACACTCAGGGCTCCTCTGGGCAGTTCATAGTACAGATGTTTGCTCTCTTCCTGGTCAGCTGTAGCATGTTTCTTTAACTTCTATTCTGCTACCAGCAAGAGAGAACCCTGTTGTAAATGGCTAGTATGATTAGGTTAGGCGCGCCTGGGTAATTTCCCTTTTGAAGAGCCCCCAAGTCAACTGATTAGTAATCTTAATGACATCTGCAAGAATTCCCTTTGCAATAAAATGTAACATAAATCACAGGAGTGATACTTCAGTACATTCAGAGGTTTCACTCACACTCAAAGGGAGGCGATTAAACAAGGATGAGCATCCCTGGGGGACATTTTAGAATTCTGCCCACCACAGCTGGGTTCTAATAGAGCTTTATTTATTGACACCAAAATTCAAATTGAATACAATGTTCTTGTGTAACAGAATAGTGTTCTTCTTTTGATTTCCTTCTTAATCATTTAAAAATGTAAAAATTCTTAACTATTGAGGCTGCACAGAAACAGGCAAAGGCCTGGATCTAGCCCATGGCCTGTGGTTTGCTGACCCCTGGGCTAGAAGATCAAGTAAACAAATCTTGAAAAAATACCAAAAGAGAAATTGTCATAGTGCCCCATCCAGTGCCTTGATCACAGTAGGTACTCAATGAATGAATGAACAGATACTGAGTTCCAGGAGAGACAGAAGACACATGCACCCCACATATCCTAGAGCTGAGTCTGCTGCTGTGGGTAAAATACAAACACTCCCATCTCTCCTTTTGAATGTGAGACCGGGCATAATCACAGGACGTTCAGGTGACCCAGAGCTCAGACTCCAGCGCCTTCCACATTTCCCTCAGGCTCCAAAGCAAAAGCACGGTATAATTACAAGGGCCATGTTGCAGTTTAGGTCAATCCAGCGCATGTTATCTGATAAATGAATTCCAAAGCCAAGCGAAACTCTCAGCAGTCTTTCCCCAAGATGCTGGGCTCAGCATCAGCGTTCAGTTCTCCTTAATTACAGGTTGGCTTGTTTTGTTGCGCAATAGTGCCCCAGCCCGGATGAATGTCATTTCCTTTCTTGGTAGGTGAAATGGATGAGGTGAGAAAGGCCCGGACCACACCGAGAATCGAATGCATGGTAAACATAGGGCCACGGGGAAGTCTTGACACCGCTCGGCAAGATCTCTCACCGATGGATCCACCCTCTATGTTTTCTGATTGGACACATTTCCTGAGATGGGAAGGATCATGCTATTGGCTGAGGCTGCATCAGGGGAGTAATATTTACTCTGGAAAATCTGGGAGAGGGTGTCCCAGTCTGTGAACTACCCAGACCCCCACGTTCACAGAATACTAGGATGAGGAGGATCCCAAGGAACACCTGCATCAACTCTCATGTTCTACAAGGGAAGAAGCCAGGTCTCAGGGACATTAAATCACTTTCCCAAATGTACCAAGCTAGTTAGAGTGAAGAAAGATCCTATTTATCCCAGTTCCCAGTGAAATGCCATTTCTGCTCCATACCTTCTCTTCTCCATGTGTCCTATGCTCTCGCACTTTTTGTGCTGCTTAGCGTTTTGCCCAGAGGTGTGCCAGAGATTATTGCTCATTCTTTCTCCTTCCACGGTCACAACACCTCCCTGGGCTGGTGTCACCTCTTACTTTGCAATTCAAAACGTTGAAGAAGGTGCGACCTGTCTAGATTTTCGTGTAGCCTTCTCTCCTGATTGCTGTTTCAGATAACACATTCAGGGTGTTGGTAAATAGCTGTGAATCAGAGCCTCGGGGACAGCCTGGTTTGGTGTGTGGATAGTCTGGCTAATGTCATAGCAGTCCCTGCCTTAAATATCAATGTCCGAGGAAGGTGGGATGCTGTTTCCAAAAGATTGATTTGCACTTCTGCTAATATATGGCTGAGTGTTCTTTAAAATGGAGTATTCTGCTTGCCCTCTGCCACCTTCACAACACCCTAAATCTTTGGAAGAACGTGCTTCTTGTTGGACCTACAAGTGGGGAGCATCTTGCCTTGTCCGGCCTGTCCCAGTTTCTCGGGAACCCTTGAGGTTTCTGTCCCTGTTCCACATACTTAGCCCCATCTCCAGGCTTCCTGTCCATCAGCCTGAGAGACCATACTCTAGGAGTCTTAAGTGCTGAGTTCCCTAGTGGGAACTCACTGGACTGCAACGCCCCAAGTCCCTCCTTCTCTCTCTGTGCCTTGGGATGGGCTTTGTGCCAGCTGTGCCCATCCTGCTGTTCTGCAGCTTGGTGCCCCTTCCTAACGTGATGGGCCTCTGCTAAGGTCATGTTCTTTCACCAACCCAGGGTCCTTCCAGCTCCTCCACCAAAACAGTGCCCTGGTTGTCCTCACTTGTCCCATCTTCAGCAGGGAGGCACTTGATTCTGTGGCATTTGGCACTGCTCACTGGGCTTTCTTTTCTTTTCACTGTAAGACTCATGCATTAGATCTGTCTTGCTATAGTCCTAACAATGTCTCTGTGTCCCCACTCCCATTCAACTCTTGCCATTCTCCAGCCATTGCTCTTGAAGAATGTGGGACTAATAACCCTGGGTAGGGTCACAAGGCCCTGCAGAGGTGATGCCATGAAGTTGCCTACACAGAACTGCCTCCCTGCTAAGAGTTCCAGGATCAAATTCTTCTAGGTGCCTGCTTGGGTGGGTCCTCATCCCCACCCCTGCCCAGGGCACCATCTGTGGGAGATTAGGAGGTAATCACTGTCTACCCCTCAGACACCACGTGCTGCATGACTGTGTCCTGAGGCAGCCACATGGCTGCCAGCTCTGAAGGTCCTGAGATCCCCATTCTGAGGCCCTTCGCTGACTCACTGCTCTCATTCTTCTTTCTCTGTCCACTCTCAGGGCAACTACATCCACACGGTGAAGGCAGGGCCTGTGTAGTGGATGCCAGGCTGTCTTCACGTACATTTCTCTTTCTCTTAAGCATCCTGGACCATAAAGCCCTAGTGTGCTGCTCCTACCTTGCCAGTAGGACTCCTGTCTCAGCTCCGTCTCCTGAAGACTGACCCTACAGGAGAGATACAAGCATCTCCTGTTACCTGTGCCCAGATGGTCCTTAAAAAATCATTTTCCTATTTGATAAACATAAAAATGTTATGTCTGACCAGCCAACAGGCTCTAGACCTGAGCCATCTAGGAAGATGAGGCCCCACCCCTAACTGGTGCCCTCTTTGCAGATTCACTGATGCAGATTCTTGTCAGCAGAGATAACTTGTCAAATTTTACTTTCATCAAGAGAAATATAATTAGAGTGATGTACTTTTCATTTCTAAATTATGAAATTCTATTATAATGTGAAATATGTATTTTCAAAGTATACATACATTTCCTTTTAGAAATGTTGATATACCTCCCTAGGAACTTTCCTTCCTTTTGTTAGAAAATCAATGCTGTAAAATGTTAGGGAACAAAAGAAAGGTATGGAGGAAGATCAACCTTGTGGGACCCAGGAAGAAGCAGGGAAGAAGAATCCCACTATGAAACTACCTTTCCAGGACAAATAATGTTCTCAGAAATGGGCATGTACTTTGTCTCCAGGCAGATAGCCTGCCCATTACATTTTTGTTTTGTTTTGTTTTGTTTTGTTTTGTTTGAGACGGAGTCTCACTCTGTCACCTAGGCTGGAGTACAGTGGCACGATCTCGGCTCACTGCAGCCTCCACCTCCTGGGTTCAAGCGATTCTCCTGCCTCAGCCTCCTGAGTAGCTGGGACTACAGGTGCCTGCCACCATGCCCAGCTAATTGTTGTATATATTTTTTAGTAGAGATGTGGTTTCACCATGTTGGCCAGGCTGGTCTCGAACTCTTGACTTCAAGTGATATGCCTACCTCGACCTCCCATTACGTTTTAAATAGCACAGCTCTCTGCTACGTTGTATATTTCCCAAATAAAAAGTTTTCAGCTCAATCTCTAGAAAAGCTCTGCTTTATCAACTTTCTGTTTCTCATGCCATGAGTTGACTATGACTCTCTCACGCACCTGCCAATCAGTTTTATCACTTGCCATTAGGAGGTCCTTGGGAAGCAATGGGAAAGCTCCCCAGTCCAGAGAAACTAACTTCAGGCATGTGTCTGAACTCAGAGGCTCCAACCAAGAGCAGGGAAGGGCCTTGTGGGAGGTGAGTGCATTTTGGATATGGGGAGCAAGGCTGGTGGGATTCTGCTAACGAAACTGATCACAGGTGACAGGGCTCTCCTTTGAACTTGATTATTTTTAAAGTTCACCTCTCCCTGATCCATAACGAGGTCTGGTGAGACTTGTCATAGTCCCAGAATTATTTCGATCATTCCAGCTCAGCCGAAACAATGAGAGAACATCAATATGGCAACTCCTCAGATGTCTGGGAAGAGGGATCATCACCCAGGCCTGGGAGCTCTGCGCAGTTTTGTCTGCCTTGGCTCCAAAGTGCTCTTTGCCCTTAACACTGCACCACTGTACAGATTCACACAGCTGGCACTAGCTCCACAGTGGCTAAGGTTGTGCTGCTTAGGACTGACCTGGAGGAGAGGGGAGAAAAAGATGGTATTAGTGGCTCCCTTTCATGTCAACAGGTTCACTGAAAAAGGAGCAAAGGGCTTAGTCATGTTTTAATGCTCTCAAAGCTTACTATGTATCCAGGATATTTTGGGTTATATTTAGTATTTGATTCACGTTTCAATTATTTTAGCAGTAGACAAAGCAAAAGCTGAGTGAGTCCCATGCAGTAAAATCCTAAAAGCTTTTCCCAACCTAAAGACAGCCCATAACTTTCAGCTTACATTTTACATGAGGAAAAACAAATGTTTCAGTGAAGCGTCCCAAATTCTTAGAAGAATCAGAGATAAGAAGCTCCCGCCAGCAATTTCAGTGTCCCTGGCCCAATTTAGTGGTTTGTGCCTTGGCAGAGCTCCTACTAACAGGACAGAGGACTCTTTGGGAAGACAGAGCCCATTTGAAAGGCGAGTGTTATTTATAAATTATCTCCAGATGGTCCAGTTCCTACAATTCCTACGTTGCTCAGACTCTCAGAGTGGAAATTTTAATCATAGACTGTTTGAGGTTGATTTGGTCTAAGCGAGGGACAATTTTGAGGATTCAAACGACAAAAAGAAGGCAGAAGAGTTATCTCTTGAGACTGCTCTCCGGAGACCTGCCCTTGCTTGTGGAGCCTTAGTTAATCACCATTTGTTTTCTGCTTTGCAATTCACAAAGCCCTTTTCTCAGAGTTTCAGACAGGCCTCCTCCCTTTGCACCTGGGAGAAACTACTGAAAACATCCTCCAGGGTAGGAACCACACTGAATATTTAATTTACCTTTTTAAAACATCTAATACATATTAGATGTATAGATATTATATAAAAGACACAGGTTAGGTATTAGAACTCCAATCCTACCTGTTTCTCTTAAGCACGTCCCCACATCAGGAACTGTTGTCTGATCTACACTTAGCCTGCCTGCCTACCTGCCTTCTTTCCTTCCTTCCTTCCTTCTTTCCCTCCCTCCCTCCCTCCCTCCTTCCTTCCTTCCTTCTTCTTTCCCTCCTTCCCTCCTTCCCTTCCTTCCTTCCCTCTTTCTGTACTTCAATCTTTCCACCAGTCAGTCCTTCCATTATTTCTTTCATTTATCCAGCAAATGTTTATGAAGAACTTACTATGTGCCAGGGATGGGGTTAGCTATGGCTCAGAATTCAGAACACACTTTATATCTCAGTGGAGAAAGAAGTAGCATGTGAGCCCTGCCCACCACAGACCTCTGCAGAACCTCATGAATTCCAGCCAACATATGACAGTCCACATATGCAAAGGAAAAAACCCTTGCCATGCTTACGTCTACCGTGGTGAATGCCAGCAAGACTCTGGGGAAAGATTATCTGTCCAAGTTTATGAAATTAAATGTGCCCTTGGAGTGGGGGTGGGGGTTCTCTTGGGCCTGTAGACATCATTTAACTGCTTTAATAAACCCGTCCTGGAACTTCCCTATCATGGTACTTCTTCATATCTGAGATAACTTCCAATTTTAGGTTACCTTTTCCTTTACTTTCAGCTAAAAGCAGCATACCAGGTGCATGCCTCAAATGGATTATACCATAATTCAGGAGTTGGCAAATTATAGGCCTATGAACAGCTGTCTGTTTTTGTTAAGTAAAGTTTTATTGGAACACGACCTCATCCATTCTTTCAAGTACTGTCTTTGGCTGCTTTTCCATTACAATAGCAACATTGAGTAGTTGTGATAGAGGCCAAATGGCCCTTAAGCCTAAAATTCCTCTATTTGGCCCTATAAGAAAAAGTTTGCAAACCTTTGCCATTCTTGAACATGATCATTCCTTTTGTTGTTGGATATTGTTTTTCTAAGCTTCTCCAAAAATCATCTTTTTAAGCAAGGTTTTAAACCTGTCACTTGGCCATATTCTTGCATATAAAACCAAATGTTATAAATCGGGAAAGAATCCAATTAGAAAATAAATAATGCAGGCATGGAAGTAATTTACAATAATCTTCTAGATCATCTGGGATCTTATTAGAGTCTGCCAAAGGTTGCGGTCAATGCGCAAGATTACATTTTCCACGTATAAATAAGTACAGGTAATTATAATAACGAATTCAAAACTACAGCCTAATCCAGGAGAAGAACAAGAAAAAATGTGAGTTTTTTTTTTCTCATTTTAGGTTTAAATCAGCCAAACTAAACTTCCTCCTGGGCTGAAAGATGTTGCTGGAACTCACATCACAATGAATATTTTTACAGCTGAGGGAGAAAGGGCCCTGAAATGAGTATCCAGGAGGCCCTCCTTAAGCACCCTTGCTTCAGAGTTCTGCAAACCAAATGTTGGGGAGATAACGACTATTGGTTAAATAAGGCACAATCAAAGTCTGTCATGTAAATAGAGCCAACTATATATTTGATATTTTGGCTTGTTGCCATATTCTCTCGCTCTCCTAAAGAAGAAAAAAAAACCCTTCTTGTTAGAAAGTTCCCTGGGATGGCTGAAGTTGCCTTCCTTTAAACTACTGGGTGGCAGGCAGCTCTGCAGTTAATTAAAATTGTGGCTGCACAGGTTGCAGGAAGGAGCAAATAACTTACTGAACTTTGTGGGAACTTCAAGATACAGTGGCCCCAGCCATGCATTTCTCCTTGCTTCTTTAGAAGCTGCTTACAAACCTTCCCCTTGGTGCAGAAAGAACAAGATATTCACGTCTCCTAAATGTTTGGGGGGCTTCCAGATTGTCCTCAGGTCAAAACCTGTCAAATAAACTGGTGAGGTGCATAATGATCTGAACAATCTTTGTGGATGAGCCGAGCCTGGTTCTTTTGTCAGGGGGAGTCATCTAGGACGAGCTTGGCATCCTGGACAAAGTCCAGAGTACACAGCCCCTGAAGGCAATGCTCCATAAATGCCCAGGATCTGGCGATGCTCTACACACACACACACACAATGCCAAGTGCAGCAAAAACATCACCACTGAACTCTCGGGAAAGCAACTAGACAACCACTGACTGCAACATATTAGACTCAGAGTGTGGACAATTAGAGACAGAAAGTTTCAACTTTATGAATATTCAACAGGAACCAATGAAATTGTTTTTGGAACGCTCCCATTTACAACTTCCAGCCCATTCCACAGTTATCTTCCTTCCAAAACATCTGATATGGGAGTCTTCCACTTCCTTTCCCAAAGAATGCTGGATGTGTGCTAAGTTTTCCATCTCAACCATGTAAATCAATAACTTTTGCTCCCTGTTTCTTAACTGAGAGAGATATTAACATCTGTGACTGAGAAAGTACTCAGTTTATTGAAGGGTTTTAACCTTTATAATAATTATAGTAATAGGAACATTTATAATTAACTGAAGTAAGTAAATTTTTCAACTTAGGAAAGAACAGTTAAAAGTTGGGCACCTTTCCTTTTTTTAACTTGAAAGAGTTTTGATACATGTTATTCGCTATCTCATTATAATTTTGACATATAGCCTTGTCAATGGGTAGAGAGAAGTACTATTTATTTGAAAGCATGTGAAGCTCAAAGTGATTAAATGATTTAGTAATGTTGCAATGCCTTCTTGTTAGCCATGTTTATGGTTATTATTCTATGCTACTACATCTTTTCAAAAGACAAAAACTTACAAAAATTTAGAAAATCACTCATTGTTTCATAACTTAAAAAGAAAAACACTCAACCAAAATCACTCATTGTTTCACAACTTATAAAAGAAAAAGACTCAACCAAACAAAGATAAATAAGGACATAATTTGGCGGGAAAGTGTGGGTTTAACTGTCAGAGCTATGTAACTAAAGGGATGCTTCAGGAAATTTACCTGGCCCTCTGAACCTCATTTTCTCATCCATAAAATGGGTATAATAATATCTACCAGGCAAAATTGTTGTGGGAATTGGGAATAAAATACACAATGTCCCTGGAATACGGTGGACCCACCACAAATGGTAGTTATTCACATTTTGGAGTGAACGGCATTAAGGCATCAGGCGTTTGGATTTTACATATGATTAAAAATATTTATTATACATTATGTTCTATTATAAACATTTGTCTCTTTATAGACTTACATTGCCTAATAAAAAGTGCATATAACATTTCCCATGTAAATAATTCCTATTACCAGACATATAGGTAGTTTCCTATCTTTACTCTTACAGATAACATTGTGATGAAAATCTTTATGCATGGTTGGGCGCGGTGGCTCACACCTGTAATCCCAGCACTTTGGGAGGCTGAGGCAGGTGGATCACCTGAGGTCAGGGGTTCAAGACCAGCCTGGACAACATGGTGAAACCGTGTCTCTACTAAAAATACAAAAATTAGCCAGGTGTGGTGGCACACACCTATAATCCCAGCTACTCAGGAGGCTGAGGCAGGAGAATTGCTTGAACCCAGGAGGCAGAGGTTGCGGTGAGCCAAGATGGAGCCATGTACTCCAGCCTGGGCAATAAGAGTGAAACTGTCTCAAAAAAGAAAAAAAAGAAAAGAAAATCTTTATGCATAAAGCTTCATCCACATTGAATCCTCAGGATCAGTTTCCTGAAGTAAAATTTCTGGGTCAAAGGGAATGAAGCGTCTAAAGGCCCATGATTTTTGGGGCCAAACTGCTTTATAGAGAGATTCTGCCGATTCTCATGAGCATCAGCAGTCGGGGGAGGGTCTTCTCACCTCACTCTCACTAGTCTCTGTTTCTGTCATTCCAGAAGTCTGTGCAAATGTGATTGCAAAAAGAGCATCTCCTTTGTTCTGATTTACATTTCCTTGGTTGCTGGTGAGGATGACTCCAAATATTTAAGTTTAATTACTAATTAATTATTCTTTTTTCCCCCATTTTTGGGGTCTCATTTTTTTTCCCCATAGATTTGTATGAGTTCCTTATTTATATGAACAATGTTAACCTTGCTGAGGTACCCAGCCACCTAAATCAAATGGGCAGGATGGGCCGGGAGAAATAAGGCAGAAATGACTGTAGAGGAACCAGTATAGGGGCCATTGGTGACATACTGGGCTCTCAGTAAAACTGAGCCCCATGATTTCCTCAAACTCTCTGAAGGTATAGAGCACTCAGAAAGTGAAAAAAGGGGAAGAGAGTCACATCACTAATATTTGTTGAATATTAAATATGACTATTTAATCTCTTATGTGCCACATATGTACTGTGCAATGATTACCTGTGCCAGTCTTTGTTCTAAATGCTGGGGATATTATAATGAAGATATGGGATGGGGTCTCCACTTTCATGGAGCTTATTTATCAAATGTTTCTTGAATGTCAGGCAGATTTTTAGAGGCCTTCTAATCCATCACCTCAAGAACTCTATGTGATATTGTTATTTCCTTTTTTCGGATAAGAAAACTGAGCCTCAGTTGGGTTGGTTTAGAGCAGAGATCAAGCAGTTTAGTACTGGAGTCAGGATCTGAACTCAGGCACTCAGGCTCCAGAGCCCACAAGTTTCACTATCCTAATAAATAAGATAAAAGCTTAAGTACAGACAGTCTTTGCTTTGCACCTTAGTGCAGGATTGTAAGAATGACCTTGCAGGCTGGGTATGGTGGCTCACACCTGTAATCCCAGCATTTGGAGAGGCCCAGGAGGGCAACTCATCACTTGAGTCCAGGAGTTCGAGACCAGCCTGAGCAAGATGGTGAAAGCCCGTCTCTACAAAAAATACAAAAATTAGCTGGACATGGTGGCATTCACCTGTAGTCCTAGCTACTCAGGAGGCCGAGGTGGGAGGATTGCTTGAGCCCAACATGTCAAGGCTGCAGTGAGCTGTGATGGCACCACTGTACTCCAGCCTGAGCGACAGAGTGAGACCTTGTCAAAACAACAACATCAACAACAACAACAACAACAAACAACAAAAAACACCAAAAGACCATGCAGAAACCTCACAAAGAAATAATCATAATGGTCCCATAACCTTTAGAAATATTTGTCAAAACATTAAAAACTCTCTCATTATCGGTTATAAATGTATAAAGAAATGAAAAAAATGGTAAAACAAATATTTATTTAGCATACTGTAATTTTACAGATTAGAAATGTTGAGAATTGTGTTATTTCTTTGTAAAAAACTTACCAAGAGTAGTCTGAGAAGTGCATTCTGTATTCTTTCATGAAATGCTCAGTCAAGTGCAGCCACAAGAGGAGACAGAGGAGAAGCTCAGGAAAACAACACTCACAGGTCCTAGAGACAGGAGACAAACCACACCAGGCAGGGCCACGTGGGGTAGCCTCAGGGTGGTCAGGAGGCAGAAAGCAGGGGTACAGGGAAAGCCGAGGCTACAGCCTTTATTGGGGTTTCCCAGCAGGGCAAGGGCAGTTTAGGACTGGCTAGTTTGAATCATTTCAGCAGGCACTTAACTATACGGGTGGTCTTTAGTTGCCTGGTTCCTGGCCTTTGGTTGACTAAGGCAGAGGAAAAATGTTGCCTCCTGAGGTGCAGGGGCCACATAGAGGAGAGATGGCTCTAGGTTGGGCAGTTTGCGTATCAAAGGCACACTCCCAGCTGAGCCCTTTGCTGTGTCTAAGGATTGGCCAGCCCTGGGAGGGGCAGTCAGACAGGTTTTTAAGATATTAAAACATCATAACATACAGAAAATAAAAAAGATAAATAATACACAGTGTTATCTTTTTGTCATACAACTTACAGTATAGAAAAATATATTTTCTATGCCCTGGTAAATTGTTACTCTCCTTTCTAAATTTGAGTGAGCACCCAACATTTAATCTTTTTCACTTTTAATTCATGAATTAACTCTGAGAGTTCCTTTAATGTGATTTTTAAAATGTAAATTTTAATTTTTTTTTTTTTTTTTTGCTGGCGTCACTTCCTCTGGGATATCTTGCTCCTTGTCCTCACTTTCCTCATTTATGTCAATAAGGTCACCTTCGCCAAGTTCCTCTGGCTGCCTATGTAAAGTCTAGGATGCCTGAGTGTTGACATCCCAATCTCAGCTATATCTTCTCACCTCCATTTATGTTGGATTTGAATCTCACTCCCTGCGTTCTCATTTTTCATTTCTTTGCTTCACTTTCATTTTTGCTGGCCACTTACCTCCATTGATTGTCCATTTGTGTAAGATGGCACATGGGTCATCACAGGAAGACAAGGAAGCACAGCGACATACTTTGCTGTCTGTGTGTGAACCAATAACAGGGTGTGGTGACCATCACTGGCAGACTTTGAAAGAAGTGATGTGAGTGGTCACTGACTGATCATAGTGCTCATATTTACAAAAGTGATGTGTGTCCTGAAGAGCTAGCAGTGAAGTCTGTGCTTCATGCAGGAACTGACAGTTCATAGACCATGGTGAATGAAATCTGAACCTTGCCCTTGCGGGGACTGCATCTACTTAACTAAACTGACTAAAGGGTCATGATTGAAATTCAAACATATTGGAAGCCCAATATGTTTGCAGTATGTTTCCCATATTGGCAAAGGAAGAACTATCTGCTTCTCGGTACTGAATCTTGCACAACTATAACAAGGAAATGATAGCACATTTTAAAGACGACGACATGGATTTTATTTTGTCAAGTTGTTTTTTTCCATTGTGTAAACTAGCAGGGTGTGGCCACAGCAAGCACTATTGTTTAATCATTCAGTTGAAAACTCAGCCCACACATCTCTCCTCACCCAGTGGACCTGCTCTTTTAGGATAATTCCATCTAGCTCACAAAGCCGTACTGAAGATATTTCCTGTCTTCATGCAAAACACTTCCATCATCTCCCTGCCCAGGGGAGGAAATGGAAAGAGAACGCTTATCCATCACAACAGGATATAGAGCTGTGGACCTGATTCTACCCCACGTCTCTGATTTAATGTGCAGTCCGAACCCAGGCACAAATCTAAGCAATACACCATATGTGCAGGCCCCAGGGGAAATCAGAACAAGCCTGAAGGAAGTTAGGCGAGAGAGCAAGCCCAGAGACAATGTATATTCTTTGCTACACATTCCATTTCCTTTGGGCCTGGATTCCATGGGTTTCTCTGTATGTATCAGTGTGCATGTATGCTTGGAATGTATCAGTACATGTATGTATCAGTGTGCATGTATGCTTGGAAGATTGGTTTATGAAGGGCACAGAAGTCTGCATCTGATTCATCCTGGTGCATACGTGATTGCAAAAGTGAGAAGAGGAATATCAGGAGGAGGAGGTGCATGAAAAGGGGAGAGTGAGGTTCTGGCAGGATCATTCAGAACGCACACTAAGGCCAATATGTTCAGAAAGGAGTGTGTAGTAAGGAGAAGAGTGTCTTAGTTTGGGTTTCCCAGAAGTTGGTCCTGAATACAGGAAGTTAATTTGGGGAGTAATCCCAGTAAGACCAGGAGAGTGCAGAAATGAACCAAGGACGACAGGGAAGCAGACAGGATATGACAGGGACAGGTTATGAATGCGGACACTTGGGGCTCAGTCACCCTGGAGACCTCTGTGTGGCGATTCAGAACATGCTGCCAAGTTGTCTCACCCAAGGGATGAGAAAGCCGAGGTATTTACACACCAAATCCCATCCTGGTTGAGGGCTGCTTGCTGTCGATTGCCTTTTCAGCCCTTATGGCCAAGCCTGCATATGCAGAGCACACTCTCAGGAGGCCAGGGGGAGCCTAGAGGCAGACTCACAAATTCTTACAGTACAAGGCCATCTGGAGTGCACAAAATGGGAAGTAGCCACAGGTACTGGTAGGGCACCAACAGGGCCTGCTATTAGGTTCTGAATGTGGTCTGGGCACTGCTGTAAGCACTTTGCATGTGTTAACGTGTGAGATGCTCACAACAAGCCTACAAGATAGGTCTTGTTATCACCATTTTATAGATGTGGCACAGAGAGGTTAAGTCACTTGCCCAGGCTCACAGGCTCTATGGAGCCTTAGCATATGTGTTACAGCACATTGGCAATGCCCTCCGCAACGCATGCTTTTATCTTCTCTCTTTCCTTGTTTTCCCGCAAACTCTCCTAGGTTTTTAAGGCTTATGATAACTGAAGAGCATTTGTTGGTGCTAGGTACTTTACATGAGCAGGATCCCCAACAACATAGGGTACCAGCCACCCCTGGACAGTACACCTGAGCTTATATAGAAGGAAGTACAGTTCTCTTATTTAAGTCACTGTGCTTGGGAATCTCGTCATCACCATGAACACACAGGGTAATGTTGGAGTTCTAAGCACGGCTCTGGGACACCAAACACAGAAGGAGATATGTGGACCCAGCCCTGCTGCAGCAGTGAGACCTTATACAGGAGGGGCTGAGTCAGTGTCTGAAGACATGCATCCCACCCCGTCCTGAGTGCTTCTTCTCTTGCTTTGATTAAAGGAGGACTCAGCCTCTTGTAGATTTCCGTTCCTTGTGGAGGGAGCTGATACAAGAGACAACATGATTGAGTCTTCTTTGGCTCCCCCACGAGTCACTGCTTGAGCCTGCCTCACCAAACCAGTCCTGAGGTCTCAGTGCACAGAGCTGTCAGCAAACCTCCCGCTCCCTGTTTGTGTTGGCTTTTGTCACTGTGCCATGGAGGTGTTGGCTAAAGCTGTTTACTGGCTTAATTTAAAAACACCTCGAGGTGTTCTTAAAATTCTGCTTTGAGCAGCAATATGGACAGAATGGCAATGAAGTCAGAAAGCAATGAAGATAAATAGAATATAACCAAACAAAATTATCATAAAATCACATGGAGTAGCTTAAGGGAACTTTTGAAAAAGTAGATTATTTAAATATAATATTACACACATATATCTACACATACATAGACACACATATATGTATATGTATGCACATACCTGTATAATTTCAGGAGATCTTATTGTCTTCATGGAGCTCATTTATTCATACCATAGAGGTCAGGCCATGTTCTAGGCTAAGTGCAACTCTGAAGCACGTTCTTCCAGACCAAAAGAACAGAACAAAGCACAGAAGACTTAAAATATTAGTTTTATATGCATGAAAAATAATGGCATCAAAAATCAGACTCCTATGGCAAAAGCCACCAACATGAGCTTTCTTGATTATTTTTATGGGGCCAGGAACCATTTGATAGCGGAATGTGGGTAAAACCAGGCGATATGAAGTGAGGAGCTAAAAATCGGCTTACGTAGCATTGTCAGTTGCCTAAACTGAATGTCAAGAGAAAAACCTTAGAAAACTGCTTGTCCAATCTCCAGGAAACAAAGGCTCAAAGAGGAGAAGCTCATGGAGCTATTTGGTGGCAGGGTGACAGCTAAAAGTCAGCTCTCCTGTCTTCAACTCTGCACAACACTTCACGGCTTCCCTCGTTCAGTGTTCTTAATTTGTCACAGTGCACTGCAACACGACATTGAGGGAAATTCCTAAAACTTACAATCCCTCCTTCTTCCTCACCCTATTTCCTAGAGTCATGCCACATAGCCACTTTCCCTACCCAACCCTGGCCACAGGTCCTGGCCGGCTGTCTTGGCTCTATGCAGGTAAGGGTTAGTCAGAGGGGAAAGTGAAGAGGGAAGTCAGGAGAGGAGTGGGGTAAGATTCTCTCTGCAAGCGGAGAGGCTCAATTAACAATGACAGAAGAAGAATTCCAGCACTGTCTCCCTTCCGCAGCCCAAGAATAACATCCAGGAGTCAACACCTCTGCCTCCCACATGCTAACACACAGTCTCTTTGTCTTGTGTTGAACCTTTAAGCACTCCAGAACCCAACTTCTATGTTTTCTCTCTCTCAAGGGTTGAATGGATTTAATAAGCATTTCTAAAAGTCACCTGAGAGTAGGCTTGTGAACCAAGGCAGATGTAAGCTCTCTGGGTTTTGCTCTTTCTTTGAGGTGACTCTATAGAAGAGAAACTCACTGGAACCAAGGTACTAACATTCTTCAGCCTCTAAGTAGGCACAAATTCTCTCATCAGAGGGATCTATAGAAAGCCAATATTGATGGGGCATGAGTTCCTTCTGTCTAGAAAATAAAGACCTTACTCCTGATTGAGCTGGTGGGGAGAGGGCAGGAATGTACAAAGTCTGAGATACAACATTATGTTGGTTAACAGCACCCATTCCCAACTCTCACTCCAGCAGCATTACTTAATGTAATATTTGTTCATTGCTTAAATTATTATTATAGCTTCAGAAAACGCCACGAGTGTATGATCATGATTATTATCTGGTTGTGGTTCTAGCTTACAACGTAAAAATGTAATCACATGGAATAAGAACCCTCAAAAGACAAGAAATGGAGGAAATTAACATGTTACACATCAGCATTGGTCTTTGTCTGTTTTTTATTAAGTATGTTCCCAAAGCACTTCATAGGGGAAACTAAAGACACGTGGAATGTTTAAAGAGCACTGCACATCCAAATCATTTGATTCCCAGCTACAAGTCATTAGGGTGATATTATTAACCTCAAGCACACTTGGGAAATGTAGGTAAAGGACTGACAAATTTGGAAGGTCTAAAGTAGAGATTACATTTGTGCAATTTCAAATTTTAGCTAAATGAGTATTTTAAAAGCAAAGTATATTAGGTGGTTTCTGTGTGCCAGATACTGTTCTAAATGCTTTCTATATATTTTATTTCAGTATCATAAAAATCCCATGGACTAGGTACTATTATTAATCCCACTTTACAGTTGGGGAAATTGGTGTTCAGCATGGTTGGTAACTGGCTCAAGGCTACTGAGCTACTTAGGTGGCAGAGTCAGGAATGTCTAACTCCAAAATGTAGGCTTTTAACAAGTATGTTATATTGCCTCTCAATACCTAGAATACAAGGGTAATTAAAAAAATAAGACACAAGAATTTTTGAGATTATTCATTCGTTTTGTGTATGTTTAGTGATGGTGTGTCTATGCCAGGAACTACACATGAGGAGCTGAAGATACAGTTGAAAACTGACTAGGTTCCTGCCCTGTGGCATTTACATTCTAATCTAGACAGAAAAAAATACATAACCATAGAAAAAAATAAAATTAATGTAAGCTGTAGTAAGTGCTATGAGAAAGACAAAGATCCTGATATATTAAATAAGGAAGGAGGACTCTCTTAGCATAAGTTCTCTGTGGAAAGCTTGGCAAAGAATTGCACATAGGTGGTTTCTTTTGGGAAGTGATCACAGGGAAGAGCAGTGGGGACTGGGGGAAAAAAAAAAGAAAGAGGAAAAGCTGAAACTAGGGTGCATTCTCAAGTTGGTCACTGCTGTGTGCCATGGGAACAATTCTGCCGGGACACCAAAGAGTAGAGGAGAATGCACCTCAGAACTGTCCAACCCATAGAAGGAAGAGATAAACACGGGTCCACCACCTCCCAATGGTCACGAGTTGTTCATTTCCTCCCGTTCCTAGGCTGTGCGTGCAAAGCTCCCATCGCAATACCAGAGAAATCCTGGGCCAGAAACTGAAAGAAGCCAGGTACAGCTGAGGCCAGGGGTTGCCAGGTACTGTCACCCAGACAAAGTTTGTTGCTACGATGGCTGGCCAAGAGGTGGGCTGAGTGGGCTGTGAGGACACACAAGGTGACCAATACAGAGACCTGTGTTAGGGGGCTGTGTCAGAGAAAGCTTCCCTGTGGAGGTGGCTTTTGTGATGAGATTTCAGGAGGACAAAGAGCTAAGCATGGTGAGAGCTGAGAGAAGAACATTTCCAAGCATAGGAACCAGCCATTGAAAGGCCCTCAGAAAGAGGTAGCATCTTTCAGGAACTGACACCCAGGGTAGCTGTGATAAGGAAAGGTGAGAAGCAGCCCAGGATGTCATAGGGGTGCAGTGCCAGGTCACACAGAGGCTTGGAGAACATGATAAGGATTTCATTTCTAGTGAATACAAACTCATTGAAGGGTCATAAAAATGCACTCTATTAACCTCCAAACAAGGGATCACAAGAGTTTCAGAGCTGAAAAAGAACCATAGGTGTGAAGCTGAGAGGTCATTCTATACAAGAAAGAACAAACTGGTTGATAGTTCCATTGGCCAAAGGTCCATACTGGGGCCAAGAACAAGGGCTTCCCTCAAAGTCAACAGGGCCAAATTTGTTGTGCACTGCTGAGTTGAGGGAGCTAGTCCGTAGTTCCAGTCTCTGACACAGAAATTGTTGGTAAGAACAACTGAGAACCAAGGGTGGGATGGGATGAGGGTCGGGACTCGATGGATAATATTTGAAGAACTTCTAAGAGTCAGGGTGTCTTACATTTTATTTTATTTTATTTTTGAGATGGAGTCCCCCTCTGTTGCTCAGGCAGGAGTGCAATGGCATGATCTCAGCTCACTGCAACCTCCACCTCCCAGGTTCAAGCAATTCTTCTGCCTCAGCCTTCCAAGTAGCTGGGACTACAGGCACACACCACCACGCCTGGCTAATTTTTGTATTTTTAGTACAGCCGGGGTTTCATCATATTGGCCAGGCTGGTCTTGAACTCCTGACCCTGTGGTCCGCCCACCTCGGCCTCCCAAAGTGCTGGGATTACAGGCGTGAGCCACCCTACATTTTCTTTGGTGCCAGCATAGATCATTGCTTTTAAAGAAAAGTCTCAAATCTCTAAGACTTGGGGTATTAGAACTCTGAAAGAGACTCTTGTACTGGGAGCTCCTGAGTCTCCCCACTTGAGCTTCAGTTTTATCTTCCTCTGATAAGTCTTTCACTTTGATTTCTCCTGTATCTGCTGTGCTGGGCCCAAAGGAGGTATTAACATTCTGGTCCAAGCCTCAACAAAACCCCTTACCCTTGAGATATTTGTTGAACAGGAATTGCCTATGTTTATTTAAACATATTTGCCACATGATTAATGAGCAACATAAAACGCTTACACCTGGGAATCATGAAACTTGTAATTTCCATGCTCCTTGCCTATCTGACCTTTCCTTAGCTCACAGGTACATCAATACACATCCTGTCTCTGTAATACCTTTGGTGGTTGTGTTAGAGCGGACTAACTGCTTAACAAGTCCCAAATTCCAGTGACTTAACACAGCAAAGTTTATCTTTCATTCTGGTCACATTCCCTTACAGAGCTACTGCAAAGTTCTATTCCATGCAGTCATTTAGGAATCCAGGCTCATTCCTTCTTATGGCTCTATCCTCTTCTGAGTTTTTGAAATCTTCTCCATTTGGCCAGTGTAAGGCAAAGAGCACACGTGGAAAAGGCACCACTGCTCTCAGGTGAGGCACATCCACTCTGATGGAAACTAGTCTTACAGCCCACCCTGGTGCACAGGGATTAAGAGGTGTAATCTATTGGGATCCCAAGAATAGGGGACCTTGGGTATTGTGAGCACCAGCAGCCCCTACCACAGTGGTGGAGGAAAACAAAGCACTATTAACCTTCCAAGAAAAATATGGAAGCTGCACATATGCTTTATCATGTAATATAGGCCAGGGTCAGGGGAGTATGCTTGGCTTCCTAAAGTGCATGCAGAAACAATGTAGAGTACACATTGCTATCACCAGAGCTTAGAAGAAACTCAAAGAGCCTGGGCGCGGTGGCTCATGCCTGTAATCCCAGCACTTTGAGAGGCCGAGGGGGACGGGTCGCTTGAGGTCAGGAGTTCGAGACCAGCCTGGCCAACATGGTGAAACCCCATCTCTACTAAAAATACAAAAATTAGGCCAGGCGTGGTGGCTCACGTCTGTAATCCCAGCACTTTGGGAGGCCGAGGAAGGCGGATCATGAGGTCAGGAGATTGAGACCATCCTGGCTAACACGGTGAAACCCAGTCTCTACTAAAAATACAAAAACAAAATTAGCCAGGTGTGGTGGTGGGCACCTGTAGTCCTAGCTACTAGGGAGGCTGAGGCACGAGAATGGCGTGAACCTGGGAGGCAGAGTTTGCAGTGAGTCGAGATTGCGCCACTGCATTCCAACTTGGGCGACAGAGCGAGACTCCGTCTCAAAAAAAAAAAAAAAAAAAAAATTAGCTGGGCATTTTGGCGCATTCCTGTAACCCCAGCTACTTGGGAGGCTGAGGCAGGAGTATTGCTTGAACCCAGGAGGTGGAGGTTTTAGTGAGCTGAGATTGCACCATTGCACTCCAGCCTGGGCAACAGAGTGAGACTCTGTCTCAAAAAAAAAAAGAAAAAGAAAAAGAAGAAACTCAAAGAATATGATATGTATTAGGACAGCAATTTTAAAAATATTACTACACTACTTATTCCAAATAATAAATATTGAAGAAATTTTAAGTGAAATATATTTAGGCGTCTTTTTCTCTCTCTGACTCTTTAGAAATTGTAAAACTTCTGAGCCTGCAGGTCTTCTTTTTTCCTTTTAATTGTGGTAAAATACACATAAAATTTCCCGTCTTAATCAGGTGTAAGTGTACAATTCAGTAGTATAGAGTACATGGCATGGTTGTGCAACCAATCTCCAGGACTCTTTCCATAAACCCAGAATAATTAGTTAACAGTCAAGAACAGGAATAAAATCTAGATTTACACCTCCCACATAAAGATCATAAACATTTCTTTAGAGTGACAATAATGTTATTTTGCCTAAAGCTTGATTTTCAGTATATTGATCATTATCGAGCAATGTTATTTATTATTTTGTTTTTTAACTGTGGTAAAACTTACATAATGTAATTTGCCATCTTAACCATTTTTAAGTGTATAGTTCAGTAGCGTTATGTGTAGTCACATTTCTGAGCAACAATCTCTAAGACTTTTTCATCTAGAAAAACTGAAGCTCTTTATCCATTAAACAATTCTTTCTTCCCCCAGCACCTGGAAACCACAATTCTACTTTCCGTCTCTTAAGAATTTGACTACTCTAGGTACCTTATGTAAGCAAGATTGTATGGTAGCTGTCTTTTTATAATTGGCTTATTACTTACTATAATGTCCTCGAGGTCCATCCATGCTGTAGAATGTGTCAGAATTTCCTTCCTTTTTAAGGCTGAGTAATATTCTATTGTATGTATATATCACATTTTGTTTATTCATCTACCCAGTGATAGACACTTCGGTTGCTTCTACCTTTTGGCTATTATGAGTAATGCAAGAGCAGCCGTTATTAAGGTAAGTTTTGAAGATGGAGAATCACAATGAACAACACACTCACTGGTGTGTGCGTGTGTGTGTGTGTGTGCGCGTGTGCACATGTTCATGCTCTTGTCACCTTCCTCCTACTCACAGACTCAGAGTGTGGCAGAAAACTAATAATTGAATCTAGGACACTTGATTGTACCATTTTCTTTACTCCCATAGGACAGGTTCTTATGTAATGAAAGTATCTCTTAAATTTCATCTACTAAAATGATAATTTTCTGAAAGAATATGGGACATTGTCCAAGTAAAGGGGTTTGAAGTTGCACTAGTTAATTACTCTCAGAGTTAATCCCTCAATAAGTTACTTGTAAGTACCTATTTGGTATTCTATTCAGCGGAGGTTCTGGTACATAAAAACAGTGCACAGTCCTTTCCCTGGTCATAGTTTAGGTATAACGTAAAATACTAGGCTAACACTTTCAAATGGTGTCTACTGAACATCAGTGTTCAGTGTGATGTTAGTAGATGCTTCATAATAATAGCGTTCCATGGTCAAATATGCTTGACCATGGAACACTGTGATACAATTTTTAAATTTTTATACAAACACAACTTAATTGAGGCCCAAGCACAGGGGTGATGGGGTGGGAGGGGAGTATGTCTGTGTTGAGTTCAGTTACGGGAGCGATTTAGCATCTAGTCAAGGCAGAGAAGTCAATCATTGAGCAATCACTGGTAAACAAAATGACAACTCATCTAGATATCACACATTATAATTTTCTCGAATTAAAATCTTTCTATTGGCAACTTTCAAAACTCTTGTGCATCACTGGGCTCATTAGGTAAACTGTGTAATGTCCGGGTGTCTCATGGTGGTAGATTTCTAGCCCATAATGGTGCCAAAAGTTGCCCACCCATCAAACGCACCTCTTTCACCACTCTCAACTTTAAGCCCCCGGAGTTGTAGATGTATCTCTCATGGGCTCACTCTTCTAGAAAAGGTGGGCTTTTCTGGACATAGTCCCCCAAACAATGCTGAGGCCCATGCCATGAGGGCCATCACCCAGGGGATAACAGGGAGGTGAGGGCCTTCCTAGGCTGTGACCCTAGTGATGCAGGAGCAGCTCTCTTGCAGCTCTCACTGAGGCAATGTCTCCCATGACCTAAGCAGAAATGCGGAGGAATCCCATCCACACTCCTGGAAGCCGGAGAGCCCTCTCTCCATAGGACGCATCCCTAACCCTTGGGGAGGGCCTTGAGAACAGCTGCCACAGAGGTGAGGCAAAGCTTTACCTCCACCCACTTAGGGTCCAAGCTAGGCCTGATAATTAAATTGACAGACGAACAGGACAAAAGCATGCAAATTTACCCTCAGTTTTGCATGATACAAGAGCCCTCATAAGAAAATAAAGACCCAGCTTCATCCATGTCCCTACAAAGGACATGAACTCATGATTTTTATGGCTGCATAGTATTCCACGGGGTATATGTGCCACATTTTCTTCATCCAGTCTATCATTGTTGGACATTTGGGTTGGTTCCAAGTCTTTGAAGCTGGAAACCATCATTCTCAGCAAACTATAGCAAGGACCAAAAAACCAAATACTGCATGTGAACACATGGACACAGGAAGAGGGACATCACACACTGGGGCCTGTTGTCGGGTAGGGGAAGTGGGGAGGGATAGCATTTGGAGATATACCTAATGTTAAATGACGAGTTACTGGGTGCAGCACACCAACATGTCACATGTATACATATGTAACAAACCTGCACGTTGTGCACATGTACCCTAAAACTTAGAGTATAATAAAAAAAGAAAAAGAAAAAGAAAATAAAGACCCAAAGAAATAGCAAAACCTACATATATTAGGTCAAACAAAGGGAGGCAATCATGGAAAAGTAACTTAATTATGTGTAGAAGCTGAAGGAAGATATGAATTATCTTAACAAGGTTTGTTTGTACAAAATTCTCTTGGCTATGACTCCCCATCAAAGAATGTTTCTTTTCTCCTGGCACAGGGAAGGAATCTTTTTCATGGCAGCTTTTATCTCCTGTTTTCAGGAAGAAAAGGGGAAGATTAGAATGCTCATCTTGCCTCTGCTGTTTTGCAAGTGTCTTTCACTTGACGTAATCCCTATGTCAAAGTGGCATATTTTGGGGTGGCATATTCTGCCAGCCTGCACCAGTTTGACCTCTTTGTCCCTCCCTCACCCTGAGCTCCATCTGAGTGCTAAGCACAAACCTCCCCTTCACTAGCTCTTTTCCCCCAAAGCAAAGCAACCCAGGCAGACAGCTGCCTATGGTCCCAGCCCGATCAGTCCCTCATACCGCCCCTGCCATGTCTGAGTCTCAAGTTCATGTACTTTTTCCTTTTGATCTTCCTTCAATATCATAAGCTCCCCGAGGACAGATGAGCTTGTATCTTATTTGTCCACAGCACAGAGTAAGTATCACAGTTTTTCACTGACTGACAATGAATGAATAAAGGAGCAAAGGCATCTATCTAAACAGTTTCCTTGGTGACCTAGTGATTCCAGGCCAGATAGCAGAAAGCTGCCACATTGTTTCCAAAAAGTTAGACAAGTAGAGGTTTTATTTACATGTTACCTTGTTTCTGAGCTCTCTAAATCTGTCATCTTTTATCTACAACTAGGGTTAATATTCACTAGCCATATAGTATGAAAACCCTTATCAGATTCCAGTGGTATGACTGTTTGTGTTTTCTACTCAAATAATAAGATGATTTTTTAGAAGGCCAACCTAGGTCGCTCTTCCGTGTCCTGGGGCCGAAGCAGCAATAGAAAGCCTGGTAATCGGACACCTTTTGCCCCACAGTGTCACCCTGAATGAGTCTTTTCTTTCCGTTCTCTCTTTGCTTGGTCTTTTCCAGACTAGCTTTCCATTTCACAGCTTTGCTAAACATTCAGGTCAAGGTCAGAGCAAAGGGACTATCTCAAGGTGGAAGGAACTGAATTTAGCCACATAGGGCCTCTCCCTAATGAAAGCATTCAGCACCCAGCCAAGGAATCTATCTATCTTTAGATTCCAAAGCAGAAAAAAGGAGAAAAAAAAACTCCCTTAAGAAAAATGCCAGTTTTGCTTTGCTTCTGCTCTAAGCCAAGCCTGTTTCAGGTTCCAAGGAGGTTGCTCCTTGCAGAAGGGAACGTGCTACAGAACACATCAGAAGACCTGAATTCTATTTCTGGCACTCACTCTGATATTCTGTGACCTTATCCCCGGCTACTTGAAGAGCTTTGTCCTGCCCCCATACCCACCCTCTGCCATCCCCTTCTTATTGCAACTTTGTGTGTAAGTGTGTTAAGACTCAGGGAAATTCTCCAAAAGCTCAAACTCAAGTGATCTTTATTACTTGGGGCCACAAGTGCCAACCAGCCTAGAGGGGTTCCTGGGAATAGGCGGGCGGATCACGAGGTCAGGGGATAGAGACCATCCTGGCTAAAAAGGTGAAACCCCAGCTCTACTAAAAATACAAAAAATTAGCCAGGAGTGGTTGCACGCGCCTGTAGTCCCAGCTACTCGGGAGGCTGAGGCAGGAGAATCTCTTGAACCCGGGAGGCGGAGGTTGCGGTGAGCAGAGATCTTGCCACTGCAATCCAGCCTGGGTGACAGAGAAAGACTCCATCTCAAAAAAAAAAAAAAAAATGCTGGCTTCCTGCCTTGTGATGTGGCAGGACTTAGTAGGCAGACTAAATCTGCCTACTAAGAAGTAGACATGGAGATACAGAATCTTCCACACGGAATAGATTTTACCAGTTACCTGGAAGCACTGGCATGCCCATAAAAATCTCCTCCTTTGAGAAGCCATGGAACTCTGTTCTGCCATCTACCCAACATTCTAGAAATTTACTTGCATCCTCTGAGAACCATCTGTGGTACTGGCATCCGCAACCTGTTGATGCAAAAACATGAAGCTTCTAGTGAGGAGGGAACAAACCCCTCTCTTTTGGAGGTATCAGTCTTAGTGTACTTTGTGAAAAGGGAAATGATCATGTGAAATAGTAGATGGCATTTTTCTGACGCTTTGCACAAACCTTGATTTCACATGGTGCTGTAGCTGTGTTGCTGGAAACAGTATAGCCTGGAGAGGGCAAACTTTGGAAGAGACCAGCTGGGTAAAATCCTGACTCTACACTAGGTACTGTGTGGCCTTGAGCAATTTATTTAATGTCCCAGTTTCAGTTTCTTGTATACAATAGAGTTTCCAAGTGGACCTAATTAATCATGAGTGTAAACTGAGAAAATGCCTGTACACTGCTTAGCACAGTGTCTGAACACATCAATTGCTGTATGAATGCTATTAGCAATAATATACATTATTAATAGTTATTAATAAATAGCACTTTAATTCATATTAAAATTAAATATTTTAATTAATAACTATTAAAATTAATGAATATTATTAATATTAACACTACATTATTATATTATCTGTTAATAGATAACATTATAAATAATATTAATAGTCCAGCCAGGCACGTTGGCTCATGCCTGTAATCCCAGCACTTTAGGAGGCCGAGGCGGGTAGATCACTTGAGGCTAGGAGTTTGAGACCAGCCTGGCCAATATGGCAAAACCCCATCTTTACTAAAAATACACAAACTAGTTGGGCATGGTGGTGCACACCTGTAGTCCCACCTACTTGGGAGGCTGAGTACGAGAATTGCTTGAACCCAGAAGGTGGAGGTCACAGTGCCCCGAGATCACACCACTGCACTCCAGCTCCACAGAGTGAAACTCTGTCTCAAAAAAACCTTAATAATAATAATAATAAGGCTTATAAAAAATAACCTAGGGAATTCATTAATGATGAGCAAATGGAAGTGATTCAAATAACCCTTTTGTGGCCCTAAAATATCCTGATAGGTAGCTATTTTAGCACGTGTAACATTCCATTGTATTCTTTATTTCTTTATATCTCCACTATTCCAAAGCCTCTCCAGGGCAGGGAATTCTCTCTTTTACTGTAATGTCACAAAGTCTCCTCTATTACCTGTCCTATATAAATGTTGTTGAGTAAATGAAAAGTGAAGCCATAAATTAATGAGTGAAGGAGTAAGCAAGTAAACAAATACTCATTTGAAGGGAATATTTTTTGCATTAAACCAAAACAACTGTATCTTATACAAACTATTTCTAAAAAGATAGCATTTTCCTTATTTATTATGAACTATTGCCAACTTCCCTTCCCCTGTCTCTGAGAAATGCAAAGTCCCTGATTTAGAGTAATTTCTCAAGAGTTGTTTAGGGGTTGTCTTAGTCAGCTCAGGCTGCTATAACAGAATATATATTGTAGGCTGGATGGCTTCAACAACAGACATTTATTTCTCCCAGTTCTGCAGGCTGGGAAGTCCAGGAGCAAGGTGCCAGCAGATTCTGTTCCCGATGAGGGCCTTGGTCCTGGCTTGCAGATAGCTACCTTCTTGCTGCGTCCTCATGCAGGTGAAGGGAGAAAAGGCTCTAGTTTTGCTTTCTCTTCTTATAGAGACTAATCTCATCACGGAGCCCCACCCTCATGCCATCATCTAAACCTAATTACTCTCCAAAGACCCCCCTCTAAATTCCATCACATTGAAGGTTAGATTTTCAATATCTGAATCTTGGGAGGATGCAAACATTCAGTCCTTAGCAGGTGCTGGAAGTATTAACACAGTGCCCAAAAACGATAGAATATTTTTGGTAGGATGAATCCACTTTCAACCCTGGAAGCCAGGCATTTCAGAGTGGAAAAGAAAAGAGAAGCAATAACTGCACAAATAAGCATCTTATTAAGGAAATCACTAGGTTTTTGAGGGCTGCACATTCTATGCTTTCTAAAGGATGATGTCTCAGCAGGCGGAACGAAGCTAATCTTGCCTGGCTGCACTCTTCTGTTCTGGCAGGGGGCTGGTGCCGCTCCCTGCAGATGCCCACGATGCCAGGCAGCCTGGTTTAGTTTGTGGAACGTGCTCTAATCCGTCAGCACAGCCACAGTAGATACTCTGAAAACTAAGAGAATCACCTTCAGCAGCTTATCGACTAACCACAGGCCCTTATCTCAAATGGGAACTGATTCAAACCGTTATTCAAGCTTATTCAAATGAATTTGAGAGTCTACTAACAGCCCTGGCTACATAATTTGCCGGGTGCAGTTCAAACTGAAAATGCAGGGTCCTTTTCAAAAATTATTAAGCATGTCAACATGGTGTCAGTAGAGCATCCAACTAAGCACACGTCGGCTTCTGAGCACAGGTCACAGGCCCAAAAACCCAGCCATGCCAAGCAATGACTATCCAATAAGTCAAACACCAGGAAACCCCAACCCCTCCACAGCCCTGCGGCTGCTGCAGCAGAAAAACAAAAACAAAACAGACACTCAACACCATCAGCATCAGCTCTTCCCAAACCACCAGCCTTCCTCAGAACCTCCCTCATTTGACCTGTTTTAACTCGTGTTCCCTCGACCTTCAAATTTTCAGTGTCCACAAAGCAGATCAAGGCTATCACAAAACAAAACAAACACCAAAAAGCCAACCCACTGGATCTAGAGACCTACGGACTTGCCCTCCTGATACTTGCAGCTGGTGTTTAAGGACGTGCCTGCCTTGGGCGATGGGCGGGTAGAAACCTCACACACCAAAGCCCATCGAGCTAAACTCAAGGTTGCGAACCCCAACCCCGGTGGGAACACGGTCTGCAGACACGCTCCCTTAAGTCCCTGTCGCACACAATAAATTGCTTTCTGAATATTCCCTTTACAACTGCAAAAAATAGAAATGGCTGTAACTGTGCAGAGAAAGAAAAGAGAAGCTGGGATGAGCTCCATCAGGGGCCGAATCTGCTTCTCGCTGGTGGATACTGTGATAAGAAACCTAGATCTGAACGGCCTCACAATGGCCTATTTATCCGGCTCTTACGCACGGCCGGCAGCCCCGGCTGGGAATCACGGGGGTGGCAGCCGTCCCCGGAAAACGGCGGCATTCCGACACAGGAAAGCCCGCGGATCAACTGATCTGCAGACAACGCTTCTTCCTTCCTGGGAAGCGGCCACAAAGGCAGCCAGCTGACCCCGGCCCAGCGCGGCTCCCGGCCGAGGAGGACAGGGGCGGGGTGGGGAGGGGGGGAATCGTCGCCCGCCCCGCCCCCACCCCCCAAGTTTCCTTTGGCAAAAGCATCCCAGGCGTGGTTCAGGCAGAGTCCACGCCAGCGAGGCTGGGGCCGAAACTCTCCACGCCAGGAAGGCGGGGTAGGCGGACCCGCCGCCCCCAGCCCCGCGCGCCCGCCGCGCCCCCCACGGCCCCCACCAGCTGGCTCTTCCGGCCGGGGCGGCCTTGGCCTGGGGCTGGGGTTGACTTTGGTGGGGGGACAGGAAGGACTGGCACAGCGCCCGCGACTGTCCCCTGAGGAGGACCCTCCCTACGACTTTTGGTCAAAAGCAAAAAGAAACACAGACATGTGCGTCACCCCGGGAAGCGCGCGGGGGTTTCGCTCGCGTTTCAGGAGCCGACTTCGCATCCTCCCTCGGTAGGGGGGTCGGGGGTTCCTAAAATTTACCCCCCAACTTCACTTCTCTGGCGACAGAGCACCTTAACAGTTCATTTCCCTCTCGCTCTCAAGTGAAAACATCTTATTTTTGTGTTAAAATGTATAAAGACACCATGAGAATTGGCAGGAGGTCAAACCGTAGATTCTGAGATGCTCCGGTCGCTCCCCAGGAAGCGCTGTTTTCGGAAGTGTTGACCCAGCAGCTGGTCCCTGCTGCTCTAATGACACGATGTGTGCTTTCACTTTTTCACTCCCAAAACGACGTGGTTTGGAGTCTTGAGAGCCTTGGAAATCGCTGCCCGTGGAGGGAAAGGTCTGGAGAGGCCAGGCCAGGAGAGCAGACATGCTGCAAGAAGCGGAGGCAGCCCTGTGAACTCGCCTGGCTCCGCAGGGAGGGGCGAGGCTGTCCAGGTCGCAGGTGGAGCTGGCCAGCTGCGAGCCAGGATGTCCTTGCTCTTTCCAAATTATACACAGTTTCCACAAGGAAAAAAGAGAGGGGTAGGGGGTCCAGGCAGATCTTCAGCTGTTTGTATACTCTGCACCAGGAGGCGCTATCATCAGCCCGGACCCCTACTCCACAGGACTGAGGAGACCACAATTCTTCCCTCCAGGCAGAATCGTGGACCCAATATTCCCGTCTCCCCGAATTCTCTTAACTCAGTATACTGCCATTAACAGCATAGTCAGCCTTCTGGACTTGAACTCCAGAAGGAATTTTGTCTCATTTAGTGCCTGCAGGGGAGCAGGATGAGATAGTACCTCTTGTACCGGCACAAGGTCTCTGAGTTGACTCTTACATAAACATTGCGCTGTTTCTAGGGACGGCATCATTTCTTGACCTAGAGAAACAAAGATATTGTGGGAAGGACCCCTGATGCTCAGTGGCAGTTTGGAGACCTGGCATTAGCCTTACTCAGTAAGGCTTCCTGATCTAGCAGGACTGATCCAGTCAGCTTTGATGATCCCCTAGCCTGGTACTGGGATTCTTCCAAACACCCATGAGATCACCCACATCTCACAGGGGCTGGTAGTGTTCCAGCAGAGAAAGGTGAGGGTAGCAAGCAGTAGTCACTTTGGGCCTGAAATGAACATCTTGGGGTTTTTATATCTGCCCACCCACTATGGGACATTATTGTCCCTTCCTCTTTGCTACAGTGTTTCCAGAAAATGAGAAGTAGCATCTTCTTAGAAATAGATTGGGTACCCTGTCTTAGACCTAGTTCCTTTTTTTTTGTTTTTTTGAGACGCTGTCTCACTCTGTCTCCCAGGCTGGAGTACAGTGGTGCGATCTGGGCTCACTGCAACCTCCGCCTTGGGGGTTCAAGTAATTCTCCTGCCTCAGCCTCCTGAGTAGCTGGGAATCCAGGTGTGTGCCACCACACTCGGCTAATTTTTGTATTTTTAATAGAGACAGGGTTTCACCATATTGGCCAGGCTACCCTTGAACTCCTGACCTCAAGTGATTCGCCTGCCCCAGCCTCCCAAAGAGCTGGGCAGTTACTTTTATTATAGTTCTAGATAACATAGAAAAGAACATGGAAAGCAGCTATGCAAGCAAAACACAAACACAAACAACCCTGTTAAAAAGTGGGCAAAAGACATGAACAGACACTTCTCAAAAGAAGACATGCAAGCAGCCAACAAATGTGAAAAGATGCTCAGCATTGCTGATTATCAGAGAAATGCAAATCAAAACCACGATGAGATCTCACACCACTCAGAATGACTATTATTAAAAAGTCAAAAAAACAACAGATGCTGGCAAGGCTGTGGAGAAAAGGGAACACATATACATTGCTGGCATTGCTGGTGGGAATGTAAATTAATTCAGCCACTGGGGAAAGTAGTTTGGAGATTTCTCAAATAAAACAAAACTACCATTCGACCCAGCAGCAATCCCATTACTGGTACATATCTAAATGAAAAGAAATCGTTTTACCAAAAAGACATTCATTTTTATGTGCTTCACAGCATTATTCACAATAGCAAAGACATTGACTCAGCCTAGGTGTCCGTCAATGGAAGACTGGTACATATACACCATGGAATACTATGCAGCAATAAAAAAGAAGGAAATCATGTCCTTTGTAGCAACATGGATGCAGCTGGAAGCCACTATTCTAAGCAAATTAATGCAGGAGCAGAAAAACCAAACAGTGCATGTTCTCACTTATATATGGGAGCTACATATTAGGTACACATAGACATAAAGATGGCAACAATAGACACTGGGGGATACTAGAGGGAAGCAAGGGTTGAAAAATAACTATTGGCTACTATGCTCACTGCCTGGGTAACAGGATCATTTTACCCCAGACCTCAGCATCACATGTATATCACACAATATACCCATGTAACAAATCTGCACATGTACCCCTGAATCTAAAATAAAAGTTGAAATTATATATTTAAAAAAAAAAACAGGACAGAACATGAACTATGGTGACTATTTTCAAAGGAGGGAGACTTTGCATTTGCCAGGGTTCAGGTTTTATAATATATTCTTGATATCAATATATTTTAAAAGATATCTGGGTGAAGTTTAAAAATCCCCTGAACACACATTTAATAAGCTATCTCCGAAACCTATTGAGAAAGGCTGTTCTTTGCCTGCCCAGACTCTGCCTCTTCCATTCTGACTGTCCTCACAGCCAATGGGACAACCCGTAAGAATAATGAGCTCTGGCCACCCAGCCCCATCCATGGTCAATGCCTCTTGCGGAACCCATTGTCTTTGCCTTATAGGATTGCAGACCTGGCCTCCGACTCCTAATGGCTTGCTCTATTTCCTGCTTGCACTCTGCCTCTCTCCATCTAATGGCGGAGCCTCCCTGGCTCCAACCCCCTGTGCTTTCCCTTAATGTCCTGCTCTTCCAGACACTCCAGTAACTTCCTTGCCCAACCTGTTGGCTTCCATGGCAAGTGCTCCTGGAAAACCTGATCGGCCCCTGCTCCTCTAAAGGGGTTCTGACACACGCTCCCCTTCAAGTTGCTATAGGACATCAGACACCAAGATTGTGGGCAATTACTACCATAAATAAATGCACAAGAATACCACGGTTCTGTTTGAAGAAAGTGATTAGGATTCAAGACCGTCTACACATAACGGTCTATATAATGGCTTCTTGCTTAGACTTGGTCACTTCCAGAGTCTTCTGTCCACCTCTCTCCCATCCCCCTCCTGCTTCCCCATTAGTTTAGTAAAATGTGCTTTGCAGAGAGCCCAGTTAGTGCCTTCCTACAACTGAGGATTAATGAGGCAGCAGAGAGGTCCAGGCCCCCACTTATTGTCCCTCCCATCCACTGGGCAGTTCCTCCACTCCACTGAGTCAGGAAGGAGAAAATTCTAACCACCAGGACTATTTTTTTTTTTTAACATCAAAGTCCTGCTGAATGTAAAATGGTACCATTACTATGGAAAACAGTTTGGTGGTTCCTCAAAATGCTGAACATTGAATTACCATATGACCCTGAAATTCCACTCCTAGGTATATGCCCAAAAGAACTGAAAACATATTTAAACAAAAATCTGTACATCAATATTCATAACAGCACTGTTCACAGTAGCCAAAAAGTGGAAACAGCTCAATTGTCCATCAATGAGTGAATGGATTAATAAAATGTATGTACATACAATGGAATAGTATTCAGCCATGAAGAGGAATGAAGTATTGATACAAACTATAATCCAACATATATTATATATAAAATACAACATAAATGAACCTACAAAACATTAAGGTAAGTGAAAGAGGCTAACTAGTTGATCATAATAATGATGATAATGAGAATGATAACTTATGATAGTGAAGATGACTATGATGATGGAAGAAAGAGGCTTAAAGGGGGTCCCACAAGTCTAGACAATATAGCATCCCTAGATTCCCTGGAGCAGGACAATATTTCTGAGCAATCCTAAGCCTTGAGCCACTTTGACCCCACTGTTGGTGCAGCCTTGCCCAGATCAGGGTTGGTAAGTAACAGAATCCAAGTTTGTCCAGTATCAGAGCCAACAATAATTCAACTGCACCTCAGGCTCCCTAAAATGGCAGTAAAGTTTTACAATTATAGCTCTGGGATCACAGAACTTCTTAGACATATATATATAATGAGAACATTCACTAATACTGAGTGCTTCGTATATACCTGGCACTGTTCTATGTGATTTATATATGTTAAGTTGTTAATTCCCACTGAAGTCTTGTGAACTAGGCATTGTTATTAGTCTCATTTCATAGATGAAGAAACTGAGGAACAGAGAGATAACATTTGTGTCCAAGACCTTATAGCTGTCAGGCAGCAGCGTCTGGATTGACACCCAGAGAGAAGGCTGCCACCAGGCCTCTGAAAGAGCTTACTGGGCAGGCACCTGCGTGATTACTTCTGGCTCTTCTCCTCCCTTGTAGAATCCCAACATGCTTCTCTTTTGTTCTTTCAGGGAGACCATGTCCTCCAACATCTGGCCCGGCTACCTTTGGCACCAAAACTGTATACATACCCTAGAGCAGAGACTTACTGAGTTTCCTTGATGGTATTTTTGTGCTGTTTCCTACATCAGGATATAAATACAACAAAACAATAGCTTGTCTTTTCATTTGCCTTTGCTGTTGTCTGTGCGATGAGCTCTGGGTGAAAGGACACTGGGACAGTATACAAATAGCTTTGGCTCTGAAGGTAAAGGCTTTTCTTTGCCACTGCAGGAAGTTCAAAAGAGATTTGTTCTTTTTTTGGGGACTGGGTGAGAGAGACTGATTCACGATTTTATTTTATTAGCGAGTTCAAGAGGCCTGGGATATTCATCTTGCAATGCTGTTTTGCATTTGTCTTTCTCCTTCATTCTCCAGAAAACCAGTAACACTAGGCTATAAAGCCATGAAGCTTCCCAGTTGGTGAATTCGGGGTGCTGGGGACCTAGATAGGGAAGAAGTTACTAGTCTGAAGAGGGCCTAGATGTGGCTTCAGTAATACCTACTCTAATACTTTCCCCTCCCCATTTTACAGATGAGGGAATTCAGTCCCAAATGGCAAAGAGACAGTTACCTTCCTAGGTCGGTAGTAGATGCAGAACTTAAGCCCTGGCCAGTCCCCTAGTTCTATATTCAAAGTTTTTCCCTGCCATGGAACCTTCCTCTCCACTGCCCCTGAAAGAAGTAGAGCACTGTTAGAAGAGTCAATGGATGCCAGGCCTGGCAGAGGTCAGGCTGACAGCAGATGTCAGAGGTGGTAGAAGCCAGAAGGGCCAGGGACAAAGTTTAAGGCTGTGGTCATAAAGCAGAATGTCTAGTCTCTGCACTGATGGGTCCCAATTTCAGAGACAGGTGGAGTGGTTCAAAAATCTCAATTGCTTATTAAGAGAATAATTGCTCTGGAAGTCATCATGCAAGGTGGCTGAAATGGGGGAGTGTATTAATCCATTCTCACACTGCTAATAAAGACTTACCCAAGACTGGGTAATTTATAGAGGAAAGAGATTTAATTGACTCACAGTTCAGCATGGTTGGGGAAGCCTCAGGAAACTTACGATCATGGTGGGAGGGGAAACAAACATGTTCTTCTTCACATGGTGGCAGCAAGGAGAAGAGCTGAGCACAAAGGGGGAAAGCTGCTTATAAAACCATCAGATCTCATGAGACATTCAGTATCACAAGAACAGCATGAGGGTAACCACCCCCATGATCCCACTGAATCCCTCCCATGACACATGGGGATTACGATTATGGGAACTACAACTCAAGATGAGATTTGGGTGGGGACAAAGCCAAACCATATTAGAGAGTATGATGTTCCTTCACTGGGAACCAGTGGTATTTCTGGTACTATGCAGGGAATTTCAGTGTATTATCTCATTTAATTCCCAGAACAACTCCATCATGTAAGTTTTATTAAACTCTTTTCACAGCTGAGGAGACTAAGGCTGAGAGAGGTCTCACAGCCAAAAAATATCAGGACAAACATATGATTATGAGTTCATTTGACTTTAAAGTTAGGAGGCTCTCCATTAAGCCATATGGCCCAAAATAAGACTGGGGTCTCTTATCTCAGAACTTTGGACTTCCGCCACGGACTTTTCCTTCCAAAAGAAATTTTTAAATTGCTATTGATATATTATCCATTTTTCTTAGATTTAGTCCCAATAGGACTAGTGGGAAGTTGGAAAATTCCTATGGGATGGTGTGGCTCTTCCTCTGACCTTGTTTAAGACACGCTAGTGAGAGGTGACAACCTGCTAGCAGCCCTTGCTCGCTCTCAGCACCTCCTCGGCCTCGGCGTTTGCTCTGGCCACTCTTGAAGAGCCCTTCAGCCTGCCACTGCACTGTGGGAGCCCCTCTCTGGGCTGGCCGAGGCTGCAGCCAGCTCCCTCTGCTTGCGGGAAGGTGTGGAGGGAGAGATGTGGGTGGGAACCGCAGCTACGTGCCTCCTGGTGGGTGTGAGCTCGGCGTGCCCTGCACTCGGGGCAGCCAGCTGGCGCCACCGGCTCGGGCAGTGAGGGGCTTAGCACCCAGGCCAGCAGCTGCGGAGGGGGCGCTGGGTCCCCCAGCACTGCCAGCTCGCCCACACAGTGCTTGAATTCTTGCCAGGCCTCAGCCGCTGCCCCCTGCTCCGTGGCTCCTGGTCCCAAGGGCTGAGGAGTACAGGTCAGCAGCGAGGGACTAGCGGGCAGCTCTGCCCGGGGCCCTGGTGCGGGATCCACTAGGCGAAGCCAGCTGGACTCCTGAGTCTGGTGGAGACTTGGAGAACTTTTATGTCTAGCCAGAGGATTGTATATGCACCAACCAGCACTCTGTGTCTAGCTCAGGGTTCGTGGATGCACCAATCAGCACTCTGTATCTAGCTTATCTGGTGGGGACTTGGAGAACTTTTAAGTCTAGCTAAAGGATTGTAAGTACACCAATCAGCACTCTGTGTCTAGCTCAGGGATTGTAAACGCACCAATCAGCACCCTGTCAAAACGGACCAATCAGCTCTCTGTAAAACGGACCAATCAGCTCTCTGTAAAATGGAACAATCAACTCTCTGTAAAATGGGCCAATCAGCAGAATGTGGGTGGGGTCAGATAAGGGAATGAAAGCAGGCTGCCCGAGCCAGCAGCGGCAACCTGCTGGGGTCCTCTTCCACGATGGAGTTTTGTTCTTTTGCTCATTGCACTAAATCCTGTTGCTGATCCCTGTTTGGGGCCGCACTGCCTTTATGAAATGTAACACTCACGGAGAAGGTCTGCAGCTTCACTCCTGGGGTTGGCCAGACCACAAACCCACCAGGAGGAATGAACAACTCCAGACAGGAGGAACGAACTACTCCAGATGCACCACCTTAAGAGCCTTGACACTCACTGTGTAGGTCTGCAGCTTCACTCCTGAAACCAGCCAGACCACGAACCCACCAGAAGGAAGAAATTCCAGACACATCATAACATCAGAAAGAACAAATTCTGGACACGCCATCTTTAAAAACTGTCACACTGCGAGGGTCTGCAGCTTCATTCTTGAAGGCAGTGAGACCAAGAATCCACCAATTCTGGGCACATTAGGGGAATGTCTCTGCCTCTAGGCCATTCAACAGACCATGGGGTGGGGAAGATGCAGGCTTGTCCTCTACCCTGTGACTGTCTGGGCCACCTAAGAGAGGTAGCCTGGAGGAGTGGCCAGGAGCAGAAACTTTGGCATCACACTGCCTGAGATGATACCTGCTATTATTTACCAGTTTTGGGGCCTTGGATAAGGTATGTGGACTTTCTATGCCTTATTTCTTTCATCTGTAAAATGGGGTAATAATACTACCTGCTTCATAGGATTTTGAGAGAATTAAACCAGTTAATATATGTAAAGGGTGTAGAGGATTGCCTGGCTCACCGTAAGTAGATTGAGCATCATTATTAATATGCTTCCAGGAGCCATTTTTCCTAAGTCTTGGATTTAATAACAACCAGGGACTGAATAACAACCAGAATCCTGGAACCAGCTACCACTTTTATTGAGCACCTAATCTCTTTGCTAGGAATGCTTTGTACGTACCACGTGTAACCCATAGAGATGTTAGATAAACATTATTATCTCCATTCTACAAACAAGGAAATGGAGGCATCGAAAAGTCAAGTGACTTGCCCCAGCTTACATGACCAGAAGGTGCCAAGCTGGTGTCTGAATCTACATCAGTCAGGCTACAGGGTCTCTCCACTGGCTCAGCTACTTCTCCAACGCTGGGTTGGTGGTTTCCAGCAAAAGTCATCTTTAAACATAATGTCTTTTTTTAATTTTTCATTGTATTTTTTTATTTTTTTGGAAGAAATGGGTAGTTAAAAAGTAAGCAGTGTGACTGTAATCAGATGTTCTCTAATTTGCCCCTTTGAAAAGAAAATTAAGGTGGAGGAGCATTGTCATTTAGTAGGAGCTGCTGAGGCCAGACAGTGTCCACTCTGGGCTGTGCATCGCCTTCCTGGGAATCTAGCCTGGACTGACTTAACCTCAGCCCACATGTACAGTAACCAAGCAAATTGAGGTCGATGACCAAGTTAAACACATTTTCATGGATTCAGGACCCTTGCTCTCAAAAAAGAGGTTTAAAATGATATTGATCCAAACCTCTTTGTTGTACAATGTTCTGGTACAGGAAACTGGTGATGATGATAGTGATGGTAATAATAAAAATGACAGATGGCTCTCTTATAAGAGCTTATGGAGGGCCAGGCACTGTGCTGCATGCTTTACACATATCATCCCATTTAATCCTCACAACTGTCTTTTAGAGCCCCTTTTATGGATGATGAAATTAAGACTTAGAGAAGGACAGTCCCTCATTCAGGTCACATAGTGACATGTGGAGTCAGGATTCACATTCCTGCTGAACTCCTAAACTCCTAAGGTTACATGCCTTCTGCACTCTTTGAAAAGGGTCTTTCTTGACCTAAGTCAAAAAGAAACATGCAAACTCTAGTTGTCCCAAAAAGAGATGGAGTCACCTATTCCCTCAACTCCAAAAGTCACTTGAATTCTGCCTTGAATTCTTGAACTTTGGGAAGAGATGGCAGGTTCTACCTGAATCTCTCAAACACTTTTAAAAGTGGAAGAATTATAGCAAAATATCAATTATTGACAAATGTTCTAATTGTCCTTGAATGTTCGTCAATCAACAAAGTCCTACCTAAATAGGTTCTCTCCTTCCTAATAGATCCTGGGGTAAGAGTTAAGCATTCTAATTTGCTCTTTTGTTCTGAGTTAGCTGGAAATTTTGCCACCAGTATTAAAACAAGAAGAATAAATTTATATGTGGAAACACTTTTACTTCCCAATACTCTAGAGTACTGTTACAATGAGACAGCAAAGTTATCCGTTTATTCATCCGATCATTTAATTGACATTTATGGAGTGCCTAGTATTTTCTCAATACTGCGCTAGAGGTGCTGGGAAGAGAGAGATAAAAATAAATGATACTCTCTTGTTCTCAAGTTGCTTGCAAATTTGCATGCATTGGTTCTAGTTTGGATTTTGCCAAATCCAAGGAAAAGGATCTTCAGCTGGTCCCGCAAAGCAAGCTCCAGAGAAACTCAACCGCAGAATTCCATTACTTGTATAGCTTTCTGGGTATGAAAAACAGTAAGAGGAACTATCACAACTCTAGGGTTTTTTAAGGCATGAATCATAAACCAGATCAACAGGTATGGTGACGGGCTTGCCAGTTTAGCAATTGTCTCTATAAAAGGAGAGAACTACTTGATCAGAAGGAAATGCCAACGCTCGCCCCCACCCCACAGCCCTCCCACGTGAAGCTCAACCTCTCAGAGTGCTGTTGAGATGCTGTCTGTTTTGTTTTGATTCCAGCTCCCTCTCTACCCAGCTGAGCCACATAGAGAGAATGAAGCCTGCCATTTTGCACACAGTTTTGCCTTTGCGGCTGTTTATTTTGCTAAGACTCTTAAACCTGTCAGCGAAGCGGTTTCCAGCCCAGTCTCTGTGGTAATAATCTCCCTTTCTAAGAGATAAGCACCCCGAGTGAGACAGATTGGAAGACAAACTAACACACCAAAGTTGCTGAGTACACACGACTCTTTAAAGATGGCCTCATTCACTACTCAGGCTTTATTAACTTCAAAAAAGAAAAAGAACAACAACAAAAAAGTCGAGCTTGGAGGTTTCAGAAACTCCCTAAGAAATTACTAGAAACCCCTCAGTGGAAAATGCCAATGCATGCACACATGTCTGACCCAGACCCACATTTCTTGCAGTACAAGGGCTGATGGAGAAACATCAGCAGGGAAGACCTGTTGGGGAGCTGGAGGGACAGGACCTCTTGACAAGCCTAGAGTTTACTCAGACGTCCCAAGTTCTGAGATATAAACCAAGTTTTATCCCCAGAAAACCAAACCAAACACTCAGATGAAAAAATGCCACTTCTCAATTTTCTAAAATCAAATTAAATCTTACTTTGCATCCCCTTTTCTCCAGGGCAGGAAATTTATTCTTGGTCATTAGGAAGGAACTCCTTACCAAAGATAATGCTAGATCCTTTTGGCAGGGTTCTTGTCCATCTTCCATGGCCTGTTTAGAAGTCATTGAACTTTTTTGTTTTGCTGCTTAAATCTTGATTTTATTCAACTGTGGGACAGCAACATACTCAGGGAAGGTGGGCCCTTCCCCAAGCTCAGGCAAATGGAACGTGGTTAGTTTAACCTGAAACTGTGCAGCAAACCTACCTTTCCTTCCACCTGCAGTGTGGGATGGGCATGTGACTGTGGATTTCTGGGATCTTCCATAGGGTGGGAGTGACGCAGGGCAAGTGAGCCCCCAAGTGGAGCTTAGCCTATAAGAGTTCTTGGCTTTGCCCAGGAAATAATTCAAGGGTGGGCCGGTGGTAGGGTAGAAGAAAACAGCTTTGTTGAAGCGGCAGTGTCACAGCTCTGTGACTGCTCCTGCAGAGCAGGGTTATCCTATAGGCAGTGTGTCCAGAGTAGCAGCTCAGTACAGTCTTGCAGTCATATTTATACCTGCTTTTAATTACATGTAGACTAAGGGGTGGTTTATGCAGAAATTTCCAGAGAAGGGGTGCTAACTTTTGGACCATCAGGCCATTGGCATGGAAAGAGTGGTAATTCCCTGTTGTTGCCATAGTGATGGTAAACTTACATGGCATGCTGGTGGGCTGTCTCATGGAAAGCTGCTTCTGCCTTGTCCGTGTTTTAGCTAGTCCTCAATTTGGTCCAGTATCCAAGCCCCACCTTCTACCTCAGGAGGAGAGTGTGAGAGGGGAATTTCCTATTTAATTAAAACAAAGGCATGTGAGGCAAAACTCCATTCTTTCCTTCCTTTTGAGCACATCCATGTGAGGCACGATGCTTGGACCTGCAGCAGCAGCCATCTTGTTGTTAGGAGGGGAAAGGAGAGCATCACCAAGAAGCCGCAGCCTCCTGACAGTGTTATGTTGCTGAGGTTACCTCTCTGGAACCTCTTGATGTGTACCATGAAGAACCCTTGATGTTCAAGGCTGTTCTAATTGGGTATTCTATTACTCACTAAAAGCAGCTTCCATTATACAATCTTTGAAGTCCTGAACACTGAGGACAGTGTGGTCTTCTGTGGTCCACCCTGTGGTTTTCCATCCGTGCTGGTCACCACTGATAATGTCTGAGCCCTCATCGTCTCCTGTGCAAACGTGCTTCACTGTTTTGGTGCCAAACGTGAGTAAGGTGGGGGACCTCTGCTGACGATTGCCCCCCCAAAGCCTAGTGTTCAGTGTCCCTGGGGCACCACACAGCCACTGCTCAGTCACTGTCCTGGGCTGCATTCAGGAGCCCACAGGAAAGCTCCTGCGTGGCAGTAATGCTGCGGTGACCTTGCCTCCAAGATCAGCTTGGGTGAAGAGGTTTTGATGTTGTCAGGCCTTCCTACGGCTTTTAGTAATAGGCAGTTGTCACTGGTAACAGATTCTCTGTCCTCAATTCATTCACTCAAAGCTAAGAAACTGGGTCCTGAGGCAACAGTCGGACCAGGCTTTAAAATGACCTCTGGAAATTTGAAGTAATGGTTTGGTTGAATAACTGCCTAGAAAAACACTGGGTTCTCTCCCTCCGCTTACCCCACCCACCCTACTCCATTCAGGATCTGCACAGCCACGAATCTGTTATGCGGATGCATTTTCAGTGCTCCCTCCCTCTTTCACAAGATATCTCCCCTTCAAGGACTCTCCCAGTGGCCAAGGACTTAAAAGCAAAAACAAACTGAATAAAGTTTCCATTTATCTTGAAAAGCTAGCCATCGAGTGGATTAAAGGGAGATCGAAAGACCTAGAAAGGTAAACCAAAGGTTAAGGATTCTTTTCTCTCCACACTGGAACTTCTTCATGTTACAGTTGATGGTCCATGGCTCAATAAGCTATGAGCCACTTCTGGTTCCTCAGAACGGTGCTTTTAGAAGCAGAGCTGTTACATGTCAATAAGCGTAACATTTGCCTGAAGAGCTTTTTTGGTTTAAAAGCATGTTTCTGGAGCCTAACTTCTTGCGATTCGAATTCCTCAGGCCTGGGATGGGGCCTGGAGAACTTGTTTTATGTTCAGCCAGCCCAGGCCATACTGACTGAGTAGTTCCCGAGTCCACACTGAGATACGCTGTCCTGCCCCTTGGAGCCAGGCATTTCATTTGGTCAAACGCAGCCTCCACCTTCTTCTCATTATAAGTAGCCTCTTAATTAAAGAAAAGAAAAAAAAAAAAAACAGAGTTAAAATAGTTCAACCTGAGGTTTTGCCAAAGCACTCAGCAAAAATGTTTGTTGATTCCAGAATCTAAAACGCTAAATGAGGGTCAAAAATGAACCTCAAATTACATTTGAGAGGAGACTTCCTACAGTTACTCCATCTTTTGTAGGAACTAATCGGAGCTGGTGTTCTCTAGCACACACTTTTTGGCAGCTTCATAAACTGTGTTTGAGGTTTCCCTAATTCTCCTGGCACCCCAGGGAACGGCCTAGGGAGCTCTTCCATGCAAATGAATAGTTTTCCTTATCTGGTTCTCAGAAGTTCCCCTTTCTGATGAAAACCACTCTGAAATTGGTTACAGAGCAGGGGCTGGATGAGAGGCCCCAGCTAGCCAGCCAGCACCTCTAAATAAACAGAAGGGGTCACATGATTTATCGGGTGATGAGTGTTTGCTGGAAAGCATGTGGCGTGAGGTGACTGTCCAGTCGGAGGGAGTGGGGGAAAAAAGGCACAAACATGCAGCAGAAAACTCCTACTTGCTTTTAAGGGAAACTCCCCTCCTGTAAGGACAGTCCCCGGGAGGCCCTTTATGAACCAGGCGAGGAGGAACGTTGTGGTTTTATGTGGGGGGCTGAGCTGGATGGGACAGGCTGGGAAGACGCCAGTGATCTGGGAGCAGGCAACTGTCTCCTAGAAGAGTCTCTTTTCCAAATGTTTCCCCAGCGTCTTCTCAGATACTCCTGTTTAATGGGGTCCTTCCTGTGATCTGGTCAGGTTTTCTATTGGTAACCTGAAAAATATTTGCTTGATACTTGAGCGATCACTCACTTGACAGAAGAACCTACTTATCCAAGGCTTTTGGGGTGGGAGGTGACAGAGGGAAGGGCTAGGGATGGAGGTGGACAGGGTCAAGCTGGCAAGTTAAAAGAGAGAGTGGCAATGGTTACACAGGCTCTGGTCAACTGCAAGGCAAGACTATCCGGGCTGATTATAGCGATCATTGAGCTGCTTTACCCAGTACTGACTAAAATTCCAAATGCTTAATATCCATTCTCAGGGGTCAACCACGGTTGATAAATTTCAGCATAATGCTCATATCTTTCCTACTGAGGACTGAAATGTCCTTATCTCTAAAATAACCTCTACAAATTAAGGAGAAAAATCAAAGAATGCCCAAAAGATAGGAACATACAATTCATAGAAAAGAAAATACAAACGGCTGTTAAAAACAAGAAAAGATGTTTGACTTCTGTGAAATCAATTTACAATTATTTCAAAATAGATGATTTTTAGAAGGTGGTTAAGTTTCACTCATAATGAGAGAAAAGCAAAAACTACATGAACTGGAAAGAAGTATAAAATGGGGGTTACTGGGCTCTCAGTCCTGTCCTGTTTCTTGACCTGGGTGCTGATCACATTGTGTGTTTAATTTGTGAAGACATTGAGCTACACACTTAGGATCAATATATCTTTATAAATATATTTAAATTTTAAAAATTTAAAAAGTACATTGGAATTCCATTTTTTTACCTGAGTGTCAAAGATAAACATGATAACACATGATACTGAAAGGGATGTAGAAAAATAGATACTCTCATAGATAAAAATTATAACACAATATTGAAAAGGATGTGAAGAAATACACACTTTCATACATTGTTAACAGGAATATAAATGGTACAGTTTCTATGGAGGGCAAATAGACAATATCTATCAAATATACCAATAAACATACCTTTTGACATAGCAATTCCACTTCTAAAATTTCTCCTACTCACACATGTACCAAATGATATGAATACAATGTCATTCTCTAACATAGTGTTAGTAATAGCAAAAGATCAGAAACAAACTAGATGTCCATTTTAAGGAGGCAGGCTAAATAAATCACTGTAGTTCTATAAAATGGAACATTACACAACTGTAAAAAAAGGAATTGGAAACTCTTGATGTTCTGCAGAATAATCTCCAAGATATATTGTTGCATTGAAAGAAAGGGAAGTATAGAAAGAAAAGCATATGTAGTATTCTATCATTTGAAAAGGTAAGGGGAAAATTATACATATCCTCACTGACATATAAATAAAACCATCTCTGGAAGAATATACAAGAAACTGGTAACATAGCTTTCAGGTGGGAGAACTGAACATTTGGGGAACAAGATTTGGAGGGAGACTTTTGCCATATTTCTTTTGAAACTTGAATTTTGAATTACATGAAGGTAAAATCCAGTCCAAAAATAAATGACGTTTAAAATCTTAAGCCTGGATTTTTTGTGCTATGTAATATCTTGACTTTTTAATTATTATTTGGACTCCACTTTCATATTTCTCTCTCTTACACTTTGTCATAAACCATCCCATCGTCAATTACATCTGTGAAGAGCAGGGAAAATTCTACCTTATAAGATCTGCACATCAATTATGATAAGACCTGACTTCAGAAATGTTTAACTGGGAAAATCACATGCCATCTAGAATGGAGAAAATCCGTTAATCTGCTTTGCTGACTTATCAGGCCCCAGACCATGAACTACCATCACATGGCAATCAGCGACATTTTTCCCTCCTGTTCAGTATCATTTACTAAGTAGCAGTACAGTCCATTAGCCTTTGGTCTGCCATGACTACTGTATCATTTTCTGCTATTCCCACTTGCTTCCTGAATAGGCTCTTGTTTCCTCTTTTCTGGGTAGTCTGTTTATTCTCCCTCAATTGTGCTATCTCCTGCATCTCACTAATGAGCTTCATCCTGTTTTTGACAGACCATTCTCTGTTTCGACAAGGTAAAATTGATCAGTGAATTAAACACATGTGAAACATCTCCAAATACAAACCCACTACAGGGAAAGATTTAAATGCTGTCCATTTCCTTGCCGATAATAACTTGGAAGGCAATTTTAATAGCCAGACGGATGCTGAATGGAGAGCTCTGTTTAAACTGTGTCTTCCATAAATAGAAACAAAGTGCAGACATCCTGCCTCTTAACTTGACTTCTTTTGTCATCTAAAGCTTTCAGAAGTATGCCTTTATTTGTTTTCTTGATTTATCTCTTTCCTTCTACTGCAAATGAGACTACAGCCAGGGAGCACCCACAGCAGGACTAGGGCTGAAAGGACTCCCCCTCAATTATCTGTCACTAGGAGACCCCCATGACACCTTGGGCCACCCCTTAATATCTCACTGCCTTGTGAAGATGAGCCAGGTGAATCTTTCATTTGAATTGCGAATTTGATCACTTGACTCCAAAATGAGACATTCCATTCAACCAAATGGACATTCCTTATGAACCAGGCAAAGTGGGAGTTCAGGTAATCCAAAAACCTGAAATTGCATTTTTAAGTTTTGTCTCTCAGACTCAGAAACTTTCAGAAATAAAAAGATGTTAGAAATGATTTAGACTCGGCTAGGCGCAATGGCTCATGCCTGTAATCCCAGCACTTTGGGAGGCCGATGTGGGGGGATCATGAGGTCAGGAGCTCGAGACCAGCCTGACCAACATGATGAAACCCCATCTCTACTAAAAATACAAAAATTAGCTGGGCGTGGTGATGCAAGCCTGTAATCCCAGCTACTCAGGAGGCTGAGGCAGGAAAATCGCTTGAACCAGGGAGGCGGAGGTTGCAGTGAGCCAAGATTGCGCTACTCCAGACTGGGTGACAGAGTGAGACTCCCTCTCAAAGAAAAAAAAAAGAGATGATTTAGACTTTTAGACTCAGAATTGATAACCTGAGGCTCTTAGAAAGCTCCAGAGTGCACGAATGGACTCACGGATTCTCTCAGTCCTGGTGGGCTAGGATATGCTGTGGAAATCTGTCTGAAACTGGTGGGTTCTTGGTTTCACTGACTTCAAGAATGAAGCTGCGGACCCTCACAGTGACTGTTACAGTTCTTAAAGGTGATGTGTCCGGAGTTTGCTTCTTCTGATGTTCGGACATGTTCGGCGTTTTTTCCTTCTGGTGGGTTCATGGTCTCGCTGGCTTCAAGAGTGAAGCTGCAGACCTTTGCACTGAGTGTCACAGCTCATAAAAGCAGTGCAGACCCAAAGCCTGAGCAGCAACAAAATTTATTGCAAAGAGCAAAAGAACACAGCTTCCACCAACATGGAAGGGGACCCAGTGGGTTGCCACTGCAAGCTGGGGCAGCCTGCTTTTATTCCCTTATCTGGCCCCACCCACATCCTGGTGATTGGTCCATTTTACAGAGAGCTGATTGGTCTGTTTTACAGAGAGCTGATTGGTCCATTTTGACAGGGTGCTGATTGATGCATTTACAATCCCTGAACTAGACACAAAAGTTCTCCAAGTCCCCACTAGATTAGCTAGACACAGAGCGCTGATTGGTGCATTCACAAACCCTGAGCTAGACACAGGGTGCTGATTGGTGCATTTACAAACCTTGAGCTAGACACAGAGTGCTGATTGGTACATTCACAATCCCTTAGCTAGACATAAAGGTTCTCCAAGTCCCCACTATACTCAGGAGCCCAGCTGGCTTCACCCAGTGGATCCCGCACCAGGCCGCAGGTGGAGCTGCCTGCCAGTCCAGCACCGTGTGCCCGCACTCCTCAGCCTTTGGGTGGTGGATGGGACCAGGCACCATGGAGCAGGGGGTGGTGCTCGTCCGGAAGGCTCCGGGGGCGCAGGAGCCCACGGCGCAGGGGAGGCTTAGGCATGGGGGGCTGTGGGTCCTGAGCCCTTCCCCGTGGGGAGGCAGCTGAGGCCCGGCGAGAATTCGAGGGCAGTGCCGGTGGGCTGGCACTGTTGGGGAACCCGGCGCACCCTCTGCAGCTGCTGGCCCAGGTGCTAAGCCCCTCACTGCCCAGGGCCAGTGGTGCCGGGAAGCTGCTCTGAGTGTGGGGCCTGCCGAGCCCACACCCACCCGGAACTTGTGCTGGCCCGCAAGGGCAGCATGCAGCCCCAGTTCCCGCCCGCGTCTCCCTCCACACCTCCCAGCAAGCAGAGGGAGCTGGCTGCGGCCTTGGCCAGCCCAGAGAGGGGCCGCCACAGTGCCGGGGCGGGATGAAGGGCTCCTCAAGCACGGCCAGAGTGGGCGCGGAGTCCGAGGAGGCACTGAGAGTGAGTGAGGGCTGCGAGGGCTGCCAGCACGCTGTCACCTCTCAGTAACAAACACTTTGAGAATCTCAGTGGCTTCAAAGCAACAAAGGCTCATTTTGTACTCATACCACATGATAATACAGGGTTGGCTGGGACATTGCTCCTGCATCATCAACATACTCCTGGACATGATAGAAATGCAATATCAGGAATATTGCTGGCATCAATGCAGAAGGAAAGAGAGCTAAGCTCTTAATTCTTCAACCTAGAAGGGGGACCCTTTGCATCCCATTGGCCAATGCCTGAGTTCAGTTGGGGTAAAGAAGTATAGCCCTTCTGCCAGGAGGATAACTACTTGGAGAACTGTTTACTGTAAGGTCCACAAACCCTTAAAATTGTATGCAGAATTATATGTTAGCAGACATATGTGCATGCTTCTGGGAGCAGTTCTGCAGCTTTCAGCCTCTTCCAAAAAGAGTCGTTAACCATTCCTTCCCCACCCCTCACAAAGTTGAGAACCAATGGTTTTAGTCCAAATTCCTTATTTTACAGATGGAAGAACTTGAAAGCCAGATCTTTAAACGACTTGCCAAAAATCAAAACGATGTCCCCAAACTTGCCAAAACAACTGTTAATTGGGAGCAGAAGCAGCCCCTAAGACTGTATCAGGGAAAGGCCACCCTTTCAGGCACAGCAGAAGGCTCCAGCCTCCGCTTAACCAGCTCTCTGCATCCAAATTTAATTTAGAGAGGAAGAAAAGAGGTCATGGGAAGGGTCTTTGTTTCCTGTAGGTTTCAAATCCCAAATGGAGGTTGGAAACTGGTAGAGGATCCTCCTTGGAAACTTTTGAAAAATAACTTGTTTGAAAATATTTCAATGCCAAGAAAAACGTGACCCCTGGTCCCTGTCCCCTACTGTTCGCCTTTCCCTTCGGCCCTCTTTCCTTGTGTCAGGTAACCTGGGCTTCCATCATATTCTTCCAGCTTCCTCATGTCTCAACTGAGCTTCCCGTTGGGGACCAACAAAAGACATTATCCTGGAAGAACTGTTTTTTCCATCTCTTTTCATAACTCCATTTCCTTTCCGGAAGACCATGTGTTTTCCTTAATTCATTTCAGCTCCCCATCCTGCCTCCTCCCTTTTTCCCCCCACCTCCATCTCAGGCTGGAATATCACTCAGCTTCTCAACCAGCGTGGCAATGTTTCATTTCGGCCTTCCAAACAAACAGAAGTTGATGAGTCTCCTCTTCTGATTCTCCAGCATGAAGACCCTCTCCTTTGACCACTGCCGCCAATACCAGGATGTATGGGAAGAGTTGGCAATTTATCTACGTTCTCGATTCTCTTTTCTCTTCCTCTTCACTCGGTTAACTATTTTCTCAGCATATCCCTCATTTGCTGTCCGTTTTCTATGATGGACTTTTGTCAGGCCATGGTGGGGGACCAGGAAAACCAAACATTATTTGTATAACAGGTAGAAGTTATTATATATCAGCATAGAAGGCAAAGATGAACTGAGACCAATAACTATGTGATGGCAGGAAGCCTAGAATTCAGGGACATCTGCCTTCAGGTTTTGTGGAGCCTGAAGTATTTGGGGACCTCAATAAGAAAAATAATTTAAAATTGCGAGAAGGTAGTCAGGCATCAAAGTAAATATTTGTTTAGACATTAATTTAATTACAAGTGAATATGTGTTTATAATTCCTCATCCTCCCCTCCACATCAACCCCTTACAGGACATCAAGTATAAGGGAGGGGACACTGGAGTGGAAACAGGCAGCAGTCTTAGCCAATTAAAGTAAAAATATACTGTATTTGCAAATTTGACAAAAATGCACAATCACATGAACACCTTGCTAGGGCTTCTCCAAAGGTCTTGGGAAGGCGCCCCTGCAAGTGAGTGGCCCTAAAGTGTAAGATTCACTAAATTTGAGAGTCAGACTGTGTTGGAGATAGATGTAGCCAAAATATCTGGAAGGTGAAACAGGTCAAGAAGCCAGCAATCAGTACCTAAAGTCTCAGGCAAGATCCAATATTTATAATTTTTTTTTATGTCAGCTCTAGTTTTTTTCCACTCCCCCTCCCCTCCAATTTTTTTTTTTTTTTTTTTTTTTTTTTTTTTTTACTGCTAATGGCTTAATGCCCCAAGCCTCTAAGGACTTACATTTTGACAAAAGGTAAGCCAATTAAGGAACTCTTCCCAAAGAAGTGATTTTCAGTGCCACCAATATTGAGAGGAGTGAAGATTTCAGGAGTTGGGGACATTGTGTCTTCTCCAGATTCCCTCCAATCACACCAGGGACTCCTGGAAGCAGAATGGAGGGATAATGAAGTTTTCCATACGGAGTCCTGGACAGCCTTTAAGTGAATTAAGAGCATAGCGTATAAGAAAGGAAGGACAAATTGCATTCTTTGCATGTACACTGAAGGCTGATCCTGAAAACACCTTATGATGCTTTCTCCCCACCACATATTCAGATTTATTCTACTCTGAATTACTACATGGATTTTCCCATTCATAAGGTAAAAAGATAAAGAGATACCCTCTCCCTTCCACTCAAGAATGGTTGAGAATGGGAAGAATTTTCTTAGAGAAAAATTCCAACTCTTCCAATTGTTGGAAGAATTTTGTTCAGCGAAAATGGTATAAAGGAAGAAAAAAATTAACCTCAAAGCCAGTAAGGGAAAGTATGAAAATGATAAGTTTGGGTCAAATATCTGTTACAACCCATGATTCTTTCTAATTCATGGGGTTTTTTTCTAAGTCCAATATCAGACTGTGGTTCTTATCTAGGGGAGACATCCTTTGGTACTTGTTCTTTAGAACTGTGCTTATCAACACTTTTCTCGAGTAGCATGGACCTGTGTTCTTATTTAGGCACAAATGGGATGCTTGTTCCCACATACGGTCCTGCACAGAAGTTCCTGCCCTTGCCCTAAGGCCTGGCCCAATGCATATGGAGACTAACTGGTAACACACCTATGATCTGACTATCAAAGTCTTAGTCACGCCACCAGATAGCAACTTCCTTGCTTCATAAGCTTTAGCATGTCTTCCTTCACAGAAACAAGACAACATTTACAGGGAAATTCCAAATGTAGGTGATCCATTAACTCACTTAAAAACAGTCTCTTATTTCCAGGGCAATGGAAAGAGATTATTTTCTTCCAGTCTAAATATAGGCACAAATGAGAACTGAAACCACAGGGCTGATAACAATACTGTGGTTGATTCTTTTAAAGTCACTATCAGCAGGAAGAGCCAATGGGAGTGTTCAGTGAGGGAGTGGGGGTGGGAGAGGGTCAGAGAGACAAGGAAGCAGCCAGGTGCCAAAGTCGAAAGCATCATTTGACTTTAATCCTGTTCTAGAAACTCTGGTTGACATCTAAGTAAAGTCTGTTTTTATTTTGGAAGAAAATCACTCTTGTTTATTTGGGAAAATATTTTTATAAATTAGTTAAGTCAAACAATTTCTGAGTAATCCTAAAATTTGAGGTACTTGAGTGGCTTATGAGACTATACAAGTGAAGAGTGTATTAAAATAGAGATCTAAATACTAGACTTAGGAGCAACCAAGTCCTATTAATTGAAAAGACTGCTAGATTGGGGTAGGGTGGGGAGGGGCTTTCTAGTATCCTGAAACTGGGAAAAAAATCAGGGAAAAGAAGATAAAAATATCTTCTGTATCAAAAACAGAGCCCAAGGCTATGAACTAGACCCACTCTTCACCATTTGTCCTGGTGAGACAGTCAAATTGGCGTGGCTCTGAGCAAGGTGGCTGGTCCGTGCTGCCTAAATATGGCTACAAAGGCATAACCTGAAACACCAGATGGGAATGTTCAGATGCAACCCAGGGATGATCACAGGCTGGGTGATCTTATAGACTAGAGCGTCCCACGGAGCCCTAGAGTGGGGACGAGATGGGAATCTGAACACAAACTCTGCCACTCACTAGCAGTGACACCTAAGACAATCACTCCATTGTTCTAGACTTCATTTTCTTTGCTTTCAAAGTAGGACTGAAAGCATATGATTTGGGAGGGTCCTGAGGTTCTGACTATAGTCAGACAGGTCCACATATGGAAGGGCATTTAATGCTTGGGTATGTATGTTTGCACTATTAGACTGCTGGGTTGAGATGTTGTAGAAAACATCAGAATGCTAGTTGGGAGCTATTGTTATTGTGATTCCAGTTACCCTAAATCCTTCTTGACTCCCCAATGGGTATAAATACATAATAATTATGACTATTACCCATAAGGCCTCAGTCAACATTAGGGGTGTTAAATTAGCTGAGTTGTTGGACCAGAACACCTCTGAGGCCCTTTTTAACCAAGGATGTCTCATGATCCCAAGATTCTTTTTGGACAAACTTTAAACAAGTTAAGATCAGGGTCTTTAGGAAAAAGTTATCTGTCTTTGCTTCTCTTTCATATCCTTCTTTCCTTGTTTTAGAAAATTAGATTCTTTTGGGGATTGGTATGGGGCAAGAGGAAAAATGAGGAGTCTAGGCAGAGTTTTTGTGATGAGGCCAAGATCTCCTAATTCCATGGAAGAAAGTGAGATGGCTTGTTTAATGTGGAAAGGACTGAAGTTGTGGATTCAAGGATCAAGGATATATTTTTCCCCTGGACTGTTTCTAGGCTGGAGGAGCTGCACAGGATTCACAATTGAGGCTACAAGATAATCTGCTACAAAACTTTTATTTTCCCACCATCCCAAGCACACCACCCACCTCAAGGCAGGAGCCCAGATGAAGCATATGATATTAATTCTCAAGGGTTAAAACACTTTTCAGTATTGAAATTTGGGAAGCTTGAATACTTGAAGGTCACATACTTTGTTGGTGGCAAAATGAGCTCTAGATCTCATCTTGTTATTAGTCTGCTAGGGCTGCCACAGCAAAATACCACAGAGTAGGCAGCTTACACAAGAGATTACTTTTCACATAGTTGTGGAGGCTAGAAGTCCAAGATCAAGGTGTCGGCAGGGCTGGTTTCTGGTGAGGCTTTCTCCTTGGCTTGCAAATGCCCGCCTTATTGCTGTGTTCTCACCTGGTCTTTCCTCTGCATGCATGCCCTAATGAGGCTTCTTCCCCTTCGATAAGGAATTCAGTTCTTTTGAAGAACAGTGCCATCCTTATCACCTCATTCAAGCTTAATTACCTCCTTAAAGACCCTGTCTCTAAATAGAGTCTGACTAGGGGTTAGGGCCTCAACATATGAAATTTGGTGAGACATAATTCGGGCCATAACACTCCCTAACTCCCCATCTAATGTTCTCTCCACAGCAACACACTACACACCAACAGCAATGTGTGTGCAATGGGTGGTAGGAGAATACTAATTTCATTATTAAGTTGTGAAAAATCAGTGTTTTTAGAGAGATTCCAAATAATTATGGCACTCTTGGGTATTCACAGGTATTTTTTTTTCTTTGTTTCAAGTTTTAATCGAAGCTTGTATATAAGATTACTTTATTCCTGCATCTTCTCAATTGTTTCTTCCTTGTATTTGCCCTTTTCCTTTCCTACTTGGCAAGATTTGGCTTTCCGTTCAAGGATCTTTTCACAGTCTTTGTCCAGTTTTAGCCTAGTGATAACCACCTTGCTGGGGTGAATGCCTACGTGGACAGTTGTGCCATTAGCCTTTTCCCGCTGCACCCGTTCAATGTAGATAACATATTTCTTCCTGTAAACCTGGACTACTTTGCCAATTTGCTGACCTTTATAGTGTCCACGTACAACCTGAACTTCATCATCCTTTCGGATGGGCATGGATCACACGTTGTACTTCTGTCTCAGCTCTTTGGAAAGAGGGGAAGACATAGTCTTCCTTCGAATGTGGGAAGGTGCATTGAAATGCCTTTTGCGATTCTTGCTTCGGTCGGAAGTCACAAAGGGATTAAACTTCATTTTGGCCACTCCTGCTTCGGTGATAGCCGCAAAAGGGAAGAGCCAGAGGTATCTAATAAAAGGTAATAAATGAAAAAATAAAATGCTCTTTCTTGCTCTAATTTTAAGGCCACTTCAAGGATGCCTTGAGGGGTCATCTTTTGATATCAACCAGAATTTACAGACTTCAGTATTTCTACTAGGTGCTTTAGCCTGGATGAGAGGCTAAGACAGGAAATTTTGCTATTTTATTTAATATTTTTAAAACTGTCATGAGAAAACAGGATTGGATGACAGATGGCAAGTATGTGACATATGTGACATCATTTTATCTTCTACCAGTGGCAGACATTACTTAACAATCATGGCATTCACTGAACAGAGCTTCAGAATACATTCAGTGCAGTGCCTCAAATAGCATTTTTTTTTTTTTTAAAGAAAGGGTATGTGACTTTGGGAGACTGAGGCAGGTGGATCATGAGGTCAAGAAATTGAGACCATCCTGGCCAACATGGTGAAACCCTGTCTCTACTAAAAATACAAAAATTAGCTGGGTGTGGTGGCATGTGCCTATAGTCCCAGGTACTTGGGAGGCTGAGGCAGGAGAATTGCTTGAACCCAGGAGGCAGAGATTGCAGTGAACTGAGATCGCGCCACTGCACTTCAGCCTCCAGCCTGGCGACAGAGCAAGACTCTGTCTCAAAAAAAAAAAGGTATATGAAGAGATGAAATAATGTTGCCAATAGCTAGCATTAATTGTGTGCCTACCAAGTCCCATACATTGTTTAAGTTCTTTACACATATAAACCCATTTTTTCCTCATGACCACCCTATCAAGTAGGCACCAATAGAATTAACATTTTTCTGGTGGGGACAATGAGGCACAGGCGCCCAGCAAAGAAGTGGAAGAACTTGGATTTGAACTCAGGCCATCTGGCTCCAGAGCTGTGATCATTGTCATTCTGCTATACTGCTCTCTCTCACTCTAGGGGCAGTACTAGAGTTAATGGGGGGATATTGCAAAGAGTCAACTTGGGTCAAAAAAAGAAAATAACTTTTTTTTTTACAGTAGGATGGTTCCAATAATTGAATTGATAGTCACTTGTAATATTCATCTCCCTATCACTAGAGACACCAAGCAGAGTTGTAGAGCTATCTGTTAGGGTTGTGGTGCAATTAGTTTCTGAACTGGATAAAGAATGGAGTGAGTTGGGTTATAGCACTTCAACTTCCATTTGGCTCTAAAAGTCAAGGATTCCTTGACTTAAGCAAGGATTCCTTGACTTAAGCAGTGCGAGCAAAACTAGAAGGAACCACAAGTGACATCCTTCCTGATTCCTTTTTACCATATCCTTTACCCCCCAGCATTGTCGAGCAGAAAGAATGCCCAAAATTTGAATAAATCACACTGCATTTCAAAAATAGACACTCACTAGATGCCATATAAAACTCACACAGCCCCAGAATACAAACAGTAGTTGTGAAAAACTAAACTGAATTCTATCAAACCATTGTTCCTTCATTAGTCTGAGCAGTCTTACTCCTCTTCTTATCACACTTTTCTGGGAAAGGGGACAAGTTACAGCAACAATAAAAGTTAGGTAAGTTTGTTAGTTGTCAATGAAGTTGACAATGTCTTCAAATATTAACTCTCTCTTTATCGTGCCTCAAGAATGGCATGCTTTGCAAGGCAAGCATCCTTCTCTGGAATGTGACCTTGGCCCTTCCAAGGAGCAGCAAAGAAAAATGCCATCCCTATGAGGTTACCATTTACTGATGGGAAAGAAAATTAATGGCGGTTGCCAAATCATTGCAGATGAAACTCACATATGTCAAATACTGAGGAATCTTCTAATACATTATGTGTCATTCCTTCCAAGATTTTTATCCAAACAGCTCTTCTACACTTCTGAAAGTCTGTAGTGTTACACTGTGAGCCAAGTGTGAATGGCCTGTGTCACTTGTACACAGCTCCTGTGACCTCCTGTTTCAAGACAGAGTTTGACCCTTTCCTTGGACCAGCTCCAACCCAGACTGTAGCCTTACTTCCTAAATTTTTTTTTTTTTAGACGGAGTCTCACTCTGTCGCCCAGGCTGGAGTGCAATGGCGTGATCTCGGCTCACGGCAACCTCCACCTCCCAGGTTCAAGCAATTCTCCTGCCTCAGCCTCCTGAGTAGCTGGGATTACAGGCACACACCACCATGCCTGGTTAATTTTTTTTTTTTTGTACTTTTAGTAGAGACTGGGTTTCACCATGTTGGTCAGGCTGGTCTCGAACTCCTGACCTCGTGATCCACCTCCCTCAGCCTCCCAAAGTACTGGGATTACAGGCTTGAGCCAGCATGCCTGGCCCTTACTTCCTAAAACTTAAAGAACAAAACTCACAGAGGAGTCCCTTCTGATTGACTGGTATACTTCAGAGGACCCACCCCTAGGATCAGCTTGAGTCCAAACTCCACTACTGAACCAACACATGGCACCTTGGGTGAGTCACTTAAGGCCTCCACTTTCTGTCACTTATTTTCTGATACCTGGAATAGAGATAGTGACCTTTGGTCTTGACTAAATCACAAACAAAAAAAGTGAAGATAAAAGAAAACTCAGTAATATATAAAGACTGGTTAGAAACACAGGCGTAACAGAGACACAAGGGCAGTAGAGTACCCTTTCAGTGATTCACTTACAGAGGTAGTTCTGGAGAGTCCACAGGGGGTGTAGTTATAACCAGCAGGTGCTAGTGTTTATACAGGACGGATCAAAATCTGTCCTCAGGATTTAAATATACTAGACTATTGAAACTGGATACCTAATTCCAGGTTTGAGTAATTATGAAAAAGTAGATGTATAGTTGCAGTGGGGGAAAAAGGTTTATGTTTCCATTTAATAGTTTTCCAAATGTATGTTCTGAGAAAGACTTAACAAATGGGTTTATAAGGATCAAGCAGTCTGCTACTAGACCAATGTAAACCTAAACAACTAAATAGAAAAAAAATGTTGTTTTGAAAGTTGGGTTTTAGATTTTAAGGAGATTTGGAGGGAATAATAGGAAAGATTGTTAGATAAACTTGTTTACTGCTTAAGAAAAAATAGTCATAAGTTAATACATGATGATAGAAATAAAGGAAGAAGAATGACAGCTAACATTTCTGAATACTTACATTCTATGTATTTACATCCTGGCTACTTACATTCTTTCCCTATTCTAAGCACTTTTCACGTATTAACTCATGTCCTCATAGCAACCTTCTAATCTAAGTATTATAACATTATTATCCTCATTTTACAGATAAGTAAACTGAGGTAGTAATCATCCTCTTCTCACTCTTCTCAGCAATCAAACTTCATACTTAAGACCAGCCTGTGAGGTGTGCATTACACATCCTCTATGTGGTTGGTTAATGAAACTGAGATTCAGCCATGTTCAGGTCATACAGTTGGCAACATCAGAATGTGACCCTGATCTCCTAACTTGAAGAACTTTCTCTCCTGAATTGGGATGCCATCCAGTTAAGCCATAATAATGTGCTAGAAGTCCTTGTCTAAAGACTTTCTGAAATTAGATGTCCTCTAATGCATCGTTTAGTGTCTTGGTCCCACACTTGTCTTAGCAGGTCAGCTACATCTGGAAGTGTGTTCAGTCCTGGGTCCTGCTCCAAGCAGGATTTCAGGGCAAGGGCATGGCGCTGGGCGAAAGGTCACTTCCCTTTTGAGATTCTCTGACACTCTGCCCTTTCTTTTTAAGTATCCGGGCACCACTGGGCCTTGAATTGTCCAGGCTACTATCCAGTTATTTCTTAAGGATAACTTTGGCCATCCAAAATAAATCCCAAAAAAGTGACCAGTTAAAATAGTATATTGACAAATTACTACCATGGGTAATATGCATTTTTCTTTTTTTTTTTTTTTCCTCACATATTTTGCTAACTGAGAAAAGGTTGGCACCCCTTGTCTGGTTCTCTGGTCCAATCTATTTGTGTTTCCAAGTTTTGTACTATTAGACTAATAAAAAAATAATGCTCAGAGACTTGTCAGACTTCTTCCTGTATTGAAGCTGACCACTGCACACCCCTGAGACAGTCCCTATGACCGGGTGTTCACCTTGAGGTCATACAGTGCATGGGAACAGTTACATAAAAGCCAAAAGAGGGGCTCAGCATGAGGTCAGGAAGCAGCCACAGGCAGCAATGATCAGCTCTTGCAGTTGTATTCCTGCAGCTCACATGCTCTGCATTTGGGCTGACTTACTCAAAGTTCACCCAAGTAAGCCATTGGATTGATCATGAAATCAGGATTAATTCCCCTGCATGGGGCCTCTGGCCTCTTTCCATCAACATTTTTAGAAGGGTAAAATTTTATGTGTTTTTTAAACTAATTTTTTCTAGTCTTTTCCTTTCATTCATCTGTACTATTGCTTGATTGTAACCATAGTGCATATACAATGGTTTAATCCTGCTTTTTATTTACTTAGTGGCTTATCATGGGCTTTTTTGTTATAGTTGTTTTCTACATAGCCTTCATAGTGACTGTTATTATTTGGCTCATGAGGCAGCCATTTCTACTCCCCTGCTCCCTTGCTTGTCTTCCATTATAGATTAAAACAAAAACCCCAGTGTTTCTAAACACCCTGGTGCCAGGAGTACTCATGTACTAAAAGGCCAAGGAAACATGAAGAGACGTCTACTGAGATACTTTAGAGAAGGATTTTATTTTCCAGATAAAAGGGACAGACATAAAAGAAGGAGAGGTGCTGAAATCACTCTTCTTTTCTTTTCTTTTCTTTGTGCCTTGAATTGGGTCATCATGCCTGGAGTTTCAGCAGCCATATTGCAGTCATGAGGAGATAGGTGTGCAGACCAAACGCCAAGATGCTAAGAATGGCAGATGTAAATGTTAGAAAGTGTTTAGACCAACCCCAGGACCTCTCACTTCTGGACTTTTTGTTTTGCGAATAAGAAATGTCCTTAGGGTATAAGCCTCGGTTAGTCAAGTATTCTGTTTCTTACAACAAAAAGCTTTCCTAACTGTTGGGGTCTTTGCAATCGTCATTTTAACTTTGTTCAAATATGCCTAGATCCTGCAAACCTTGGCAATAGCAGGCAGTTTGTGGAAGTATTTCATGGAACCTTCAGGTAGCTTTGGGGAGTGACCAGGGTGTAAGAAAGTTTGCTTGATGGCACAGGTTGCGACTAGTCTAACTTTGTCCCCTTGCCTTTATTTCCTGGAAGCTGCCTCGTGGCTCAAGGCAGAGGCCTGGTCTATTATTTACATTTTTCATGCCCCAAGAGTGTCTCTGAGAGATTCCCTAGGTATCTGACATACTCACATGAGGCTGACAAAGCATTAGGCTGAATTGTTAAAATTAAGCCAGGAGCTGGAAACCAGGCTGATTATCTGTAAAATTTAGAGGGTCTTGGGTAACTTGTCTTCTTTCCTTCCAACTTCTTTCCTCCAGTTTCCCCTTCTCCTAACTGCCTGTGTCTCAGCGCATCTACTCTTTTAAGGCCTCTTCAAGTTCTGAACCTTTCCCTGCCCCCCTTGCTCATTCTGCATCCCTTTTGCTCTCTTAACCAGCAGTCACCAAGGAAAAAACAGCCTTTCCCAGGATGGCTTCTTGGGCCTCTTGGGCCCACGTGCTGAAAGAGTATAAATCCCAAGGTCCAATAAGTTAGAGAAGTGTTGCCTGCTGAATGCGTCTTCTAGGAAATTCACTTTGTTTATCAGGATAGAGAAATTGTTTGAATCTCAATCAAGCCACTATTTCCCAAACATATAAGACTTCCAATCCTTTATTCCATGTTAATATTCTGTATATGCAGGTTCTACCCATCATTTGGGGGGAATATTGTGCTGAAGACACTCTGAAGTGACTGATCGTAGCCACAACTCCAAATTCTCTAATTTTGCACACATTTCCCCAATCCTGTAGGCTAACCCCAAATTCTTTAGTCTGGCTTTTTAAGGTCCTCCACAATATCTACAATCTAGTTTGGAAGCCTCATTTCCCATTATTCTTCTATATGAACTTTCTGCTTCAACAAAACTCTCCTATTCCTTGTTCCCTAAATAGTCTCTGTCCGTTTCTGCCTCCCTATTTGCATACATATTCTTTGGGGGGAGGGGCTTCTGAAATTTCATAAAGACGAGGAGAAGTGTCAGAAGTTCTTAATTAGTAATTTAATATTGTATCTTTTGGGATGCTTTGTTGCAAGCCACAGAAATAGGCTCTACTTAATTTAGGAAGAAGAATTTATTGAAAGGACACTGGGAAACTCAAAGAATTCCTAGAGTATCCAGAGAAAAAGGCTTGAAGACTGTGCAGCCAGGAACAACACTGTAAATTCCACTGCAGGATTCATTCATTGAGGACACCATAGCAGCCATACTGCACCTGGACACTGCAGCTCACACCATCTGCACCATCAGCAAGTGTTCTTGGATGCCGATGCTAGAACCACTGGCCCTGCTGCCTCTGGGAACTGGATGTAGCTGCCATTGTGTCTTAAATCTGCCAGAATGGATTTGGCATGTTCCTTTCTTTTTGTCACTAGCAGATTCAAAGACCATCTGATTGGTGGAATCTTGATCACGTGTCCATATCTAGTGGCAAGGGAGACTGGGAAGTCCAGTGTCTGGAATTTCAGCTTCTACAGGAGGAGCTGAGCTCTATCTCATAAGAGGATTTCCTAAAGAGAGGAAGAAGTTTCAGATGATGAGTGGTCAAAAAGAATGACAATTGTCTATATTGTTATGTCATGGATTATTGAGAAACACAAGAGAAAGAAAGACTTTTTTAATACCCCCAAAGGAGTTTACAGTTTAGCTAAGTAGACAAGATAAACAGATGAGATTATTTAAAAATAAGATAACATATAATAATGTAATAAATAAGACTGCTTAATTAAAAGATACTAACATTATGCTGAACATAATCAACAGAGTTAGAGAAAGTATATTTATATGTTACAGCTCCAAGCCATTGCTTTTCCAACAGATGTTTTTCTAGGGCAAAATGTATGTAAACAAGCCCTGTTTGCACCTAGAATATTTCCACACATCCACCCAGCTTCATTTTCCAAGCTTATTTGCACGAAGGCAAGCTCCTTGATTGCCCAAAAGATGCACGGTGCTCAGGACTGAACCATGTGTAATTTAAAAAAAAAAAAAAAAAAAAAAAAAAAAAAATATATATATATATATATATATATATATATATATATATATGACAGATATTAAGTCTGAAGAATCAGAAACAATGGCATGAACATGGTAATGGGTATAGGTTTTGACCTGGAGTCAGAGGGAAAGAGAATGAGCCTGGAGTTCTGGGAAATCCATCATCACTCTTCTGCATTGTGTGGTCACTTCTGTCCCTAGGGAAGGGCAGTGCTAAGCTGCGCCGGGGTAAAGGCCTATGCAGAGCCAAGAGTTGAGTGCTTTTCCTATGCTGTGTCAAGGTCACTGCTGCACAGGGCATTTGGCAGCTCCGCTCCTGCAGTCAGCCAATGGCCACTCAGGATTAACAGTGAATGCTGTGTGGGCAGAGCTGGAAAAAAATGGGTCACTTGGCTGGTTATGGGATATAGAAGGCCAGCATCCAGGGCCTCCACCCATAACAGCCATCCAGTCCCAGGGCCCTGCTGCTCCTCCACCTTTCTCTTTCACGCCATGCAGCTCTCTGCATCACATTCTCCACCTTTCTAGGTGTCAATGTGGCCTCCAGAAAGAGGGTGAAAGTGAAAACAAAACTAGGGGGAAGAAATTAGGTGACAGCTTCACTCCTCCAAGAAGGAAAGGGATTGTGCAATATGGTAGAAAGAAAACTGATTCAATAGCTTTCTCTAGCTATTATCTGGGCGATCTTTGGCAAGTGATTCTCCCTTCAAATCATCATCAGTAAAATGGGATGATATGAGACAACTCGTGTGAAATTATAGCATTCTAAAAAGAACAACTACCTACAACTAGGTTAGTTCAAAAACTATCTTCAGTCCTAAGTGATACTTAGGAGTGATTGCAGCTCAAGCTGCTGGTGAGGGACAGCCGATAATCTTCTGCTGTGGCTCTTGGCTTTGTTTGCATCCAAGAAGGTTCTTAAAGAAAAACTCTTCTATGTTAAGATTGGTTGGTGTAATCAGAGCACAGGCATCAAGAGGAGCTCTCATCCAGCCTCGTCATCCACCCCACCTGCTTGGATTCTCTTTTCCATATCATGTGTGCATGCATGCACACACACACAGACACACACATGCTCACACTCCCATCCACACACCCCTGAGGAATGCATAAAGTGTAATAATGAAGTAATGACTAATGCCTAACAAGGGCAGTATGTAAAATGTTGTGCCAGTAGTGGACCTAGACTCCCAGGTTTGGAAATCCTGACTCTGCAGTTTGCTTGCTGTATGACCTTTGACACATTCCTCAACCTCTCAGTCCCTCAGTTTCCACATCTACAAAATAGGATAATAATAGTACCTACCACATAGGATGTTGTGAGGACTACCTGGGTTGATACACGTAAAGCACTTAAGGTAGGACCCAGCATGCAGTCATTACTCAATAACATTAGCTGTTATAATTTTTAATATTATTTTCATACATCTAACTGAGTGCAGTTGTATTCAAAGCATGGGTAAGAAGAGGAAAAATGGATTGTACACGTTTTGTGTGCTGTGTCTTCTATATACATGACTTTATTGAATCCTTACCTTAACCTGAAGCTCAGGGCTATTATTATTCTGAGGCTGATGTCCAGACAGGTAACACGTCCAAGGGCTGGAAAACGGGGAGCTGACATTCAAACCCGGGTGCTCCTGGCCCTGTGCTCCCAGAATGCCATGCTTTCCCTTCTCTGGGACACTGCCACCATCACCTGAAATCATCAAAATTCTTCTTTGGGAATTTCCTTCAGAACTTGATGACTGTGTTTAGAATTTCCTCAGCACTGGCAAATCTTCTTTTGAAAAATACATTGTTAGCATTTTTAAAAAGTCATTTATTGTCAAGATGAATAACTCAATAGGGTAATACTGTTTGGGGCTAAAATTAAGGTATGATTAATGTTTTTAAGTGGCTGGTTAACCAGTTCTGTAAACAATTCCAAGAGTAAAAGTTCTGAAATATTTTTGAAAAACTCAATATCCCAGAAAAACTGCACTTCCCAGCCCTCTTTTGGCTATGTTGGCTCTGACATGCTTCTGTAGATGGGTTTTTAACAGCTTGGTTGTTCCTTGAATATGTAAAAGAACATAGATTAAGACTGTTTGCTATGGTTTGGATACTTGACCTCTCCACACCACATATTGAAATTTGATCTCCAATGTGAGAGGCGGGGCAAAAGGAGGGCATTTGGGTCAGGAAGACAGATCACTCAGGAGGAGATTAATGCCCTCCCTTGGAGGTAAGTGAGTTCTCGGTCTATTAGATCCTAGCTAGAACTGGTTGTTAGAAAAATCCTGGCACCTTCCCCTGTCTCTGGCTTCCTGTCTCACCCCGTGATCTCTGTACACACTGGCTCCCCTTCCCCTTCCCCCATGAGTGGAAGCAGCCTGAGGCCTTCACCAAAAGCGGGTGCTGGTGCCATGCTTTTTGTGCACCCTGCAGAACCATGAGCCAATTAGCCTCTTTTCTTTATAAATTCCCCAGCCTCCGGTATTCCTTTACAGCAACACAAGTGAACGGAGACACTATCTGAGCATAATTATGAGTTGTGTTTGGGGCCTGTGGTAGGATGTGAGAGTTGGCATTCCCTGCTCTTTGCCTGTCTTTCTACAGTGATGTTCTCCTCCATGGTCCCTGGAATATTCTTCTGTCTCCAGGCCCCACAAAACCCAGAACCATTTTGGAGGACAGCATGACAGAGGAAGAGGAATGGCATCGAGAGAGGCACTGTACATGCATTATTTTATTTATCGTCAGAGCAGCCCGTTTCACTGGGGGAAACTAGGCCCAGAGTGGGTCCAGAACCTACTCCAGGTCACACAGCCGGACAGAGCAGAAGCAGGGGTGGCACTTGCCTCTAGATTCCACTTTGCCTGTGGCCAGAGCAGCGTTCTGGCCACCCCAGGCCGGAGCACCTCCCTGCTGAGCCCTTTTAAGTAGCCTAGATTTGGAGGCAGAGCAGTGTAGGCTGGGGTGTAATTAAGTCATTAAGCTGACTGCTCTGGCAGGATGAGGCTTTCTGGCCCACTTGTTCCCGGCTTCAGTAGCACCGATGGTTCCCGGAGATCATCCTCTTTGTGCAAGTGTTTGACTCAGTGGTCTGTACTGGAATTAGACGGATCCCTTTGCCACCACCTCCGGCCTCTAGGGCTTGTGCTTTGGAGGCCCAGCCTTCACATGCTTCTCCTCCAGAGTAGGCTGCTAGAGAGAAGCTGCTAGCTGTGTTGGTGCCCTTGACACGGCTGTCCACATTAACTTCAAGCACTGCCAAATTGGCAGGTTAAACAGGGAACCATCACGTTTTCAAATTCTGTGTTTATCTTATATTTTATCTACCCCAGAACTCATCTTCAAAAAATGGGGAAAGAGAGATGAAGGGGATGATAGAAAAACAAGGTAGCTGAACTTGTACTTTAATTGAAAAAAAAAAAAAACATAATTACTCTAAGCAAAAAATAGTTGTAGACGAAAGCACATGTTCAAAGAAACAAAGTGATCAAAACCATACTAACTTTATGTTTTTTCTCTTCCCACCTAACCTCCAGATTCCTGACTTGTTTCATCCTACTGGTTCTTTTCAAATTATACCTGTGATAATTCAGCTGTTAAAAGAGGAGTTTTGAAGTCCTGTTAATACGTGACTCGAGGAAAATCCAAGGTAGGGAGAAAAATTAAACTCCTCCACCGCTCTGGGGAACTTGGCTTTCTAAGGAGACATTGTTTTGAAACCAAGAACAAGCCAGAGATGACCAAGATTAGGTTTTATACTTTGCTTCTCAAGTCCTGATCCTAATCCATTAGAGCTAATTTTGCCTGATTCCTTTTCTGTATGCTCTGGGCTTGGGTGGGTTTCTCTTAGATGGAGGAAGAGTCAGGAAATGGGTTATGGGGAGGGAGAAAGGGACAGATTTCATTAAACTGCCAAAAATAGGTTTATGCCAGTAATAGCACGTATGATGCAAACTTGCTTCTACATGCAGAATAATCATCTGTATGGGAAGTTGCTTATGAAGATGATGACATTTAAGAGTTTGGCATCCCAGCAGTTTTACCTTTGATCTTGGAAAACTGCCCAAAGTAACTAAGTCATTTACAATCTGCCTTGCTTGCCATTTGAATTATTTTGAGGGTTGAGGGGGCACTTTCTTCTTCATTGTGCATTACCGGAGGCCTACTTTCTGATCTAAAAGAAGCAAAATAGGTGAGTCTCACACTCTGTGATTAAATAACACAAGCTTTGCTCTACAGTGACCTTATTTATACTCCAAATGACAGCCTACAGCAGATCGCATTTGACAAATTTTAATCCTCTTAAACTGAAGTCTGAAACAGATACTCGATAGGCTCTTCATTGCGCCAGAAGTGACAATGCTGTGCTCCTCATGAGGCTCCAGTGGAAGCTGAATCCTCACAGAGGGGCAGCCATCTGGGACTCTGGGTGGAGGCCAGCCCACAGCTCTACACCTCCTGTCTCACCTCCACTCAGCTCTGAGGGTGGGCTGAGGGCAGAAGGAAGTGGAGCTGGAGTTGTAGAGACAGCGGTTTAGTGGAGGGCTCTCTGTCCTGGCTAGTTGAGGTGCGTGATGGGTAGTGGCAGAGAGAGGGGGTAGGGAGTGGGGTGAGGGAAGTCCAGGGAGCCCCGACAGGTGGAGATGGGGAAGTTGGGAAGATTGGAAAGAGAGCGTGTAAAGGCAATGAAACATTTCCCCTGCTCCTGAAGAAAAACATGGACGAGGAAGACATGGATGTTGAGGCTTTAAAGCTGACTTTAAGTAAGGGAGATTGTTCCAGATTATCTGGGGGCCTGGTTCACTCCACTGAATGGCCTTCAGAGCAGAACTGAGGCTTCCTGATGAAGAAATTCTGACTGTGCAGAGCAACTTTGGCCCGTGTCCAAGAGTTGAAGTCTGTCTTTTCTGACAGCCTGCCCTATTGATTTCAGACTTGCCTATCCAGTCCCCATAATCAGGTAAACCAATTCTGTGCAATAAATCTGTTAATATCTGTCTCCTTCTGATGTGGTTTTACTGGTTAAAACTTGACTGATGCAGATTTGCAGCCTGGAGTCCCCTTCCAAACGTGAGAATTTGTGGCTTCAGCTGCTGGAAGCCTGGCTGTGGCAGAGGCCCTCAGCTGCCAGCTGTCCTTAGGGAGTGCTTTGACTGAGCAGAGTCCCCTTGCCCCAGGTCACACTCCCTTCCCAGGGCAGCAAAGCTCCAATGACTGTCTGATGTGGGGCTAGAAAGGCTGGGCCCCTGGCCCCAACTCTGGGTAAACCCAAGGGCTGCCTCAGCTTCAGAGCTCCCCATGAACTTGGCTGAGACCTTCATTGTGGCTGCATCATAGCCCCACTGCTCCCTTCACCCCACCCTCCTTTCTTCCCTTCTTACCCAGGCGTTGATTCCCAGAGCACTGCCTGATAAACCTCCTGCCCAAGAATTCTCATCTGCTCCCCAGGAAACCCCATCTGTACCAGGAACCTTACTCCACTGAGTTTCCATCTATTTCCTGCATCTTTGACTTTCCCTTCTTATTCATCTCTTTCCCCTCGCCACATGTAAATGCTCTAGGCTCTCCCATATTAAAAAGAAACACAACCAGGAAACATAATAACCATTCCTAAATTGTGTCATCCTCAAGTTGTGGCTGGTTTTGTTTGTTTGTTTGTTTGTTTTTTCCATATCCCAACTTCTTGAGGAGCTAACTGGACACTGTCTCATCTTCGCCTTCCACTTACTCCTCGATACAGCATGGCTTTTCTCAGCTGCCATCACTCCCTGAAATTGTTCTCAAGAAGGTCACCAGCAACCTCCTCTTTATTAAAATCCCATGACACTCTTCAGCCTTTCCTATATGTGACCTGGTGACTGGCAATGTGATTTTCTTTTGCCTTGATGAAGTTGTTGTCTGGCTCCAATAGCCTCCATCGCCCCCTCTGCACTGGATTCCCATATATCTCCCTGGCTGCTTCCCTTCAGTGTTCTTCATGGACTCCCTTTGTCAGCTGTTCAGTAGCTCCCTTTGTCAGCCTCTTTCTACTCTACACTCTCTCCTTGGGCGATTTGGCCACATCTGTAATTTCAAAGGTCACCTGTGTGCTTAAAGCCTACCAAATCCTTATTTCTAACCTCAGCCTCTGTCCTGGACTCTGAATGCTGCATATCCAACTACGGAACGTTTCTCCCTAAATGTTTTATCTTGTCTAATACTGAATTCACCCTCACACATGTTCCTCCCTTCTGAGCTAATAATACAATACATTCTTCCCACCAACAGAGCCTGCAGTGATCTTCAATTCCGCACCCCCACCCCACCTCCTCCGCCGCTCTCTCTCCCTCTCTCTCTCTCTCTCCCTCTCTCTGTCTCTCTCTTTTTCTCAACTCAGCCACTGGTCACTAGGGATTGTGGTATCATCCTCTTAAATAGTGTATTCTCTCAAAGTAGCCCTACTTCTCCCACCTTAATATTTCATCTCAGATCTTCACTGTTTCACATATTTTATAGCATAATAAACAGCGTTTAAAGCTGAGTGATCTGTGCTCCACACTGTGGAGGGCTTGGCTCTGTCCTTTCTCTGGTTACACCGCTAACCACAAGTCAAGAAGTCCATAGGACCTACAGGACATTGCCACCATGGGCCCACACACCCCAATTCCAGGCCATGTTTCCATACCTAGAACTGTGGATTCCCTGTCCAAATGGCCTGAGCCTGCTTCCAGGGCTGACGTGGGACTCTCCCACAGATCCATGCCCCCACGTGTATTCTCCATTGCTGGAGTGCATGCCTGTAGGCTTGAAAGTGGCAACAGGTGGCTGTTTGCAGCGGGGAGGGACAGAGGCTGGACGGAGGAGTCAGATAGTTCATATGCACATGTGTGCAGAATTTCTTGTGGTTCTAGATGGAGCTGGGGTGTCAGGCAGAGGGAGAACAGGGGTAAGCTGTGACTACTTTCAGTCTTTCTCCCAGCCCCATGAATGCTGGGGAAGAGGGTTCTGGTTATGAAGCATCTTTTATACACCAAGTACAAAGCTAAATAATGGGAATTAAAGATGAACCAGACATACTCATTGCCCTCCAGAAGCTCAGGAACAGACAAGAAGGGGAGCCATTATAAAATGAGATGAAATCCATTTTCATAAAGGCATGTTTGAAGAGCTGTGTGGGGTGGCAGGGTCAATCCCTGCCAGATAATAGGGAAAGACTTCTCGCATGGGAGAACATTTGACCTGAAATTTGAAGCTTGAGAGTAAGTTTGCCAAACCTGAGAAAGCCACTGTCAGCAAAGAAAACAGCAAACATTCAAAGAACCATGGGCGGCTTAGTGGGCTGGAAGCTCTGGGAGAGGTGGCTGGAAAGGCATCAGGACTGTCATGAAGGGGCTTGTGGGGTTTGCTTAGGAGCTTCTACTTCATCCCAAAGGCCATGGGGAAGCTTTATGCATTTAAAGTTGGGGACTCAGTGGGTATTAGCCACACGTTTGAAAGATTTCTCTGGACTAGCCTCTTAAGGGGTTTCCTCTTCTCCAGCATCCACACCCCTCACTGAGAGTCCAGCCATCACCCTGCTGCCAATCTCAACCTTCTGAAACCCACATTGGATGCTGTCACTCTTCTGCTTCTTCCCATTGCCTCCAGGTGAGAGCCGCATTTCCACTCCCTTTCTGTCCAGCCCCTCTCCTGCCTGCTCAGTCTCTGCCATGTGCTTCTTCTGTTGCAGACATACCCCATCGCTGGCCCCACCCCAAATACACCACACTTTCAGATTACTCTGCACCAATGCTCTTCTCCAAATTGCCAGCCTGAATAAGTCCTTATCTTTCAGGCAGTATAGTGGAGAGAAAAGAGCACAGATTTTACATACAGATTGATCAGGGGTGTAGTCCTGGTTCTGCCACTTCCTGGCTCTGTAATGTTCAGCAGGCCACTGAAACTCTGAGCTTTGGCTGCCAAACCTCTCTAAGGGACATAACACCCACTTTTCGAGGCTACTGTGAGGATTAAATGCAATAACAGAGGTAAGTGTGTGGCGTGAGCACAGCAGACTGCACCTGGAGTGAGCCTGCTGGACCCACAAGCCTGCTGGACTTCAGCTTTCCCCGCAACAGACCCCTGCTGCGCTTCCCAGTATGTACATCTGGAATCTGTCTTAGTTCCTTGCTCTAACCCAGCCTGGTTCCTGCCACATTCTTCACACCAAGGGAGGCCCTGCTCCCCAAGCCCCAGCCATTGCCTGGTGTCCTGCTGCAAACCCAGGGGATCCCTGGAGGCCACGATGCTGCCATTTGCCCGCACTCCAGCCCCTCTCCACCACCATGTCAGCCCCTGCCAGAGATGGATGCTGACACCCATGGATCCGAGCTCATTGCATTGTTTGGATGTAATTTTGATTTCATTGCTATTCACCTACAAAGTTGCCTAGCTCCTAAGCCCAAGTTCTGCCTTTTTCCACCTTATTCGCATCTTCCCATCAGCTAGCAAAGGATGGCTTTGAAATCTGTGCCTTATACACTGTACAATAAGTCCCATGGCTTATGACCATAACTAAGGTGATTATGTAATTTATTATCTAAATCATTACTTTTTGAGACTGAAAGGGCACAATCAGAGTTAACTAAATGTGTGGTCATTCAACCCATAACCCAGATAGCATTGGTCACTGGGGAGATGCAAGAGTGAGCCCAAGAAAGAAATTTTTGTCTTCATCTATCTCCTCTATGGGCTGTGCCTATGTTGCCTTCAGCTGTAGAGACGTCACTTGTAATTTTAGTTTGTTCTCATCAGCCCGCTCTGTTGTTATGGTTCACCTAGGGAAGCATCCAGCCACTAAGAAATAGAAGGGAGAACAATGCTTCACTGCCTGCCATGCCTGAGGCGCAGAGCGGCTGTTGGCTGCTCTGCCAGGAGCTCTGCAGGGACATGGCAGCCGTGCTCCGTGTGGGTGGGAAAGGTGGCAGCATTTTGCGGTGCTCGTCATTCTTATTTGACAACTGTTTGGGGTTTTAGAAACTCTTGGCATTGGTTTATAACACCCCACCCACCCTGTCTCGGTAACTACCATTTGCCCTCCCTACAAGAGGTCATGCCAATTCTGAGATGAGGCAAGGCAGGCTCAGCAGCCCTGGCTGGCTCCCACTCTGACACCTAAAGAGCTTTGTCTTGCCTCTGGTCAGACTCACAACTTCCTGTACCCCTCAGAATCAAGCCCTTATGAGGGGGTTCAAGTGCCAGAATGCTGACTTCCCACAGACTGGCAATGGAAATGCTTTCAGAAAGCATATTGAGTTAACATGATTTTTAGTCATTTGCATCATTATGAGAGAATCTGTGGGTGTGTGCCTTAGAGAGTGTGAACACATTTATTCTGGCGTTTGATAATATATTGCCATTTAAAGGAAATTCCCTTCAGCTCTTTTATTTCACCATCATGTATGGCCTTGAGCTAGCCCGCCATATGAACCTCCTAGGAGTAGGGTGAAATGGAGAAAGGAACCAGGACCAAGTTACCCTGTATACGTGACAGAGATAATGGAGGAGGGGGTACAAAAGTGCCCACTGAGGGGCTCAAATAATACTCTTTAAAGTCTCCCTGCAGGGCAGGGCATGGCAGCTCATGCCTGTAATCCCAGCACTTTGGGAGGCCGAGGCAGGCAGATCACGAGGTCAGGAGTTCAAGACCAGCCTGGGCAACATGGTGAAACTCCATCTGTACTAAAAATACAAAAATTAGCCGGGCGTGGTGGCAGGTGCCTGTAATCCCAGCTACTCGGGAGGCTGAGGCAGGAGGATCGCTTGAAACCAGAAGGCAGAGATTGCAGTGAACCGAGAGCGCACCACTGCACTCCAGCCTGGGTGAAAGAGCGAAACTCCATCTCAAAAAAAAAAAAAAAAGAGTCTCCCTGTATTGTGCCCCCACCTCAACTTTGAGAATTACCATTATATTTGTTTAAGTCCTCCTAAAACTAGTAATTATTGAGCGATTGCTTTGTACCAGCAGTTCCTAACCCACATAATCACCATGTGAGCAGGCACTGTGGTCCTCACTTTACGGATGTGAACACAATGGCCCACAGACCTTAAAACAGTTCCCCAAGAGCACACGCTAGTAAGAGGTAGCTCAGAGCCAGGTCTCTTGGCTTTGAAATCTGTGCCTTATACATTGCACAATAGTCCTCTCAATTTTATGCTGCAGACCTTAGCCACAACGGAGAGATTCAGTTCTGTGTGTGGTCCATTTATCATAATGACTGTCATCTCGGGTAGAATAGACAAGGACAAAATGTATACTGCCTACCTTTTTGAAAAAGAAGTATATTTGGTTGTTCTGGGATAAGGGATGGGGAAGAGAGTGAAAGCATTCAAATTAAATTATAAGGATATGATAGGCCAATTTAAAGATAATCAAAGTCTTTGGGTTTTCATTATTTTATTTTGCTTGGATTATTCTTGAATTGGCTGGAACTCCAAATCATGCTTAGAATTAATTCCCCAAATCTTGCATTTAGGAAAATGGCCTCAGAATGCAATTAATAAAATGGCAAATTTTAATTCATCATTCTAAATTCTCCATTACTTCAAACACATATTTCAGGCAGATTTGATATATAGGTATTTGAAATTACTAGGAGTCATAAAACAAGGCATTAAGTCTGGAATCTGGAATTTTCCCTTTAGAATAAACCTGCATTCGATGATTATTCCTACATGAAACTGTGCTATTGCAGCCCTTGCTCCATTATTCAACTTTGTAAATAGGGTAGATGGAATCATAGGAAGCAGTGCTGACAGTTACTAAAGTGTAGTTGGAGGCCTTTACAAGTTTAATAAAACGCAGGGGAAAGGGGAAGAAAAAGAATGGGGTTTGCCCTGGAAAGGAGATTCCAGGGTCAGGAGACAATTGTGTAACTTTCTGAGTTCTGCCCTCCCTGGGCCAGGCCAGGTCACTTGGCCAATTCTTGCCAAAACTTTTCAACCCAGTGACTCAGGAACTGGACTTTTCCATTCTAGCCTGTGGGAATGTGGCTGTGATTTTATAACTGAAGTCCACAGAACAATGGGATTTGCCTTTTGAAAAATTGCTTTTCAGACACCAGTACTGCAAAACACCTACTTCTACTGGCTCACCAGTGGAGCTCTTAAAACTTTTTAAAAACACTCAGTTCTTGGGTGAACAACACACCCAGCCTCTCCCCAATAACTAGAAAAAAAGGTCAGCATCCTCCACATTTGAAGGTCAAAGTCCTGGTCAAAGATGCTGTTTTGAGTCACCCATGGATAATGGCCAATTTGATAGAAGATATAGAAACAAACAAACAAACAAACAAAGACCATGTAAATCAAGCTTGCCTTTAGATGTTTGGCCTAGAATAGGGAGTATAGCTTAGTGCCTAAAAACTTGGACTGTGAAGAGAGACAGGTCTGGGTTCCAATCTCAACCACATAGGCAAGTTATTTAAACTCTATAAACCTTAGTTTCCCATCTGTAAAATGAAGATGTCGATTGTACTAACATATATTTGTTATGAGGATTACATTTTTAAAAATTCACACAAAATACCTGACATAGGGGAAATAATAAAATCATATTGTATAGACAGAAGCATGCTAAATAGAGGATTCTTGTGTCCACTGAATGCAGGTGCTACTGTGTGAGGCAGACTCAAATGGCCTCTCAAGTGGCTGGCTTGCTTGCCTCTTTCTCTGCCTTCTTACAGGAAAGCAATTCCTAATGCCTGACATGGCTTGAAAAAAGCTGACAGGGAACAGCCTCCAGATATAACTGAGCAGGAAGCTAGAAACAGCAATCCCTGCACATTCTGCTAAACTCAAGTTTGAGGGAAGTCTGGTGGTGCATCCTGGCTTGGACTAGGGAAAAGCAACTGGCCAAGATCATGGTCGAGCCACCAATTATCACCTCCTCTGAGGAACGCACACCCTTTTTTAAGTAATCAACCAATTAAAATTTTAAACTCAGGAATCTTTCTCTTAAAACATACAGATTTTTATTACAATTTCAAAAACATCCAAGACAATTATTTATAGCCTAAATGCAATTATTTATAGCCTTGTAAAAATATGGGCCAGATGAATAGAAAAGACGGCTGGTTTTGTTCATTTGTTTTTACTCTCTCACTGCACCACTATGTGGTTTAGAGTTACTGCATTTTGTTGTTAGCAACTGGATAATTTCCAACCGGTTATAAGAATCGAACCTGTTTGGTTTATCACACACAGACACACACACAGAGTTGTGTATATAAATACAATCTAAATGTCCCCTCAATGGGTAAACAGGAGTTGAAACAGTTGGAATATTCATTACTATGGGTAAGTTAGAATTGTATGAACGTGGGCAGAAAATTTTCCTTCCCTGGGTCTTGGGTTTTTGAAATATAAATAAATGCACCTAATTATGCTTACAGATTGTTTCATTCACCTAGCGGTGTTTTAAAAATGTGAATGTGAATGACTTTTCTAAGCACTCACTTCCTAGTTCCCTAATATCACCCAGCTGCCTGCTTCTCACATTTGCTTCTCTTCTTGGTGCCTGGAAGCATTTGGGCTTGCAGACCCTGCATGAGATGATTTAGGCTTCCTCTAACTTCCAGACTCTGCTATCCTGATTCTTACTGAGTTGCTGAGTTGTCGAATCTCTTTGTTGGGAGAGTAAGTAAAACTCTCACTCTTTTACAGATAGGCTTGCGGATTTATTAGGAAGAAATGAAGCATGCTCAGACAAAAAGAAAAAAAAGTCAATTTCTTATTATTCTTCAATTTTTTAATTTCTTTGCAGATATTTTGGAAGATCCCTGTTCTGTAACTCTACATTCTTATCTGCAAGGTATCACTTATTTCAGCCAGTTAATAACCACCTCTCCTTGTCAAGATGTTATATCTGAGACACTCCCAAAAGTTTCTGCTGGTTTTTCTTCCTTTGTCTTTGGCTTTCCTTAGGGATATTGGGCAAATATCCCTGACAACTTAAACCTTGATGTGACAAATAGAGATTTCACATTTATGATTAAACCATCATGATTCCACAAAGGGACAACCTGAGCCTTCATTTGGTTTGGGCTTGGAGCCAACAGAAGTTGAGTCAGACACTCCTAGTGAGTAAAGGCTCGCGGGCTCAACTTGGAATCGAGCAGGGCAGAGGGGCCTTTGGTTGTAGAGCTGTACTCAAAGAACATAACACTCCTCCTGCCAAACCAAACTTAATGGCTCTGCCCTCCAAAAGTCACAGCTTTTATCAACCAACTGGTATTCTACTGTGAGATGCACAATCTATCCCACTTTGATCTCAGCAACAATATGCTTGAGGCAATGATCTCAATTTTGCAATCATAGCTGAATTGATGTAAAACTGGGGACAATCACTTTACAACTTTCTTTACTCAAATCTCATTTCTCCCTAATAGCAGAGCCACTGCCCCCAAACTGACAATCGGCTAGAACAGTGTGCAGAATCACCTGAGGATCTTGCTGAAATGATAATCCCGACTCAGTGAGCCGGGAGTGGGCCTATGATTCTGCCTTCTGACTGCTCCCAGCTGATGTGGGTGCTTATGGTCCACAATTGCATTTGGAGTAGCAAGGACCTAGACAGCTTTGTCCATTTCAATTAGGTGTTTATTTGCTTCCAAGTGCTGACTTCTGTGCTAGGTGCTGGGAATACAAAGATGCATGAGACAATTGCTTTCCTCGGAGAGCTCACTATTTAATGAAGAGGTAGACACATAAATATCTAACTATGGTGTACATGATAATTGCTATCATTACAATATGAATGCAGTCCTTTGGCACCAAAGAAAGAAGTGAGAGATAAAATTATAACTTACAATCAATGTACAAATACTCCTATCTCTACCTACCTCTGCCCTTTTTTTATCCTGTGCATGTTCCAACATGAAAAACACTTGTAACGTGGAACCCAGATCAGACCTCCCTTAAAACTGATATTTCCAAGAAGTCAAGCTCTGGACAAACTGCATATAAGCAGATGCTTTCAAAAAGGTGAAATCATGATTCTCATATAAATATAAAACGAATGTGTGTCAAATACTTTATCCAATTAACACTGGTCGAAGAGCATTTGAGAAGCTACGTATTTAGAGGCAACGTTAGGATAAGATTGCCAGGTCAAGCACAAAGCTGGTCAATATCCAACAGAGCCATAAACTGTAAGATAACTTTTGGGTTATCTTTTCTAAGGGACAGAAATTATTTGCACCTCCAGCAGATAAAATCTGCCTGTTAAGAACTGGATCTCTAGAGCTGTAAGGTAGCTCAAACAATAGAACGTCAACCTAGCACTAAGTCCCTGGTAACCTCTTTCGCTTATTTTCAAGTTTCAGATAAATTTTCTGATTTCACACCCAGCCTCCAGAAAATTATTGCAAGATGGGAGAAGATCCCCCTTTACTTCAACTAGCTCTAAAGGTACTTTAGAAACTGAACCTTCCTAATTTACCTGATTGGATCTCATTCCCAGATGAAATGATTGTTAGTAATAGCATCTGTCATTGATTGAGGTACTAGATTATGTGTTTTAGGTACATTATCTCTCTCAGTCTTCACGTCAGCCCTTGAAGTAAGTACAACTATCCCTCCCTGACAGTTGATGAAATAATCTCAGGGAGGTTAGATGAGTTGCCCAAAACCATGCAACTACTGGCACAGCCAGGATTCAACACAGTAATATTATTATGAATACAATAAGTAATTAGCAAATGAATGTGAGGCCTTAATGTTAGACAAGAATAGGTTGGGTTTGGGATCAACGTGATTTGTACGATTTTTTTTCCACAGTGCTTAACATTTGCAGGTCCTTTGGATGAGGGCATTGTTTTCAGAACCTATGTTAAAAATAGAATAATATTTGATTGAAAAAGAGTGGGGAGGCCAGGAGAGAGCAGTTTGCTATGGGACAGACACTGTGGCATTCCAGGCTGCAGTTTTAGGGCCTGGAACCACAGGAGCGCAGTAAGGGCAGGGCTGGGCAGGGCTGGGCAAGGCAGGGTCGGCTCACACTCCCCACCTCTGGCTGCTCCTTGGCACCTGGCTGCATGGCTGGTTCACTTCCTCTGCTACCACGAAAGCTATTTCTCAGGACCTGGGATGAATAATCTAATCAAGAATGATGCCACCTTCCCAAGAAGCACTTCCTGGCCACTCCCCAGTCACCTCCTCAGGACTACATCCTCCTGAGGGCCTGTCATAGAACTTTTCTGCTTAGGGTAGGTAAAGGGACGTCCTAAGAGATGAGCCATTAGCTGGGGTGGGGCAGATTGCAGAGCAGGAAGGCAGTCTCTCTCAGAGCAGAACAGGGCTACAGGCAGGCAGGGAGCCACAGCACCTATCCCAGAGGTCATTTCTGATGTTAGAGTTCCCTTGGATATTTGTTAAAAAATGTGTCCTCCCAGACCCCAACCCAGACTTACTGAATGAGAAGAAACTCAGGGATAAAGCTCAGAAATCCTTAATTTTTAACAGCCTCTCTTGGTGATTCAATCTGAAAACCTTTTGTCCCAGATCACTAGTTCTTACCCCTGATTTCACATTAAAAATTAAAACCACCTGAGAAACTTCTTTTTTTTGAGACAGGGTTTCACTCTGTCACCCAGGCTGGCGTGCAGTGACACAAACTTGGCTCACTGCAGCCTCGACTTCCCAGGCTCAACAATCCTCCCACATCAGCCTCTCAAGTAGCTGAGACTACAGGCACACGCCACCACTCCTGGCTAATTTTTGTATTTTTTTGTAGAGGTGGGGTTTTGCCATGTTGCCCTGGCTGGTCTCGAACTCCTGGGCTCAGGCAATCTGCCTGCCTCAGCCTCCCAAAGTGCTAGGATTACAGGAGTGAGCCACCATGCCGCCCCCCACCCTGTCCCTGAGAAACTTCCAAAAGCAGCATGTCCTGGCCCAGAAATCTGTACTTTTTAAGTTCTCTGTCCCACCCATTCCAGGGAGATTCTAAAGTAAAGCTAGTGTGGAAAACCATTTTTCTAGAATTCAGTGCTTCTCAAACAAGCGTGCATTCAAATCATCTGGGAATCTTGTTAAATGCAGATATTGATCCCGTACGTCTGGGGCAGGTCCTGCGACTCTGCATTTCTAATAATCTGTGGTGCAGCAGATGCTGCTGGTACTACTTTGAGTGGCAAGATTCTCCATGGTAGATCCTTAACCTTGGCTGATCACTAGGATCACCCGTGCCGATTGCATTGGTTTCTTAGGGCTGCTGAAACGAATACCAGAAACTTCTGGCTTCAAATAGCACACATTTATTCTCTTACAGTTTTGGAAATCAGAAGTCCAAAACCAGTTCCACTGGGCCAAAGTCAAGGTGTCAGCAAGGCTGCCTTCCTTCTAAAGGCTGTAGGAGAAATCCATTTCCTTGACCTTTCTAGTTTCTGGAGGGCACTTACGGTCCTTGGCTGCTCATGGACCCTTCCTCCATTTGCAAAGGGCATCATCACTCCTATCTCTGCTTCCCTTGTCCCCTGGCCTCCGACTCCTCCCCAATAAGGAACCTTGTGGTTACGTCAGGCTCACCTAGATAATCCAGGGTGATCCCCTCATCTCAACACCCTTAACTTAATCACACCTGCAAAGTCCCTTTCACCATATAACAGCATGTTTATAGCAGTACAATTCGCTATTGAGAAAATATGGAACCAGCCCAAATCTCTATCAATCAACGAGTGGATGAAGAAATTGTGGTGTGTGTATATATATATATATATATATATATATATATATACACACACACACACATATATATATATACACACACATATATATATACACACACATATACATATATATAATTATGTTTTTGTATTTTTGTATATATATTGTGTATATACATATACCACAATTTCTTCATCATATATTCATATAGATATATGACGGAATACATCATAATTCATATATATATGATGGAATACTACTCAGCCATAAAAAGAAACGAATTAATGACATTTGCAGCAACCTGGATGGAACTGGAGACTATTATTCTAAGTGAAGTAACTCAGGAATGGAAAACCAAACATTGTATATTCTCACTCATAAGTGGGAGCTAAGCTATGAGGATGCAAAGGCATAAGAATGACACAATGGGCTTTAGTGACTCGGGAGGAAAGGTTGGGAAGGGGGCGAGGGATAAAAGGCTACAAATTGGGTGCAGTGTACACTGCTTGAGTGATGGGTGCACCAAAATCTCACAAATCACCACTAAAGAACTTACTCATGTAGCAAAACACCACCTGTTCCCCCCAAACCTATGGAAATTAGAAAACAAAATCACAGGCTCCAGGAATTAGAACATTTTTGTTGGGGGTGCATGCATTCTTCAGCCTACCACAGAGATTTTTTTTTTTTTTAATTCTGAAACTGAGGTCCCTTGGTAAAGACCCTGTTGTGTTTGGTCTAGGGCAAGGCCAGGCCCAGGTATTGTCAGAGGCTCTGGGCTGAGGACAGCACTATGCATAGGGGGTTTGCGAAATGCCGCTCCCCCTAGGCCAGGGCACACTCGCGCAGGGCTTCCCTCCACCCCTTCCACTGATTCCACCCTGGACTTCCACTCAAAAACCCCAGCACACAAACTGAGGCCTCACAAGAGAGTCAAGGAGGCAAATGTTGGTCTTTCCCCCTGCTTGGGAGGCCATTGCAATTAGGGACCTGGTTCCTGCTTTTTGTCCTGGGCATTCACAGAGCTAGGGCAGCAGGCAGAGGGTTGAATCAGCCCTTCTCCACAAGCAGGCCCTGGATATTAGTGCGTTTCCTTTTTATTTGGCATTTATAGTATTCCCAGCCACTTCTCAACCCTTATAATTATAACCCGGATCCCACTCAGCCTCCTTCGGCTCGGGTTTAAAAGCTAAGCGATCTCTTGAAGCAGCCAACTATTAAAACTTCATGGCCTTTTACGAAATATCAGTTGACAGAAGGTATTATGAAACATTGCCTAGTATAATTACAATTACAGTGCAATTGTCGACACCCATGAGTCAAGCATACTGTGTGAAGTGACAGTCGGGATGGCATAGTTTCTTCCCTCGCTGGCTGCCCAGGCCTGGGGCTTTCCTAATCCGTCTCCATTGCCTGGTCCTTGCCATCAGCTCTGAGGGGCGAAAGCCAGCCACTCAGCCAGACAGGGGCCAACCGCACTGGTGGCTTCTGGCCTTATCTTTGTATGATGCAGCATGCTGGTTTTCTACTAGGCCTTTCCGGGGACTTAAGGCATGGCTTTGAGCAGGGGCTGGGTGTTCCATTTTCCTTTACGACTTCAGCTACAGCAATACAAACAAGCCCTGGCATGTGCCTATCGGCATGGCCACCTAGGTGTCCCAGATGAGTATGATTTTTGGTGGGATCCCCAAGAATATCTATCTCCCTGCCCTCTCTGACTGCCAAACTTCTCCAGGAAGGGCTGTACAGATGCTTTAAGTCTCTCAACACTGCAGACTAACTTCAGCCACCATCTCTCTCCTGTGCTATCTTGAAGATCACCTCAAGGCTGAATCCAATGGCATTCTCCCAGTCCTCACTCTCCTTAATCTCTGTTTTCAGTTTCATGCTGTTGAAATTCGCTCTTAGTATAAAGTCCAAATTTTATTACTATGGGCTATGTCATCTGGCCCCATCCTACCCTTCCAGTTCTATCACATGTCCCCTTCCTCTCTGGTCTCTGTGCACCTGTCACCCTGGCCATCTGCTGCCCTCCAATGTGCCAAGCTCTTTCCTGTCTCAGCAGCTTTGCCCTGCTTTTCCCTCTGCTGGAAAGCCCATCCACTCTTCTTCCTTGGCTAGGTGCTTTTTCACCTGCACATCTGAGCTGGAATAGCACCTGCTGAAAGAGGTCTTCCCTGGCCGCCTCTCTAAAAGGATGTGTCACCCATTCTTAATACCCTCTATCACAGCAGCCAGCTTACTTCCTTCATAACCATTATTGTCTTTTGTAATTATTTGTTAGTTTCTTACTTGGCTCATCTGTTTTTTTCCACTGGACAGCAAGCTTCTCAAAGAGAAGGACCAGATTTGTCTTGTTCATCAATGAATCTCCAGCGACAGGAGCTGAATACATAGACTGAATTGACTGGCCCCCTGTATAAGTTCTCCCTTGGCTCTGCGCTGTTTTGCTCTTCTGCTCTTCTCCCGCTTCTTCTTTCCTTCATTGGCCTCCTCCACCATTTCTTAAGGTTTACCTTGACCCCACCTCTTCTTGTTTGGTTTGTTCATGAACTCCTGTGAACTCAGCAGCCTCCTCTTGAGGGCTGAGAGCTACGTCTCTACCCACCTACACCCTAGGGCCCAATATCCAGCCTTCAATGCCCATCTTCTATTTTATTGTGCTTGCCAGACATTTCCATCAGGAAGGTCATTTTCCCCTAAGCCAGCTTTTCCTCCGGATTTCCGTATTTCTCTTGATGGTATCTTTCTTTAGTCATTTAGGCTTGACATCTCGGCACCATTTTTTACTCCAATCCTCTTCCTTTATTCAATCAGGTAAAAAGCTACATAGTAGCTACACATTATCCTCTGCCATGGGTCTTCTTCAGAAGCATAGCCCCTCTTTCCTGGATTATGCAAATAGCCGCTTAACTGATTTCCTGACCTCAGCTTCTCCCCACCATGCTCCATCTTTCTGTCACTGTATTAGTTGACACTGTATTCTTCCAGTGCTCAAACACCTTTAGTGGCTCCCTACTGGCAACAAAGTAAAGTCCAAATTCCTTAGCCTGATAATCAGGCCCCAAGTTACCTTTCTGGTTGGCCTTCTATTATTGCCCCATCTGTAGTCTCCATGTTCTAATCCAATATTTGTCATTCCCCTCTGAGCCTTCCTACCTCTGATTCTTTGCTTCTGCCATTTTCTTCATCTGCAATGCCCTCCTCCATCTTTGTCTGACAGTATATCAAGAACCACTCCCAAGGCTCCCTTTTTTATACATTTTCCTTTGATTCTGTCCAACAAGAATGACTGAATGCCATGCCTATCTTTTATGTCACTTTTCTCTGAATTTCAGTTATATCTATACCTATGTCTTTTTTAGACCATATTCAAGTTCTATGAGGATTTTTAAAAAAAAACTATGTCATAACAATTGTTACTGCTTCAATGCATGAATACCCCCATGCCCACATGTGTGTGTGTGTGTGCAGACACATACACACGCACACACACAGAGGTAGTTAAAAGTCTTTAACAAGGGCTGTAAATAATTGTCCTCAAGGCACTCTACGGAGAACTCACTGACACCCATGAAAGGATGGAGCAAGTTTATGTTACACAGATGTCAGAATAATGTTGTGGCTTACTCTCTATGGAGCTTGGACCTCTAAATTAAACTGAAACAACCCTTGTGATCATCCTCCCAGCCGTGATTTAACTGCAGTCCCTCATGGAAGGAAACCAGTCTGGACCTAGAGGAAATCAAGCTGTTGTCTGAAAGGCTGGATGCAGGGGCTGAGTGAGCACAGGCTCTGTCAGTACTGATCCCAGTGAGCTTGTCACAGGCATCTGTTTCTGCGGCACGACATAGAGTATTTGCCAAAGGAAGTTGGGGACTTCTTAACCAGTGACAAATGGCTCTCTCATCTCTGAGCTCATGTGGCACTTTTTACCATTCATCTTTAGGGAACCAAAGCAGTAAACATGTCAAGTAACCATTGTAGTGCCCAGTGGCTAGAACACACCCGACCCATAGTAGACACTCAATGTTTCATTAAAGAAAGAATAAATGCATGGGCTTCTCTATTCCCCTCTCACCACGGGGAAGCTCATACTTCCAAATATTAGGATGAAGTGCCTTCTTACCTGGCCTTCTGGGACAGCTCACAGAACACCGGCAACCACTATTGCTTACCTGGAAGCTTTGTCCAGGCACCTGGCATCATAAGTCTCAGGCTCCATGGAAAGAGCCCACCTGGATCTGGAGTTCTGCATGGGGGGTGGGGGGGAAAGAAAAAAATGCTTTAAAATCAGAGAAGGCCTTGTGTTGCATCTCAGTTCTGTGACCTTAGACCTATGCCATCCAATATGGTAGCCACTAGCCACACGTGGCTATTTAAATCGAAATCAAATAAAATTAGATACAATTAGAAACCAGTTCCTTAGTAGCACTAGCCACATTTTCAGTGCTCAATGGCCACATAAGGCTACTGGCTTCCACACTGGACAGCACAGACATAGAACATTTCCAACATTGCTGAAAGCTCTACTGGGTAAGCACTGCCATAGACAAATCACTTAGCATCTTTGAAGTCTCAGTTTACTCATTTGTCAGTTGGATTGGATGGTAACCAAGGTTCTTTTTTCTGAAAATTTTGGAAAGTCTGGAATCCACACCTATTCCCTTCGAAGTGCTAGAATATGACTGGTTGACGAATAATTAGAATATAAAATGGCCAGAGAATAATGACAACAGAAGTTTAGCTACAAGCTTGGTGCAACAGTTGGAGAAAGGGGAGAAATTTGCTTTGACCTGGTACTTTGCAGACTCTCACTATGCTAAAGTCACACCTTGTCTTTCACCCCCTGCACTTATAGCCCCGCTCCCAAGCCCTTCCCCAGCCTCAAAAAATATATTCAACTCCTTGAGCCTACTCTCTGCTAGTTGGCTAAACTGATCAACTAAGTACCACTACATTTTAGTGTTGATGCCCAAAGGGTTCAAATGATAGCTTAGCATGCTGCAGGGCAAGAGCACAAGCCAGGATTTAGCAGAGCTCAGAGCTAGACCTTGACCTGTCACCATGCAGCTGGTAACTTTGGATAAGTCACCTGCTGGGGCACAATTTCTTCATATGTAACATTATATATAAGTCTAAGGACTTCAAGGTCATCCCCAAATCCAAGATTCTAGATTGTAGCATTAGGGTTTTCCATTGCACTGGCCAGTTTGCACTGGCCATGAAGGGATTAGCAAGATTGTCTCTAGAGTGATGAGGAAGGTCTCATAGAATAGGCGTATTCCCCTTCCCAAAGCCCTAGGCTAGGTAGTACAGTGCAAGCTGCCCTTGTTTCTAATCGAGCTCCCTCCTGCAGATGAGTCACTCAGCAGAAAAGGTGTGTCCAGGCGCCTGCCTGCCTCGGCTCATTAATGGAATTCCTTATATGGCACTTGTTTTTCTGACAGGCAATATGTTCTTGGAAATGAAGCTTAAGTCAGGTCTTCAGGTGACATTCAGAGAACATTTGCTTTGTTTTGTTTCACAAAATGTGGTCTCAAGGCTAACAGTCCTTTCACCAGGAAGTTTCCTCCTGGACATGTTCAGCTGCCACAGAAATAGTTCAGATTCAGGGCCAAAAGCAAGGGGCATAGTGTGCCCTACTCTCTCCCACAAATAATCCCATGTTCTCTGAAAAGAGGGCACCACGAAGGCAGAAGCCCAGACAACTGGAGCCCTGCTGTAGCCAGTGTCTCTGCCAGGGTGGTGTGGAGATGCAGAGTCCTGCACGTGGTCTTCCCTTCCTTCTCTCTCTTCTTATGGCACATGGGCTGCTGCAGTGCAGAAAGGCTTGGTGTGTCCATGCTGGCTGGACAAGGACAATGAGGGTATGGCCATATTCCCAGAGGGGAGTTTGGGTCAGCATGACCCTGTACAGTGAGGGTAGCTCACTCTGCTCACAGACTGAACACAGGACCTTCTGCCTGCGCCCCCACCCTCCATCTCTGGAGAATGCTGGCCTCTCTTAAGTCAAGACCGAGATGCCCCAGCCCCTGGCAATAGAAACTGTTCACCCTGCCTGCCTGAACCTGGAGTTTTCCAATACCATGCATGAGGGCTAGTTATGTGTCAGGGGCCATTTCATGCCTCACCGCATTGTCTCTGAGCCTCATGGTCACCCTGCAAGGTAGGTATTATTATCTTTCCTACTTTACCGATGAGAAGAATGGGGAGCATGACTTACCTATAGTCACCCAAACAGACAAGTGGCTGAGCTGGGACCAGAACTAGCTCTGGGAGGCTTTGGTACCCATGCTCTGGTTCTTTGAAGACTGGAGCCCTCCTAGAATAAATGAGTTTAAGGTTCAGCTATTAAGTTTGAAGAAAAGTCTAGGAAGGGAAATATATTTCTTTCCTATTGCTGCTGTAAGAAATTGCCACAAATTTAGTGGCTTTAAAAAACACAGATTTATTCTTTTAGAATTTTGGAGGCTGGAAGTTCGAAATAAATTTCAGTGGGCTAAAGTCAAGGTGCCAGCAGGGCTCATTCCTTCTGGAGGTTCTAGAGGAGAATCCATTTTCTTCCCTTTCTATCTACAGGCTGTCTGCATTCCTTAGTCATGTATCCAAAGGCCCTTTTGCCATATAAGGTAACATAGTTACAGGTTCTGGGGATTAGAGAATGGATACCTTTGGAAGGCATTTTTTCAGCCTCCCACAGGGGATTTCTCATTCACCTTGAGAAACATAAATAGTTGTTGAAAATGCATTTCAGTTACCTCCTTCACCTCTGCTCAGCCCTTTTCTCTTCCCCTTGGGTGGAAAGCAGGTCTGCAGAGACCCAGGGGTCCTGAGATGGTAGAAGGAGAAGACCCCACACAGAGGCGCTGGGCACATGCACCCAGGCCACTCCTTGCTCCTGTGCACTCTTTTCTGTGGGGGTGGAGGCAGGAGAGTGAGAGGTCAGCGGCCTAGGGGCTGATACATTAGCTTTCTCAACCTCCTTTCTCATATGAAGGAAGCCCCCATTTCCTCTAAACTGCTTCACTACGATGGCCAGAAAAAAGAGCACCTATTTGCTTTAAGTATGTATTTTGTGTCCCATTGCATTTGAAATATGTCCAGTTTCCTCCCATGGTCTTCACAAGGCCCTGCAAGATGAGCCTCCTGGCCACGTTTCCCGTCTCGACCCATGCCATTGCCTTCTTCCTCCCTATGTTCTAGCCACACAAGCATGGCTGACACAAGAGAATGCTCACAATTTCAGCAGAACCAGCCATTGTTTTTTTCTGGTACTGCTTGCTGATAAGACACGTGTGCAGTGGCTTAATGTGTCCACATATGTCAGAGTCTTGCTTTCCACAATGCTTAGACTGTCTTTGAAAACAGAAATGTTATCTAAGCAACCTAACCCCCTTATAGATTTTTTTAAAAGCCCACAACAAAAAAGCATTAAAGTAACTAAACCAATACCTTTAAGTCACTCAAGTTCTAGCTAGGGACTGTTAGAACGACTTCTTCCTTCAAAGCCTAATATATTTTGCAAAATTACTCCCTGTGTGGCAAGCAGGATGGTTAATATTATCCTTACTTTAGAGATGGCGAGACAGTCTCAGAAAAAGGAAGACAAACAACTTTTAAATAATAGTCCCAAGACTAGAGCCCAGTCTTTCTTTCTTTTCTTTTTTTTTTTTTTTGAGATGGAGTTTCGCTCTTGTTGCCTAGGCTGGAGTGCGATGGCGTGATCTCGGCTCACAGCAACCTCTGCCTCCCAGGTTCAAGCCATTCTCCTGCCTCAGCCTCCAGAGTAGATGGGATTACAGGCATGCGCCACCACACCCGGCTAATTTTGTATTTTTAGTAGAGACGGGATTTCTCCATGTTGGTTAGGCTGGTCTTGAACTCCGGTCCTCAGGTGATTCGCCTACCTCGGCCTCCCAAAGTGCTGGGATTACAGGCGTGAGCCACTGCGCCCGGCCGAGCCCAGTCTTTCTAAACCACCCCTCCTTCTGTGCTTTGCACCTTAGGGTACTTGAAGATAAAGGATAAGGAACACTGTGAAAAGACAAAACAACAGCGAGGTCTGCAAAATGATAAGCAACACAAATTGGATGCTGATAAAAAACTGGACACAATCTATAGATATATGATATATGATATATGATATACCACTATAGAGTTCAGCTTGGCGGGACCAGAGGGTGAGAGCTACTTCTGGGGAACCCTAGCCTACTTGGCTGCTTTCAGCCCGTATGTGCCCTGCACCCTTCATCCCTTTTCCTGCAATTTTTCTGTTTCTCCCTCCAACTCCACTCTGACTCAGACGTCAGGAGACAGCAGCTGAGGCCAGTGGGAGATGAGAAGGGGAGGAGGGGGCCAGAAACCATCTCTTCTCTGTGCCCCACCCACCCTCATGGCCCTTCTATATGTAGTTGATTAACTTTGCCCAGGTCATTCTTGGAATGCCAGAAGTTGGAGGGCAGGAAAAGAGGCATTTCTTCCAGAGTTTTCAATGGACGGGTCTTCCTAAAACATTTGCAGGGGCACCAGAATATAAAGTTTTAGGCTCAGGCCAGTAGTAAAGTGTTATGTATGCATGTTTTATTGCTTGTTTGCTTATTTCTAATGACCAGATCTTAGAGGAGAACATGGGCTCTGCTCTCTGACCAATGGGCTCTAACCCCCATACTATCTTGGCCAGGTCACAAACTTTTTGAGCCTTAATAGTCTCATTTGTACAACTGAAGTAATAAGAATACCCACCTTTCTGGGATTGTAAAGAGGATTAATTAAGATAATGTATGATGCCGAGTAGTTTCTCAATAAACTAGAGTTATCATTGACTTCACCGTGCCTGCCATCTTGAATACAGTCTTTGATCAACAGGTGAATGGATGATACATAAAATAAGGTTATATCATTGCATCCATGTTGCAGACATGAACCAGAGCTCTGGAATCCAAGAAAAGTTTTGGCATTCCACTCTCCCTTCTCAAGGATGACTTTAATCTTCAGAACCCATGTATGGATGCTCATTGTGGGTAAACGTGAATTAGCAGTAACAAATCACGAAGCTTCCAGGAGGATCCAGGAGTCCTTTTTCTGACCAGGCTACAACCATTAACAGGTCTCAAACAGCATTAAAAGAAATAGGCTGGAATAGAAAATACCAATAGTAAGGGTATTTTTTTAGCTTTTGTTTTTTTCATATGAAATTAAAATATAGTAGAATTTAATTTACTATAAATTTATAGTAAATTAAATTCAGTATGCTGTACTCATGTATACATATAAATATGCAAACATAAATACTTATATGTATTATTTTATTTATACTTATTTGTATTTATGTTTGTGTATTTATATGTATACATGTGTATAGCATACTGAATTTAATGTACTATATAGTTCTTACTTTGGGTTATAATCCAAAAACTTTCAAAGATGCTGTTCTTGGTATAGACATTGCCTTTGCCCAATTTTCATAGAACAATAATTACTGTGGATTGTCCACCTCGTGACTATTTTTGGACTGTGTGTTTTAACAGAGCAACACCAAGAGTGAATATGAGAATCTAGGGTTTGGGGAAGACTCATGTTCTCAAGCTGCCTGCCTAGGTCATCCCCTGTTTCTTCAGGGAGCAGAGTTAATGGTACATTTTAAGCAATGGAGCCATTGAGTGAGTGACACTTGGGAGTTTACATTGGTGGGGGTATGTCAGTGACTGCTTGTGGGTGCTTCCGCTGCCCATATGTATGGTGCAGGCTGGACTTCAGGGAAATATCACGGAACACAATGACCGCTTACATTCCTTGCCCTGCGAACCACATCTCCAGCTCGGTCTCTGCCATTTCTGAGCTGTGTGTTGAGCCCTTCCTCTATAGGAGGAAAGTCTTCAGGGTAGGAAAAGAACCCTGTGGAGGAGCACAGGAGCATGCAGCATCCTGTGACTACCCCTCCTGGCAGAAAAACAATGGACTCTCCCAATGACGCCAGTGGTGATTCCTCACAGCACCTCCACTCAGAGATAAGTATTCATACTGGTTTGAATTAGACAGAAAATACAGGAATAATAAATAATGCTCATCTTTCAGGGACCATAAAAAAGGAGTAATTAATGTGAAATTCAGAGCCATTTGATGATGAGAAAGGATGAAGGCAGCCTTCCTGGCGAGACGATGTGGAAAGAGCAATGGACTGGGAGCCAGAAGGCCTGGTGTGCAGGAGCAAGTCTACCACTAACCAACTGATCTCCTGGACACACCATAGCCTCTCTAGGCTTCAGTGTCCTCATCTGTGAAATGAAGGAGTCAGTATAGGTCATGGGGTGGAGAAGGAAGAGGGTGTGGCCAGATAATTATTTAAGCCAAATAACTGTTCATTGAAAAATTGACCAGAAGATACAAAAACCCATCAAAATGAGGCAACTCTGAGGCAAAATGGGGCCCCAAAGTCTGGGGCCCCACTTTGATTTCTCCCATGACAGGTAGAATCCTCAGGTGGCCCCTAAGAACCCCAGCCCCACTGTGTACCTCCTTCCTCTCATTTATTCAAACACTAATCTAAGTACTGCTATGGGGGAATTTTGGAGGTGTATTTAGAAGTCCAAATCCATTGGGCTTAAGATGGGGATATTTTCCAGGTGGGTCTGACCTGATTATACGAATCCTTTTACAGTAGAGAGTTTACTCTGGCTGATGACCAAACAGAAAGCCAGAGATTGGAAGCACAAGAAGGATTTGACACATCATTGATGGCTTGAAGATCTAGGGGCCCAAGTGGCAAGGAAAGTGGCAGTTTCGAGTAGCTGAGAGCAGCCTCCACTCCACGGCAGCCAGCCAGAACAAGGACTTCAGTCCTATGGATGTAACAAGAAGAAACTTAGAAGTCAGCTTTTCCCCAGAGCCTCTAGGCAAGAACTCAGCCTTGTGAGACCCTGAGCAGAGAATTCAGCCACGCTGTGCCAGACTTCTGACCTACAGGACTGTGAGATACTAAATGGAGGCAGTTTTAAGCTGCTAAATTTATGATAATATGTTTCACAGCAACAGAATATCAATACACTCCCCACATCGCATGGTGGCTGGCAAGGACCTCCACAAAATGCCAACCTCTGAGGATCCCCATAAAGACACCTGAATTAGATTGTCTCTGCCATCTTTCATGGCTGCAAGTTTCTACATTCCCCCCAACATTTCATGTCGTTCTGAGAATAGCTTGATGGAAACCATATTTGAAGCTGTGAGCTGTAGAAAGTCTCCACTTCTTGTTTGTTTTTTTTGTCTAGTGACTTGTGGGCCATCAGAAAGAAGTGTGAATTGCTAAGTAATAATTGTATAACATGGAACAGGGTAATAAACATTTTTCAGGGTTTGGTTGGTCCGAGAATATGGAAAATGTATTGGTAGTCAGTAGAACCAAGTTACATGTCACCCTTGGGTAGGCAGCTGACTGGATGAGGCAGTTTACCGCCTAACTAAAGCTCTAATCTCAGAATGTCAGAGTCTCCTTTGTTCTGGCCACCCCAAGATGAAATTACAGCCAAGCATTATGTTCAGAGAATAGTCAGCCCACCTAGGCCACTTACACCAAGCCAAGAATGAGAAGAATTTGGCCAAGGAAGCTGGTGGAGTCCATCTTTATCCATTGTGTTGTTCTCTTTGAGTGTCCTCTGATGCAAAGGAGGAAATTCATGGTGACTTTAAATGTCACCAGTGTTTCAATGAAAACAGGAATATTGCCTATGGAAACACTTCCTGACTCAGAAAAATCGTTACGACCTCCAAGACCCTAATTATCCCAGGCGGGTCCCAACACTCCCTTGGTGGAACTACTTCACAGTAGGGAAAGAGAGCATAATAGTCAGAAACTTGGATCTGATTCTTATCCCTGCCACTCACTAGCTGTATGCCTTAGGTAAGTTGCACAAATTCTTTGAGCCTCAGTTTCCTCATCCACAGGGATGACTAAGAATGCCTTCCTAAATAGGAATAATAGTGCTCACTTCATAGAGATCTAGTGAAAATTGCCTAAGATCACATGCATAAAAGATCTCATACAGTATTCAATAAATGTCAATCATAGTAGTAGAAGTTATATTTTTATCATATTTGTCCTTTAACAGTTTCCGTATTGGAAACAGTTCTTCCATTCTAGGGGAAATTTATCATTCTGCCTCTGACCTGGTCTTCATTCCTGAAGAATTTATGGAGTTCCTACTGAGATAGCCAGGGTTCTCCTGGTAATCAAAATATTATAAATGACCTATAAGAAATAACCCTTTTTCTCTAGGAGCTCATATTTTTATATTAAAAAGATATGCAGATTATATAAGCAAAATGGAATAAGTTAAAGTATCAACCACAAATTGCTGCAACAATCTTTGGTATCATTTATCATCATCATAATTATTATTATTACTATGAGTAGCTGAAGAATAACCACAGGATTCAGTGTTTAATATGCATTCTTAGGCCAGGTGCAGTGAATCACGCCTGCAATCCCAGCACTTTGGAAGGTCAAGGCCGGAGGATCACTTGAAGCCCGGAGATTGAGATCAGCCTGGGCAACAAAGTGAGACCCTATCTCTACAAAATATTAGCCAGGTGTGGTGGCATGTGCTTGTAGTCCCTGCCTCTGGGGAGGCTGAGATGGGAGAATTGCCTGAGCCCGGGAGGTCAAGGCTGCAGTGAACTGTGATCAAGCCACTGTTCTCCAGCCTAGGTGACAGAGAGAGACCCTGTCTCTTAAAAAAATGCATTCTTGGCCAGGTGCAGTGGCTCACACCTGTAATCCCAGAACTTTGGGAGGCTGAGGTGGGAGGATCACCTGAGGTCAGGAGTTCAAAACCAGCCTGGCCAACATGGTGAAACCCCGTCTCTACTAAAAGTACAAAAAAATTAGCTCGGTGTGGTGGTGGGCACCTGTAATCCCAGCTACTCAGGAGGCTGAGGCAGGAGAATTGCTTGAACCCAGGAGGCTGAGGTTGCAGTGAGCCAAGATCACACCAATACACTCCAGCCTGGGCAACAAGAGCGAGACTCCATCTCAAAAAAAATGCATTTTTAGACTTTAGAATAAGCAAAGTTCAATGTGAACTTATAGGTTGGGAAAGGTCCTATGTGGGGTGGGCAGGCAGCAATGGGACTGAAGCCATGGAGGGGGTGGGTGGAATTCACTAGATGCATGGAAGGACAGCTCAGCAGGATACCTGAAGTTGAGGCTGACTAAAGTGTCGTCAGGATTTAAAGGTGTGACATGTTAGGAACTGAAAGTTTGTGTTAGAACACTGCAGGTGAGAAGCTTCTATCAGTAAAGAAGACGCTATTTTAGCAAGCTTTGAACATCACACTTGAGTGATGGAGACTTGGCACTCAAACAGCTAATAAGAAGTCATGTAGATTGTTTAAGAAATGGAGGGCATGTGGAGATTGGCACTTGAGGGCTAATCATGGGTAATTTGCCCACCTCTTTTGAGTCTCAGTTTCCTCATCCACGTGGGCAGTGGTGTGTAGGCTGGGTGGCCCAGTGGGGAGACTGGAGGAGACAGGGAGGTCAGTGCAGAGGCTGCTCTACAATGCTTCTGACAGAGGTGAAGAGATTCTCTAGGGAAGTGCTTCTTAAACTGCAGTGTGCACAAAAATCCCCTGAGACCTTGCTCAAATGCAGATCCTGATTGAGTCTCTGCCAGGACTATCTCCCAGGTGATGCTGATGCTAGTGATCAGGGACTACACTTGAGTAACAAGGACCAAGACTAAGAGTTACAGCAGAAATGGAGAGACAGAGATGCATGCATCAAAGGAAGACCTGGTAGAAGCTAGCCTTTGATGAAGTACTGAGACATCCTGCAACGTGGATGAAGGTGAACCTCCAAAACATATGCTCAGTGAAAGAAGCGAGGCACAAAAGAACACATAGCGTATGGTTCTGCTTTTTTTTTTTTTTTTTTTTTTTGAGACGGAGTCTCGCTCTGTCGCCCAGGCTGGAGTGCAGTGGCGGGATCTCGGCTCACTGCAAGCTCCGCCTCCCGGGTTCACGCCATTCTCCTGCCTCAGCCTCCCAAGTAGCTGGGACTACAGGCGCCCGCCACTACGCCCGGCTAATTTTTTGTATTTTTAGTAGAGACGGGGTTTCACCGTTTTAGCCGGGATGGTCTCGATCTCCTGACCTCGTGATCCGCCCGCCTTGGCCTCCCAGGTTCTGCTTATATGAAATGTCCAGAAAAGGCAAAAAGCAAAAATATTGGGCCAGTAAGCAGATGAGTGGTTGCTTAGGATAGAGAGTGGAAAAAGAAGTGATTGTGTGTGGGCATGAGGCTTTTTAGGGGGTGAGAAAAATGTTCTGAAATTAGATTATGGGGATTGTTATACAATTTTATAAACATACAAAAAATAGTTGAATTGTATACTTACAGTAAGTTAATTTTATGGTAAATAAAGTTGTTAATTTTAAAAAAAAGATTCAATACAAGTTTGTGTTTGAAACATAGGAGATAACAGAAAGGAAACAATACAAGAAGAAATTCATCTGTTAAGCCTGTTCCATGGACAGGCTAGCTTTTGTTCTCCCTTGCTTCCTCCTCTTGAAAACAGCGAGTCTGATGGACTGGGATCTGAGCTCAGAGCTAACCTAGGTATTTTAGACACTTCAGTAGTTAGAGAAATTCCTTTTAGTGATCCCAAATCACACCTTGGGTATAACTACCTCCACTGCAGGACTGGTCAGGTTAGCAACCTGGAAAGGCATGAGGGGAAAAGAATGAATCATCAGAAAATATATAGTGTAATCATCTGAAAAGGTGACTCACGCATGAATTTTTACATGCCTATTCTTTACTCAGACCCCAGTAATATCTCTTACATTGAAAAACTATACGTCCTCAGGTTTCCAAGCACAAAATTGTGTTCAGACATTGCATTGCTTTTACCACAATCTGCATACAGCACCAGAGTCTGGAGATTCTGGGTCAGTGTGATCCCAGGACCAGTAACATCAGCATCATCTGAGGACTTGGTAGAAATACAGACTCTTACGCTCCACCCTAGGATTACAGAATCAGAAACTGGGTGTGGGGCCCAGAAGTCTGTTTTAACAAGCCCTCCAGGTAATTATTTGCATGTTAACATTTGAGAACTACTACTGTAGGTCATGATATGTGCGTGCACACACACACACACACACACACACCAGCCTCACTTGGGAAATGATGCTTATTCCAAGACAAGAGCTACTGTCTTGTAAGGGCAGAAGTTATGATGGCAAATATACGGCAGGAATGCAACCACTTCCATCTTCCCTATACATGCCTGTCACCACTAATCCATCACTGCAATCTTTCATAATGAGTCAGGGTAGCAGTGCCTTTGGCCATCTAGCAGGAGAAAACCTCACCAGGTGTCCTGCACTAACATGGAGTTGGGTGGGGAAAGGCTGAAGTAGATTTAGAAATTGCAATGTGGAGAATTTGGCAGAAAGTGAGAGCCTGATATAGATAGTGTTACTAATTCCCCACGGTCTTGGGTGGCCCATAGGAGATTAAGAATTTCCTATTATCCAAGCTGGGGAACATGGGCTGAAAGATTGGTAGATCCAACAAGGCCTGGAGTCCAAACAAATAAACTCACAAAGTGCCAGAATCTCAAATCCAGAATTGAGGGGCAGAATGAAACTGTCAGATGCGAACATGAGGTCCCAAAGGCCAGGTGGAATCAGCCACATCTGGTGGAAACTGATGCAAGTTATCCAGTGACAAGGTAGGACAAGGGACATCCTGGAAGAGGTCACAGAAGATCCACGGGACAGCTCACACCAAAGACCCCCCTCCCAGCTTCCTTGTTCAAGAAGAGTAAGCTTTCCCCTCCCAGAAGCCATTTCGGGGAGGAGAAGGTAGAAAGGATTTTCTTTGAGAACACAGATATAGCCCTGATATTGAAATACTTAACTGAATACTTACCCCAAAGAGGCAGTTATAAACTGGAAGAGACTGGGTTATCTGTGAAACTGTGAGGTAGATAGGAATTTTAGATCTGTTTCAGAGAATAAAGTTAAAATTTGGGGGGCAAACATCTGATTTGTAACTGTTCATAAAGCTACCTATCAAAATGTTATGGATTTCAGGTTTTTTTTTTTTTTGTCTTGACATTAGTTTCTCCTGGTCCAGCTAAAACAAGCAGGGCGTGGGAGGCAGATGCAAAGGTCGGCATTGGCCTCAGAGGGTTGACCAGCTCCAGGTTTCAACACGAGGTGCCCCTTGTCCTATTTCAGAATGCTTCCCCTTCAGCCTAAAAGGTTTCAACAGTTAGTGCTTCCCCTTCAGCCTAAAAGGTTTCGACAGTTAGTGCCATTTGGTCCAGTCACATAATCACAGCTGGTAATTGGAGAAGGTGAACATGTGCTTCCAACATTCACTTTTCGTAGACTCATTAGGTCAAAGATCATCTGAGCAAACCCTCTCATTTTACAGATGAGGAAACCAAGGTCAAAGAAGCTAAACTAAGTTACTCGCGAGCTGTAGCTGGAAAAAAGCTGGAACCAGAATCCTAATTGCTCCAAGTCCAAATTCACAGCTCTTTCTAGCACATCAAGCTGCTCATAAACCAGAAATGATCCGTTCCACACACTGTAATCATAAACCAAAACCCAAAGATTCCAAGTAGTCTCTTTCTTGAAAGAAACCATTGGTGTTTGCTTTACTTCTTCTTCCTACATGTGTTTTGAGAGATGTTGTGAATCTCCTGATGAAAAGCTGTTCTGAGAGAAGCTGAGACAAAGCCTCAGTGATCTATGGCTGCCAAAGTCAGCCCCTCTGCAGCTGTACCAGGACAGAGGAGGCGGGGAGGCAGCCAAGCTGTCTTCAGTGCTGTATTCAGAGGTGCGAGCGCCTGGAATTCTGCAATCCAAAAGGGCCTTCTGGGGGTCAGCTGCCTTCTTAGTGTCTTTGAGGGATCACCCTTTGAAGAATCATCCTTCGACTGAAGGAGGACTTTGCACATGTCATGCAGTGTGAGTTTCAAAGACTGCCAGAATCCAAAGTCTCGATCAATCCATCAGGATGGGGACAACTTTTAGACAGGATCTGGTGATAATGTGGTGCATATCTTCTTTCTTCCATGACCTCAGAAATTTTGTTTTTAATTTGTGCTGGGAAGAAAAATGGAAATCAGAGCAATCACCTGGATAATTTTCTCCAAAAACACACATTTGCTTTAGTTTCCTGGAATGACTATTCATGAATGCGTTCAGATGCAAGTGTTATTTATCTGTTAGCCCCATAAATCTCATGGGGAGCTGTGCTTGGCTAAGGGTATCGGGTTGGAAGCCTAATTGCAACTCTTATCCAAAGTGACCAGAACCTTCCCAGTTACCCAGAATAAAGGACCCCCAGTTCCTTCTTTGTGTGTGTGTGTGTGTGTGTGTGTGTGTGTGTGTGTGTGTGTGAGAGAGAGAGAGAGAGAGAGAGAGAGTGCCATGTCCTTAAGTTGCATTTTCAGTATTGATTTTATTGTGGTCTGCTAATGTTTATATGGCTTAAAAAATGTTCTCTCCATGGATAAGGTCTCCACCTCTCAGGCCACAATAATACCTCGCAGAATGGACAAGCATGGATAATTTTCTAGTTTAACTCCAGGGCCATGTGCATGCCTCCTATAGGCCCTAACATGAGGGGGGCAAATAAATTCAATAAAGTTTCATCAAGTCTTACTTGTTTTCTGCTATGAACGATTTAATATTATAATTATTTTTAGCATAGAGGAAATGTGTATCTACCTTGGGGATAAATGATGATTCTGAAGACATCTTTGCTGTCAATTAACATGTTTCAGCTTCCCTAGAACTTGAGGAGAGAGGTTGGACAATATTATATTTGGCTAATGGCAAAGTCTGCAGACACTTCAACAAGAAAGTGAATGGTAATATCGCCTTGCTGATGCTTGCCATTTTCATTTCTCATTCTCATATTGGTCTGAATAAAACTGTGAAAACTTTCCCTCCTTTTTCTAAATAGTCCTCTTTTATTTCTCTAGAAACAAGAAAAAATAAAACACCACATACACGTATCTCACCCCTCTTCCCTTTGCCTCTCCTACTGCCTGGGCCTTCACTAGACCCATTAGTGCTGGTGGCCAAGTTGTCCTCACTCTCATATGATTTCAAACCCTTACGTTTGAGAAGGTTGATCACAGCGGGAGGTCACAGGAAGGCAAGCAGTCTGCATTGGTTCTAGAGGGCAAAATTCCTAGATAATAGTTCCTTCCTCTGCTCACCTGGGTTTTCCTTCCTTACACTGTGGAAACCAAGGTGCTGGTGAGCCTTGTGAAGCAGCTATTAGGTCTCAGCCATTAGCAGATGGGCCTCTTGGCATATTCACGCCTGGGTGAGCTGAGTCCTTGGGACAGATAGTACCACGATGGAGAGAAGAGAGAAGACACACCACCTGAGGATATTAGGACCAAAGCCCCCATGGGGAAGGCTTGCACACCACCATCTGCACCAGAAGCAAGTAAGCAGGTGCATTTTATAGAAAGAGTAACATTTGTTTTCGTGGAGGAAGTTATTATTTGTATGCTTAAAGCTTTTTAAAAATATCTGCTTTGAATAATCATTCACATGAAAACCACACACTAATGGAATTTTAGGGTTGGAAAAGATCTCAGCTCTCATCTAATTGAGCCCTTGCATTTTAATGATAAGGAAAACAAAGTCCAGAAAGTTTTCCCCAGGCTCTCGGAGTAGAGAAGCCACGGTTAGAGCTAACTGAACCCAGCAAGACAGTTCTTTAAGAAGAATGACAACAACAAAAAATCCACATTATTTAATTATTAGCAAAAAAAATACTTCTTGAGAGAGACAGATAGAAATACAGAGACAGAGACAGAGAAAGGTGGTATAGAGCATGCAATAGGATAATATAGTGGCTAAAGTACAGGCTTTAGGACAAGCAGACCTGACTTCAAGGCTCAGCTCTACCTCCTATTAACCATATGCCCTTGGTTTAGACCACTCTGGCCCTCAGTTTCCTCATCTGTAGACATTTGGATGATAATAATAGAGCAGACAGTGATCTAACTTCTCCTTCCATATTTGTAACAGAACTCTGATCCTAGTGACAAGGATGAGGGGACAGATTACCTGGCCTATGGTCCTTAAGGCAGCCTAAGGAAATTTAGACATATATTAGTACACATTCCCTATAAATACTTTTAATTGATAGCCCTGACTAGATAGGGGCTTGAAAATGTTTTCCCTCTGGCTCTAATTGACTTTTTTCAAAACCTTATTCCTCTGTATGCCTCAGGTTGGCCATGAACCTTGATTGGTCTGGAAGTCAACCATGTTGGTTCCTTTCTTCTTGTGGTGGCTGCTTTGGGCATGGGCATGTGAGGCAATTGTGTGTACTGTTTTAGGGGAGTAAGGGACTTCTAGGAAAGATTTATAACAAGAGGCATATCAGGGAAGAGACTGGATGTTGCCCCTTGTGGATGTGATTTAGCAGCCAGCTTGAGGTCATGATGGGAGCTTGGTTAAGAACCACCTACCATTTTGATGATGGCAGAGCAAAAATATAGAAATATCAGATCCTGATGCCACTGAATTGGGCACCCCTGTAGCCACTTTACTATGGAATGTCTCATAATGTAAGGCAATAAACTTATTTGCTATGTAAGCCAATCTTAAGCTACTTATAGCTGAATGCATCCAAAGTGGTACAGTAGTACTTACTATGTAAGGTTATTGTGAATAGTAAATGATAAATGCAGTAAGAGAAATAGTACACAATCAAGCATAAAGAAACTCTTCAATAAACAGTAGTTGTCAATAGTGTTGCAGTTGTTATTATTATAGGAGAATATATGCCAAAAAAATCACATATCCTATTCTTTAGTGACAAAAACTTCTTAACAATGTCTTGATAGCCTTATGTCAATTTTTTAAAATAGAAGTAAAATACTATACACATTGTTTTTCAATTCCAAGATGTTTCCTAATAGAAATGTTGATGCCCATGGTAACTTGCCAAGCCAGTTGGAAATTACCTCTAATTCCCGAGAGTGTGTATCACTTAATAATCTTCCCAAGATTTGAAAATGTTGTCTTCCAACTGAAAACATTTGGATTTTCAAAATTCTTCTTTTAAATGTAGAAAAAAGTGCTAAGAAATGTTAAAGGACATAACCAACATAGACTGCCCTAAAGCACATTAAGGGCCAGTTCCTAAGAGAGACAGGGCCTGACCACCTCAATACAGCATTTTTGTTGGAACTAAATTTTACAGTATCTGCAGAGGCAGAGTGGCATTCACTGTATGGGACAGTGGCAAACACTTGATCTGTTTCCAAGGGCATGTAACCCTAAGTCAAATGACCATTAGGACTTAGTTTGCAGTTCCGGTCTCTAAGGACCGTGCACTATTCCCTGTGGTAACCAAGTGAACCACAGAAATTCAACAAAGTTCAGGTGATCCAAGAGGAAATCACCAAGCAGAGATGAAAAGAAAGGCCAATTGTCAGCTAAAGTTTCCTCCAGAAATTATGGACAGAGTGTTTCTGACTGATGAACAAGATTCAAAAATGTGAGGATTCAGGAAAATTTTTACAGATGTTTTTCTTCCCCTGGAATTTGTAGTAACTATTCCCTCTGAGCTCTTTGGGCCACAGAAGCATAGAATTACTTGTACATTGAAAGGAGTAAGGGAAATGATTAAAAATTTCCCAGGAGTTCAAACCTGTCCAGAAACTTCCTGTTTCTAACATGTGGTCTGTGAAGCACTTCCTGGTACTTTAACAGGGATGGGATGGGAGCGAAATCAGCCATTTGTGTAGCAATGTGGTACAGTGTGACTTTGGAGTGAAGCCAAAGGTTCTCACCCCAGCTACACTTTACAATCATATAAGAAGTTTAGGTAAAATGCTGACACCAGGCTACCTAGGCTACCAATTAAATCAGAATCTCTGGGATTGGGTCTAAGCATTATGTAAATAGGTAGATATTTGTCTGTGTATATATGAGTTTTCTAAGCTTTCCAGCTGAGTCTAGGGGTGAGAACTTACTGAATTAGGTCTAATATTCACTAGTGGCTTCCCAGCTTCTAAGCTATACAACCATGGACACGATGTTTTCTCTCTATGCCTCAGTTTCCATGTCTGCAGACTGGGTATTACAATCGCAAGACAGATTAAATGATATGATGCATATAAAGAAACAAGCCTAGAACTCACTAGCTCATGTCAAGTCCAAACCCTCTGCATGGGACTGTTCACTCCATTCCCCTGCACAGTGAGGTTTACAGTGACAGAAAGAACTGGCAGGTGTAGCGGAGGGCTGGGAAGTTCATTAGAAAGAGAAGGTGCCACTTTCTCTTATCTTGCCTGTCAACTGAACTTGTACATTCCTGGAAGAAAGCAAGTGTCCTGAAATAGCCACTTAAAATGAGTCTGTTAGAGTGGATTCCACATTAAGGGGGGGAAAAAAAGTACTTCTCCATCTCTTCTCCCTGTTGGCAGGCATACAGGAAGATGATGAAAGGGCTACCACACCCTGCTGTGGACACTGGCCAACCTGTCGCAAATGTCCACAGGGAGTAAACAACAATAGTATTGATCCCTAACATGAAAGATACAGAAAAACAAGGACCAATGTTCATCTGACATTACCTGTCAACAGGTCAGTCTTTCCATGAGATTATAAATTTGTATGTCTGCCTCCGTCAGTATACTGTAGGCTGCCTGGGAGGCAAGGACACACTTCTTAACAATAGCCCTTTTAGTAAATGCTTTCCAAGTACCAAGCATATATGTATTTATCTCATTTAATATTCACGACGTTTAAGGAAGGCACTGCTATTCCCCTCACTGTGAAGAGATGACACCTAAGGCTTAGGAACATAAGTAACTTGCCCAAGTCCACATAGACCATGAGAATGGTCAGTTTTGAACCCAGGTTTGTGTCTGGCTGTAAAGATTTTATATCTCAGGCCTTAAAAAGAAAAACCTGGCACCACCTGTTTCCAAATAACCCATGGAAATAAAAAAAATTTTAAAAATCGCCCAAAAAGTTAAAAAAAAAAGAAAAGAAAAATTAACATTAGAATGGCGCAAAAGCAATACACGTTAAGTAAAAACTACTTTGAGTACTCATACAACAATTCTGTTTTTCACTTTCAGTATGGTATTCAATAAATTACCCGACGTATTCAATGCCTTATTGTAAAAAAAAAAAAGAAAGAAAGAAAAGAAAAAAGAAAAACCTGGTGTGTAGTATGCGCCAATATTTGATGAATGAAGGAAGTTGGGTTTTTTTTTTTTTTTCAGAAGAAAAGCTAAAGAACTGAAAGTCAGCATCTATACTACCCTTATAATCCACACTAGTCCTTACTGATTTCTTCTGAGCCACCTCTGGAATAAATCTAATTGAGGAGCAGCAGGGTCTCCCCAAGGTTACTATACATTAAAAACAAAATCAACCTGAAAAAGCCAGACATTATGATTTACAATTTTATGTAAAACATGAAGGTAAAACTTACACGTGCACCTGTCTTATCGCCCCAACTCAACTGTAAGCCCCTGAGAATAGAGTCATACATAATACTTCTTGCACTGTCCCACAAGCCTCAGCAGAAATATGTGTCATCCCTGGGAAGGGTTCGAGGCCTGGTTAATATCCTGCTGTGAACTTGGCCTTCCCTCAACTTTTTATCCATGTGGAATCACATTAGATTCATCATTCAGGGCAGAAAAGAAAAGGAAAAGAAGTCACAAAATGACAGCAAGAGGCATGACCATGAAAATGTAGAGCAGCCCTCCCAGCCTCTGAGCTAGGTGATAGATATTTGTATTGATTCGACATCTAAATGTCCAGTCACTTTAGCACACCTAGAAAAACCCCTAGCAGATCCTCCACCTTCTTTATTGCTGCTCCTGCAATTCCTCTGTGAGGTTAAGTCAGTTCTACAATAGTGAAAGGGCTGGGAAGAGGGAGGAAGCAGGCTACAATCCACCAATACAGACAAACTTGAAATCATGGGTTGAAGAAAATTTACACTTGAAAAATCCTTGGAAATGATGCAGTCAAGCCTCCTGATTTCACAGGCAAGTGAACGAAGAGAGCAAGTCAAGAATTGATTGGCTCATGGTTACACGATCAACTAGTGCCAGGGCGAGAACTTGAGCCCTGGTTCCTGGCTCCCAGTCCTCTGCTCTGTTGACTTACCTAGGCTGTCCCTTTACGAAGTGAGTAAGGGAAGAGACTACACACTAATGTGCAGTGCTGGGAAGAGTCAAGATGCTGACCAAGGGCGGGGTGGTAAGCACAGTGTAGACCCGGAAGCCTAGTGCAGGCTTGTCAAGGAAGCTCCACAAGTTGGTCCAGTCTGACTCTCTTAGGGCCATGATTTTCCCCGCACATGGAAAGTCAGGTCAAAGGCCATTCAACTGGTCACTGAAATTTCAAACAGGTGGCTGTGATTACATGACCTTGGCTTTATTAGCAACTCTAAGGATGCAGTAAGCTACCAAGAAAACCTAAGAATCAAATTTTGATAAATTAGAGCCCTCCCATTTTCATATAAACAAATCTAGAGTGAAATTAATAGTTTTCAAATTCCAGCCTTCTCATATTAATCAGAAAAAGACATTTATGATGCCAACACACATATAATTAGTCTTCTTTACAGCTTGATAGCAAGAAAAGAAAAAAAGAGGACCATGAGTTTCATACGAGTTACTCATGTGAAAATCTGAAATTAATAACTTCATGGACCTGAAAAAGCAAGAGCTGTATAGATTATTCAGAAGAAAAGAAAGATTTCTTTCCTTAAGCTTCAAATACTTGAATCTTTTCATTATGAAGTTCTGTCCAATTTAAATCTATTTCAGATTGTCCCAGAATAGCCTTCCTTGGTAACCTGTGCCAATCCTTTGTGAGTCTTACTCTAAAAAATGTCCTTCTATTAGCTAACATATTTCTTAAGCTAGTTCATGGCCAACATTCCCCTCTCTTGAGAATTGGACTAATAGTAGGTCCTCACTCTCCTTAATGGTGTTTTTTTCTCAGGAGTGTGGTGACTTGAACCATCAGCCTTCTGGTGAACTGGGCCTGGAGCACCTGCAAGCCAAGCCTACAGCCACAGAGTTGGCTGGCACAAGCTGCTGCTGTGACTGTGGCAGGCTGCTGTGACTTGGGATGGGGATCTTAGAACCTCCAAGGTGAAGCCATTGTCAGTACCTGCCTGATCTTGAAAGATCTTGGCCAGCCACATGTTCTCCTGTTTTTCCAGCAAGGTCAGCTTTCATGAATGATCTTGTAATTTTGTTTGTCTTCTGGCACCACAGCTGTCAAACTTTGCAGCATGAATCCATTCATGTTGCAAGATCCACAACACACCCAGTAAAGCTGGCATTGACCTTGAATCAATCTTCACTTGTAAACTTCATGTCTTGATATCCAATTACAGCATACTCACCCATCAAATCTTTCTGGGGTCCACTCAGAATCATGCAGTGAAAAGTCAGTTTGTGCAAATCATGTTCTCCTTCCACAGTGGTGTCCTTTGGTGGATAAGAAAGAGCTATATCTTGAATGGAAGGAGGTGGTTCTTTTAGCTAATGGAATTTTCATAACTTCAAGAGAAGTCTGATTATTTTGGATCTGAGACTAAACTCTTTAAATAGTAGACTTTAAGTTCTTGCAGAAGCTTGTACCTATGTTCATTTTTGATAAGTACTTTTGTTGTATGGTGAATCTCAGCCATGATAGATGACCTTCCTTGTGTTTTTCTTCCCCAGATTACATCAATGTTAGGCACTTACTATGTGTGAGGCCTTTTGCTTAGAGTTTTGAAAACAAGAGTATATCCTTTTGGATCACATTGTTCATCTTTATTAGTGCTCAGTTTTTAATGCTTTGTCCCTCAAAGGGACAAAGAACACAGGTGGGGAAGAGTGGGGCTTGAAAAGGGAGGCAGTGCAGGATGACCCTAAAGACATCATTCTCAAAGGAGAAGCTGTAAACCACAATGTCTTCATTCCTCCCTAGAATAGCCCATGCTTTTATTGTCCTGTTTTGATTCTAGTAATTTTGCCCTGTTGCATCTCAGAAATAGGGAGTTTCATAGATAAAGCAGCACTGTCTTTAATTGCCAGAAGTCCATTCTCTTTCAAGTTTCAAAAGAGTGCCTTGGTGAAGTTGTCTGTGTACACACTGTCAGAAGCCATCAGATTTTCAGATTTGGTTCTGTCGCCAGGTATCCCAGAGTGTGCTCTTTTCTCCAACTGACATTTTGAGTATCAAAGGCTGATTTTTGTTCAATGACCCTGTTGAAACCATTGACACTGAGCCCCTTCTATGCACCCTGAAAGTATTCTTAGCTGCCTCTACATTGCATAGAAATAAATGTTGGTGGTTTTGCAGTCCTATTCAAACTGCCATTGACCACATGATGTCTTGTCTTGTCATTTAGTTTTGGCATGGCTATCCTCCATCTCCAACTAGATTCAGGAGATGAATTCACCTTTCTAACTCCAGAGAAGATAGTCTAGTTCTTCTGCCTATTTTAACACTTGGTCCCAGCTCAGAGCTCAGGTTTTTCTTGAAGGTCAAGATGCAGTTAAACAAAGAGTCTTCCAGAATTGGGTTGCTTTGTTCTCTCAAAAATCACATATCTAAATCTCAAATCTTAAACCTCCAGAAACTCCCTCTTGCAGAAAAATTTCAAAGACCCAGAATATTACTATAGTTAGGAAGAAGCTAAATATTCAGCTGGTCCGTCACCCTCATCTTTTAGACACTGAAGTCTTTCTAAAAGGAACTTGAATAACGTCTCGAGTTCCAGAGAGAGTTATTGGTTATTCCAAGCTCCAGAGAGAGCTTGGAAATGGTTATTCACCTTTGATGAACTTACTACTTTGGCAAAAATGTGTAAGTGAAAAAAATTCTAGGCCTTTTTCCATGCCCTGAGGGAGGGATAGTTTCAAGACTTCATTGGATCAAAACAACAATAAATAAAACTCTTTACTTGTAAGGATGGATTGTTCTTCCAAGGATCTCAAAGTGGGATGTTATTAACAGAATTTTTTTTTTCTGTGTTTTTAATCTGGGAGTTAACAGCATCTCTACCATGATCGGAGGGGAACAAACAAACATGCCTACAATGTGCCTAGTTCTGTACAGTGGGCCAAACACATCTTCACTAAGAATTGCTTTTCTCGTAAACTTGGGTACTTGATGAACCTGTCAACCAACATGGAAATTCCTCCCTTTTCAATTCAATATAATGGATGAAAACAAGTAGATTGATTAACTAAATAGCTAACTAATGGGCTTCAGGACTGACTCTTATTGAAAGAATTCAGGACACAGTTCCTACATGTGAAATTGAACTTCACAGTTCCATAATGGGAGTCAAGTGTAATTTTTAAAAAATTTCTAAGTATGATAGTATGAGGGTAGTTTTAGAATATATTCTGCTTAACAACAATATAAATTGACATATGTTTTGGAAAACAATTTAGAAGTAGATATCAAGAGCCCTAAAAAATTCAGGCAACTTGACTCAGCAATTTCACTTTTTGAGAATCCTATCTTAGGAAATTAAGCAAAACTTGAACAAAGTTTTAAGCCCAAAGATATTCTTGGCAGCATAATTAATAGTAGGCAGAAGTTAGAAACAATCTCAATGTCCACTAAAAGAAGAAAGCTAACAAATTATGGTACAGACTTTCAGTGGTCAGCACTAAATGTGATGTTTATAAGATTTTTAATGACATGTAAAAATATTTCTGATGAAACATGAAGTAAAAAGATTAGGGGCTGGGCGTGGTGGCTCACGCCTGTAATCCCAGCACTTTGGGAGGCTGAGGCAGACAGATCATGAGGTCGGGAGTTCAAGACCAGCCTGGCCAACACAGTGAAACCCCGTCTCTACTAAAAATACAAAAAATTAGCTGAACGTGGTGGCACACACCTGTAATCCCAGGTACTCAGGAGGCTGAGGCAGGAGAATCGCTTGAACCCAGGAGGCGGAGGTTGCAGTGAGCCAAGATCGCGCTATTGCACTCCAGCCTGTGCGACAGTGTAAGACTCCGTCACAAAAAAAAAAAAGAAAAAAAAATTAGGATGTAAAAATTGTGTGTGTATGTTTATGTGTATGTATAACATCCAAACGTTGCATGTCCACATAAAGATACTCGAAGGAAATAAATATAATGCACTGTAAACAATATTTATCTTCGGTATCATTCCTTTAGTATCTATTTTTACCTTTTTCTATGCTTGTAAAATATCCTCTTCATCAGAGTATACTACTCCTATGGAAAAAAAATAACTTTAGATTAAATGATCAAAGAAAATAGTAAGCTTGAATGATAAAAATACACAAAGGTAAGTCACAACTATTACTTCTTTTTGATTCTGCATTTATTTTAGGGAATGGATAAATAAATGTATGAGTGAAAGAATATGTGTGCTTAATTTTCAGAATTCACTTGAAGCTGTCCCCAGGGGATTATAGAAGTTGTCAACAAATAGGGTATTTTTCATATACAGTGATGGCAACTACCTACATGCCTAGAATAGCCAATCTGATTGTCCATCATCAGAAGGAGACCATGCTGTCCACCTTAGCCAATAAGCCACAGCATTAACAAGAAAGTTATTACTTTAGTTCAGTAAAATTTGACATTATCCACTGTGCATACGTTAGACTGCACTAGCTGCTACTGAGACTATAGAAGTGAGTAAACACTCACTTTTCACAGATGAGATGCTAGCCCTTAAGGAATACTGATTTTGTAGCTGAGACAGACCTACATGTGCAACAGTAATTCAACATAGGTGTGCTAAGGATGCTGGTGAAGGGACTGGGAAAATGATGTGGGAGTGCAGAAAAGTTAGCAATGAAATCAGACACCCTTAGAGGGGGTGTTTTTTGCTTGTGTCTAGATATGTAGACAAAAACAACTGTGGGCGCGGTGGCTCACACCTGTAATCCCAGCACTTTGGGAGGCCGAGACAGGTGGATCACTTGAGGTCAGGAGTTTGAGACCAGCCTGGCCAACGTGGAGAAACCCCATCTCTACAGGTGGATCACTTGAGGTCAGGAGTTTGAGACCAGCCTGGCTAACATGGAGAAACCCCATGTCTACTAAAAATACAAAAATTAGCTGGGTGTGGAGGTGCTTGCCTATAATCCCAGCTACTCGGGTGTCTGAGGTTGCAGTAAGCTGAGATCATGCCACTGCACTCCAGCCTGGATGACAGAGCGAGACTCTGCCAAAAAAAAAAAAATCATTTTATGCAGGGAAATGTTTTTGTCTAATCCACGGAAACTGTAGTATTCTGCACTCATGAGACTATTTTTCTTTTACAGTGTTCTATGATATTTTTATGACATCTTTCTAGGTTCTAAAAAATGTACTTTACCTAAATATTTACATATATCCTCTTCAGATTTCATTTAATAAGAATGAGAACCTATCTCATCATCATTACTTAATGTTTCACCACTTCAGGAACAAGGAGACTAAGACAAGGGTTCTGCTGAGTCATTTTTTCTTTTGCTGCTGTATTCCTATCTGGAACGTGGAGATGGCAATAGTTTCTGAGCCAGGACTGGAGCCCTGGTTCGTTTGGACACTTTTTGTTCAAGAAAGTTCCTACTGAAGATGTTAGTCTATAAAACATATAAAGGAACTATGGAGTCTTGAGTTTTTTAAAAAAATTACAGGTTGGCTCTGTGAGGAGGAACCAGAAGGCTATTCCAACCAATTCTCCCCCAACCTTGAAACCCTGACACTCTGTTCCTGGACAGTCTTTAGCCTTGGGAATAATGAAGGTGTTTCAGGAGTGCTGGTTTTTATCTTTCTAGGGAGCAGGGGAAGAATGATGATAGCTGTCAAAAACCCAGAGTATCACACTGACTTGCCTTCTTTTCTCACTTGCTCCCTCCTTCCCCATTAAGTAATTTTTAGGGTAGGCACAAAGGAAAGGAAAGACTCCAGTCTCTTAAAGAATTTGCATTGTAATAAGACAAATCTAAATTTGTGTAATGAAGCCTTATAGTAAACTTGTATCCATACGCATCATAGGACATGGTGTTCTCAGATGCTCAAGTGTTGAATATTTGTGAATAGGGCTATTGAGAGTTAATCCATGAAGACTTTTGAAAGAAAGGAAAGATCTGAGTTTGAGCAGAGGCAAAACATCATGTTTATATTAAGTGGAAGTTAAAAATGCTTTATTCAAGTTTGATTCAAAATCAGATTCTAATGGTCTAGCCTTGGTTTCAAGCTAAGCCAAATTTTGTTATTTTAATGATGCGTTTTAGGAAATAGGGGGAAAATGGAGTAAAATGAGGTCTTTGGTCAGTATAAACACAAGTAAGATTGTGATGCTTGAACATGGTTCACTAAGTCAAAATCTGCCCTAAATATTTTAAATCTCTGAGCGTTTGAGAATCTGGGTGGTCTGAGCTCATAAAACAGCCTCTGTGAAGGCACAGTCTCTCTTCCGTTTCTCAGGACTCTGAGCAGTTGCTCACCAGCCATGTTGTCTGAATGACATAATTGCCAGATAAACCTTAGTGATACTGCAGAGTAATTACTTTAGAACAGTTCAATTAGTTTTAGTCTCATGTCTAGTTAAAATCATGCCCTTAGAAAGGTCATGTGAAAGACTCCAAAGAACTTAGTAGAGTATTTGATGAGGCCACAGTTCTCAGAAAGCCATCAAGCCATAGAAGCTGAAGCTACTCTCTCCTTCCTCCAGACCTTATCTTTAGGTGGGGCTTCATTTGCCAAAGCACCGCTCCTGGAGTCAGCCCAGGAGCTAATAGCATTGTGGAAGCAGGTTTAATGAACAGAAAGCCCCACTGAGCCAAGCATGAGCCTGCATTGTGCATATAGAAGCAATCATACTTGAGCATCACTCTAAACGAGAGAGGGCCAGAGATCTTCCCATCCCACCAGGGAACCAGCATGGGTGTCACCCTCTGTAACAGCTTCATATGAGCTTTACTTCTGGCCCAGGATCCCCCTCCCATGCCTTATTCCTTCACCTGTGGCTTTTCCTTATCACACTTTCCATCTGGGCAAGGAAAGCATGTCCATTCTCCTCCATGGCTATTTGATCTTTCTCTCCAGTTTCTTCCATTCTCACTGCAGTTAAGACTGCTCTTTTCTATGATGAGTTACCCTTGCAAGCCCGAAGTCCTGCTTTCTATTCTCTTGAGAAAGATAAGTGCTTGATGTCCTATGGGGCTCTCTTCCCCAGAAAAATTCCATTATCTCAATGAGGACTGGAAGGCAAAACGTGAGTCCCTAATAGTCTCTATAAGTTGCCCTTTCCTTTCATAAGATATGGGATAAGGTGATAAGCACATAGAAGCACACAGTTTGCAGAAACGTTTTGGGTGCTATCAGAAGAAACTATCAAAGAACAGGAATCACTTATAGACATAGGTTTTCAACATTTTAAAATTACATTTTTAATGGTTAAGTCTAAAGTGAGCTTTTAATATTTTCTAGACTTCCAGTAAAACCATTTAAACCCAATTAATATCTCAAAGAAAAACAGTTAATAAAATAAGAATAATTCTATTCCAATTTCTATAGAAAAAAACTAGTCACTGACTTAAATTACACTTTATTACCGATATCAGTAGGGAAAAAGCATTGTTTGAACCTGAGTCCCTAGTGTGAAATTATCATCAATAAAATTATACCCAGCTCTTCTCATATTCAGGGAATTGTGTTAGAAGTAGAAATGAATTCAGATATAGGTAGAAATTCATACCCTAATATTTACTTGAGAAACTAGTGATTGTAATAAAGCTTGATTATCAAATGCTTAACTTTAGCAAAAGAAATACAAATGAGACTGGTTTGACAGTTTGGTAGTGGCTAGTGCAGAATTTGATCAGAAGGGAATATGGATTTATATGGGTGTCACTCCTTTCTTCTGTACATTCCCTTGATATTTAGTTCTAAACAATAGTGATTTTTCTAGCATAGTCATCTATTTCCAAAATTATGAGGAATCACAAAATTATACAACTAATATGGTCCTCCCTATGTCTAGTTAGTAATTCTACCATGAGGAACTGATTATAAGGAAGCTGCAATCACCATGCAGTACCAATCTTTTAATTCTCCCTATCTCGTCTGGAGAAGCTAAAGAGGTAGCAAATACTCCTGGTTCAGATTCCTTCTGATGTCTCCTTTATGCTCTTTCCAGAGGTACCTCTGGCTCTGTTATCTCCTGGGGACTTATCTATGGAATTTCAACTTATGTCTTTTCAAGACCCTCATGCAGATTTTCTTCCTGAGGCAATTTATTAGTTATGTGTTGGGCTTCCTGGTTTATTATGAAATCTAAAACCTTAGCAAAGATGAAGGACCCAACTTTGATTCCCTTTATCTCTGCATCATCATTTTCCTTGCCCTCTATTTCCTTCTCTGGAAACAATGACTCCTGTTCTCCATGTTCTTCAAGATTCTCTCTCCCCTGAACATCTGTGGGACTATAACACTGTACCCCCACCATGGTACTTTCCGTAGCCTAAATCCAAAAACAGTGAACAACCCCAAACCATCAGCCTGCTACTTCAGGCCTAACTTATTCATATAATGGAGGCATCTTGACCAGCACGCCCTGAATGGCAGCCTGACTGGGGCCTTTTTGCCAATGTGCTAGTTCACTCTGTTTAGTCTTTCCTATGTGGAACATTGCTTCCAAATGGCATTCCAACTCAGATATTCCAGCTCCAAATCACTTGCCTTGACTACCTTTTAATACTCAATTTCATCATCTCTTGATTCTTGCAACGCTCATCTTTTCTACCTATGCTGTGTTCCCATCCTCTGTCTACTGTCTAGAATTGATGCACAGCACCATCTTCCTGGGTGCCACATTGGTTCAGCCTGTCAATTAGGCTGGTTCTTCCATAGCCATGCTGCTTAAGTAATGCCTGTCTTGCATCTCCTGGTAGCTTAAGATCTTATTAGGTCAGTGCCATCTTCTGCACCCAACAGATTTCTTCCTGACCAAGTAAATGAAACTCAGAGTAAAAGATTATGAACTTATAAAAGAACAGCTGGGGCTCTCTTCTTTAGTGCAATCAGGATCGGGTAATTGGTCCGTTAATTAAAACTCAGTGGGAGCTGAAGTACTGAACCCACCAGAGAGCAGTCTTCTTGCCACAAGCAAGAAGGTGAGAGATGGAAGGTGAGAGATAGTACCCTGTGCATGGGGTACTACCAGTTAAGCTGGTGAGTTGGTAAAGTGGAAATCAGTTAATAAAGCGTCTATTCTAATCCTCAGTTTTTTTTATAACACTTAGCAAAATTTACCGTCTAGCCTAAAACAGAAAAGAAAAAAAGTAAGATTTATGTTAAGCAGTAAACTTAACCTTGTGACATTCCCTAGTTCAGGGAAGTGGCCTCTTCAGAAGCTATATTCCACTCGTTCGTGACCCAGAACACCTTATAAAAATTATCAGTGCCCTTGGCTGAGGCTTTTTGTGAAATGCAGAAGATGTTAAGCACAAAAACTCAAATTCAAATCCCAAAGCAGATGGAACATGAATAATAGAAATCATAGTCTACTAATAATTCAAGAATAGCATCTTATGATTGGACCAATTCAGAGTGATAATTGCAACTTGGTACATTATTCGTTCATCTATTTGAAATCTTGGAAGGGACTCTACACAGCACAGTAAGGAGGCTTTGAGAGCCTAAAGCCGTTTCTGTTGTTGTTTGAATGGTGCCAGCCACAGCATGTTTAAACACCACTGCTGCTAGCTGGGTGCCAATGTGGTTTCACCAGCAAGTGTGGGCAAGGATTTTTTTTTTTTAAACTGAAAAGGATTGCTTCCAAAGCATGAAATCAACTGTTAAATCTATCTACTTTTTAAAAACATCCTCTATTTATACTTAGTGAATCTGTGCAAAAATCTTGTCACAAACACACTTAACTCCATGGCCTTAGTGAGAAACCTCTGCTGGCGGGGCTCCGACCTATAATCAAAGCATTAAGTGATCTCTCCACTCCCCTTCCTCCATTCATCGACAGCCCTAGCCAGTCAACAAATGGATTCTCAGGAGCATACCCAGATGAATCCAGGGCCCTGACAGGAGACCTATGTAAAGGTAGACCACTTAGGGATAATCACCAACCGTTTGAAGGGCATTTGTTATTAAAGGATTTTGCTTTTTGGGTTTTGTTTTTTAGCAAAAAGAAAGAAAGAGAAGAAAGAGAGTAGGTTTAGAGATGCAGACTGCCAAATTCATAAGTATTTGTATGATTATAAATACTAAAATGTACACATAAATTGTCCACATGGATCTGCTACTTTCTTCTTGGCCCATAACTGGATTATTTATTTCTCGAGTAAGGACATTGCATTCCCATTCGTTGCTCACATGCTTTAGCTTTCATCAAACTTTGTGTAATGCCCTACACACTATAGCATAGTGAATAAGAGCAAGGGCCCTGGAGAAGACTGACTGAGTTCAAATCCCAACCCCCCATCTCCTTGAGCACACCCCATAACATTTCTGTGCCTCACATTCATCAGTTGAATGTATTAGGTTGGTGCCAAAGTGATTGCAGTTTTTACCACTGAAAGTGGCAATCACTTTGGCACCAACCTAATAAATCACTTAGAGGAGATGACTGGTGCATAGTAAATGCTTAATAAACATTAGCAATTACTGTTAACTAACTGCAACTTGGCTAACTTGGCTACCCTATGTGTGTGAGTGACAAAATGGCCTGCTGATTTTGAGAAAAAAGGACCCTAGAATGGAAATGGAAATGAAGTTTCCAGTTAGTAAAATGGTATTAGAGTATAGATAATATGGAGCCATCAAAATTATTTCTCCAAGATAATATATAATGTAGATGTGGCATACTAATGACGACAGGAGAGAGCCTGTGGATCCATAGGTGTCTTTGTCACCAAGTGGAAAATATCTTGAAGTAGAAATCAAAACACCTAAACTGTAGTCTAGTTCTTTCCTTAACTAGCTATGTGATTTTGGTATAATCGTTTCACCTCTCTGGACTTCTGGACCTCAATGTTTTCATACACAGAGTGAGCAGGTTGATCTAGCAGTGCTATCCAATAGGATTTTCTGTTGTGATGAAAATGTTCTGTCTCTGTACTGTTGGGTGTGGCAGCCACTAGCCACATGGGGATATATTGAGCACTTAAAGTGTGATGAATACAACTGAGGAACTGCATTTTTAATTTTATTTTTATTTTTAACTAATTTAGAGTAAGATTACATAGGCACATATAACAAGTGGCTACTATATTGGGACAGCACAGACAGTATTTTCTAAGATCTTTTCTGATTCTAGCATTCTGTGCTTGACAGAACCTCTCTAGGAAAACCAGTATTGTTACAATGGATCTTAAGACCTTGTCTGATCTTTATGGTCTGTGTACTTTGGAAGAGAACTAAAAGCAAATTTGTAGAGACCCTTAAGAAGAACATGGATCTTGAGAAACTAGGAGTGTGTTTCCTGGAGGCTGATGAGTACTCTAATGACCGTCAATGGTATTTTCTAAGTCTTTACATGAATCAGGTTTGAACTATCTCAACTTCTGAAAAATAATAGCTAATAAAAACTGACATTTTTTGAGTACTTACTCTAGATTAACATACTTCTTTCACAAAAAACAAATAACATAGGCATATTATTATTCTTGATTTACGGATGAAGAAAGTGAGGAAAGGAAATGTTAAATAACTTGTCTCAGGCCATCCAGCTAGAAAGTGGATAGCCAGGATATGAAACTAGACAATGAGCTCCAGATCTTATTTTGTAAAAATCTTAATGAATAATAGCACACATATACAGCAGTGTTCAAGTCAAAAATGTGCAGATTAATTACTTTTCATAAAGTAAACTTGCCCATACCATTTCCAGAATATTACCAGCATCCCAGAAGCCCTCATTAGGACCCTATTCAGTTACCGCTCACCCCATCCCAACTAAGGATAACCACTACGCTGATTGCTAACACCATAGGTTAGAAGAACTTATACTTTAACCACTATGTTGTAGATCCCTGAAGACAGTATTAGAAGATCACATTCTTATAATCAAGAGAAGAAACAAACATGTTTGGTGGTTTCAAATTAATCGGTAGTAAAAACAGGCAATCCGCAGACTAGAGAACTACTCATTGATTTGATACATATTCATTGAGCATCTACTATGTAACAAGCATTGTACTAAGCACTAGGTATTCAACATTGATTGAAACAGACAGAGCTCCTCCTCTATAAAGGTTTTAAGACTTGGTCCACTTTATCAACTAATAGGTGGCTTAGAGAGTAGAAGAAGACTACTCAGTGATCTTGGTGGTGGCTGACAGCCACAATAGTGGTGGTCAATAGCCTTAGTGATGGGGCCGACAATAGTGCTGGCACTCCAGAGAAGAGTTGCCCTGGCTCTGGTCTCTAGAATTTTAGCAGAATGTCCTTTGAGTCTCCTGGAATTTTGGAAAGGTGACAATTAGAGCTAATTGCATGACATTCCACTAAAAACTATTTTATAAACAATTTCTGAATACTCTCTTTATAAGCAATAACTTAGGAAAAGTCTACAAGCTTAATGTAACCAGAGAGATTACAACATGAGATGGGAGATGTGGGGATATTGCATGAATAGGAAAAAAATTTAAAAGACCACCAGGGAACTCCACCCCAGCTAATGAGGAATGATTACTCCCTGCTGACAAGCAACTGAGCCACTCTAACTAATATTTTCCAGAGTAATAAAGAGGCTGATGCAAGACAGTGAAGCATCCAGGGGCTATTTCCAAACAAATTCTGGGAGATACAAAAGCAAATAGACCAATGACAGTTAAAAAAAAAAAAAGGCTTCTATGGGCTACTGCAAATTGAGCTACTTGCATCACTGTGACCCAGTCGTGCCTTATGCCCAGGGATACTTTAGTAACTGCTCTCTTGTGGTTCAGGGAGAATGTAGATGGAAGGTGAGTTTTAAATGTACCGACGTCTTGCTTTTTCCAAAGTTGACTTGATCTCTCCCTTGAAATGCATATGCTAATATGACCCCTGGGAATTGTGCAAACCTACCAACACACCACAAGGTCAGCTGTTTAGACATTGTTGGGTTTCCGTAATGCTGAGAAAATAGCATGGGAGCCCTGCAGGAACCGTGCCATCACTGTGTTTCTCTTATCTGAGCTCGGTTCTCACACTAGCTGGAGCTCTTGCATCTACTGTACAATGAAAACATACTGTGGGAACAACTGAAATTTCATCTCAGGGGAGGAGAAGGGGTGCATTTTCTCCTATTACCCAACTCCATGCTATGCAACCAGTCTCACCCATCCTTGTGTCAAATCCGCATAGCTAATGGAGCATGAGAAGCCTTAAGTGCCTCAGTCTATTTATTGTAAACAGTGAAAGGGTGTAAGCAGCAAACAGGACTTCTAATCATGGAAAGCTGAGTGGAGCTGTGCAAAGGGCTTGCAGGGAAACCCAAGTCCAGAGAGCACAGCTAGTGTGTAATGAACTGCAAGGGTGGCCTCAGGTCTTTTCCTATAAATGAGCGACAGGCAGACTCCTAGGAGCTTTGCAGCACCAATGAGGAGCAGCGAGGCCTGAGCGGGGAATCTGCAAAGCTCAGGAAGTTCTGACTCTATGATGAAAAGACTGAGCAAGAGAAAAGCCCCATTTCCAAATGGAAAAGGTCTAGACATCTAAATCCTTTCCTCTCATTTTTTTTTCTCACCATGATTTCAGCTTGCATTCAGTGGGAGCTGGCAATCTTTCCACTCAGGTCTTGTTCCTTGACAAACACAGTGCAAAAACTGATGCTTAGGCTTTAAACTATGTGGAGCACGCCCAAGGCTACTTTGTAGAAAGCGAAGGTCTGTGCAATGACCTGCTCCCTGGAGCCCTTGTAATAGTTGTTGGGAAGGTCTCAGAGCCAGCAAAATGATCGTTTCTGACTCTGTGGCTGAGGGATGGTGCTGCAAATGTGTGTTCTCTTGGGTTTCACTTCCTCCTGCCAAGATCACTCTGCCCTGCACCCTCCTCTTTTCTTCAAGGGATTAGGGGCTAGACCATTCATTCACTCATTCACTCAGCAAATATTTATTATTTGCTATGTGTCAGGCACTGATTTATGTGCAATGCACAGGACAGACAAAATTGCTCCCTTCATGAAGCTTACATTCTAACAAGAGAGAAGGACAAAGACAAATAAGGAAATGCATAGTTTAATATTGGGCAGTGATGAGTGGCATGCAGAAAAATAAAGTAAGCTAAAGGGACAGAGAGTTATTGTTAGATAAGGTGGTCTGAGATAATCCCTCTAAGGAGATGACATTAGAACCCAGACCTAATGATGTGAGCAAGCCATGTAGACACCTGGGAGAAGAATGTCTCAGGTAATGGAAATAGCACATGCAAAGGCTAACAGGTGGGAACATGCTTGGCATTCAGGAGGAACAGCAAGACCAGTCCTCATGAGAAGCCATGGGGAAAATAATAAAAGATGATATCAGAGAAGCAGGCAAGTGCCTGATCATGTGGGACTCTGGTATGGACTTTGCATTTTATTCTAGGAGGATGGGAAGCCATTTGAGCATGGCCGAGATATCATCTCTATTGCAAAACTTTGTGACTGTCAGTGGCCCTACCCACAGAATAAGACTGAGAGCCAAAGCTCAAACTGGAGAATAGACAGCCAGAGCAGAGTACGACAAGTCATAATGACCACAGCAATTCCAATGATCAAAGCTCAGGTATGACTGCAAGACCAGGAGCATTCTGTGATCCAATAGCCTTTTCTCTGTCTCCTCTTTTTAGAAGGGCCCAGTTGCCACTGTTAGGATGTAGAGAGACAACAGAGAGACATCATATCTATACCTGACAGGCTACAGGTCCCTCCTTGCCATGCACAGCTCTTGTTTGCCTCCCCGCTTTCCTTGCCTGCTCTTCCCAAGAACACCTGAGGCTCCCGTCACAGTGAATTATACATCTTCCCCGACCGTGTTATTCCTCCCTTCCTGGAATGTGCTCATTCTTCTGCCTAGAGTGACATTTTCTGCCTTGTATGCCGGAGGAAAGACCCACTCGTCCTTAAAGAGTCAGCTTAAATAGTATCTCCTCTGTGAAGGATGTACGGTATTTCTGCTGACATGTGTCACACTGCATTGAAGCATAGACAGGTGACACTGGATAAGAATAAATAATGAAGACGAGTTAAAATGTAAAAAAGGTTTTTTGTTAAGGTCAAGGAGATAACACACTCCTGTTGTAGAAGAGGCAGGCCACTTCGAAGGGAATATATGCTCCTAGTGTCATTCATCAGGCGGTAGGTAACTTCTAGGGGAAGAGGAAGCACACCAGAGTGGGAAAGGAACTTTTAGGGGCTGGGAGACATTGGCTAGACACTCAGGCATGTCTGGATCAAGCTGAATTGACTCTGGCCACTGCGATTAGGCAGGAAGCTGGCCCAGGAAGCAATCATGCATCTGGGTTTGTATGACAGTTCAGTTCCCGCTTAAAGTGAATTGGTAAAAGGAGCACAGTTTCTGCTCTCCTGAGGTGAGCATGGCAGGGAGGGGTGCTTTAGCAATGAGGAAGACACAGAGAAAGCAGAGGTGAACAGCCACCTGCAGGTGGATAATCACCCACTAAAGGACACGTGCTTCCATTGAATTAGATATGTTAAATAAAGGAGCTGCCCTGCATTGCCATCTTTGCTCGGGAAGAAGAAAGCTATTATAGCCTAACAAATGGTAATCGATTGCTTCTTATGACCAAATTTAAATTAAAACCGAAGAAGTTCCTTGAGTAAGACCAAACCTGTTGAAATTTCAAAAAGGCAACTAAACTTCGAACTTCCCCCTGACTCCATGCAGCAGCCGAAAGATCATAATTACTAGTTTGATAACTGAAAGGAACACTATATTTTTATTTAAAAGACACAAGTTTGAGTCCCTGGCTGTGCTGTCATTTGATTGTGTGATTGGCAAGTCACTTCACCACTCTGAACCTCAATATCCTCACCTAAAAGGCAGATAATATAGCTAACTTGCAATGTTGCAGTGAGAATTAAATGAAATGGGCCAGGCACGGTGGCTCACGCCTGTAATCCCAGCACTTTGGGAGGCCGAGGTGGGCGGACCACAAGGTCAGGAGTTTGAGACCAGCCTGACAAACATAGTGAAACCCCATCTCTACTAAAAATACAAAAACTAGCCGGGCGTGCTGGTGTGCGCCTGTAACCCCAGCTACTCAGGAGGCTGAGGCAGGAGAATCACTTGAACCCAGGAAGTGGAGGTTGCAGTGAGCCGAGATTGAGCCACTACACTCCAGCCTAGGCGACAGAGTGAGACTTCATCAAAAAAAAAAAAGAATTAAATGAAATGAAGTATATGAAATAACTTTGTATAGAACATGACATGAATAGAAGTAATTTAATAATACATTTCTGTTATTAGAACTACAATGGAATCAGCAATATGTTTATAACTTATTTACTGTATTGTTGTTACTAAAAAATGTAGTCAAGATCAACGCACTGAACTTTATGCAGGGATGTGCATTCTAATCAACATATGTAAAAATTGTTAAAGGGTTTTCTTTAATATCATGCATCAGAGTTAAGGCAAATGCAGAAGTCCCAGGGAGAAACATGTGAGAGTAAATCACATTTTTTATAATTTATTGTCTTTCACATTTTGCTTTCCAAATGCTGCCTCAAAATGTTGGGTTTTTAAAAATGGCCATCTAGACTTGGTAAAATCATCTAGCCAAAAGAAAAGGCCTTTTTGGGCATAACAAGACCAGAAACTATAAATATAAAGATGGATAGATTTGATGACATAAAAATTCTGAATGTCAACAGAGCAAGAACCAAGCAAATATATTAAAGCACAGTTGAAAGACAGGTTACAAACTGGGGTAAAACGTAGCATATGGGAAAGAGAAAGTGTTAAATTCCTTAATTTAAAAATTTTTAAATAAAAAATTATGAACAATCCAATGGAAAAAATTACATATAAAGATAATTTATCAGAGAAGAAACACAAATGACCAATAAGAAAGAATGCCTAATCTCCCCAGTGATTAAAGGAGAACAAACTAAAATAATAAGATGCTATTTTTCATTTATCAGATGGGCAAAGGTTTAAAAGAATGCTAATACTCATTGTTGGCGAGGGTGTAGGAAGTGGGCACTCTCATAAAATGTGGTGGGAATTAATTTTGGTACAACCTTTCTGGAGGGCAATTTGGCAAGACCTCTAAAAATCTAAAATATGCAAACCCTTTGACCCAGCGACTCCAATTTAGAAATTTATTCTAAAGAAATGAGACAAATGTGCAAGATATCTCTACAAAGTTATTTCTCATGAAGTTGTTTATGACAGGAAATTGCAAACACTTTAAATATCCAGGGGATTAATTGCATAAGTGATAGAATGTACACACAGTGAGACATTAAAAACAATGATGTAGGCATAGTTACTGACATGAAGAGATATCCTTAATTAGAAAACAAAACAAAAATTACTATACCGTAAAATATCCATCTGGTTATTGCTAGTGGGTGGGATTTGGGGTGCTAGTCTCTATAATTGTCTCAATTGGTTTATTAATGCTTTGATTATAGCAAGTATATCATAATAACTACTTTTACATTAAAAGAAATGAAAGGTATTTCTAAAATAGTTTTTTTAAAGCAATATTGCTTCTCACAAAGATTGTCTTACATCACAACATTTTAAGTATGACTTCCTTTTTTCTTAGTAGATTCCAATTGAGACATATTCGAGACTATTCCAACACAATATTCTCTTGGGGAGAGCTTGATTTGTTTTCATCCTCACAGTCTGATGTGCTGACATAAAAGCTGAAACAAAAACTTAATGAATCATCCTTCCCCTAATCCTTCCCTAGGAATTTTTGCTTCCTTTTCAAATACTTTTCTGCTGCTAGGACAAATCTCAGCTCTAAATCAAATACCCTAACTGCATGGAGCAGGCTTTTTGCACAAGGCTGCTGGTCTTTTCTCTAGCTTTTGCTTGCCTTTCTCTGAAGCAACCAAGGGTCCAGGCCTGGGGTTACCTTGTTCAATAACTGCAGTGTAATTCCATTTTTAAAAAATCAGTCAATTCAGTGAAAAATCTGTTCAGTCCTACAGAGAGTACTTAATATAGCAGAGAAAACAGAGGATACTGCTGAAGCATCTAGGTTCTAGAACAAGACTGCACGGATTTAAATTCCAATTTTACTTACCAGCTAACTTGCAATGTTAACTTTAGCCAATTACTTTAAGCCTCAGTTTTCCCATCTATAAAATGAGCATATAATGTCTTCTTCATAGGATTATTGTGAAGATCAAAAGAGAAATCATATGTAAAGCACTTAGTGCAGTGCCTGACACTTAGTTGACTTTGAAGAATGCTAGTCATTAATATTATCATTTGTTTTAATTACCTGTTGTGTAATTATTCTAGTTTCTGTAGGTCAGGAATCTGGGGGTGGTTTAGCTGGGTGTTCTGGCTCTGGTTCACTCACAAGGCTGCAATCAAGGTATCAGCTGAGACTAGTCGTATCATGGGTAACTTCCAAGCTCAGTCAAGAGGTATTGGCAAGACTCAGTTCCTTTTGGGCTGCTGGACTGAGGGTCTCATTTCCTTGCCTTGTGGGCCTCTCCACATGGCAGCTCACACCTTGGAAGCCTGCTTCATCAAAGCCAGGAGTTAAGAGCGTGAAAACAAGGTAGAAATTACAGCTTTCATAACCGCATCTTGGATGTGGCTACACATCACACTTGCTATATCTGACTCCTTAGAAATAAGTCACTGAGCCCAGCCTACAAACAATGGGAAGGGATTACATGAGGGAGTGAACCCAAGAGGGTAGGAATCATCAGGAACCATTCTAGAAATGCACTCACTGCCACATCATTGTCCAAGTTTTACAGGAAAATACTAAATTTTGAGAACTATGTTAGGTGATTTTGTAGACTTTTATAAATCCAAACAAATTGCAAAGTGTCCAGTTGGAGCTAATGGGTCATTTTATCTGAATTATTATCTATGTTAATATGGTGATGAGTATTACTGGGAGTTCACAGAGAAACTCCCAGTAAGCAAAAGAGTGGGTGCTGTAGAATAGGGGTCCCCAAACCCCAGGCCATGGACTGGTACTGGTCACTCACAAGATGACCACTCACATTACTGCCTGAGCTCCACCTCCTATCAGATCAGCAGTGGCATTGAATTCTCATAAGAGTGTGAACTGTATTGTGAACTGTGCATGCAAGGGATCTAGGTTGCATGCTCCTTATGAGAAACCAATGCCTGAAGATCTGTCACTGTCTCCCATTGCCCCCGGATGGGATTGTCTAGTTGCAGGAAAACAAGCTCAGGGCTCCCACTGATTCTCCATTATGGTGAATTGTATAATTATTTCATTATATATTACAGTGTAATAACAATATAACACTTGAATCATCCTGAAACCATACCCCACCCTAGTCCGTGGAAAAACTGTCATCCATGAAACCCAGTCCCTGGTTGCAAAAAGATTGGGGATTGCTGCTATAGAAATCTTCTCTGGTACTTACATTACAAAAGCAGTAGGGTTTTTCATTTGTTTTCCAAATATAATCCAACTCTGTGCCCTTGAATACATGTCTCAGCCAACTCTTGAAGGAATTAGATGCCATCAAGCTCTCAGAATCACCTTCCTCTTAGCACAAAGGAATGTAACCCCACATGTAGGGTCCATCCAAGGCATAGTTGGTCTCTTACTGTCTTCTGGCTCCTAAGCATCCCAGGGCTGTTGTTTTATCTTCACAGTTCACTCCAGGTTTTGAGTACCCCTGTTTTCTTCACTCATCAAAGTACCAGAGAGACTTTCTGTTACTTGATTTCAGAAAGCAATTTGATTCTTCCTGAATCTCTCAATTCTCTTTCCAGATCACACCTTATACTACAAAAAAAAAAAAAAAAAAAAAAAAGAGCAATTGTCTCCCTAAAAGAAATTCTTTTATACTCTGAGAGGGGCAGTCAGCTTTAAAAATTGTATGATGTTGTTTCTAATCATACAAATTCTACTTAATATTAAATATTATTCTTCCTTTACAATGACCTAAATTAAAAGTGTTCATGGAGTGAAAAAAAGTTAATTTCTCTCCTAATTGATTTATTAGATTCAGTGCAGTGCGAATCAAAATCCCCGCAAGCTTTTTAAAAATACAAGTTGGTAAGATAGTGTATTAGGCCATTCTTGCATTGCTATAAAGAAATACCTGAGTCTGGGTAATTTATTTTAAAAACTTTAATTGGCTCACAGTTCTGCAGGCATAGTAGCATCTGCTTCTGGGGAAGCCGCAGGAAGCTTCCAATCATGGCAGAAGGAAAAGGTGGAGTAGGCACATCACATAGCAAAGGCAGGAGCAAGACAGAAAGAGAGGTGTGTGTCAGGGGGTGCCACACACTTTTAAATGACCATATCTCACGAGAACTCACTGTCATAAAGACAGTACCCGAGCCATGAGGAATTCACACTCATGATCCAAACACCTCCCACTAGGCCCCAACTCCAGCACTGGGAATTATATTTCAATGTGAGATTTGGGCAGGGACAAATATCCTAACTATATCATTCCATTCCTGGCCCCAAATCTCATGTCCTTCTCACATTGCAAAATACAATCAGACCTTCTCAACAGTTCCCCCAAATCTTAACACATTCCAGCATTAACCCAAAAGTCCAAAGTCTCATCTGAGACAAGGGAAATTCCTTCTACCTATGAGACTTTAAAATCAAAAGCAAGTGACTTACTTCCAAGATACACTGGGATATAGGCATTGGGTAAACATTCTCATTCCAAAAGGGAGAAATTGGCCAAAAGAAAGGGGCTACAGGCCCCATGCAAGCTCAAAACCCAGCAGGAGAGTTATTAAATTTTAAAGCTCCAAAATAATCCCCTTTGACTCCATATCTCACGTCCAGGGCACACTGGTGCAAGAAGTCAGCTTCCAAGTCCTTGGGAAGCTCCATCCCTGTGGCTTTTCAGGGTTCAGCTCTGGTAGCTGCTCTCACAGTTGTTGAGTGTTTGCAGCTTTTCCAGGTACAGGGTGCAAGCTACTGGTGGATTTATCATTCTTGGGTCTAGAGGACAGTGGCCCCTTTCCCACAGCTCCACTAGGCAGTACCCCAGAGAGGACTCTGTGTGGGGGTTCTAAACCCATATTCCCCCTTGGCATTGCCCTAGTAGAGATTTTCTAGGAGGGCTCTGCCCCTGCAACAGGCTTCTGATCTGAACACCCAGGTTTTTCCACACATCCTCTGATATCTGGGCTGAAGCTCCCAAGCCTCCTTCACTTTTGCATTCTGTGCACCTGCAGGCTTAACACCACATGGGAGCCACCAAAATGTGTGGTTGCACCCTCTGAAGCAGCAGCCTGAGCTGTATCTGGGGCCCTTTGAGCCAAGGCTCAAGCTGGAGTGGCTAGGATGTAGGGAGCAATATCCCGAGGCTGCACAGGGCAGTGGGGTCCTGGGTCTGGACCACAAAACCATTCTTCCCTCCTACACCTTCAGAGTTGTGATGGGAAGGGCTGACAACATGGTCTCTGAAATGCTTTCGAGGTATTTTCCACATTGCCTTGGCAAGTAGCACTTGGCTCACTTTTAGTAATGCAAATTTCTCTAGCAAGCGGTTGTTCTACAGCCTATTTGAATCCCTCTCCCAAAAAAAGCTTTTTCTTTTTCTGCCACATGGCCAGGCAAATATTCCAACTTTGTATACTCTGTTTCCCATTTAAATATAAGTTCCAACTTTAAAGCATTCCTTTACTCCCACATCCGGGAATAGGCTGTAAGAAGCAGCCAGGCCACCTATTGAACACCTGCTACTAAGAAATTTATTCTACCTGATACCCTAGGTCATCATCCTCAAGCTCAAACTTCCATAGGCCCCTAGGGCATGAACAGAATGCAGCCAAACCCTTTACTCAAGCATAACAGGTGTGACCTTTGCTCCAGTTCCCAATAAGTTCCTCATTTGCATCTGAGACCTCCTCACCCTGGACTTCACTGTCCATATAACTATCAGAAGTTTGGTCACAACCGTTTAACCAGTCTCTAAGAAGTTCCAAACTTTTCCTCATCTTCCTGTCTTCTGCTGAGACCTCCAAATTCTTCAACCTCTGCCTGTTACCCAGTTCCAAGGCTGCTTATACATTTTCAGATATCTTTATAGCAATGCCCCACTCCTCAGTACCAATTTTCTGTATTAGGTCATTCTTGCATTGCTACAAAGAAATACCTGAAATGGGGTAATTTATTTTAAAAAGAGGTTTAATTGGGTGATGGTTCTGCAGGCTGTACAGGAAGCATAGCAGCATCTGCCTCTGAGGAGGCCTCAGGAAGCTTCCAATCATGACATAAGGCAAAGGCGGAACAGGCACATCACATGGCAAAAGCAGGAGCGAGAGAGAGAGAGAGTGAGAGTGAGGGGGAGGTGCCATACACTCTTAAATGACTAGATCTCATGAGAATTCACCATTATGAAGAAAGCATCAAGCCATGAGGAATTCACCCCCATGATCCAAAAACCTCCCACCAGGCCCCACCTCTAGCATTGGGGATTATGATTCAACATGAGATTCGGGCAGGGACAAATATCCAAACTACATCAGATGGTTCTAAATTTATATGGAAATATAGAAACTAGAATGGCCACAGTAATCTTAAAGAAACAAAGTTGGAGAATTTAAACTACCAGATTTCCAAACTTATTGCAAACTAATCCATAGTAATCAAGGTGCTGCAGTGTTGTCACCAAGATAGACTAAAAGATCTGAGGAAAAGAAGAGAGAGAAATAGAAATAGAAGAGAAATAGAAACACATATACAGTCATGCACTGCATAAGAACATTTTGGTCAATGACAGACTGGATATATGATAGTGATCCCATAAGTTTATAATGGAGTTGAAAAATTCCTATTGCCTAGAAACATCATAGTGCAGCATGTTACTCACAGATTTGTGGGGATGCTGGTGTAAACAAACCTACTGCACTGCCGGTCCTATAAAAGTATAGCACAGGCCAGGCAAGGTGACTCATACCTATAATCCCAGAGCTTTGGGAGGCTCAGACAGGAGGACTGCTTGAGCCCAGGAGTTCAAATCCAACTTGGGGAACATAGCAAGAACCTGTCTACAAAAATTTTTTTAAAGTAGCCAGGTGTGCTGACACACACCTGTGGTCTCAGCTATTCAGGAGGCTGAGGTGGGAGGATCACTTGAGCCCAGGAGATAGAGGCTGCAGTGAATTATGATTGTACCCCTGCACTCCAGCCTGGGCAGTAGAGTGAGATCCTATCTCTAAAAAGAAAAAAAAATACAGCACATGCAATTATGTACACTTTATAATACTTGATAATGATAATAAATGACTGTGTTACAGGTATATGTGTTTACTATACTAAACTTTTTAATCTTTAATTCAGAGTGTTCTCCTACTTATTTTAAAAAGTTAACTGTAAAATAGCCTCAGTCAGACCCTTCGGGAGGTATTCCAGAAGACATTGTTATCACGGGAGATACAATTCCGTGCATGCTATTGCTCCCAAAGGCCTTCCAGTGGGACAAGATGTGGAGGTGGAAGACAGTGATACTGATGATCCTGACCATGTGTAGGCCTAGGCTAATGTGTGTGTTTGGAGCTCAGTTTTTAACAAAAAAGTTTAAAAAGCAAAAAAACAAACAAACAAAAAAAACCCTTTTTTAAATAGAAAAAAGCTTATAGAATAAGGATATAAAGAAAGAAAATATTTTTGTTTTCTATAAACAAATACTATACAATGTGTTGTGTTTTAAGCCATACAATGTGTTGTGTTTTAAGCTAAGTGTTTTCACAAAAGAGTCAAAAAGTTTCTAAAAATTCAAAAGTTTATAAAGTAAAAAGTTACAGTAAGCTAAAGTTAATTTAGTATTGATGGAAAAATTTTTAAAGAAATTTAGTGTAGCCTAAGTGTACAGTTTTTATAAAGTCTATAATAATGTACAGTAATGAGCTGGGCCTTCACATTCACTCACCACTCACTCACTGACTCACTCACAGCAACTTTCAGTTCTGCAAGCTCCATTCCTGTAAGTGCCCTGTACAAGTGTGCCATTTTTTACCTTTATACTGTATTTTTATTATACATTTTCTATGTTTAGATACACAAATATTTACTATTGTGTTATAATTGCCTACAGTATTCAGTAGAGTACCATGCTGTACAGGTTTGTGGCCTAGGAGCAATAGGCTGTTCCATATAGCCTAGGTGTGTGGTAGGCTAGGTTTGTGTAAGTACACTCTATGATGTTCGCACAAGGATGAAATCACCTAACAATACATTTCTCAGGACCTATCCCTGTCCAGTGATGCATGACTGTATACAGATACTGATTTTCAACAAAGTCACTAATAAAAATCAATGAGGAAAGGAAGGTCTTTATATTAGGCTGGTGCAAAAGTAATTGTGGTTTTTGTGATTGAAAGTAATGGCAAAAATTGCAATTACTTTTGCACTAACCTAAATAAATGATTGTGAGAACAGCTGGCTATTCAAATGGAAAACAATGAAACTTGACTTATTTTTCACATCACATCAAAAATTAATTTGAGATAGACATAAACATGAAAGCTAAAACAATAAAACTTCTAAAAGAAAACATGAAAATATCTTCACTAACTTGGAACAGGCAGAGTTCTTAGACACTAAAACATTAATTACAAAAGAAAAATTGATAAATAGTACTTAAATTCATAAGTTCTCCTTATCAAAAGATACTAAGTGAAAAGATAGGCCATTGACTAAGAAAACATGTGCAATAAAATATCTAACAAAGGTTTATCTATTCTATTATATTGATCACATTTCTATCTGAAATCTATCATATTATTCCAATGATATCTGAAATTAAGTAGTTTAAGTTCTCCATGATACGTATCAGGAATATATTTTTTAAATTAATAATAAAAAGACAAGCAACCCAACTTAAATATGGGTAAAATGCCCAAATGAGCACTTCACAAAAATTAGTATATAAATAGCCAACAAAGGTATAAAAAATGCTCGACATTATTAGTCATCATTGTAATGCACATTAAAACCACAACGAGATATCATAATACACACATCAGAATGGTCAGGGAAAAAAGACAATATCAAGTATCGTCAAGGATGTGAAGTAAGTGGAAATCACATACATTGCTGGTGGGAATGAGAATGTTGCAATTATTTTGGAAACATGTCTGTTGATTTCTAATTGAGTAAGTTAAATAAACATCATCAACTCCTTGACCTGGCAATTCTACTGTTAGGTTTATAATCATGATACATGAATACATATGCCCACAAAAGACTTGTATAACAGTGCTCATGAAAACTATATTTATAATAGCAAAAAGGTAGAAATAGCACAAATGTTTATCAATAGGAGAATGGATAAGCAAATTGTAGTATATACAATGGAACTACCTACCATTTGTGGAATACTATACAGCAATAAAAAGAAATGAACTCTGGGCAATAACAACATGGATAAAATTTTTTTAAAATACTTTGACTAAAAGAAATCAAATCAACCACTATAGAGGACAACTTTTAAATTATATTTGAATTTCAAGAATAGGCAAAACTAGTATCGGAGATAGAAGTAAGAATAAATGTTACCCTGGGCTAGGAAAGTGGGGTGTTATTGACTGGAGAAGGTCATGAGCTAACTTTCAGCAATGATGGAAATGTTTTAGGTCTGGATCTAGGTGATGGTCACATGAATATATAAATATGTAAAACGTATTTAAGCTGTACACTTAAAATTTCTGCACTGTATAATATAAAAATTGTATCTCAATAAACATTGAAAAAGTCAAAATAGTATTAGAAATTCCTTTTTCTAATCATATAGAAACGCTTACTCCACTTCTGCTGAACCCCCACCAGAAAACCTTCAACATTCTACTGTGTCCTGTTTGGAGAAGTATATCCTCTAATCCTTCTTTGTTGAGATTACTAAATAATTCACTTAACAGCTTGGAAAGCATCCACCATATACTTCACAGAATGGAGTTGGATTTGTGGAGCCACAGATGGGGGACAACCACTTTATCCCTAGAGCATATCTGCCCCATAATTGGCTCAGGGATGGCCGCCTGAGATCCTGAGTGGAACATAGGAGGAGCTAACTCCCAACCATACAACCAAACTCCTGGTTCAACTAGAAATTCGGGGGTAGGTGCCTCACACAGGGACATGAGCATGAGTGGGTAGGTGGGAGAGCCTTACCTTGGCTTAATCCCTTGTCCTTTTTTTCATGGACTTGCTTGACAGAATGTGTGGTGGGGGCTGGGTAGGAGGCTCACCTTGACAGACAAAACGCTGACAAATCACCTTCAAAGGAGTTGAGATAATTTGATGGGAATCATTTCTTCTCTGTGGAGTACTAAAGGACTGATGTAGGGTAGTTGACTAACTGAGGGCGGTGTCAGAGCCAGCTTTGTAGTAAGGGAGGAAGGTTAGGAAAACAGGTTTCTCACGCACATGGGAACATTGGGGTAGGTAGGGGGCTTAATGTATTTTCAGGGTCTGTGCTAGCTGAGGGCATCTGGTAGCACAGTCTTCAGAGAAATTCTCCTAAATATTTTCCACGTTTTCTATTCTACAAAAGAGAATTAGACCCAGGTGCTAAAGGCACAATCACATCTCATTGGTGTTCACCAAAGATTGTATTCATTGTTTCTAAAGATGCAACAGCCCATGTTTTTTTGCAGCAATTCCAGGCTCCAATGCAGAGAAGCCATGTTATGTATACAACTTGCATGAATCCCATTCTACTGTTCCTTGTTCCCTGTCTCGTTATCCTCAACTTCTAAGAAAGCTGATATCCTCGCTTACCTTAAATGTTTATAACCTTACACCAAGAAATACCAACAACTTTTTAAAAATTATTTACTTATGCCATTTTTATAATTAGGTACTTTGCTATTTAAGGCTTTCAGGGGCAAACACACAAAAAATTGTTTTGATCGAGTTACAAAATAAAATCTTAAACAAATGTACATAGAATACTCAAGAGTTTATTTTAAAAGTGATTAAAAACACATACCAACCTTAAGTGAATATCATTTCCTTTAAAATAATACCTAGGAAGGTACTTAATCCAACAAAAACTCCTCTTTTGCAATTGCCCCTAGAGCTAGTTCACAGCTGCACGTAACACAATAACAGATAAAATGAAACTCATTATTTTATAATTACACTGTCTTTAATTAAGAAAGATGTTGGCCTAGCTTACAATCAAAATCAAAACCCCCCCTTAACAAAGATGATTGGCCATCACTGAGGCAATTGCAAAATACCAGTTCAAAAGTGTGATTTTTTAAAAAAAACTGTGACAAGTGATGGAGGATTACAAAAACAAGTGACAAGCCTCCCAAACTTGTCTCTCAAGCTTGTCCTTTGAAGGAGACAGTAGTCATTTTTAATAACAAGACCTTTTTGTGAAATAAAATAAAAAATAAGAGAAACCCACTGAATCTCATTGCGTTGTTCTCATTCCTTTTGCAGATGAGTGCATACTGTGTATTGTGCCATTATTCTTTGAATGATCCCTTTTTATTTTTTAAAAACCACTTTGTCAATTTTTCCATTAATAAATTGCTATAAATTAATTGAAGAGTTCAGAAAACACAGAAGAAAATATGATCATCTATTATTCCACCACAAGAGATTAGTCATTTTAAAGGTGGGTTTTGTATATTACCTTAAAAATGATTACAATAAAGCTGAGATGGCTATGCTGGTTGAGATATTACATTTAGAAAAATGTGAAAGATCATTACTGAAGCCTTGATATTTGTTTTGTAGAAACTGAATATTGAGGGTAAAAATCAAGTTACAGTATTCTGTCTACAAGTCAGACTTCAAGTAATAGTTTCCAAATATATGAATGCCTTTGGCACTAGGGATTCTTAAGTGTATCATTTAAGAAGTAGTGCCTTCTCCAGCTCAGAAAGCTATGTCCCACAAAGCAAAGAAAGCCAGAAGTTACTTGTCTTTCCAGGCAAGTTGGCAAGAGTGAAACAAAAGAGGAGGTGATACCCATTAACTTTCCCTTCTGGATTATAGAGTGGGAGCCACTGCAACCTTTCATCCAATAGCCATGGTCACGGCCAAAGCCAAGCAATCCTGCCATCTTTGGGCTCCAGAATAAAAGAGCTTCACTCTTCCCAAGGTTTACCTGTGAGGACCAAGGTAAGAAAGAAAACTTTCTTGACAAATATTTGTCAAGAAATACTTGTCCTAAAGTCCAAATCTAAGTTTATTCACTAATCATTGTACTTGTAAGCCAACCGAGGTATACAGCATCTGAATTCCTCAAGCTATATTGCTGGAAATCCATATGAAACTCATTGAAAGGGCATTTCTCTTTACCACCTTCTTGCATTCCTTTGGCCACGCTGATGTCTGTCCCCTGTGTCTCAATTACTGAGCTGGGTACGGACTTTATGGACCTGAGGCAGAGAAGGGTGGAATCTGGGTTGACAGGGAGACTTAGGAGATACTAGGATGTAGTGAAGGCTATAGTAATTGATGGAATAATGCCTCCGAGACAGAACATGTAGAGTAAGAAGAGGAAAAGACAAAGATGGAGATTTGAGGAACCCTTGAAGTCTGACAGGGCATGGTTGTTCATAGGATTTAGAAACAAGAAACAGGGCATGCACAATGACACCCACATGGTGAAAGCATTCTATCTGATCATTATGTGTTATAAAACTGTATAAAACTATCTGTTATAAAACTTTATATTGAGCATCTCAATGGCAGGAACTTTGTCTTGTCTATCTTTGGGTCTTCCTTAGCTCCTACAAATGCTTAATTGATGTCTAGAGGGGAAGAAGAAGGAGAGGGTAGAAGCAGAGAAAAACAAGAAAATAGAAAACACAGAGTGGGAACAAGGAAGACAGGCAGGAGGAAATCAGCTGGAGAGGTAATATTCCACAAAGATTCTCTGTCCAGCTTGCTTGCTAGAAACCTAGAACTTCAGTGGCTAAGTCAATCTCTGAACAAGAAGAGGCATTGCCAAGAAGCCTGGGGGAACTGAAAGCCAACCCCAGGAAACTAGCCTGCAGAGTAGAAACAAGGAGTGTGCAGTGTTGTTTCTAGACCCACACAAGAAATTGATAATAACTTCAGTAAAGTCAAGGCTTCTGATGTGAAGATACGTTCATCGGTTTTTTGGACTGCTTAAAGACAAGGCAATAAAACAGATCTTGAGGACTCAATTGACCCAATACTGAAAAGAAGTTACTAAAGATTTGGTAGCAGTAGATGATCACGTAATTGTGATTATATGTCACTCTGGTGCACTGGCTTGCAGGAGGTAAGACTGTGAGGTGGCAAGGAAAGAGAATAGCGGTTCTGGTTCACAGAGCACTAACACTGCATTGATAGCAATGATGGAAAATGATATTTTCCCAAATCGCTGTGGTCTGCATCTTCTAAAATCTACTATTTATTTTCTCCCAGTCAAAGTTTACCTCTATTTGACTTTGTAGGTTCTTGAAGCTAATAAATTATGGAACTACTTGCCTAGAAAAATATTTTTGTGGAAAGAATTGTAATCTAGAGGAAACACTCACTGACTGAATTCCAACAAACCTGTCCAGTGGTATGGTTGAGTTCTTGCCCTCTGCCCAAAGCCAAGAGATTTACCATGAATAGAAACCATTCAAGGCTCTTAATTCAACATTCTTGAACTGTGCTGCAAATTTGGTCCTCCCATAGGAAGGTGGGGTGAGGGACAGGGAGGGTTAGAAAAATCTTTTTATCTAGCCATACTGGAAATGTTTTGTTTAGTCTGGAGAAACCCAAATGATATAGTTTTTCAGATTCTGTACTTTTTCATTTTGGCTTTGTTTGTGTATGATATGTGCACCAAAAAACCGTCAAAGTACAAAACTCATTCTAGAGCAATTTAAAGTCTACTCATGCTAAACAATGAGTTAAAAGAGTGTGTTGCTTTTCTGTAGTTCCTTTCAAGCAGAACATTAAATCTCTGAGTATTTTCAGAAATTTCTGCAAGAACTCAGTCAGACAGTACTTGTCCCATTTTCCCAATGGAAAAATATTTTGATAAATCGCATAACATGGCCTAATCTTTTCAGTAGAGTCCTCATTTCCTGCCCAATTTTCCCCTCTACTCACCTTCCACCAACCCCCAAGAAAGGCGCCCGTCACCACGCCCAGCTAATTTTTGTATTTTTAGTAGAGACGGTGTTTCACCATGTTGGTCAGGCTGGTCTCGAACTCCTGACCTCAAGTGATCCACACGTCACAGTCTCCCAAAGTGTTGGGATTACAGGCATGACCCACTGTGCCTAGCCTGATTTCTGTCTTTTGTATGGCTGCATAGTATTTCACAGTTTATATGTACCACATTTTCTTTATCCAGTCTGTCACTGATGGGCATTTAGGTTGATTCCATGTCTTTGCTACTATGAAAAGTGCTGCAGTGAACATTTGCATGCATATGTCTTTATGGTAGAATGATTTCCATTCCTCTGGGTATATACCCAGTATAGGATTGCTGGGTCAAATCGTAGTCGTGCTTTTAGCTCTTTGAGGAATTGCCGTACTGCTTTCCCCAATGGTTGAACTAATTTACACTCCCACCAACAATGTGCAAGTGTTCCTTTTCTCCATATCCTCACCAGCAGTCTAGACTTTTTAAGGGTAAGTTAGACTACCTACTTATATCTGAAAGTAACTAGAAAAGCCAAGGTATCTGCCACAGAATTCATCCATAGGCAGGCAAGGAAACAACAGAGTGAATTTCAAGAGTCAACAATGAGCAGGAATAAAGTTGCTTTCTATTTATACCCTACCAACTTCAACTTGTTCAATAGACTGCTTACAAATATGTACTACACACACCCATACATATACTATACTTCTATTCTCATGGATACTTTTAGTCACCTAGATTCTCTGCAAAGACACAGTACAAACTGATAAAAGCAGTTTCCCCTGGGAAAGGGGAACAGATGGTTTTGGAGCAAGAGTGAGAGATACCTTAAATTATGCCTTTTGGATTCTGATCATAAACACATAGTTTTAAAAATTCATTTAAATTCAAAATATTTTAACTAGTATGGAAAGTAAAGCAAATAGAAAATTAAAATAGGAAAGTAACGTGGAGCCAGGCATAGGTTAGTTTACTAAATACATAGCATAAAGTCAGATAAACTTGCTATGGAGTAGAAGGCAAATTTGGCTCTAAGTCTCTGGTTACCAGCGTGAAGAAAGAAACAGCACGATTTCCACTGTTCATCAGGAAAAACAAACCATTTGCTCAGGACAAACAAAGCTACTTCTAGAACTAAAGCCAGAGTTAAATTTCTCCTATGGATTCTCTCTTTTGAGTCCCCAAAAGTAGTGAAGAATACCTTCCCTAACCTCATTATTATAAACACAGGGCAAAACTAATAGCGTTGCCAATCTTATGATGTTTGTTATTATTAGTAACAGGAGCTAAAGGTGATATGAACCAGGGTTCATTATTGGCTTTGTAGGTGAATTAATAAAATCACAGCAATTATTTGGCTTTAGTAGAAGTAATGAGAAGAAAATTAAGTGGTCTTGTTACCAGTGGAAGAGACCCAAGTTACCGGCAGTGAATCCATAAGGGGTCCACAGCAACTTCAGTTCTTGCCTCCTCTGAAGAAAGAATTTGACTGAGGGGCATATAGCAGAAGAAGAGACCAAGGCAAGTTTCGGGGCAGGAGTAGAAGTTTATTTAAAAGGCTTTAGAACAGGAAAGAGAGGAAAATTCGCTTGTAGGAGACCCAAGCGGGTGCTTGAAGGTCCAAGAAAGAAAAGAGAGCAAAAGAAGACAGCAAAAAAGAGGGGCCTTTAACCTTGATCCTAGGACTTTATAGGCTTGCCTCTTTCCCAAGATTTTTCCTTTAGGGTGGGCTTTCCACATGCCCAGTGCTTTCCTTACCCGTTGGAGTTGAGAATGCACAATGTATTTAGGGAGTTATACACATGCCCATCTAAGGCTTTCTTCCCTTTTCCGGTGGAGTGTGCCCCCAGAAGATCATACTTCACCATTTTTGTCTCTTAACACGCATGCCCAGGAAGTTGCTTCTCCCTGGGGCCTGCATTCAATTAACATTTTGAGGTTAACAGGTGTGGACCATCAGGAAATGGCCTCTCCCTGGAGCTGCCAAATACATATTTTTAGAGAGGCAATGCAATAATTGCCAAACCATCACCCAACATTTCTAGTGGGTTGGGGGAGAACCCTGTCCTGCCCTGCTCATGCCTAACTACCTGTAACAGTCTATGGCCCTGAATCATTAGGCTGCTCCTACTTGAAATTCACTCAATCTTCAGAGTCAGATGCATCCAACTGTCCATCAAAGATTTAAGTTCACAACAGGTTGTCTTCAGATAATATTTGAGCTTTGAGGCCTGTGCACTGTGCAATGAATGAATGATATAGTTGCACAGAATGTTCACCTAAATATCTTCACTACAAGCCAAAGTAAATGTGAATCACCTACCACTACTCGCATATGTGAATGGATAAAATTAGAAAGACTGACCACACCAAGTGCTGATAAGGATGTGGAGGAACTGGAACTCTTATAAGCCACTGATGGAAACACCAGATGATGTGACTACTTTGGAAAATTGTTTGACAGTTTCCTTAAAAGTTACACATACAGCTACCATCTGAGCTAGCCATTCTATCCCTAAGTACTTACCCAAGAAAAAAGGGAAAATGGCCAGGTGCAGTGGCTCACGCCTGTAATCCCAGCACTTTGGGAGGCCAAGGCAGATGGATCATGAGGTCAGGAGTTCGAGACCAACCTGACCAACATGGAGAAACCCCATCTCTACTAAAAATACAAAAATTAGCTGGATGTGATGGCATGCACCTGTAATCCCAGCTACTAGGGAGGCTGAGGCAGGAGAATCACTTGAACCTGGGAGGCAGAGGTCACATTGAGCCAAGATTGTGCCACTGCACTCCAGCCTGGGCGACAGAGCCAGACTCTGCCTCAAAAAAAAAAAAAAAAAAAAAAAAAGAAAGAAAGAAAAAGAAAAAAGGGAAAATGTATCTATACCAGACTTGTACACAAACAGTAGCAGCTTTATTTGCAATAGCAATCCATACATCCATCAACAGGTGAATGAATAAACAAATCGTGATATGTACATACAATGGGACAACAGTAAAAAGAAATTAACTATTGATACATGTAACATCAATGCTTGAGTGGTTCTTATGCCTCAAGAACTTTACACTGTTTCATTTAAGTCCCATGTCCGCCCTATAAGGTAAATACTATTGTTCCCTCTTTGTAGACTTGAGAAAACTGAAGGTTAGAGAAGGTCAGCAATTTGTCTGGGGTTACCAGCTGATGAGTGGATGAGACACAGACCAAGTCAGTCTGACACAGTATTCACACACACTGTGTAGCAGGGAGCAGGACTGCTTTGATCGCCTTGGACCTAAGAACCCCTTCAAGGTGAGGTAGTACCATGCAGGAGATGACCTCCAACAACCAGAAGGGGCTCAGGGATGGTGCAGAGAAGGCAACTTTGAAAGAGGAAGACATTTTTTCTTTCTTTGGATAATGCCCAGATGACTCACCCTTTCTCCTCTCTCAGCTCCAAATCTTCATGTCTTAATCTTGATGTGTCAGATCTGGGGACCTATTGGAGTGCTCCCCAGAGAGGTTGTCCTTCTGTCTCAAAGCACAGGTTAGGACAAGCAGCAGCTCTATTTGGGCATCTATTCCTGAAGCGAGCTGCAATTTGATATTCTTTTACTGTTTACTTCTGCTTTAATTACAGGGTGGGGGAAAGAGCTCCTAAAATTTGCCAAAAACTTTGGTGATTTTTAAAAAGTCCTTCTTTACTTTCCAATTATTCAACTCTGCTGGGAAAGGCAATAGGAACGCTTTTGGAACTGAGTTTGCTGCTGAGTTGCCAGGGTTTCGAGATCTCTGCAAAGGTCATTGTTTTTTGTAAAGGTCATTGTCTTTTCATGAAAACCCCGGCAAAGCATGCCAACGCAGGAAAGCCACCAGCTTGCCAAATGTCCGGTGTCCCAGTCACCTGCTCTTCCTGCCCTAGGAAGGATGTGAGATGATCTCTGGAGTAAAGACATCAGATGGGGTTTGTTCCTTTCTTGCTCTTAAATCAGCTGCAAAATGCAAGAACAAAGCACACACAGGATGATTCCCTGAGCCCTGTGCCGCCTCCTCGTTAAAGGCCAGCAGCTGCTGGGTGTTGCACAGAGCGAGATAAGCAATACGACATTTGTAGCCGTTCACATCCTGAACGTAGAGCATTGTGTTCTCAACGGAATTTCTGAGGCTTCAAGCCCTGAAGAATACCCAACAAGTGAAAATACAGAGAAAGGGTGTGCTCTGCTCAGGGGTCCTGGGTGGGGTGGGGGATACACAGCAGGAAGGGCAGGCAGAATCCAGCAACCAAGTCACGAGTCGCTAGCTCTTCAGAAAAGTGGCTCTGCTGACAAGAGAATTAGGGCAGGATGATTTTGGCAAGCCCCGTGTTGTGTTAGCTGCGCAAACTTTTTCTGTTCTCTTATGCAGCCTCTTAACAACTGGGTGGGGGCATCTTTTCACATTTCATGGAGAGGCTGATTCTTGTCAGATGTTTAGCAAAGGGCTTCCACATTAGGTTTATCAAGCACACACAATTCCAGATGCAACGCGGAGTCCATTTAGTTTGAGAAGATTAAAATGTGCCGTTTCCTGCCATTGGCAGCATTTTCATTTTTCCTCTTTCCTTACAGTTTTCTCACATTACTTGAAGTGATTCTTACCCTTATCTTTACACTGTGTTTTAAAGAAAATTATGGGGGAGAGGAGAAAAGACCCAGAGTGTCACCGGGAGCACCTGACAGGAAGCCGCTAAACTGTGTGAGCACCTCCTGATTGGAGATATTCTCCTCCCCGTTGGATGCCTCTGATTTACCTCTCTATGGACAGATACTAATTTCAAACCCATGGCCATAAGATTATTTCAATGACTTCCCTTCCATCTTCCTGCCTCCTCCAATAGCCTCGATGTCCTTATTCCTCCCCCCAACAAGCCTACCTCAGTCACCCACCATCAACAAACACAAATGCAGCTCTCCACAGGTCTCTCACAAAGAGTCTACACAGATCCCACACCAACCAACTCCTACACCCAAGCCAATGCCCCAAGAATGTTATCATCATCTGAGAGAAGGGCTAGGACAGGCCACCCAAATACAGTAGTGACTGTACTGTACTGACAGAAGCAACTCAGGATATATGTGTTTGTGTGTGTGTGTGTGTATCTATATATATATATATATCTCCATATGTTCTCTTCGAAGGAGATATCCCTAGAGAAATATATGTGTATAACTAAATATATGAACACTTTCACTTAATGTAGATTTAAATATATGTAGATACATGTATATATATTCTTTCCCCTATCCCATCCATTCATTCATTTATTCAACTTAAATTCATTTAGTGTTTACTGTATGCCAAGCACTGTTCTAGGCAGTGAAGACTCAACAGGAAGAAAGAGCCAGGTGAAGACTGGCTAGGCAGTGAAGACTCAACAGGAAGAAACCGCATTTCCTGCACTTTGATAGGAAATGTTGGTAATCCTACATTTGGTAGAGTAAGACAAAAATAAACACATAAATGTATATTTCAGGTTATGATAGGGGATATGAAGAAAAAGCAAGCAGGGAGGTAGGAAGTGATGGGGATTGAGGGTGATGTTTTAGATGGGTGGTCAGGGAGGCCCTTGCTCAGAAGGGGAAGGCTGAGTGGAAAGCTGAAGGAAGCGAGCATGAGCCATAAGGACATCAGAGTGGACACCCAGGGAGAGGAAAAAGCACGTGCAAATGTCCTGTTTGGGAGCATGCTTCTTACTTTGAAGAAGCAGCAAAGAGGCCAGGAGTAGAAAGAGTAAAGGGAAGCGGTGGGAAATGAGGTAATAGAAGCGGGGCCCAGAATGAGAAAGGCAGACTCTGGCAAGCTCTGAACAGAGGAGAGGCACCATCTGATGACTACTGGCATAGCAGGATGCCTGCTGAGTAGGAAGAGTTTGAGCAGTCAGGGACAGAAGCAGGGAGCCTAGTTTGGAGGCAGCTGCAGTAATCCAGGTAAGAGGTGATGGAGCTGGGATAAGGTAGCAGTGAGAGAGGTGGGAGTGGAGAGTTTCTGGATATACTGAGAAGAGAGAGCTTCAGGAAGTGCTGATGGACTGGGCTTGCGGGATGGCCTTGGTCCTGAAACTCCTGGCAAGGGAATAGGCCCAGCTGTCAGCTTAGAGAGTGCAAATGCATCAGAAATCAAGGCCTCTTGAATTCTGGCTCTTACGCAAGAGGCAAAGACCCCATTTATTTAGCACCTACTATGTGTCAGGTGCTGCCTTAGGTATTTTCACAGAAACTTCTTCCTCACAAATCTTTGAGATGGGTTTGACTACTTCCACTTCATGGGTAAGGAAACCAGAATCTCAAAGAAGTTCAATCAGTCAGGGACGGAGATCTGAACCTGTGTCTACCAGTCCCCAGGGCTGTTAATCAGAGACCTTTACAGAGGGAGAGCCTAGCAGAGTGGCTTGGGGGTCGGGGGTCGCTGCAAGCTCAGCAAAGGGAGGCACCAGAATAAGGGAACCCTCACACCCTCCCAGGCAGCCACAGCTTCGCACCAGAGCTCCAGGGTGGAGCTGCAAGTCACGGGTCTGACCTAGCACCAAGCTTCCTCAATAGGATCCAGGATGTAGCTGCTGGGGCTGCAGCCACCGGAAGCAGGAAAACCAACTAGGGACAGGCAGGAGATCCAGTTGACCCATCCAAGCCCCAGGCCCGGCTTTCCTGCGTGAGAGGGAGGGTGCCACCAGGTGCTGCCCACAGCCCCTGTAGTCAACGCCCTTCAAATTTAGTTTCCACATTTCAGCCTCCACACACCAAAACTTTCAGCTAGCCATCCTGGGAGGAGCCCCTAGGTCGCTGCCTCTGGGCTGGCTGGGGCCGATTGGAGGAAATGGGCCTGCACTCAACACTTGTGCACCTGCACTGGGCGTTGTGTATTTCTCCTCTGGTTGCCAGAGCAACAGAAACAACAGTGGCTGCTGAAACCCCCTTAACACCACAGCCCAGGCTGACCCTGACCAATGGCAGCCAGACCTTGCATCTTGGCCTCTTCCCTTTCCTCTCACCCCCCTGAAAGTATCTCCTCTGAAACCAAAAACTTAACCGGCCTCTTTCACTGAGCTGAAATGGTTCTCAGAGCTTGCCCAACTCTGAGCTCTTCCTGACACGCCTGGGTTTCTGACTGTCAGCACCCCAGGGAGAGGGTGGGACGCCCAGATCCAGGCATGGAGCAGAATGTCGCCTAGGGAGAGCGCCGGGAGCCTCCTCCTCAGAACCACTGCGGAAGCTACTTTACTGCAAACAACCTAAGTAAAGTGGGCAGCTTCCCAAGGTGTGGCCCCAGCTGCTGACCCCAGAGTTTGTACTCAAACACCCGTGGGCCTGGCTACTGCCCTTATTGACAAATCCAATCTCATCAGATGCTCTGGGGCTGTAGGTCTTCATTCCATGTCAGGAATGCCCCGCTTTGAGAGGACTTGTGATTGTGGTAATTTATGACACCAGCTGCTGTGAAAATGACTGGGGAATGGGCAAATTGCCCTGCCTGTAAACTCACAAATGGACATCCAGGACCAGAGATGCCCTCGCTCGGAAGCAAGCACCCATATCGCCCTGCCTCAAACTGTGGGGTGCTGGGCTAGCTCACGTTTCATCTCTCAGGTTGCTGTTCAAGTTGCAACCAGAGAATTCCATGTGCTCAGCTGGGAAACAGGACACCAGGGTCCTTCCCTCCATTCTGTGAGTATCCACCACAGGAGGGTGAGGGAAGAGGGCACCTCTATGCTGTTTTTTTAGTTATTTCCACAACCCCACAAGTTAAATATAGCATTTTCCACATGTGTACAACTGAGAAAATCAAAGTTCAGTGAGGTTAAGTGACTTGTCTGAGATTGCACAGTGAGCAAGTAGCAGGACCAGGATTTGAATCCAGATTTCCTATCTCACATTATACTGTAGAGGCATATTTAAAGTCTTTAATAAAGGGCTCAGTTCCTTGATTATCCCACACAATAAACAAAATCATAGGTACTCTATTAGTTTGCCAGGGCTGCCATAACACAGTATCACAGTCTGGGAGGCTAGCAACAGGAGTTTATTGTCTCACGATTCTGGAGGCTAGAAGGCCAAGATCAAGGAGTGGGCTACTTCTGAGGCCTCTCTCCTTGGCTTGTAGGTGGCCATCGCCTCCTCCCTGGGTCTCCACATGCTCTTCCCTCTGTACATGTCTATGTCCTACTCTCTTCTTATGAAGACACCAGTCACGTTGGTAATCCTAGCGGGATAATTCCAGTGACCCCATTTAACAATAATTACCTCTTTAAAGACTCTCTTCAAATGCAGTCACATTCTGCGGTATCAGAGATTAGGATACATGAATTTGGAGGGGGAAGATACAATTCACTCCATAACAGGTACCAAGCCCTGTCTTTTCAATGCTTGTTTTAGCTCCTCAATAATAAAATATAACAACAATATTCTAAATATAAATAAATATGGTAGGCATTCAAATGATCATGAAAAAAGAAGGCTTTTACTAAAAGTTAATTGTCTTTCTTTTTTTTTTTTTTTTTTTGAGACACTGTCTTGCTCTGTTGCCCAGGCTGAAGCGCAGTGGTGTGAAGCTCAGTGGTGTGATCTCAGCTCACTGCAACCTCTGCCTCCCAGGCTCCAGGAATCCTCCCACTTCAGCCTCCTGAGTAGCTGGGACTGTAAGTGCATACTACCATGCTCAATTAATTTTGCTAATTTTTGTATTTGTTGTAGAGATGGGGTTTCATCATGTTGCCCAGGCTGGTCTCGAACTCCTGGGCTCAAGCAATCCTCCTGCTTCAGCCTCCCAAATTGCTGAGACTACAGGCTTGAGCCACTGTACCTGGCCAAGAAATTGATTTTCAGCTGCCATTCTGTTAGCAATTTTTTTCCGAAAGCATTTCCTATGTACAAAACACTTTGATCATTACAATGCCATATGGTACATAGCGCCTCTACTCATTAAACTTTCACTAGAGCTGAGAAGATAAGAAGACATAGACCCAAATAACAACCATACAAAGCAGACATGCTCTATGCCCCAAGAATGGTGCCCTGTAGAGTACCAGGAAGTCCACAGGATGAGACATCACTTCTATTTGGGATAATCAAGGAAGACTTCCTGGAGGCGGTGACTTTAAAGCTTGACCTTAATGTCACATGGGATTTTAATCGACAAAAATCGGCGATGTTGGCTTTTCAAACCATACATTTGGACCTTATATTTGGATTTTTACCCCTAAAATTTCTATATAAAAATAGGAATAATATTTACAACATCATCCTGCTACACATACCTTGATGAGGAGCATCTCCAAGGAGACCAAGAAAGAAAAAGGGCAGTGTCCAGAGAAATAGAACCCAGCAGTCTGGTGCACCTGAGTCTCTCTTAAGCCCATATAAAATAGATGACAGGCTTCCATGTGTGCTGCGCCCCTCTTCCCTCACTGGTAACCACATGCCTGCAGCAGCCAGCAAAAAGTCTGACACTGTTGTGAGGCTGTCGTCAGCCCAATTTCTCGTTTGTTTGTTTGTTTGTTTTGACAGAGTCTTGCTCTGCCACCCAGGCTGGAGTGCAGTGGCAGGATCTCAGCTCACTGCACTCTTTGCCTCCTGGGTTCAAGCAAGTCTCCTGCCTCAGCCTCCAAGTAGCTGGGATTACAGAAGCACACCATCACACCTGGCTAATTTTTGTATTTTTAGTAGAGACGGGGTTTCTCCATGTTGGCCAGGCTGGTCTCAAATTCCTGACCTCAGGTGATCCACTCACCTTGGCCTTCCAAAGTGCTGGGATTACAGGTGTGAGCCACCACACCCGGCCGATTTCTCATTCTTTATTCAGAAATCAGGAGGGGGCTCGTTTCCCAAGATAGGATAAGACGTTGGGCAGACAGGTGGCTCCAGAAACATTTTACCCAAGAACTAGGTTTATCCTCCATCTTCTGTGACTTTGGAACTCTTAGCCTTTTCCTTTCATTACTCTTCTGTATCTGTCTTTAATAGAGCAGAGACCATTTAAATCACAAGGCCAGCTTGCTGTACTTGGGGGAGTTCTCAGGGTACAAACCAAGCATGGGGTATGTCTGATTTTGTACTTAGTTCTCCCTGCTAGGAAAGCTCTTCTGTCTCCCATCCAAAGTAGTTTTCTCTTAGCCCTCAAAACTCAGCTCAAAGAGCACCCCTTCAGAGAAACCAATTCCTTTCACAGACACTCATATCTAGGGCAGGTTTCTCTACTATATTGTCCCATTATTCCTCTCCTTCACAGTTTGTAGCAACATATTAGTTTGTATCTCCTGCAGCAGATCTTAACTTCCACAAAGGCATGTATGGGCCACGATTATCCTCATGTCTGACACATGGAAGGTGCCCCCACATGTGGACCAAACCACTGGGAGGCAGCCTGATGTACCAGTAATTGGAGTCAGACAGACCTTAGTTGGAATGCCAGCTCCAACACCTACTATTTGGACAATTGATTACAATTCCTGTATCTCAGCCTCCCCTATTACAAAATGAGGATAATCATGTTTATTTCACAAGATTGTTATGAGAAACATATAGATAAGAACATCTAGCTGGCATTTTGTGAGTGCTCATGCAGTAATATTAATTGCTTTACTTCTTTTATTACCCGAACAGGCTCACCATGGTTCTCAGGGAAGCTTGACTCTCAGGCCACTCAGACCTTCCTTCATAAATCCCAAAGTCTGCCCTAGAATTTTAACTCAAGATTGAAAATGCTTTCTGGAGCTCTCTGAAGCTGAATTGGGAGGTTTCATTATCCACTGTGTCTGTAAGTGTTCTAAGCTGCAAGAAATGGGAACGAACTCCTTCGTCTAAGATGAAAAGGAAGTCCTCAAAAGTAAATAGGCTGCTCGGAGTTTCTAGAATGATGCAGAACCAGGTGCAAGGGCTCTCCCTCAAGAACAATACCCCACATCAGGCCACAGAGCTGGGCCACGAAAGATGCTGCTGCAGTTGACACCAGGCACAGGCCAGCTCCAAGTACTGTGTGTGGTTGGCCCTGGATGCTGGATGCTGGCTATGGAACCACAGTCCTTGTTGCCTCTGGGAACTAAGCATAGAGTCACTGCTGTCTTGCCCTCATCAGAATGGAGGTCTGTCCATAGTGCCTCTTTTAGCGCTGCTTCAAAGTCTAGGAAAGGGGCCATGCACAGTGGCTCACGCCTGTAATCCCAGTACTTTGGGAGGCCGAGGTGGGCAGATCACCTGAGGTTGGGAGATTGAGATCATCCTGGCCAACAGGGAGAAACCCCGTCTCTACTAAAAATACAAAAAATTAGCTGGGCGTGGTGGCGCATGCCTGTAATCCCAGCTACGTGGGAGGCTGAGGCATGAGAATCGCTTGAATTCAGGAGGTGGAGATTGCGGTGAGCCAAGATCACACCATTGCACTCCAGCCTGGGCAACAAGAGTGAAATTCCGTCTCAAAATTAATTAATTAATTAATTAAATTAAATAAAAAGCATTTTAAAAGTCTAGGAAAGGCAATTCTGACTGGTGGAACCCAGGTTAACGTGCCCATAAATTCGCTGCAAAGCAGGCTGAGGAAACACAGGTCTGCCACATTCAGCTTTTCTATGAGAGAAGCCTCTGCCTTATCAGCTCAGGAATTCCTCCCCAAAAGGAAAGGGGTTCAGTCACTGGACATCTAAAACACTGACAACTGCCTGCCATCCCCTGGAATGGACTCGGCTCCTATTTCCCGAGTCTTTCCTCACTCTACCCGTGCTAGCCTCATTGACTAAGTCCTTAATTGACCACTCTCCACATACAAGCATGCTCTAGGTGACTCCTCCCTGCCCCATATCCCTGTTCAAATATTTTCATTTTCTTTACTCTTTTTTCATCCATTTGTATCAGTTTTCTTCCTCCAAAGTCATATGTGCCCAGGATTCTACATGCATGTAACTCCACAGTCAGTCCATTTCACAGCTCAACTCTTATTTCTAAAGTTCAATTTATTTCAGAATTACCCTTAACCTATTTAGAATGGGAGCAAATTCACATTTACACAATATTTTAGGGAAGAGTTCCTTCTCTCATGTGCCCACCCATGTCAATGTCTGAAACAGCCAGCCTCAGTGAACATTATGCTCTTAAGATGGTCTTCAAAAAGTACTATTCTTTGGTCAAATGAATTTAAGAGAAGTTTCCCTGTGAGAGTTACAATGCACATTAGGTAATTAAAGGTCTGGAAAGTCATGAAATACAGAAGCCTATTTAACTTTTAAACCCAACACTTCCAAAGCGTATTTGACTACAAACCATCCCCACATTTTTTGTTGTTGTCTTTATAACACTTTTTTACATCCAAAGCATGCTGCAATAAAGCTTCTTAAGATACTTTATTCAGAAGATTCTCATGTTCCCTTCCTCCTGAAAAAACTATCCCCAAGTAAATGAATCTCTGCTCAGCTTGGAGAAGGAGAACAGAGACAATGGGGAGAGGTGCCATACTGTAGACCCTTGCTACTCAAAGTGCAGTCCGTGGACCAGAAGCATTACCATTACCATCACCGAGGAGCTTGGGAAATGTAGCATCTCAGGTCCCACCCCAGACCTGGGAAACCGGAATCTGCATTTTAGCAAGTTTATTCCTATGCACAGTAAAGTTTGACCCATACTGGCATAGATAACTCCTACACCTAAAATCTCCAATTCCCCATAATGAACACGTCAGGAGTTCAACTCATGCCCAAGTTTCCATAAGTAGAATTTGCTCCTCCCTTTAGGGTTTTACAGAGCTCAGCATTCTTTTTCAGGGTGGGCCCACACCCTTTGGAATTCTGGGAGTTTAAGGAAACCTTAGCATTTTGTGGTTTGACCACAAAGAAGCTGAGCTGACTTCTATGATCTTTTATGAAACATCCCGTGGGGAACCTCTGGCCTCCAGCATTGAGGGATGTGCCATCAGGACTATCACTGGAACACCTGGGAGGTACTGTTATAACAAGCCACAGCCAGGTAGCGTTTAGAAATCCAATTCTGCACAGAGTACAAATGGAATTCTAAAAGGGCACTTCATTCATTTTCTGCAAAACTAGTCTCCCAACCACCAGCATGTGTATTTACCAAATGCAGTAGATTTTAAAACAACATAAACTATAACCCAAAGCAATGCTGGTATCTGGACCTCAGCCAGCCTGCCACCCTGTTCACCTGCCTTAGGTTACAAAAGGTTCCTATAATGACCTGCTTCGTAGAGTTGGATGTGAAGGGATTTCAAATCAAACAAACCCAGGTTCAAATACTGGTTCTGCCTCTTACCAGTCCAGTTGAGCCAACCATTTTGCTTTTTCTCTCTTAGCTGTGGGTTCTTCCCTGTAAAACAGGGCCATGAGGATTGGCTTCACAGAGCTGTTGTAACGAGGACTCCATCAGGTGAGATGTGGGAAGCACCAGCTCAGTGCCTTTCTGGTGCCAAGAGCTTCAACCACATTAGATACTTCCCCCCATCCTGCCATTCCCAGCCCACTCCCCAAGTGTCAGCTCAGGAATTCCCTTCCTGTAGGCTTCCATCCTGAGGCGACCACCCTCCAAGCCCTGTGGCTGTGGAAATAGCCTGGATCCTCCTTCACTCTTCAACCACTGTGGTCACCTAGCCTCTGCCCTCCCAATTACCACAGACCACAGCTCCAGAGGCAGCCTGGAGAGCTAGCAAATTTCTTTTTCCACCTCCCTGACAGCCCTGTGGGACCACTCCTAATCTGTGACAGGCTTGGGGAAGGAGGCAAAGGAGGAGAGCTTGGAAGTAAATGGGAGAGGCAGGGCTGGGGGGAGTCCTTTCTCCACAGACCTACAGTCTGGGGTTTATACCTTCTGCCTCTGAGAAGAAATAAAGAAAAAGGAAAATGTGGTATACTTTCCTCTTAAGCCATTGAAATAAGGTAAATAAATGAACCTGTTTTCTTCTATTTAAACTTGGAGCTGGTAGAAGTTGATTCTACTAACCAACTCTCATGCAGGGATACCGAGGAAGAATCTTCATGGAGGGAAAGCACGTCTATCATGGGTAAGTCACCATTCCCTTAAACGGAAGAGGCAGAGATATAACCATTGAGTAACCAGACTCCCAATGACATGTGAACTGAGACTGAACAAGATCACGAGCCACTGATTGATGATTGCTCCAATGACTTGTGGCTCATTGTTAGTACCAAGGGAGCATTGTTGCTAATCCTCCCAGCTATGAGTGTTTTCCAGATGAGATAATGTTCTGTGGACTGAGAGTGTGCACATTAGCAACACTGGCAAGGTGAAGATGAAGATGATCAGTGTGAATAAACAGCAAGTGGTATACAGCCAGGCCTCAGAGATGGCAGGCTTGGTTCCAGACTATCCCAATAAAGTTAGCATCACAATAAAGCAAGCCACATTAATTGTTTGGTTTCCTACTGCATGTAACTGTTATGTTTCCACTACACCATAGTCTATTGTGTGCAACAGCATTATGTTTTAAAAAGTAATCCACATAGCTTAATTTAAAAGTACTTTATTGCTAAAAAAAAAAAAGTGCTAACAATATGGAGCCTCCAGCAAGTCATAATCTTTTTGCTCGTGCAGAGTCCTGCCTAGATGTTGATGGCTCCTGAGTGATCAGAGTGGTGGTTGCTGAAGGTTGGGGTAGCTGTGGCAATTTCTTCATGGACAATGAAGTTTACTGCAGCAGTTGACTCTTCCTTTCACAAAATATTTCCGTTAATTTTTTTTTTCTTTGAGGCAGGATCTCGGTCTGTCACCGAGGCTAGAGTGCAGTGGCATGATCTTGGCTCACTGCAACCTCCGCTTCCCAGGTTCAAGCAATTCTCATGTTTCAGTCTCCTGAGTAGCTGGGATTACAGGCAATCACCACCACACCCAGCTAATTTTTGTATTTTTAGTAGAGACAGGGTTTCACCATGTCAGCCAGGCTGGTCTCAAACTCCTGACCTCAGGTGATCCACCCACCTCAGCCTCCCAGAGTGCTGGGATTATACGTGTGAGCCACCACGCCCGGCTCACAAAATATTTCTCTGAAGCATGCAGTGTTGTTTGACAGCATTTTACCCACGGTAGAACTTCTATCAAAACTGAAGTCAATCCTCTCAAACTCTGCTGCTGCTTTATCAACTAAGTTTATGGAGTACTCTAAATGCTTTGTTATCATTTCAACGGTGTTCAATGCATCTTCACCAGGAGAAGATTCTATCTCAAGAAACCAGTTTCTTTGCTCATCTGTTAAAGTTCTATCATGAGATTACAGCAATTCAGTCACATCTCCAGGCTCTACCTCTAATTCTAGTTCGCTTGCTATTTCCATGACATTTGCAGTTACTTCCTCCACTGAAGACTTAAATTCCTCAAAGTCATCTATGAGGGTTGGAATCAGCTTTTTCCAAACTCCTGTTAATGTTGATATTTTGACCTCCTCCCGTGAATCACGAATGTTTTCACTGGCATCTAGAATGGTGAATTCTTTTCTGAAGGTCTTCAATGTACTTTGCCCAGATCCATCAAAGGAATCACTATCTATGATAGCTATAGCCTTGCAAAATACATTTATTAAATAATAAAACTTGAAAGTCAAAATTACTCCTTGATCCACGGGTTACAGAATGAATATTATTAGCAGGCATAAAAGTAACATTAACCTCCTTGTACCTCTCCATCAGAGCTCTTGGGTGACCAGGTGCATTGTCAATGAACAGTAATATTTTGAAAGGAATCTTTTTTTCTGATTAATAGGTCTTAATAATGGGCTCAAAATATTCAAGACGCCATGCTGTAAAGAGATTTGCTATCATCCAGGCTTTGTTGTTCCACTTAGAGAGCATAGGCAGAGGAGATTTAGCATAATTCTTAAAGGACCTAGGATTTTTTTGAATGGCAAACAAGTTTTGGCTTTAACTTTACGTCAACAGCTACATTAGCTCCTAACAAGAGAGTCAGTCTGTCCTTTGAAGCTTTGAAGCCAAGAATTGACTTCTCCTCTCTAGCTATGAAAGTCCTAGATGGCGGCCGGGCATGGTGGCTCAAGCCTGTAATCCCAGCACTTTGGGAGGCTGAGGCAGGCAGATCACAAGGTCAGGAGATCGAGACCATCCTGGCTAACACGGTGAAACCCCGCCTCTACTAAAAATACAAAAAATTAGCCAGGCGTGGTGGCAGGCACCTGTAGTCCCAGCTACAAGGGAGGCTGAGGCAGGAGAACGGCATGAACCTGGGAGGTGGAGCTTGCAGTGAGCTGAGATAGCGCCACTGTACTCCAGCCTGGGTGACAGAGCAAGACTCCATCTCAAAAAAAAAAAAAAAAAAAAAAAAGAAAACAGAAAAAAAGAAAGTCCTAGATGGCATCTTCTTCCAATAGAAGGTTGTTTCAACTACACTGAGAATCTGTTGTTTAGTGTAGCCACCTTCATCAATGATCTTAGCCAGATCTTCTGGGTAACTTGCTGCAGCTTCTACACTAGCTTTGCTGCTTCACTTGTACTTTTTGTTTGTTTGTTTGTTTTTTGAGATGGAGTCTTTCTCTGTTGCCCAGGCTGGAGGGCAATGGCACAATCTCGGCTCACTGCAATCTCCACCTCCAGGGTTCAAGCGATTCTCCTACCTCAGCCTCCCAAGTAGCTGGGGTTATAGGCATGAGCCACCACCCCCAGTTATTTTTCGTACTTTTAATAGGGATGGGGTTTCACCATGTTGGCCAGGCTGGTCTTGAACTCCTGACCTCAAGTGATCCACCCACATCGGCCTCCCAAAGTGCTGGGATTAGAGGCATGAGCCACTGCACTCAGCCCACTTTCTACTTCTATGTTATAAAGAGGGCTTCTTTCTTTAAACCTCATGAACTAACCTCTGCTAGCTTCAAACTTTTTTTTCTGCACCTTCCTCACCTCTCTCACCCTTCAGTGAATTGCAGAGAGTTAGGGCCTTGCTCTGGATTAGGCTTTGGCTTAAAGGAATGTTGTGGCTAGTTTGATCTTCTATCCAGACCACTGAAACTTTCTCCATATCAGCAATAAGGCTGTTTTGCTTTTTTTTTTTTTTTTTCTCATTTTTGTGTTCACTGGAGTAGCACTTCTAATTTCCTTCAAGAGTTTTTTTTTCTTTTTTTTTTTAATTCACAATTTGGCTAACTGTTTGGAGCAAGAGACCTAACTTTCAGCATATCTCAGCTTTCAATATGCCTTCCTCGCTAAGCTTAATCATTTCTAGCTTTTGATTTAAAGTGAGAGATGTGTGACTCTTCCTTTTACTTGAACACTTAGAGGCCATTGTAGGATTCTTAATTAGCCTAATCTCAATATTGTTGAGTCTCAGGGAACAGGGAGACCTGAGGGGAGGAGGAGGAATGGGAACGGTGGGTCAGTGGAGCAGCAGAACACACACAACAATTGTCAATTAAGTATCTTACTCGGGTGTGTTTTCTAGTGCCCCAAAACAATTACAATGGCAACATCAAAGATCACTGATCACAGATCATGATAACAGATATAATGATCATGGAAAAGTTTGAGATATTGTGAGAATTACCAAAATATGTCACGGAGACACGAAGCAAGCATATGTTAGAAAAATGGTGCTGATAAACTTGCCACAAACCTTCAATTTGTAAAAAGCATAATATCTGCCATGTGCAATAAAGAACTATAAAACAAGCTAGGCCTGCTGAAATGCATTGACCACTAAAAGTGTACAATAAGGCCATTTTCTAAAATAAATACTCCACAAATAATAATAAACGATTTTAAATATTCAGCAACAGTCCTCAGTTTTCTAAAGTATTTGAAGAGGGCACCATTTTTATATCCAGGGCTGAGGATGGGCCACCAAAGAATTTAACATTTGTTCCAGATGCCCGCCTTTCCCTGCAGAGAGCACCTGCTCAGAGCTCCATCTCACAGAGCTACTCAAAACGTGGCCCATGGACCAGAAAGGTTGGGAGCTTGTTAGAAATGCAGAGTCCTAGGCCCTGCTCCAGATCTATGGAATCAGAATCTGCACTTAAGCGAGGCCTGCAGGGGATCTGTGTGCTCATTACGATTCGAGAAGGGCTGTTTTAGAACATTAGAAACCAAAGCAGTTACTGCACCAGGTTATTCTCTGAGGGTGGTCAGGAAAGGCAGATTTATTCTGTCACATCCATGAAACAACTCTAAAGGGACAGTGCTCATTTGTGACATTACTCACCAGGGTAGGAGAACAGCACCTTTGTTCAAAGGCCCCCTGACACACTCCTACTCACCTAAATTAATGGCCCCAATGTGGTGGTGAACTCTTGAGGTAGGAGCAAAAAATTCACGTGCTAATGTACCCATGGAGCTGCATGACTCCCACAGGAAGCCCAGAATTGTGCTTTCAGACTCACAAGGCCTATAAAGTAGCAAGTTGGTCTTGGTCTTTCTGGCCATGATCATAAACTTTCAACCAGCAGCCAGGTCATAACAGGGAGGCACTGGAAGGTGTAATGACAACAGGTTGTACAACATCAGTGAAGTGGAGCCAAGGACAAAGGAAGAGGCAAGGAGAGGGAGGGATGTTTTACAACTTACCGGGAATTGTGACCAGTATGATGCACAGAGTTTCAGGCTTAAGATAGGGATGGGAAAAAGTAGAGAGGGGTTAACAACAGATGCTGATCTGTGGCTTTCATTAAATAAGTTCACATGTGTTCTTAAGGACCTTTGAATTTTGGAACATCTGTGACAATTTATGATTAGAATATTTGATGAAATGGTTTAAACTGAACAGAAAAACTTCCATACCAGAGCATTTTTATCAGATTTTTAAAAATGCACCCAAAGTCTCTATGAAACATATAAAAATAGGCTTATTTGGGTGTAATGTGAAAGTGAACCAGTCCAACTGTGCCACCAAGATCCTGCCTCTGATGATGCTTCTTTGCCCTCATTCTTCTCTGCCTTTCAGAGACCAGCCAGAAAAATCACAACATTCAACTGAATTAGCATCCTTCTACTTCCAAATCCTGTAGTGAGGAGGACGGTTAAGTTCCACAGACAGCTGCAAAAAGACTAGAAAATGCCCTTGTGGAAAAAGGCCTGATGTGGTTTCTTAGTTTTCAAGGAGTCCATTAACATGGGGAAAGGGCTTCATGGCGTAAGACTGCCAATCCATAGTACTTATCTGAATTTTATCTTCCATATTTACTCATAGATCTTCCACTTCAAAATCCTCTTTCAAAATTTCCAGGAGAAAATATGATTCTTCTCCAAGGCCACCCCCTTCCTCCCAGGAAGAAAAGGCAGGCTTGAGGGCAGCAGCCTTGAAAGACCCCTGACTTGGCTAAGAGGAACTGAACAATGTATGACAATGTGTGACATTCGTATGGCCCTGCCCTTATAAAGCTCCTTCACATGCATCATCTCAAGTTTCTGAAGAGGTATGAATTGTGTTTAATTAAAGCCCGAGTGATGGAAGCGGACAGAAAGTTATTTCGAGGCTGTTCACACATCTTCAGCCCCTCTTATCAAGCTTTCAGAGCTCTATTCTAAAGGTTAGGGGTGTAGGAGGCAATTATGTCTCTTCTCTAGCAGCTGCCAGAGATTACTGCCGTCAGAGTGATTATCACCAAATAATTGTTCCCTTTCTTCCCTGCTGACAGGGCAGAATGGGAACAGAGACTCATCTGAAATAGATTTTGTACTTGCTGAATGCAAGTTGGATAGCTCAGGTCAATGAGCATCCACTGAAGTATTTCAGCATCGTGCCTGTTGACCTCAGAGAAAAATTAAAATTCATCTGATACAAAAGGGAAAACCATCAAATGTCACCTGCTTGAGGTTATGCAGCTTTCTTGGAGTTGAGCAACTGTGGTTTCAGACTAGAATAAACATTTATTTTAGCCTGAAATAAATTGTCCTTTGCTGAGGATGATTCTAGAGGATAGAAACAAGAGGAGTATTTTCTGGAGCCTGAACTCTGAGACAAGTAACTGGCTTATTTCCATAGTGGTAGATATGAAAAGACTGCTCATAACCCCTCTCCTCCTGCCTGCCTTTATGACATTCACAGGGAGGTTATTAAAATCGTCCACTAGGCCTGTCTCTGGAGCAGTCACAGAATCCAAATTTTCCGATGAACTCCTCAAAGTTGTCATGATACTGAAGATAAATAGGCTATAATGTGAGTGAAGCATGCTGCAAATTCAGTAGTGTCACCTTTCAGCCTATCTACCCAACGAAGCTCTAGACTGCTGGGAAATGAAATGTTCCACACTAACAAATATTTATGTGCAATTCTATACAGGGTGGTGAGCAAGAATAAAGTAGAGTAGGTCATCATCATAATCTTTAATGTCTGGTAATATGAAGGGAGAAAGGTGGCCATCTCTTTTTTCTCTCTCATTGACAGAGATTTGATGTGATTTCAACCAACAAACCTGTATTATAGCCTGATGTATACCAGACATTATGCTAGAAGTTATGGGAACAGGGAGGATCCTGAGGTAACAAAGACAAGGTCTCTGCCCTCAGATGAGTTCACAGTGTGGCTCTTCCCTTTTTTCTAAAAGAGCCAGAATGATAATGAGACTTCTGAATCAGAAGAGTCATGGGATCGAAGTTTGAGATTTGGCTTCTCCACTTGCTAGCTTTTGACTTTGGGCAGGTCACTAGCCTCTCCATGCCTCAGTTTCTCTCTCTACAAACTGAGGATAAGGGTACTCCAGTAACCTACCTCAAAAGATTGTTGTAAAGACCAAATGAAATTGAACATGCAAAATCTCTTTCTAAATGGCAGAGCATCGTGCGAATATGATCTTATAATTATGAGTCACAGCAAAAGAGCGATTAGATTCCTAACAATGATACCTTCTACATAAACAATAACCTTGCCCAGCAACTGCCATCTTCTAAATCCCCTAAAAATCAGCACATGAGAAAGGCAGACTGGCTTTCCTTCAAAGGTAGGGGTGTGTTATAAAAAACATTTGTGTGACCCTAGCACCAAGAGCATAGCAAGTACTCAATAAATGCTGAAAAATTGGAGTTAGTCTGAGACTCCACAGTCAGATTAGAGAAAACAGAACCAAAGGGGCTACTCTGAAAGCAGGGGGTCAAACCATACATCTTAGTGGTCACAAATTAGTCCATTTGTTTTCGTATGTAATGTCAATATGTCAGTAGTAACGGTAAATGTTGCAATGATTTACCATAGACCACAATCATAAGGGATTCCTCTACCCCTTCTCCCTGCCCACTATCACCACAAGATTTTTCGCTAGTAGCTTTTATTGTTGATCAAGTTTCACTTTGACTGCAAAAGTCACAGTAGGTATCCTGTAGAAAGTGTTTGAAGAGATTGGGCGCGGTGGCTCACGCCTGTAATCCCAGCACTTTGGGAGGCCGAGGTGGGAGGATCACCTGAGGTCAGAAATTCGAGACCAGCCTGCCCAACATAGTGAAACCCCGTCTCTACTAAAAATACAAAAATTAGCCTGGTGTAGTGTCACGTGCCTTTAATCCCAGCACCCGGGAGGCTGAGGCAGGAAAATCACTGGAAACCGGGAGGTGGAGGCTGCAGTAAGCCAAGATCGTGCCACTGCATTTCAGCCTGGGTGTCACAAAAAAAAAAAAAAAGTGTCTGATTGAATAACTGGAAGACAATTTCAAAGGTATAAAGTTTGCATAAAAGAACTCAATGTCAGATTCTAGACCATGCAGGGCCCAGCACAAAGGCTCCAGACGCACATCAACTGTGGAGCATTGTTTTTTGAAGGAGGCAATGATGAGTGTAGTTCTAGTTAACATGCTCCCAATTTTTGACCTTTAGGCAAATAGTTTAAATTCATTCATCTACATTTTCCAAATCTATAAAACATATGTGCCACCTTTCTCGCACACACTTACACACAACAACAACAGCAACAACAAAAATAAACATCTCTAGAAGCCATGAGGGTTTGTTTTTTTTTTAAGATCTTATTTGTTCATTTAGGCCAATACCAAAATTAGCGGGGGGAAGGGTGGGGAGCTGAGCTGGAGAAATGGTACAAGAGCCAAGCTAAGGGCAGTTGGAAGCTGGCCCATGAATAAAATTCCCTGCGTGCAGCTGTAAAACATACACCTGTCCTTCAGGGACTGAGTTCAGGATAACCAAACATTCCTTATAATAAGTCTGCACACTCTGCTGTGCCAACAGAGAAGACCAATTATATGTGTGAGACGATCTGCCATGAACTACTTGGTCTCTGCTGGCCATTTTAGTACTAAAATTTATGACAGCACTAAGCAAAACTCCCAAAGTGCAGAAAGCTGGGGGCTGGGGCAGATCAAGTCAAACATGTCGCCTACACAGGCCCCTCAGTCTCCTTCCTCAAGCCAAGCTTCCACTCTTCCCCCCGCCCCGGGCCACTCTCTGCAGGACAGGGTGTTCAGAAATTGCTTGAAAAGGGAGAATTATCTTGAAACCAAAGACATTCATTTAGACTTGAACAAAGGTGGTTGTTTGAGGGAATACTAGGGAAAAAACAACTTAGAAGAAGGGAAAGGAGGCATATAGATGGAAGTTAAGTCAGACTCCACATAGTTTCAATTAATATGATTTTTGGAAAGGCTCTTACATCCTCATTTCTGTGGAGGCCGACTTGGCCAAAGTGCTGAACCAAAGTTTTGCCATATAGAACACAGCCACACAAACAGGCCCCTCCTAGTCAATCACTGAATCCAGCCTCTCCAGACTCAACAATCTGACTTAGGATCTCAGAATTCCAGGAAATACTAGGGATGGCTTGGCTGCCTCCTTGGTTATAGGTGAGGAAACAGGCGAATGGTGAAATGACTTAACCAAAGTTCCCAGAGCTGGCACATTTATAGCTGAGATCTCCCAATACTGTTGTCTTACTCCTGCACGCAAAAATTAGTGGATGTTTTGTTCTTTTTTTGTCTTTCAAAGGACTTGGTTTCATTGTTAAAAGAAACCTCACTGCAAGTTACCAAGCTGTCAAACCCTGAGGCGGGATGAGCCACTATTTTTCAAATCCGTGCACCAGTAGTGCTTCTGTGACATCACCCAACACAGAATATCTTAAAATCGATTTCAGGAATGGATCTCGTAACCAAAAAACAGCTTGTTCAGAAAGGGGCACCTATGCACGTAGCAGATGCCTTCTATCTGGTCTCCATCTTCTATCAGGTCTCCCTTTCTCTCTCTTTATTACTGCCCCCCACCTCTGGGAAACTGCCACACCCAGCCACTAAGACCAAGACTTTGCGCACTAAGACTGTGTCGACAGATAAGCAGAAAAGTACAGCACTAGTTTCATCTAGTGTTCTGCCCTGTGTTTCAGTTGAGAGAAATTTCACACATATACACAGACACAGACACACACACACATACTCTCTCTCTCTCTCTTCCTAAGAAATGAATATAGAGCAGCTAAAACCAGATAAGTTCTAGATCCCTGAGGCTTGAGACCCAAGCCTGAGACTGTTCTTAATTGGCCTCATTGACAGCAGATGCCCAGCTCCTCTGCCCCACTCTCTAGGATCCTGCACAGATGTGGCCAAATTCTTCCCCACCAAACCAGCTTTAGACTCTCCTGGGCCTGGCGATCCATGCCTTCTTCTTCACCCCTCTCCTGAAGATTCCTGTGACTATGGGTCTGGAAGCCCTTTCTGCCAAGACACCACTTTCCTCTTCTGGTCTCATTTGGTTTGTCTGACCCTTGGCTGGTTCTAATCCTTGGTGGATTCCTTCACATACTGCTCTAAGCTTGCCCTTTGACTGCATTACCTCGAGCCTTTCTACAAGGCACCAGCTCTATTTCCTGGCCAGAAGTAGAAATTCCCTCCCCCGCTGCGCAGAAGTCCCACTCACAGAATTCGGCTTCATTGCTTCTCTGCCTCTCCAGCTCCATTCCTCGAAGAGCAGAGATGACAAGATGTAGGTTCTGTGTATGCATCCATGTTCTCACTGATGGCTCAGCCAGCATCTCTAAAGTTTTTTTTAATGATTAAGGGCCTTTGGGTTCCCCTGTGGCACTTCCTTGGAGGTAAGGGCTCAGGTGAAGTTGTTCATTTGGCTGTTGATCCCAGGGGAGCACAGGGAATATGAAACAGGGAAGAGAGGAAAGCTAATAAAGAATGTGTTAAGAAGCTTTGGGCAATCAGGGCTTCCTCTAGCAGGAAACCCTTAGGAGACTGCAGAACATTCCTTGGAATGAGGGCAAGGACTTTGGATTATTTATCCAGCCAGGACTTTCCCTCTTTGGCCAAGGGTCATTCCTTGGGCAATAATTCCCTGGCACTTGCAGACTAACCTGTGTGCTTCCAAGCTCATTTCTTTTTTCTTTTTTCCTTTTGTCTTTTTTTTTTTTTGAGATGGAGTCTTGCACTGTTGCCCACGTTGGAGTGCAATGGTGCGATCTCGGCTCACTGCAACCTCTGCCTCCTGGGTTCAAGTGATTCTTCTGCCTCAGCCTCCTGAGTAGCTGGGATAACAGGTGCCCGCCACCACACCCAGCTAATTTGTTGTGTTTTTAGTAGAGATGGGGTTTCACTATATTGGCCAGGCTGGTCTTGAACTCCTGACCTTGTGATCCGCCTGCCTCGGCCTCCCAAAGTGCTGGGATTACAGGTGTGAGCCACCATACCCAGCCGCTTCCAAGCTCATTTCTATGGCTGAAGAATGCCCTCAGGCAGAGAGAAGCAGGAGGTTGTCTGTCTACACAGCATGTGACTACAGCCAAACTCTGGGGTGGCCAAGGGGACATGGGTTGGACACCAACAGCGTCTGCTACAAAAGTGGTTGTTGCCACCCCTCAGAATCCCCCTCTCTGTGTGATCTTCCAGATTCAATGTAATACGTACTGAATGCTGCCAAATATAATGTACCAGACTAGACTCAGGTAATCACAAAGATGTGTAAGACAGAGTTCTTCTCCACACAGAACTTTCAATTTGATGTAAGAGACAAACAGAAATAAAAGTCTTTATAGAAAAGTAAGTCTTTATAGAATAAAGAAGAATATGAGAAGGGCTGTATTAGAGCCATGAATCACTGGCTGTGAGAGCTGCGGGAAGATGAGATTAATTTTGACTAGAGGGAGAAGGCTATCAGGGCAGTTTTCCAAAGCTAAAATATTTTAAACATATGCTAAATCGACAGACATCCAATTCCCACCAAGAGCAAAAGAATAAACATTCTTTCGCAGGGCCCTAAAGCCAGAAAGCAGTGAAAGAATTAGAACCATTTTATCTCAATTCACAAAAGGAAATAAGTGACATCTTTCAGTATCACCCCATCTTCTAGATGCAACGTTTAAAACCAAGTCACAAGAGCAAGATGTTCTTCCTGCTCCACGTTCAACTATGCATTTGAAATCTGTTCTCATTTGTCGAAATGAGCAATTAATTAACAGTCTTTGTGAAGTTCTCAGACTCAACAAGTGTGCCCCTCTCCTGCTGCCTCTGCCACAGGCAGCCACTTTGCATGTCCCTGCTTTTGAAAGACAACTTAGGAATGAAGCTAAACGAGACATCAGCAGTTTTCCAAATCCAGGTGAAGAAAGTGAATGACTTCAGCATGAAAGACAGGGCTGGGGCGACAGGGGAGAGCAGGAGACGGATGAGTCAGCCCATGTTCGTGGAAAGCTGGGGTTTGTTGGAAGAATCTCAAGCTTTCATTTTGTGGTGTTTGGAAGCTTAATTCCCAGCTTCTAATTAAACATATAAACTGTAATCACAAAGGTATTTCACAAGTAGTTCCTTGGATGTGGCAGGGGTTCTAAGAACCAATTTGAGATGCAGGGAGGAGCGGGAAAGGCGTGGAGAGGAAGCAGGCCTGGGAGTGAGAGTGTACTGGGCTTCAGGAAGCTACCTGCTGAGGAGGTGCTGGGGACCCCACACCTGAGCTCCACACTGGAGGGATGCAGACAGAGAGGATGGGGATGGAGCCGTGCAGTGGGGCCTTTTTGTTCTTCTTGCCCAGGTCCTTCTCTCCTGCCTCTCTGGCTGCCCGGCTCCAAGTCAGAGACTTGAATATGCAGCTGGAAGTTTGGGTATTGGCAAGAAATAGCAACTGCACCCCACCTCACCATTCAAGTTCATATGTGGCCCTGCCCCTGCCACCCTCTCAGAAAGGAGATGCTAACGGGCAATGACAAGGAGGAAGTTATGGCACAATGGCAGACTTAAAGTGCCCAGTCATGCTATTACTGCACTCAGCTGAGAATTCTGCAGGGGCAGGGAGCGGGGGATGGAAACCCCTGGGCTTCTCTCGTTTTGTCCCCTGCAGAGTGACTCTGCAGCATTATAATATCTGCCCCAGCCAAAACACAACTGCTCTCCTGCCAGAAGGGAGATTTTTGCCAGATGCAAATCACATGCTGGCCAGAAGCACCAAGGCCCTGGGAAGAAGTGTGTGTTTTCTGGTGGGGAGAAGAATGTGGTATTCAGAAGTCCAACTCAAGGAGATATATAGATCTTGAGCCCTTCACCCAAGGTTGCTCTGTGACTCCACTGCCTAGCATGGTTTAACAACCATACAGCTTAACCATAATAGAGACAAGTTCTAGATCAGTGGCACTTGATCCCCCAAGCGGAAACGTTCCAGATCACTGGAGTTTGAGATCCCAGTCTAGCCTGTCTCCTTTTCTCTGCTCACAAGACATTTTATGGATAAGAGCAGGAATGAAACCATAATACGTATGATTTATTGAGGGTCTCAAATGTGCCTGCTGATGCAGAGTCATAATCTCCTCTCACAGCAACACTGAAAAGTAAGTCTTGTCATCCTCCAGTTTATAGTTGGGCTCAGTGGTCAAGATTGATTTGTTAAAGTTTCTATCACTTTGAATTCACCCCTAATCATACAGCTAATAGTACTGAAGCCATCTCTGAATTGAGCTGTGACTGACTGCAAAGGCTTTCTTGTTTCCAGGCCAACATACCATCTCTTCCTGACTTGGAGCACAACCCATTAAATATTCAGACATGTATGTGTGGAAAGCAGTGGCGAGGTTGGCTGTCAGCCAGACATGAATTTGGTTCCACACTCTGCCATGGGAATTTGGGCAAGTTATTTAGCCTTTTTGAGACTCAGTTTCCCCATATATAAAATGGGAAAGAGACTATTACTACCTACCTCTTAAGGCTGTTAAAAAGAATAAATGAAGTGATGTCTGTAAAACACATAGCACAATGCCTGGCACATAGTCATGCTTGATAAATGTTTATGATTGTCGCTTTTAGTGTCCCCAAGATCCCCAAGAGATCCCCAAGAAGGCTTTTTAAAAAAACTTGAGTATACAGAATTAGATTAATTATAATCTTTGATTTATGATGTATTCTCATTATTGATCCGTGAGTGGTCCTTCTTATTAATGTATTCTTATTAATGTATTTATTTCTTATTAATGTATTTCTTATTAATGTCCTTCTTATTAATGTATTCATTTTATGCTAAATATCCACAAAATTACCACTCAACATGAAAACTATACCATTGACAATAACTTACAGTTTTTATATATAGAAGGGATTTCACAGTTCTAAAATATGTATTCTTGCATATACCATAGCTATATTCTAGGTATTAGCATGTTGAATGAATGTACTCAATGTTCATTGAATAAAGGAATCAATACATGCAATAATTCATCAATAATAACTTGTATTTAGGGACCAGAAAACAGACACCACACTCTGAAGTGAAATGTGAGATTACAAGGTAGGGTTTGCAAAGGCAGTATCTACAAACCAGGGTTTAGTCATGATTAGCCATTTGCCACATTCGGAGTACACCCTATTAAATTAAAAAGTGAAAGGGCACTAAATAGAATAAGATTTTTGGAGAGAACTATGGGTGTGCTGAGAGTCCCACTCCCACCCATGGGGTAAGCGTTGTGGGTGCTTTTCCTTTATCTGAAATCAAGGGAAGCTGGCATAAATGGTCCACTCTAATAGGTGTGGACTGAAAATGGGGTCACAGTGGTCGGGTGTCTGTCTCATGCATAAACCACGTAAAGGGTGAGTAGTAAGGGCTAGCAGGCTACCTCTCCAGTGGAATAAAAGAGGGATGGCTGCACTGTGATCAGACAGTTCACCCAGAGGCAGTCAGAGTAGAGAAAGCTTGAGTGTTTCCCATAGATCAGATATCAGCCACAGAGAAGAGACGGCAGGCTGAGATCACCTTGGATCCTAAACAAGAGGACTGTCTGGAGAGGCAAACAGATCCCCCATGCCTTTGGTGGCAAACCACCAGCACCCCCAAGGTGAGAAACTTTATGCCACCAGCAAGAGAACCACATGAGCTATCCCCATATGGGCAGACTATACCTGAAGAACTTGCCAAATTCTCTGGTAGAGCCAGCCTTAAACACACGTAGGCTCTGAGATGACTCACAATGGGATTGTCAAGTCAGAATGGTCCTACCTCTGCACTCCTCCCCTTCCTTTGCTTCAACCCAGTAGGGGCCCAAGGCAACCTAGAGAGTGAATGAGAAGGCAGAAAAAAATCAAGGCAGTAAGATGGAGAAGCCAGTCCTCTCTCCTCCACTGCAGGTCTGGGCTTGGGGTGGGGTAGCAGTGATAGAAACTTTAACTTCAAAATAAGTGTACATTTGTATTACTACATTTGACTGGACATAATAATAACTAAACTGAGACTGTTTTTCTGACTAGCAGTGACAGACCACTATCTGTTGCCTGAGAGGGGCCAGCCACCAGGATAAATTTGAAGAGGCAGTTTGGGAAAGGAAAGTAGCTGTGCTCTGCTTAAACTCTGTGAGTTCCACTTGCTGAGAGTGACAGTTATAGGGTCTCAACTGAGATCCTGTAAGAATTAAGATACAGTGCTACAAATGTACAGTGGGCACATAAAAATTTTTCAGACCCATTTATAATGAAAACTATAAAACATTGGTGAAATAACTTGAAAAAGATACCAAATATATTAGTTCATTTTCACACTGCTGATAAAGACACACCTGAAACTGGGAACAAAAACAGGTTTAATTGGACTTATAGTTCCACATGACTGAGGAGGCCTCAGAAGCATGGCAGGAGGTGAAAAGCACTACTTACATGGAGGTGGCAAGAGAAAAATGAAGAGGAAGCAAAAGCAGAAACTCCTGATAAACCATCAGATCTCGTGAGACTTATTCACTATCATGAGAACAGCATGGGAAAGACTGGCCCCCATGATTCAATGACTTCCTCCAGGTCCCTCCCACAACACATGGGAATTCTGGGAGATACAATTCAAGTTGAGATTTGAGTGGGGACACAGCCAAACCATATTACCAAAAAATGAAAAGATACTCCATGTTCATGGATTAGAAGAATCAATATTGTTAGACTGTCCATACTAACCAAAGCAATCTACATATTCAGTGCAACCCCAATCAAAATACCAATGACATTCTTCACAGAAATAGAAGAAACTACCCTAAAATTTATATGGAACCACAGAAGACCCAGAATAGTCAAAGCTGTCCTAAGCAAAAAGAACAAAACTGGAGAAATCACATTATCTGACTTCAAATTATACTACAGAGCTATAGTAACCAAAACAGCATGGTACTGGCATAAAAACAGACACATAGACCAATGGAACAGAACGGAGGACCAAGAAACAAATCCACACACCTAAAGTGAACTCATTTCCTACAAAGACACATATACACAATGAGTACTATTCAGCCATAAAAAAGAACAAGATCCAGTCATTTGCAACAATGTGAATGTAACTGAAGGTCATTATGTTAAGTGAAATAAGCCAGGCACAGAAAGACAATAGTGTGTGTTCTCACTTATTTGTGGGATCTAAAAATCAGACAATTGAACTCATGGAGATGGAGAGTGGAAGGATGGTTACTAGAGGCCAGGACATATAGTAAGTGGGTGAGGAGGAGGTGGGGATGGGATGGTTAATGGCTACAGAAAATATTTAGAAAGAATGAATAAGACCCACTATTTGATAGCACAACAGGGTGACTATAGTCAATAAAAGTTTAATTGTACATTTAAAAATAACTAAAAGAGTATAATTGGACTGTTGGTAACACAAAGGATAAATGCCTGAGGGGATGGATATTCCATTCTCCATGATGTGATTATTATTCACTGTATGTCTGTATCAAAACATCTCATGTAATCCATAAAAATACACACCTACTGTATACCAACGAAAATTAAAAACTAAAAAAAAAACAAAAAAACAACAACAACAAAAAAACAACAAACTGACCCAAAATGGATTAGGAAACCTACTTTGGATCCCTTCTTCTCCATCAAGGGTCTCCATCCAGGTCAACTCAGGGCTTGATTTGTAACCAGAAAATGCTACAAGAGCCTCGAGATTTTCTCCAAAGGAGTCATCCCTGAGATGCTCATTAATCACTGAAAACAAGTAGTTGTTTCATGCCAAGGCTGGGAGCAATCTGTTCCTAAGCAGTCCTCTCATCTCTCTGATCTTCCAGGAAAGAGCGTAGCAATGGTCCATCCTTTGGGGATGCAAGCCCTGTCCCATTCACAGTTTGAGGGAATTGCTGCCTACTTCTATGCCTCCAAGCACAGCTGTCTATTCCTCCCCTTCCAGAATTATGCCACAATATCTCCCCTCTGTGAGCCCTTAGGGACACATCTGGACTCTTCGTCCAGGGTTTGCACCTGGAGGAATAGTCTGTGTAGCAAATTCTGCCATGTTCCACCCAGATCTGTGTGTTAGTCCCTCAGCTTTGCATCCTTCTGCTAAGGGATGGGAGTTCACCTGAAATCACACCACTGCTTGGTTTCCCTTCTTACTTGCTTGCTTCCCCACTTCCTTCCTGGTTTCTTCTTAGAACACTTTACTACTAAATAACTTGTATACTGGGTGTGATTCTAGCAACCCAACCTAAAACAAGTTGTTAGACCTACTCAGCTTTACCACACTGGCTCACCTTCTGATTTTGTGCTATAAAACTAACTGGTCTCTAAGCAGCACTCAAAGAGGACAAGAATGCAGGTCTCAGGCATGAGTAGCTGGAATATAATCTCCGCATAAGGCACCCCAAATCTCAAAATACTACACCTTTCAAGCGGTGACTTCTTAAGCACTCTTTATAAATATAAGGACATTAGTCGCAAACAAACATTTATTCAAATTTGTTTTTACTCTTCCCCTTTGTTTTTCAATCTATTTTGACTGCCATTCTCCTCTAGTATCTGAAGAGACTGAATAAACAGTCCACTTGAAAGCAGGCATACTGAATATCTATTGAAAGTTAAGAGACCATACAGGTAAGAGTCAAAATATGCCTAAAATGAAACTCTTAGTGAAATGCAATACCTATTTCTTTATATGGAATGGTGTAAAGCTAAGTTGATTGAATCATATAATAAAGTAATAGTCAACAGAAAAATCAATAGAGGTACATTATGCACCCATTTAAAGGACTTTAGCCTATAAAAAAGACCTATACCACAGAACTTTTAGTTATGAAACAGACAGAGAGACAGCAGCTCCTTAGAAATCTACAAGTGGAGGCTCTAATTCCTGGAGGGGTTGCACCAATTTGGATGCAACTGCTTCTTCCCCATTTGGAGCACACTGATGAGCCACAAAGAACCCAGTAGGCTCCCTCTTGATCGCCTAGGACAGTCAGCCATGATTGTCTTCTCACTTTGCACAAAGGGCAGTGTGGCAACTGGCCACTTTATAGGGAGAAACATGGTGACAGCCTCTCACAGTTCTCCATTTAGTCTGAGCCTCCTTCTCCCAAGCTGCTCACCACTACGAGCCCACATCAGTAAATACCCAAATTTACTTTTATTGGCCCCTTCTCTGCACCACCTGGATTAGAAATAGTGGTCAGGCAAGTTTTGAGAAAGACTTCAGTTCCAAGAGTTGAAACCATGGGGAAAGGTTTTACATATATTTTCATCTACTGGGAGAAGCATCAGCTGAAGAAGATTGAGAGGCAAAACTGCTCAGAAGGTGCTAGAGACAGACTGCCAGTTTAAATCCTACACCTGCAACAGGACATCCTGGGTCAAAGTTCTTCAACTCTACATGCCTCCTTTTCCTCCTTTGTCAAATTAGGATGATAATATTTACCTCAAAGGGTTGCTGGGAGGATTAAAAGAGTTAATACTTTTAAAAGTGCTTAGATGAGCACCTAACACATAGTAAACACTCACTAAATATAACCCCTGGCTGTTGTTTCAATCGCTGTTATTTGTGTCTTCCTATTCTTCTTCACCATCATCATCATTATCACCACCTTTCCCTAAGAAAATTTACAAACTTGAAGCAATGTTTATTTAATTCAAAATAAAGGCCCCATAAGCTTCACACAGGAGCACACTCCATGTCTGTAGGAACTCTCATCACTCCTGGGTTCTCCCTATATATTTGCATCTCTTACTGGCCAGAAGACCTAGCTCTGGTATATATAACTGAATTAGTCAATGGAATGCGACTATGGCTGCCATTTTTTTTTACAAGCCTATTTGTATTTGTCCCATTTCCCAACCTTGAGACCTCAAGATGTCAGGAAAAAAGACTAAACTTGGAGTCAGAGCCTTGGTTCCTAATCTTGGCTCCCACTAGTTGTATGACAAAGAGCAAGTCACTTAACCTCTTTGCACTTCAATTTCCTCACCTGCAAAGGACAGAAATTGGGTAATTAACATCTGCCTTTCATTACCTCCCAGAACTGTAGTAAATCTCAAATAAGATATGGTATGTGAAAGTGAACTCCCCCATGCAGTTTCAGTGCCCCATTCACTCATTCATTCTTGTCTCTCTAAACATACTTTGTGTAGACAAAGCTCATTTACTTCCATTTTTAATTCCAGTGTCAAAAGAGTACAACATACCTTCCAAAGGGCATAAGAGCATTCCATTCTTAACACAAATGGCTGCCTCCTCTTTTCTTCCCTTGGGTTTCAAAGCTGTAATGTGAGTACACAGCCACTTTTAAATTCTTTCCTATTTTCCACTCTCTCTAATTACATGATATCATGGACTAAAAGATAGATCATGAGATCTTCATGTTGCTACAACTTACAAGTGATGCAAAATATCATTAGCAAACTGCATCTGAAACTGAGAGCACTTCACCCATAAGGATCCCAAGAAGAAACAGCCCACTCTAATGACAGAGTAAAAGCAAAGGCTGAGTGCGGAGCTTAAGGAATACATTGGGACCAACCTGTAGATATTTCAAAAGCACTAATTATTGGTACAGCTGGCACAGGAAGACTAAACCAACTGCACTTATCTGTAATGATTTTTTTTTTAATGCTACCAACGCATTTCACACGTGCTAAAAACTCCAGGCTAAATTGGTTGCAAGACATAAGACCATCAGGGCATTCAAAGAAATAGTCTCTGCAATTATCACTAATTAATCAGCCCTAACAGTTGGAAGCCAGTTGGAGAGGTTTACGCTTGAATGTAAATGAGGAAGGAAGGACCTGCTGGAATGAGATGGTGTGGCATATTTGTTTTGTTTTGACTTCTTTCCAGACATATTTCAGTTTACATAAATATTTGAAGGTTGGATCAGACAGGATTTACAGCACAATGGTATCAGGAATGTCTTTATAAAAACTTTGATATGGTCTAAATTAGGTTTCAAGAAGGAAGGGCAGCCGTGGGAGCAGGAGCCTTTTTCAGTATTTAACTTTATGTCCTGACCAGTGCCTAACACCACTTCATAAATCACAGGTACCTTGGACTTAGAATGCACAAGCCCTGTTTCCATGGCCTCGATTTCAGCAGGGACAGATACTGCCTGGAGAGAGAGCTTGCCAACCTTCTGTTTTAAGCACTGCATGTGTGACCTTTGGTTGACCTTAGGTTCTGGGATTTGAGGGTTAAAGTTGTCTTTTGGCACTGGAGCCTGATTTTTTTTTTTTCTCCAAAAGTGTTTAGAGAAATAAGAGAGCGCCCCACCCTCTGCAGCAGGGCAAGCTGTTTCCTGTAGAAGCAAGAGTTAGTGGCTATCCCAGTTATTCCTTGTAAAAAATACTTCTTCAGGAGAAAAACTCTTTCTCAAGGGGTCTGTTTCTGTTTCTCTTTCAATGCCTAACTCTCCAAGGAGTTTACTTAGAATTAGCATGGTCTTTGCATAAAGGCGGACAAAGCAAAGGCGATGCTGTTTGTTTTCAAGGTGAGAATTAGACCAAAACAAGAATCTGACAGGTTGAACCAAATGAAAAGCCCTCACTTCTCTGAACATGAATTTTCTTTGCACAGATTGTTTTTTCCTGAAGGCAGATCACTGAGGGGCAGGTGGATTATAGGAACCTAAACTACATAATCGTCTCTAATAAATGAACATTTTTACCGCACCAACGGTTGATTAGGGATATACCACGAAACATACTAGCCTATTTCTGAGTGAAGCAGGAAAGCTTTCATAGAGAGGTTTTATTGTTTACATTCAATGAAAGGAAAAGTCTGACTTGAAGTAGTCAGATATAATCTCTCTCTGAATTAAAAGGGTTCTATTGTACTAAGATGCTGGTGCTGTTAGCAAAGGTGAATCCAGGATTTTTGCCCAGGCACAGAATGCCTTTATACAAGCGAGCTATACATGTGGCCACAAACAGACAAACTTGCCTGGTTATTGGCAGCCATTCTCAGTGTAAGAAGAGTTTATTTTCCTTTAGGAGCCCACAGTTGAACAATGTTCTGGTGCCCTAGCTGTTTCATAACTTTCCATGTAATTAAGCAGTTGGCATGACCTTCTGTAGCAAGATAATAATAGGAATTAGCAAAGGCGGGGCTTGTACACAAGGACACTTTGGACTACTCAAGCTCACAAATAAAAGCTTTCAAATAAATGCAAAACTGTCTTTCAAATTCAAAGAGCTTTCCTAGTGAAGTGACACTCCCCCAACACACACACACACAAACACACACACACACACACACACACACTGCAAGCAAACATGACAAAATTTCCTGTAACTTGAGAACTGCAAGGGACAATTCAAAAAGGTGGGAGGAAGCAGACCTGGTCATCATTTTTCAAAAGCCACCTTCACTGTCTAGATGAACTTAAGGATGAATATCAAAGCTAGTCATTTGAAAAAAGAAAAAAAAGTCACTACAGATTTCTAGGAGTAAGCTGGTTTTGAAAAAGAAATTATGATTTAAAGAAAAATAATAAAACCATGAGCAGAGCAGAGCACAAATTACACGGCCACTGAACACCAAGTGGTTTCAAACCAAGATCCAGTAGAACAGATGTGCACCTTTCCTGGGACAGAAATCTGAGCACTTTTGTCCAGGATAGTTCAATAAGCAGGCAACAGATATGTGGGTGTGGTAGATAGCTTCCAAAGATGGCTGCCATCAATGCCTGCACTTCCTAGACACATGGGCTGCTTCCCCCATCAAGATGGGAATCTAATTCCATCTGGAAATCTGAGCTATCCTTGGCGCCTAGCTGGACAACAAATATGGCAGAAATGGGGCTGCATAACTTTTGAGGCTAGTTACTAGGGCTGTGCAGTTTCCCCCGGATCTGTTGGAATACTCACTGTTAGGATGGACCCAGCATCTCACTGTGAGAAGCTCAAAACTCATGAGAAGCCACACATAGGCACTCTGGTCAACAGCCTCATCTGGGCTGTCAACCATCGGCCATCAGGAGCTGCTGACCATGCCAGTCAGCCATATTGGTTGTGCAGCCCCAGCCAACACCTGCCTGCAACTTCATGAAAGATGCCAAGCAAGAATTGTCCAGCTGAGGCCCATTAATTCACAGAACCACGAGACATAATAAATTTGTGCATATATATGAAGTGGGTATGAAATTACTTTGCTCATTTTTTCCTTATTGACTTATAAGAGCTTTTTGTAAGTGAGGGATAGTAACTCTTTGCCTAACATTTTAATACTGTTACCAAATGAAAGGTCTTGACTGTAAGTTGTCCAGGTTTTTGGCTTGTTGAACAGAGTTGAACAAAACACACAAACAAAGCAACAAAAGAAAAAAGTAACAAAAGCACAGATTTATTGAAGCAAAAGTACACTCCACAGAGTGTGAGCAGGCTCTAGCAAGCGGCTCAAGAGCCACCCCCACCCCATTGCAATGTTCTTTAGGGTTTTTATTAAGCTAAAACAAAAAACTTGGTAACACCCGTAGGTGCCCTTTACAGGCCTCCAATTGGTTACACCCTATGAAGGATTGCCCTACGACCAGTCCGAGGCTGAAGTGGAGACTTCTGTCTTGTTGTCACAGGAGTGAATATGTGGCCTGTTTACTGCCTAATCTTGCCTAGAACTGGCTGCACCTGCTGTTCCCTTGCTTATGCCTTAACCCCTGGTTACCCTAATTCCCTATTCTTCTATCTCAATACCATACATTTTCTCAATTTTGCCATTTGCCTTTTCTCTGGTTATAGAATTATTGTGTTTTTGTGTCTGATGTAGTCAATTATTCAATTATTTGCTGCTATGGCTTTTGCTTTCATAGGCCTGCCCCATATCAAATTGAAATCCATTTCTCTGATTATTTATGTGTGAATTTAACATATGTTTATTGAACACCTACTCTGTGCCAGGCACTCTCCACTTTGCTAGTGAATAAGATAAAATAAGGGGCTGGGTGTAATGCCTCGTATGGGTAATCCCAGCGACTCAGGAGGCGTAGGCAGGAGGATTGCTTGAGGCCCAGGAGTTTGAGACCAGCATGGGCTAAATAGTGAGACTCTGTCTCTGCAAAAATGAAAAAAAAAAATTAGCCGGCCATGGTGGTATGTACCTGTAGCCCTAGCTACTTAAGAGACTGAGGCATGAGGATTGCTGGAGCCCAGGAGTTGGAGGCTACAGTAAGCTGTGATCACACCACTGCACTCCAGCCTGGGCTACAGGGAGAGATCCTGTCTCAAAACACAAAAACAAGAATAGTACCATACCTTCATTGAGCTCATAGTCTTCTAGGGGGTTAGAATGGGGTGGATTTGAACACAGAACTGCTATGAAGAATGTTATCTGTAGTAATGGGGAATATATAGGCTGCTTGGAAGCCCACAGCAGGAGCATTTATGGACTTCCAGGGACGTCAAAGAAAACTTCCTGTAGGAAGTGACATTTAAGCTGCATTCTGAGTCTTATATTTATGGCTTCATTCTACATTTAAATCAGGAGTTAATTTAAGTTCAAGCAGCAATGTACCTAGTAAATGTGATCAAAATAAGAGCTATCATTGCTTTTACATGTTGGATTTCTATATGTGCTTGGGTCTGTTTCTGGGCTTTGCATCCTATTTTTTTAAAAGCTGCCTCTTTTTGGCTCCTATGTGTTCTCTTTATAATTATTGTCTTAATTTTGTATTTGAGCCAACATATAAAATCATTTGCTTTGCTTTTATTAATACTTTTTACACTAAATTAATTTTCTTGATGTACACCTGTACTTTTGTCAGTTTATTACAATAAAATCACTTTTCACCATATTTATTATAGTTTTCCATTTAACTTCTTAAAATACTTAAAAATTGTATGTACTAAAAGTACATACAGTATATTTTCACTACTTAATGAAAAATAAAAAATGACACCCATGTCCCTCACACTGTGCTCTGATCCATGCAGAGGGCTTATGTGCTGCTTTCTGATCTGTCCATTTCTATGCCCTCAGCCGTATCCTACATTGAAATAGCACTGAGCATTCCCTTGCTTTTCTTCATAGTTTTACCACCTGTGTTTCCTCCAAGCAATATATCATTTCATTTGCCTTGTTTCAACTTTTCTTAACGAAATCATTCTATATTTTTGTAACTTCCTTCTGTGGTTCAGCATCATATGTGTTTACATATACAGATAGAATACAGCATGTTCATTTATTTTTACTGCTACATGGTAGTACAGTATATATATATCCTTAAGTTTTTTAATCCAATTCATTGTTGATGGATATTTATATTACTTTAAGATTTTTGCTAATAGGAATAACGCTTTTCTGAACATGCCCTGGTTCACCTGTAAAAGTTTCTCTAAGATTTATACATAGAAGATAAATACCTGGGTCTTAGAGTATGCACATATTCACCTTTACCAGTTAGTGCTGGATTGTTTAACAAAGCAATTGTAACAAGCTACGCTCCCACAAGCAGCCTTTGAAAGCTCCTGTTGCTTTCTCGCCAACACTTGGTATTAACTGACTTTTTAACTGTCATTAATCTGATATGAAAGGATACTATTGTAGTATTTATTTACATTGTCTTGACATATAATAAGAGCAATAATATTTTATATATTTACTGGCTGTTTGTATTTCCTCCTCTAGAAAATGACTGTTCATGAAAATTGCCCATTTTTCTATTAGTTTATTCCTCTCTTTCTTAATGATTCAAAGGGTTCTTTTGCATTCTGAGACTAGCCCTTTGGTCACATGTGTGGCAAATGTCTTCTCCCTCTTTATGACTCTTATTTTTTCTCTCTCAGAGAAAATAAGGTTTCTTCTGATAAGCTGAAGTTCTTGATTTTAATATAGTCAAGTATAATAATCTTTTCCTTTATGTTTAGATGCTTTTGGTGTCTTGCATAGGAAGTCTTTCCCTACCTCAAAATCATAAAGATATTTCCTATTTTTTTCTAAAAGGCTTAAATTTGGCCTTTCCATTTTTAAGTCATGAATGAATCTGGAAATGATTTTTGTGTAAGGTCTAAAGAGAAAGGCATTTTTAATTTTTTTATCCTTTGTAAGGACAACCAATTTTCTCCCATTACTTCTAATTGAATAGTCCTTTTTTGCCTCATTGATTTTTTACTCACTGAAGATGACATCTTTTAGAAGTTCTAAATTTATGTGAAGGCATTCAATCCACCCTGTCCTGGATTAAGCTCCAGTTTTTGCTCCTGTCCCTTGAGAATATCTGGCCCATGGAAATCTAGACAAAATCCTCCAGGGATTTAAGGGAGTATAAGGGGATATTGCACAAGGCAAACACAGATCAGAGTTCACTTCTACCTGTGGTATCATCCTTTCTTCCGTCTCTGGCCTCCAATTGTTTCCCCACTTTACCACCAGCTCAGTCCTGCCTTTATAAATATTAATTTCAGGTATCCGTATAGGAAGAAATTTCTCTATACTTTCAATTAAAATTATTGCCCTTAATTTAAAATCTAAATCAATTCGATGTTATTTCCAGTTCTTTTTATTTCACTTATAAAGTTAGGATTCTTTCTTTCTTTTTACATCATTGTTATTACATTTAATCTGGTTAGCTGAGTTATGTTTCTCAAAAAATTTTCCAGGAAGGGTACATGAATAATTCCATTCCTGTGAATATTTTAGTATTTCCCTTACATGAGAAAGACATCTTGGCTGAGTGACACTCTTTCCCCTCTGCATTCTTTAGATGTTATTCCATTGTCTTCATCAGAAAATGATCCTGAAGTGCTTGAGATCAGGCTAAACTGTTGGCCTGTTTTTGTTTTTGTGGGCTGATTTTTATGGAGGTAGGGGTAGAAATAAAGTAATAGTGATCTGCTTCTGTTTCTATTGTTGGATGATTACAGAAATTTCTTTTTTTCATTTCCTTTTCTTTTTTGATGTTATTTAACATCACCAGAATATACTTTGATATGGGTTGTTATTTATTAAGTTTTCCCAGGTTACAATAATCCCTTTCAATCTGCAGATTCAGATTGTCCTTCATTCTAGGAAAGTTTTCTTATATTATATCATTGAATGTTTTATTTTTTCTCTTTTCTTGTCCATGAATTGCTATTTTCTGTGTATTAAATCTCCATCGACTATTCTTCATAGCCATAATGTCATTTCTAATCTCTCGCAATTCAGTTCTTTTCCTCAGTTATTTTTGGATTTTTCTCAATTCTATCTTTTATCTCACTAATTTTAGTTCTTCATAGTATCAATGTTGTTTTTACTACTTCTAATGTCATTTAAATTGCTTTAACAAAATGGCTAGTCAGGCTGCAGTCATGAATATTCCATAGTATTTCAGATTTAAACTGGCCTCAATCTCACAATGTTTTAAAACTTGTATGAAGAGTGAAAATAAAAAAGATAATTGACTTCATCGTTGAGAAAAAAGTGTAAATATAATATATAACATATATATAAATGTACAAATTTGGCATTTGTGATGTTTTTACATGCTCTTTTTTTGTCTCTTTTCTCCAAATGTACATTCCATTTTGAGAAGAGACTTAGGAAAGTAGCCAGACATGAGTAAGTTTGGCCGCACCCAAAGAGAGGGCTGATGAATTCCCTTCCAAATATACAGTTCTATAATATGTAAACTGTAATTGTTTCTCAGACTGTTAAAAAATTCCATCAACTTCTCTGATACATTAAGTAGATTTGTACATTATTTTTTCTTTTTTAATGAAATAGCAACTGTCCTCTATCAAAATCAAGAGACCCTAAATAAAATCCTGTCCAAAGTAACAAAAGAAAGGTATAGCAATCATAGTGTTTTCAATTCTTAAGATCTAAATTAAACATTAAACCCCCAGAAAATAAATGCCGTCTGTGTTGAAAAACTCAGAACAAATAACTTCTCCAATCGTGTTGGAATATAGTAGGTACTTCAGATATGAAATGATTTCACAGATCCTAATTTTAACGATCATGTCATTTTTATGAATGGGGAAATCTAAGGTGTAGTGAGGGGAGATATTTAAAAATATCTAAGGAACCAAGAGTTGAACAGACCAGAACCCCTTAGCAACCAATGTTATTTTTTTAAGTGTATATGAGAATGTCTGTGCAAGGATTCCCCTGCTCATTAGGAGTAGGTAGAACTATTATTGCAAAGTTGTCATTTTCAAGTGAATAGTGTGTGGGTAGCTTCCTTTATGTCTGGACAAATTAGAGCTGTGCAGGAATTTGCTAATTAGTATGTGTTGATGGCTCAGTTCAGTAGCCCTGCCTCAGGACTCAGATCAGGATACCATAAGTATTTTTAAACTTCTTCAAGCATAATAACTATAGGAAAAGATGAACAGAATTAGAATTATTCGACTTGGAAGAAAGAATATCAAAAGCTAAACGTGCTACTTTCTAATAGGTCAGAAGAATTACAACTTTGTATGACCCACAAAAAGGAAAATTAGATAATTGCAACAGGAATTGGTTAACATCAAAGAAAGAACTTCCCAGTTATAAAGACTGGGGAGTAAACACCAGGGAAATAACAAAATAATAATGACAACACTAATAATAAGTATGGTTTATTGAATATATTATGTGTCTTTTCCATTTTAAGCACTTTGTAGACATTATCTCATTTAATCTTCACAATAATGTTTTATGGTCAGTGTTGTTGCTTCAATTTCACATTTATTTGTTCATTTAACAATTATTTTTGAAGGCCTACTATGTACCAAGCACTGTTCTAGACAGAAGGATTAGAGATTCATAAGACTGAACAAAGTCTCTGTACCCATGAAGCTTTTATTCAGGCATTGGCAGATGGGGGAGGTTGACAATGAACAAAGAAATAAGAAAAATAACAGAGTGATAACTATTATGCAGAGAATTGAAAATAGAGGGTTATGATAATCATCAATGAACTAGGCAATCAGAGAAGCATTTCTGAGGAGGTGAATTCTGATTGACAAGAAAGAGACAACATGTGTGGGGAAATGGAAGAATATTGCTGGCAGAGAGCAGGTGGAGGCAAGGCACTAATGCAGCAACAAATTTAACCACTTCCAGAGGCCAAAAGAAGCCCGCTGTGCCAGGGCACGGTAGACAAGGGGAAATGTCTACCAGGAAGTCCCATAACACTTAAACACCATACAAAGGCTTTACCCTGACCCTTGTAAAGCACCATAACCTGTTCTCTGACCTTCCTTTGGTCTTCACCCTGTGCCATTTCCCCTTGTCTACAGGGAGAGTACAGTGGTGCAATCTCAGCTCACTGCAACCTCTGCCTCTTGGGTTCAAGCAATTCTCCCACCTCAGCCTCCCAAGTAGCTGGGACTACAGGTGCGGGCCACCGTGCCCGGCTACTTTTTGTATTTTTGGTAGAAACAGGGGTTTCACCATGTTAGTCAGGCTGGTCTCGAACCTCTGACCTCAAGTGATCCTCACGCTTCAGCCTCCCAATGTACTGGGATTACAGGCATGAGACACTGTGCCCAGCCTATTTCTTTTAAAAATACCTCTATTGTAATGACTAGAATAATTCTGTATAAAAATTTGATACAAAATCAATCAATTCATTATGTTTCTTAAACATCATTTGGGCTTCTGTGTAGAGAATGGATTGTAGGATGGCAAGCACAGAGGTCATCTGCAGGAAGGTCATGAAGCCTTTCCTCTGGAGCAGGGAGGCCTCCCCTGGGAAGGTGGAACCAGGAGGCTAAGCCACTGACCTGCTCTGCAATTCAGCCACAGCTAGGGCATACTACATTCTCCCACTCTATAGTGGCTGACAAGTGCCAATTAGAGCCCCAATTTGCTATCAGTTGCCCATGTGGTTAAGTACTGTCTTTTTGTTTATTTGTTTAAACTCAAAGTTGTAGCAGCAGTTGACCTACTTGCCAACATAACCCAATTCCTACACACACACACACACACACACACAGACACATACACACACACACACACACACACACACACACACACACACACACACACACAGGTAATGGGGGAAAATCATTTTAAACTGTCTTTAGTTACATGGAAATGCATTAGAATGAAATGTGTCTGACTTGGGTCAACTGTTATCTATAATACAAGGATGACTCTACCCAAAGAATTTCTTTCCTGTCTTTCTAATAGTATGTTCCAGAAGAATTAAGATCCAGATGTGATCGAGGAACTTCTCATGACAGTGGAAAAACTCAGCCTGCCAATATTACTAAAGGGGAAAAAAAGGTTTTGAGGTAGATATCCTCCAGATTTTGTTGGACAAGGGGGAATTAATAATGTGGCATATGAGATCAGTCCCATAATGAGGGAGAAAAGATCAGAGGAATCTTGAACATTGATGTGTCCATCATGAAATCATCTACATGCATCTCTCATTCTCCTTCTATAATATTCTCAAATCAAATAAATGATGTTCAATATCTATGTTCAATATGTGAAACAGATATTGGAAAAACAAAAGTAAAACCTTGAACTTCAGTGATTAAACAAAAGTAATGTAGGAACTCTTGATCTGTTTCTTGAAACAAACAGTCTACTCAAATCACATCCACTACAGGACATCATTACGGTCTACAGACACAATGATGCAGTACTAATAAAAAAATTAGCCATATCAATAATAATAATATTTATTAAAGATCTCCTCTAGATCAGATATTGTGTCGAGTGCTGCAAGATCTTTTCCTAAGGATGGAAAATATTTATAGAACTACTGGTGACCTATGTCTCCAAAATTGAGATAAATTTCTGCAACATTCTTTGGGACTCATTAGAAACATTTCCCATTTGGGAAACTTCTTAAACAAAAATGGTGATTGACTGTTCTGCTCATTTATCCAAGAAAGAGTTGAATGGATTTCATCTGGAAGAGTTTCCTAACACCAAAAATACTGAAAACAAACAAACAAACCACATACGTTACTTAAGTCACACAGATTTGGCCTCTAATCAAAAAAGAGAGGGGGAAATATTAACATAGAAAGCATTGCATTCCTTCCATATATACGTAAATAGTGTACTTGGAGCATAACAGCAAGAATCCAGAATCAATGAATCATGGCTAAGATATCCATAAAATACTTGAAGCAAAAATAGTGTGGTTTCTTTCAATACTTACACAAAAATTCAGGGCTTTCACATAAAGATAATCACTAATGAAAAAATGCCACTTGTTCTAGTCCTTCATAATTGCTAAATATTACATTCACTTTGTTACCTATTCACTTTTTCTGGTTTTAAAAGTAGTATTTCCTCACTAAAGAAAAGGTGGAAAATCAGGAAGATTATAAAGAATTTGTCCCACGTTTTGAAGGAAAATCTCCCATAATCCCACAACCCAGAATTAATGGCTAATATTTTGGGTAGGTTTCATTCAGCCTTTTTCTTATATGAACCTTATATTTTTACACAGTTAAGAAACAATCATACGTACACTTTTTAAAACTTTTATTTTAGCTTTGGGGGTACATATGAGGGTTTGTTACATAAGTAAACACATGTCACAGGGATTTGTTGTACATATTATTTCATCACCCAGGTATTAAACCCAGTACCCAATAGTTATTTTTTCTGCTCCTGTCCCTTCTGCCACCCTCCCCCATCAACAACAGACCAAGTGTCTTTTGTTTCCTTCTTTGTGTTCATAAGTTCTTATCATTTAGATCCCACTTATAAGTGAGAACACGTGGTATTTGGTTTTCTGTTCCTGCGTTAGTTTGCTAAGGATAATAAACTCCAGCTCCATTCATCTTCCCACAAAGACACGATCTCATTCTTTTTTATGACTGCATGGTATTCCATGGTGTATGGAATTTTCTTTATCCACTCTGCCATTGATGTCATTTAGGTTGATTTTATGTCTTTGCTATTGTGAATAGTGCTGCAATGAACACTCACATGCATGCGTCTTTATGGTAGAATGACTTATATTCCTCTGGGTATATACCCAGTAATGTGATTGCTGGGTCAAATGGTAGTTCTGCTTTTAGCTCTTTGAGGAATCAACATACTGCTTTCCACAATAATTGAAAAAATTTAGATTCCCACCAACAGTGTGTTTTTCTCTGCAACCTTACCAGCATCTGTTATTTTTTGACTTTGTAATAATAGCCTTTCTGACTATTATGAGATAGTATCTCACTGTGGTTTTGATTTTTATTTCTCTAACGATCAGTAATACTGAGCTTTTTTTATATGCTTGTTGGCTACATTCTTTTGAGAACTGTCTGTTCATGTCCTTTGCCCACTTTTTAATGGAGTTGTTTTTCTCTTGTAAATTTGTTTAAGTTCCTTAAATACGCTGGATATTAGACCTTTGTCAGATACATAGTTTGCAAATACTTTCTTCTATACTGTAGGTTGTCTGTTTACTCTGTTGATACGTGCAGAAGCTCTTACATTTAATTAGATCCCATTTTCCAATGTTCACTTTTGTTGAAATTGCTTTTGGTGTCTTTGTCATGAAATCTTTGCCCATTCCTATTAATATGTCCAGGATGGTATTGTGTAGGTTGTCTGTCTTCCAGGGTTTTTATATTTAAGTTTTTAATTCATCTTGAGTTTTTTGTTTGTTTGTTTGTTGTATGGTATAAGGAACGGATCCAGTTTCAACCTTCTGCATACAGCTAGCTAGTTATCCCAGCACCATTTATTGAATAGGGAGTCTTTTCCACATTGCTTATTTTTGTCAGCTTTGCAAAAATCATATGTCATAGCTGTGCAGCCTTATTTCTGGGCTCTCTATGCTGTTCCATTGATCTATGTTCCTGTTTTTATACTAGTACCATGCTGTTTTGGTTACTGTAGCCTTGTAGTATAGTTTGAAGGCAGGTAACATGATGCCTCCAGCTTTGTTCTTTTTGCCTAGGATTGCCTTGGTTATTCAGGTTCTTTTTTGCTTCCATTTTAATTTTTAAATAGTTTTTCATTCTGTGAAGAATATCATTGGTAGTTTGATAGGAATAGCATTGAATCTGTAAATTGCTTTGGGCAATATAGCCATTTTAATGATATTGATTCTTACTATCTGATATGGTTTGGCTCTGTGTCCCAACCCAAATCTCATCTTGAATTGAACTCTCATAATTCCCACATGTTGTGGGAGGGACTAGGTGGGAGATAATTGAGTCATGGGGACAATTTCCTTCATACTGTTCTCCTGGTAGTGAATAAGTCTCACAAAATCTGATGGTTTTATCAGGGGTTTCTGCTGTTGTGTCTTCCTCATTTCTCTCTTTGCCTGCTGCCATCCATGTAAGATGGGACTTGCTCCTCCTTGCCTTCCGCCATGATTTTGAGGCTTCCCCAGCCATGTGGAACTGTAAGTCCAATTAAACGTCTTTCTTTTGTAAATTGCCCAATCTAGGGTATGTCTTCATCAGCAGCATGAAAACGAATTAATACAGTAAATTGGTACCAATAGAGTGTGGCACTGCAGAGAAGATAACCGAAAATATGGAAGCAACTTTGGAACTGGGTAATAGGCAGAGGTTAGAATAGTTTGGAGGGCTCAGAAGACAGGAAAATGTGGGAAAGTTTGGAACTTCCCAGAGACTTGTTGAATGGCTTTGACCAAAATGCTAATAGCAATATGGACAACAAGGTCCAGGCTGAGGTGGTCTCAGATGGAAATGAGGAACTTGTTGGGAACTTGAGCAAAGGTGACTCTTGTTATGTTTTAGCAAAGAAACTGGCAGCATTTTGCCCCCGTCCTAGAAATTTGTGGAACTTTGAACTTTAGGGAGATGCTTTAGAGTATCTGGAGGAAGAAATTTCTAAGCAGCAAAGCATTCAAGAGGTGACTTGGGTGCTATTTAAAACATTCAGCTTTAAAAGGGAAACAGAGCATAAAAGTGAAAAGTTTGCAGCTTGACAATGCAATAAAAAAGAAAATCCCATTTTCTGAGGAGAAATTCAAGCAGGCTACACAAGTTTACATAAGTAACAAGGAGCTAAATGTTAATCCCCAAGACAATGGGGAAAATGTCTCCAGGGCATGTCAGAGGTCTTCACAGCAGCCCCTCCCATCACAGGCCTGGAGGCCTAGGAGGAAAAAGTGGTTTTGTGGGCCAGGCCCAGGGACCCCTTGCTGTGTGCCGCCTAGGGACTTGGTGCCCTGCATCCCAGCTGCTCCAGCCGTAGCTGAAAGGGGTCAACATAGAGCTCGGGCCGTGTCTTCAGATTGTGCAAGCTCCAAGCCTTGGCAGCTTCCACATAATGTTGAGGCTGTGGGTGCACAGAAATCAAGAATTGAGGTTTGGGAACCTCTGCCTAGATTTCAGAAGATGTATGGAAATGCCTGGATGCCCAGGCAGAGGTTTGCTGCAGGGGTTGGGCTCTTATGGAGAACCTCTGCTAGGGCAGTGTGGAAGGGAGATGTGGGGTCAGAGTCCCCACACAGAGTGTACTGGGGCACTGCCTAGTGGAACTGTGAGAAGAGGGCCACCATCCTCCAGACCCCAAAATGGTAGATCCACCAACAGCTTGCACCGTGAACCTGGAAAAGCTGCAGACACTCAACACCAGCCAGTGAAAGCAGCTGGAAGGAAGACTGTACTCTGCAAAGCCACAGGGGCGGAGCTGCCCAAGACCATGGGAACTCACCTCTTGCATCAGTGTGACCTGGTTGTGAGACATGGAGTCAAAAGAGATCATTTTGGAGCTTTAAGATTTGACTGTCCCACTGGATTTCAGACTTGCATGGGCCCTGTAGCCCCCTTTGTTTTGGCCAATTTCTCCCATTTGAAATGGTTGCATTTACCCAATGGCTGTACCCCCATTGTATCTAGGAAGTAACTAGATTGCTTTTGGTTTTACAGGCTCATAGGTGGAAGGGACTTACCTTGTCTCAAATGAGACTTTGGACTGTAGACTTTTGAGTTAATGCTCAAATGAGTTAAGACCTTGGGTCACTGTTGGGAAGGCATGATTGGTTTTGAAATGTGAGGACATGAGATTTGGCAGGTGCCAGGGGCAGAATGATATGGTTTGGTTCCGTGTCCCCACCCAAATCTCATCTTGAATTGAACTCCCATAATTCCCACATGTTTTGGGAGGGACCTGGTGGGAGATAATTGAATCATGGGGGCAGTTTCCTTCATACTGTTCTCCTGGAAGTAAATATATCTCACAAGATATGATTATTTTATCAGGGGTTTCTGCTGTCACGTCTTCCTCATTTCTCTCTTTGCCTGCTGCCATCCATGTAAGATTGGACTTGCCCCTCTTTGCCTTCCGCCATGATTGTGAGGCTTCCTCAGCCATGTGGAACTATAAGTCCAATTAAACCTCTTCCTTTTGTAAATTGCCCAGTCTTGGATATGTCTTTATCAGCAGCATGAAAACAAACTAATACACTATCCATGAGCATGAGATGTTTTTCCACTTGTTTGTGTCTTCTCTGATTTCTTTGAGCACTGTTTTGTAATTCTCATTGTAGAGATCTTTCACCTTGCTGGTTAGCTGTATTCTTGGGCATTTTATTTTTTATAGCTGCATAGTATTCCATGGTGCATATGTGTCACATTTTCTTTATCCAGTCTATTATTGATGGGCATTTGGGTTGGTTCCAAGTCTTTGCTATTGTGAACAGTGCCACAATAAACATACATGTGCATGTGTCTTGATAGTAAATTATTTGTAATCCTTTGGGTATATACCCAGTAATGGGATTGCTGGGTCAAATGGTATTTGTCTTTTGAATGATTTTTCATGACTTGACTTCCTTTAGTGCAGCTCTGATTTGTGTTATTTCTCATATTCTGCTAACTTTGGGATTGATTTGTTCTTGCTTCTCTAATTCTTTCAGTTGTGAAGTTAGGTTGTTAATCTGATATCTTTCTAATGTTTTATGTGGGCAATTAGTGCTATGAATTTCCCTTTTAACATGGCCTTAGTTGTGTCTCAGAGATTCTGGTATGTTATATCTTCGTTTCCATTATTTTCAAAAAACTTCTTGATTTCTGCCTTAATTACATTATTTACCCAAAAGTCATTCAGGAGCATGTCATTTAATTTCCATGTAATTGCATGGTTTTGAGCAATTCAATTTTTGTAGTCTTGACTTCTATTTTTATTGTGTTGTGGTCTGAGAGTGTGTTTGGTATGATTTGGGTTCTTTTGTATTTGTTGAATATTGTTTTATGTCCAATTATGTGGTGGATTTGAGAGTATGTGCCATGTGGTGATGAGAAGATACATATACTTTTTAAAACTTGCTTTTTTAATACTACGAGCAGTTTCCCATGCCATTAAAACTTCTTCATAAATGTTCTTTTGATAGGTACAAAATATTATATTTCTAAGCCTCTATATTTTTAACATTTATGTTGCTTCTAATGTTTTTCTATTATAAAATCTCTACAGTGGTTGTAATGACTAGAATTTTTGCATTACATTTTGAATGACTTTATTGTAATGACTAGAATAATTCTTTATAAAAATTGCTACAAAATTAACCAACCAATCAATTCATCATATTTCTTAAACATCATTCTGGCTTCTGTGTAGAGAATGGATTGCAGGTGGGCAAGCACAGAGGTCATCTGCAGGGAGATCATCAAGCCTTTCCCCAGGAACAGGGAGAGGCAGGAAAAAGGACCCAGGGGATCTAGCTAGTCACCTGTTCAAAAATGTAATATTAATCACATCCCAGCAGAGTTTTGAAAAGAGTAAAACTTTTTTCTATTTCTATTCCATGAATAGGCAAATTCATGGAATAGGCCTATTCATGGAATAGAAATTCCATTTCTATTCCATGAATAGGCAAATGGAAGTGGTATTTTCCCCCTACATTTTCCTTCCTCAATCTGGGTCATAAAGAAATTGATTGAAAAAGAGACTAGAGGGTTCTTCTCTAGGTATGGCATATTGATTGACAGGGTAGCAGACATCAGCAGAGACATGAAGTTGCCCAGTACTTTTTTTTTTCCCATCTCACTATCAGCTACCATGTCCCTCCACTCCAAGAACATTGGAAGTCAACTGCTCAGAGGTATTTCAAATACCCAGAAATGTCCTTATACACCACAGTGTTCAATCAACTTCCCCAAAGTCCCAACAGTCGTTTAGAATATGACTTCACCCAGGACTGCTGGGTTGCACAACTCCAGGTATACTGTTTGTATTATATTCTATGTGAAGGTCTCCCCTGGAGTAGTGCAGCATTGCCCCAGGCTGTTTTCCTACATTTATACGAGAGTAAAAATGAAGAGGAGAACTCTCTGGCTACCTAAAAAACCTTGTGTTGATCTCACCTCAGGGCTAATGCTGGAGTCTCTTTTGGCTTTAGTGCCAAGGCTCTACTTGTTGATTCACTTATCAAAATATATTTGAATATATTTTCCAGGCAGAAAGCCTTTTAAAAGATACAGAGACACAAAGCTTCTCTAAGACAAACTCTGAACCAGGGCAACAGAGAAACCCTCTGCTCCCACCACCAGGCTATCTAGTTGAAACAGGAGTTATGACTGGATAAGTGTCAAGAACATAAACGGAAACTGTCTCTGAAGCACAGGGCATAAAGCAGCCTTAAAGCTGAAGATGGAGTAGAAGCATTGAAAAAAATCCTCCAGTAATCCAACCTCCACCCCAAGGGCAAGGTAAAATTAGATGAATTGAACTCAATGACACACTGAGGGCAACCATGGCAACAGCAAAAGCCAAACACAATTCAGCTCCTGATTAGACTGATTCAACATCACCCCCTCCTTCCTGATTAATAGCCCAGCAGAAGGGACGTGTCCATTTCTAGGCATAAGGAATTATTCACCTCAGTCTCTACCTTTCTATCTTTGATTGATTGATATCAGGCAATCAATCAAAAATTAGAAGACACACAAAAATCAAAGAAAAATAACTAATTGTAAAAAAGACATAGTAGGCAACAGAGCCAGACTCAGAGATAACCCAGATGTTAGAACTATCATAGAGGGAATTTTAAATAACTGCTTAATATAATATCTTACATGCTGTAGTGGAAAAGGCAAGTAGTACATAAAAATAGATGAGAAATTTTAGTGGAGCAATAAGTGCTATAGAAAAAAATTGAAAATGCTAAAAATGACACACATCATAACAGAGATAAAGAATGCCTTCAACTAGCTGATCGAGAGACTCAACAAGCCAAGAACAAAATCAATGAACTTGAAAATAGATAAACAGAAATTCCTCAAACAGAAACACAAAGGAAAAAAAGGAATGAATGACAAATGACAAAAAAATAAAAAAACACAGAGCATACAAGAGCTGTGGGTCTAATATATGTGTAGAGTAGGAGAAATATTTGAAGAGATGACAGCTGAAAAATTTCCAAAAAATAATGAAATATATTAATCCACAGGTCCAAGGAGTTCAGAGAAGCCTAAAGAGATTAAACAACAAGGTAAAGAAAAAGGAGGAGCAGGAGGAGGGAGGAGAAAAATGAAACCCATACACTCCCACACCCATCTAGATCCATCATAGTCGAGTGGCTTAAAACTAAAGATAAAGAGAAAATTTTGAGGAAAGTTGAAAAAGAAAACATTGTATACAAAGGAACAAAGCTAAGAGTGACAGCAGGAGTCTTATCTGAAACCATGCAAGCCAGAAAACAGTAGAATGATCCCTTTAAAATGCTGAAAGAAAAATACTAGTAACCCAGAATGTATGCCCAGTGGAAAAAAATCCTAAAAATTGAAGAGAAATCAAGACTTTTTCAGACAAACAGAAACTGAGATAACTTATTATCAGCAGACCTACACTACAAAAATTGTTAAAGGAAGTTCTACAGGTAGAAGGAAGATGTTACTGATCAAAACTTGGAATATGGAGCCAGACAGATCTCCAGAAATGGTCAGAATGAAGGTTTTTCTAGCTCTAGGTGAATTGAATTAAATTATTATTATTATTATTTTGAGATGGAGTCTCGCTCTGTTGCCAGGCTGGAGTGCGGTGGTGAGATCTCAGCTCACTGCAACCTCTGACTCTCTGGTTCAAGCTATTCTCCTGCCTCAGCCTCCCCAGTAGCTGGGATTATAGGCATGCACCACCAAGCCCAGCTAATTTTTGTATTTTTAGTTGAGACGGGGTTTCACCATGTTGGCCAGGATGGTCTCGATCTCCTGACCTCGTGATTAGCCCTCCACCTCCCAAAGTGCTGGGATTACAGGCGTGAGCCACCGCGCCCAGCCAATTAAATTATTTTTAACATAAAGTGTCAATTAGCAGACACTGTTGTTGCCTACCACATTGCCTTCAATGGGCTGAAATACTCTTCTCCCACTTGCAGAAGAGGTAAAGAGCTGCTATCAGTTCACAGCTATATTCTTCTCCTGAGAACTGCCCTTGACCAATGGCAGCCACTTGGAAACAGAGTATGTAGAAAGCTATGCATGGTTCCCGGGGTGTCCAGTAACCAATGACTAACAGATGTGAGGCACCAAAAAGGCCTGCCCTTTTGCCTGAAGATGGGATAATTCTGTGGTACCATTCCTGTTGTAAGGTTCCCTATGGGATCACCAGAAGCTGGCTTCATCTGAATTCACATCTTTGGCCTTTTCCCCTGCCCTGACCTGCTTCCTTCTCTTTGGCACAGGTTTTGCCTGAGAGCTGTCCCTCAACATTCCCTCAATCTCTGCTTCTGGGGAACCTGACCCAAGGCACTCTACATTTCACCACAAAGCATGATGTTTGCCATAGGTTTCTGTGCTATGTATCATGTTGTGTATCCAGTTAAGAAATTCCCTTCTGTTCCCAGTTTCCTAAAGAGTGTATATCAAGAATGGAAGATATTTTTTGTAAAAAAATTTTCACATTTATTCTTATGATCACATGCTTTTATTCCCCTTCATTTTGGTAACATGGCAACATACAAAATCAACCTAGAATTCTTGGAATAAATGCAACTTAGTCAATTTTTTTTAATTTTAATCTTAATAGTTTTCAAGACTAAGCACGGAGCAGCAGGAGAAATCCCAAATACATTTAAACCTTCCAAAGCTGCTAACCACAAGAATGCTAGCCATTTCATATTCAACAAGTTTGTCCTCTATCAGGCTTACAAAAGGAACACGACTGTCCACAGGTAAGGGTGGAATGAGAGGGTCTGCAAGTACCTATCAATCTTTTGGCTTCTAACACCAGCTTTTGCTTGAAGGAGCAGTAAAACTTTATGCTTCAGCCATTAGGCAGAGCCCTTCAGAGGATCAAAACACATGGCTAATCAATCCCATAGGATTATGTGAGTAGGGAGTACAAAAGGAATTTGCGAACTGGCAAAGGGCCTTTTATAGACTAGATTTTCAAAAAATATTAGCCTATTAACAGATTTTTACCACCTATTTATCATAGACAACTTTCCTCATCTTTACTTTGTGCATATTAGAAGAAGTTGGAGGAACTTAAACTCTAAAACCATAGTCCTTTTATCACCAAATCCTTGTTTTTATTACTAAGGAAAGAAATAGCTATCAACATTCTAACTAGAAAATACACGAATCTTTGTGTATGGAATAAGTACCCTAAAACAGAGAAACACACAAGCTCTAGAGTGATGGTGAGTTAATTCTGTGAGAAATACCTTTATCCAACTTTATTTGGTCTCTCTCGAGACCCCCATTCTGGAAATGGCTCATCAGGGCTGATAACACTTTTTTTTTTTTTTTTTTGAAACAGGGTTCTGCTTTGTTACCCAGGCTGAAATGCAGTGGCACAATCATAGCTTACTGCAGGCTTAAACCCCTGGGCTCAAGCAATTCTCCCAAACAGCTGGGATTACAGGTGTGAGCCCTGACACCTGGCCAGATGACACAGTCTGGCTGTAAGGTTAAAAGTTTTCCAAGTTTGTTACTCATTGTGTGTTTTTGCATTCTCTGCTAAATTCTAAATTCTTCCAAGGCTGTGAATGTATCTTGCCTTTCTTTTGTCCTGTCTTTCTTGGCAAAGTATTAAGGACAAAAGGGATTTGCTCAATTATTACTGAATTAGAGATGACAGGCCCATGGGAATCACCCCCGGACCCTGGCCCTGCTAACACCCTACTCTAATCAAATGTGTTACTGAAGAAAGTACCCACAGTGGCATCAAAGACAGAAACACTCTGCCAAAATAGAAATCCTAATAAACTCTGAAATCATCAGCTTCCTCTACATTTCTTTCTATTGTCTTTCCATTGATTTATGAGGTACGATGCTTACTGGACACCTTTAACCTGAAGGTCTGGTGGCTGAGAGTACTTTTTATTTTGTTTTTTGTTTTTTTTGTTTTTTGTTTTTTTTTTTTTTTTGAGACGGAGTCTCGCTCTGTCGCCCAGGCTGGAGTGCAGTGGCGCGATCTCGGCTCACTGCAAGCTCCGCCTCCCGGGTTCACGCCATTCTCCTGCCTCAGCCTCCCGAGTAGCTGGGACTACAGGCGCCCGCTACCACGCCCGGCTAATTTTTTGTATTTTTAGTAGAGACGGGGTTTCACCGTGTTAGCCAGGATGGTCTCGATCTCCTGACCTCGTGATCCGCCCGCCTCGGCCTCCCAAAGTGCTGGGATTACAGGCGTGAGCCACCGCGCCCGGCCGAGAGTACTTTTTAAATAGCTGATCATTTGTGAAATAAACACTCTGATCGTCTGATGGCTGCTGACTTTCAATTTGTTTTTTGTTTTTTTTTTTTCCTCCCAGGAACTTTTCCATGGCTCAATGTAATCATTTCCTCAAATGAGAAACATGCCTTTTGTAAAAAACAAACAAAACCCACTGTCATTGGTAGAAATTGGTGCTTCCTTTAACCCTGTCAGGCTCAGCCTGTTCCTTTCCACTCTTTATAAACTTATTTCCCTGAACAACCTTATTGGTGACACAGTTTGTATTGATTTGCCACTCATATCTCTACTTCTTCCCACAACCCCAGAATTGCTACAATTTGGGAGGAAAGAAGCTATGGAAAATGACCAGTATCCCCTGCATTCCTGGCTCTTACCTTTCACTAGTGCCCTGACTCTAAGAATTTTCACTTAAATAACATCCCACAAGTTGCACCAATTAATTTTAATTCATAGATCTCAGAGATCATCGGGATTTTTGAAGCTAGAAGGAACCTCAGTGATTGCCTAGTTGATTCTTTCGTTTTACCAAAATTAAGTTTTGGAATAAATGCATTATCCTAGATCTAGAGACAGAACCAAGATGCAACAAGTCTGAACCCTTTCTAGTGAATACATAGTACCACCCTATATGCATGAACCAAATCTGAGAAAATGAGCTCGCAGGTTTATGCACAGCAACTTGAAAATGTTCCCAACTCCCTCGAAACAACATGCTAATTTAATTTCAGCCAGCAAGACCTCTTTCCAAGTTCCCACCCCACCACCCAAAAAATAGGGTAGCAGGGCTGCCCTGAACATTGAAGCCTCTTGGGGAATTCCCTGACATATCCCAAGGAAAAAGGGTATTGATGCCCAGTTTCAACAGACCTTTCTCACATTCCTGATTCAGAAATCTTACCTAATGTGTATTAGGGTTCTACTGAAATCGGTCTCAAACACCTTATCCAGCAACGTTTGAGAAATCTCTGTGCTACTTGTCCTGCCCACCCCAACCTCAAGCCTTGTCTTCCAGAATGGCTCCACAAAGAGGAGAGAACAGAGACGGATCACCACCAGAGCCTGAGAAGAGGGCCTGTGAAAACTGCCCTCCTTCCAATCAAAAAGGATTTTTTTTTCCTGACTGCTATGTGAATAGAACGTTAAAAACTTGAACTTTGAGCTGTGATCCAATACCTGAAATTCCTTTCATTCCACAATTAAAGATAAGGCTTTCAGTGAAAACACAGCAGGAATGAGCATTCCCCAGACTCTTTAATGCCCAGGAAGAGATAAATGACTGACGTGGGCCATTTCTTAGAGATGGCTTTGGAGGAGGAGGAGGGAAAGGAGAGGTCAAGTGTACTAAAGGAAGAGTGAGCACAGGAAAATGAAAGGCTAGAGGCTTTGAAGAGAATCTCTGCCCACTTCACCATCTGCCCTGAACAATGCCAGATCTAATTGCTTCCAGAACTGCTCCTCACTTTAAAAAACAAAAATCTCCTTTGACCACAAAGCCAACTGCTACAGGTTTTTAAGTGGACAAGGATGTCTTTGGGTGGCATCTACCCAGATGAAGATGAATAGGAAATAGATCCTTATCCAGGTATATTAGAAAGCGACTTCAAAACATGTAATAAATTTGTGCTATCAATCATTATATTACCTCATGAGGTAATATATATGAATATAGCCTTTTCAACTGGGGAGTTCAAAGTGAAAAAGGAACCATAGATTTGTAGAAAACAGCAAAATCAGCTTCCCAAGCACTCAGCAGAGTATCATATGTAATAGAAATCACACACACACACAAAAAGATAAAATCGATACACAGGTTAAAGGAATTTCCAGATTGGTATGATTGTTTCCATAAGTGAAAAAGTGGAATTAAGGATGATATTGAGAATGTGGTAGAATGCAGTCCCTTTTTATTTTCTGAGGAGGTGGGGTGGGAAGCCATTGAGAAAGGCAGAGAAAAAGAATGAGGATTGTGCTCCTGTTTACACACAGCCTGGGTTAATGTGTAATTGACAAGATTAATGGCTGCATAATAATTGCCTCTATTGTTTACTGTCTGGATGGTGGCCAGCCACCTTCCCGCTCTGCCCACCAATGGGTTTGGGTTTGTAAGGAATGCAGTCAGTGGCTGATAGGGTCTGTGTGCCAGGTGTAACCTTGCTAAAGAAGACATTCAAGAATCATACAGGGAGACCTGGTGAGGTTTTGCCATGGCAGGGCATGCCTTCTTCTTGTTGTAAATAGTCTAACTTCAAATCTGCTAGGTGAGCTGTATCAGAACAGGGCCAGGCTTGGCCTGACCTAACTGCTCCACCTGAGAAAGACAAAGAAAATAAAACCTCAGGATGTAGAGAAAGGTCTCATTTCTGTCCTGGCCATACTGTGAACCAAAAAGCAGAGTGTTCCTCTGTGCCATTCCTCGCACTGTCCCGGGCTGTGCTGGGAAGTGCCCACCTTTCCCCCACAGGGATGCACAAATACCTTCCTCCCCACTCTTCCCTGATCTGCTTTCTAAGCTCTTGCCTCTTGTGCACTGTGAGACAAGCAAACAGACCAAGACTCTGGGTCATGAACCCCAGACAGGATTTCCATGGAAAGGTACCATGCGTCCAACCCTTCTCCTGCTGATCTTGTCTTGTCTTGCCTCTCACAGGGACCAGCATGGTTTTATGTACAAAAACAAGAGCTACGTAATTCTCACGTGGCCTTGTTCTCAACTGGGTCACAAGTGTTCTTCTTGATTACCTCAACCTTTGTGGTTTTCCATTCCCTAACAAATCAATTTTAGAGTCTTGACGTCTGAAGAGGCCCTCCTAGGGCTGGTACTAGTCTACCTTTCCTGTCTTCCCTTCCAGCCCAGCTTAGACTGCTTTACTGTGCAGCTCTATTCCTCCTTCCTTCCACCTAGAAGGTCTCCCTGCTACCCACTCTCTCTCAGTATATTCAAATCTAATCCCTCTGGTGCAGACTCCATAGTGTCTCCCTATTATACACTCTCACATCCTTTGTGCTTTTCCTTCATAACACTTACCCCTCCTGTCATTAAGTAATGATTTGTGCAGTCATCAGTGGGGTGGCTCTCTCCCTTGCTAGACAGTAAGTTCCTAAAGACAAAAACTGCACATGCTGTGTTCTGTGATACCTCTCTAAAAGAGGGTCTTTAGTATGTGCTTAAATCAGTTGTCAAGTTAATAACTATATGAATACATGCAAAGACAAGTTCAAAATTTTCACTTCCTTGGTGAGCTCAACCTTCAGCCTCTCCAGCTGGGTATATTCTTGTTAGTCCATCTGAAGTAACAGGGGAACTTTGTGCTTCCCTGGCACTATCATTTCCCTGTTTTATTATCAGTATCTGGGCTTAGTCTTATCTCTCGTGCTTCTCTAAGCCTCCTTGAGAGCAGGGACTCTCATTCATTCTGTGTGTGGCTCACAACTCCGAACACAAAATTTTATGTAGCTGGGAGTAAAAAACTGTCAGCCAAGTAGTGGGCTATTTGTTTATTCAGTCAGTCATTCATTTGATGTCTATAGTCCTACATTCTGTACACAGTCCTACATCCTCCACACACTACTTCTTCTATATTAAAATAACATTTTAAAGAATTTTCCCCAGTCTACAAATCTTATCATTTCAGAATCTCAGCCATACAGCATATACTCTTTCCAGGGGCATTCCACTCCAGTCTGCAGTCTTGAGTTTAAAGACATTGACATGGTTTGGCTCTGTGTTCCCATCCAAATCTCATCTCAAATTGTAATCCTCATATGTCAAGGAAGGATCTGGTAGGAGGTGATTGGGTCATGGGGCGGTTTCCCGCATGCTGTTCTCGTGATACAGAGGGAGTTCTTAATGAGATCTGATGGTTTAAAAGTGGCAGTTTCCCCTGTGTGCGCGCTCTCTCTCTCTCTCTCTCCTGCTGCCATGTAAGACTGGCCTTGCTTCCCCTTCTCCTTCCACCATGATTGTAAGTTCCTGAGGCCTCCCAGCCATGCAGACCTGTGAGTCAATTAAACTGCCTTCCTTTATAAATTACCCAGTCTCAGGTATTTCTTTATAGCAGTGTGAAAACAGACTAATACAGATATAAAGTCAAGGCATGAAGGTGCTCTATGTTTTTGACCACAGACAGCAGAAGAGGCAAGAGGCTGGAACAGTAGAAAAATAGAGGCAGCAAGAGTAAGTCCTTGCAACAGGTGGTTTAGGTGAATTAAATTAAAAGCCCTAAGACCCTAAGAAATTCAAAGCAGTAATAGGCTTTGAGCTTAAGTCTTCACCCTGTGTATACAGCATAGCCTTGGGAAAGTCACTTTTCTCCCCAGATCTGTTTTCTGATGGGTGGATTGGCATGGATGATGTCTGTCTTTCAGATTGTATATGGGATTAGTATAATTTCTGAGAAATTTCTCTGTCAACTCAAAAGGGTTATGCAAATGGTATTACCTAAATAAAAGCCCAGAGCTTCTAGTTTAGAAGACAAGGTGTGGGCACACAAGGAAAGAGGGGAGGTGGGCACTGAGGAGGCTGAAGTGAGAGGACAGGGAGCTTGTAGTTCTCCTGCAATGTATGAGGTAAACGAAACAGAGAAGCTTGAAAAGGGGAAGCAGAACCCTGTAGAAGCACCACTCAGGGCTAGGAGCAGGCTGGCTGCCAAGGGGCTCCCACAGAAAATGAGTCTGGAGAAGAAGAGGTGACAAAGGAAGACCAAAGTCTCTCTAAGGAGATTCTGCTGTACTTGCTACTGGGAGGACATAAGAGGATCAGTAAAAGCATCCAATGAAAGGAGGAGGAACCACAGAAGCCAATGCTGGAGAAAGTGGTTAAGCCAGGCAGTCTGGTCAGATCACAATCCCATTTCTTCTTCCTGGACATGCAGCCAACTACAATTCTCAGACTCCCTTGTAGTTAGGTGTGGTCACCTGACTGAGTTCTAGCCAAAGTAATGTGAACAGAATGATATGGGTCACTTCCAGACCAGGCACATACCGACCTTCTGCCTTTCTCTGTGCTGTTTTCCATCCTTGTGTGCGCACATTCAGGGTGACTTCAGAAGCCAAATGTTGAAGATGGTAGAGCCACAAGACAAAAGGATCAGGTTCCCAGATCACTGCTTGGAGGATAGAGACCTATCAGTCATGACAACCATTTTAGACTCTATATCACCAAGAAAAAAAAAACAATTATATTGTTCAATCCAATGTACAATTGGGGGTGAGTTTATTAGAGCAGCTATCATTACCTTAATTAGTATAGCACGATGAGGCTAGAGAGGTGACTGAGGAGACCAATGGCTGCATTTTTAAATAATCAAGTGTAAATTATATAAGAGAGGAAGGAGAAACAGGTGGGAGAAAGAAGAGGCTGGTAGATGGTATCTATGGACGGTTTTTGAAGACAGGACTCCAAAATAAAGAATATTGAAATGTTCTTTTACACAAAGAATGTGCACCTCACGACCTGAACAGTCCACGTCCACTCCTGCTTGGCAGCTCCCATCTACTCCGTGACCCCGCCCCTAGCACTTAACCTTTCCTTGGCTTTCTATTTATAGCCAGAAAAGAAAAATACCAATCAAATTTCTGTAAAAGGTTGCCTAAAACTCCAAGTTCCTGTCCTGCTTTTCTCTCTCTTTTTCCCCCCAAATAATTTTTGATTGTTTAATGTGGGAAAATGTTTTATGAGAATTGCATTCCTTTCTGAGCCGCTGCCTGGGTCATTAATTAAACAATAGACAAAGGGAAACATTAACTCGAGGGGATTTTATAATAACAATCTTTAGGGCTGAACCAGGATTGGCTAAGAACATGAAAGGAATTGGAAGATTTGCGGCCATCTAGCTACAGGAGAACAAAGTTCACCTTTCCCTTCTTCTCCTCCCAACAGGTATGCTCCAAAGATGATGCCTCATTAATTCTGTGGTCCTGTCAGTTTCTAATATTTCTAAAATGTTCTCAGATGCTCAGGCAAGCACAGACCAATGAACGAATGTAGATACTAAAGGCAAAGTTTTACAGGACTCTAAAGCCATTCAGGCAAAGACAAGGTGTAAACAGAATTTATTCTAATTACTATTATTATTTTTATTATTTTAATCAGATAGGTCTATTCAGGACATGCAAGCTTAGCTTTTGAGTCTTGGTCATAAACCTTTGGGCATTTTTTTCTAAGTCCTTGTAATAGCAACAATGAGAGATTAAGCTAGAAAATAAATCTACTAATGAGTAGCTATCTTATAATTAGTAAGCACTCTCCTTCATATAAAATTCCATGCCAGTCTCTAATAGCCACCCTCTGTACTCACGTAGAGCCTTTCATCTGAGATGCCCAAAGTACTTCTTGCTAATACCAGTGCCAATTCTCTCAGAATTTCTGTAAGTCAGGGAACTAGAATTCCCATTCATACGGCATACTGACTGTTCCTGACATCTAAGCCCTTCTGTCTCCATCTTATGTAGTTGTAGGTGGGCCCCTGCCCCAGGTCACTGTGGTACCCACAGCTCAATGAAGGGGAGAAAGGATCCTATCAAGGTAGGAAATTCTGGTTGCAGCCACATAGGAGACAATGGGACAGAAAGGAAGCTACTTCATTGGAGTTAGGCCTGACTGCAAACCCTGGCTCCTGTGTTTCAGCAAATTAACTACCCTCTCTGAGCTTCAGTTTTCTCATCTATAATCAAGAATGGGGCCAGGTACAGTGGTTTACACCTGTAATCCCAGCACTTTGGGAGGCCAAGGCACAAGGATTGCTTGAGGCCAGGAGTTTGAGACCAGACCAGGCAACGTGACCCCATCTCTACCAAAAAAAAATTTTTTTTAAGTTATCTGGGTGTGGTGGGGCACACCTGTAGTCCCAGCTACTCAGGAGGCTGAGGCAGTAAGATCCCTTGTGCCCAGGAGGTCAAGATTACAGTGAGCTATGATCATGTCACTGCACTCCAGCCTGGGCAATGAGTGAGACTCTGTTGAAAAAATAATAATAATAAAACAAAAAAGGATGTAATATAATAGTACAGTTCTTGACCCACATTAGGCACTCAATAAATACTTGCTTGGGGTATGAGGCTGTATCAGCCTTCATATCCTCAATTTCATTGTATCTTTGAAAGTAAGCAATGTTGTGTCTGGTTAATACTTGGTTGAGGGCCTGCGTGGGAATAATGCTCATAGTAAGCACTCAGTAAATCCTAGTGGAATTGTCTTGCATTGGGAGAGTCTATTTCCAATGTCCATGCCACCCAAGCCAACTTGAGTTTTCCACAAGAACAATCCAATATTATCTCATGTAAATTCTAATCCCTGTGTTTGAAAGATTTTTTTTAGGTGCAATTGTAACCTCCCTCTTCAGTATACCTGGGTTGATTTTCCAAATCCCTTCCTGTTCTGCATTCATAACCAATGGGGAATACTGTTATGAATTGTATCACTTTGTTAAATACCAATAAAAAATTATTAGTTACAGCCAGATGCAGTGGCTCACACCTGTAATCTCAGCACTTTGGGAGGCCGAGGCAGGTGGATCACCTGAGGTCGGGAGTTTGACACCAGCCTAACCAACATGGGGAAAACCCGTCTCTACTAAAAATACAAAATTAGCTGGGTGTGGTGGTGCACACCTGTAATCCCAGCTACTTGGGAGGCTGAGGCAGGAGAATCGCTTGAACCTGGAAAGTGGAGGTTGCAGTGAGCCAAGATCAGGCCATTGCACTCCAGCCTGGGCAACAAGAGAGAAACTCTGTCTCAAAAAAAAAAAAAAAAATTATTAGTTACAGGGATTTGTTGAAAGGATTTCTTATGTAAAATTGTCTTGTATAAACTTTAATGTATTAATTATACTTTGTGGATTTGTTTGAATTATTTTTAGAATGTGAATCGTTTAGTCCTTTCAGATATTTGAAAACAAAATAATATACTTTGGATTATAAATATCATATTTTCATTAGATTTTTCATAACTCTACCAAAAATCCAGTCATGCCATTCGGCAATCAAAAGCTATAAAGTTACGAGAAGCTCCAATTTTCTGGATCTGAAAATTAAAAAACAATTTATAAACTTATTTGGAAGGCCATGATAATGACACCACATTTACTCAGAACTCACTTATCTAACCTCAGCCTGTTCAAAATATTGAAATAACCAAAAAGTAAGAATGAGCTTGGAAAAGGGAAGCTTCTGAGCAGGCAAAATAGACATTAATATGTTAAACATCTATATTTCATGGTTGTGAATTTCATTGACAAGAGATCTTTTAGAATATCACTCAGAGCTAAGTACTCTTATTTTGTCCACAATGCTAACAAGTTTTTCATTCGATTTTGCCCATTGTTGGTGGATGAAAAGCAGCATATCAGAAGTGTGTAGACATTAGAGAGAAGAAGAGTTCTCCTGGGTGTCAGCCCATAAGCCAAGAAACCAGCTGGTTTTTGCATAACTATTTGTCTGGCACTTTAGCAGATATTAAGGGAGAGAAAAGTAATAGTGATTGTCCTTACCTTCCCCACCTTACACCTTGGTTGGTAGTAGAAAAGGGACACATACAGGAAACAACTAGAGAACAAATAAATTGTGCAGTACCGGCCATATGCACTAAAATAACTCAGAGAAGGGAGACATCAGCATGGAAGACAGTACAACAGATTTCACTGAGACCAAATCTTCTGAAAAATTATAAATTACAGCAAGCTCTCTGTCTTAAAGATAAAAAAAAAATCTGGAAAGTGGTATCTTGAAATCATTGTGGTAAACATTTCTCTTTGGCCCTAAGACCAATTTTGAGACAATTACATTTTTATTTTACCAGGTGGTAAGGCAGTTAAGAGTGGGGACCTGCCAGCACCCATTCTTTTGTCCTACAGAGCATATAGCTGTGCTGTGTACAGAAAAGCCAATTGTAAATATTTGTCAAATTGAATTTCCAAGTCAGGGCATATTAATATACTCTGTTAATTATCACATTAAAACCTAAACAGGTGGTAAATTTAGATGAGATGCAGAGAAAAATGCAAAACCAGCTAAGAGCTCAAACGGACTAGGAAATACCTAAAAGATTGGGGAGAAAAGCAAAGGTTTGCTCAGAAGAGATGAACAGGAAGTTTTAGGAAACTTCAAATATCTAAAACACAGGGATGATTTCTTTGCACATACCTGGAAAACCAAATTAGGGGAAATCAACTTAAGGTGTAGAAGGAGCGATTTCGATACCAAGGCATTTGGAATGTACTCTTGAATAAAATTATGTTTTTTAATGTTTTCTTTCATATGCTGCTCTTTAAATGGTTCTGTGAAATAGCATGGAAGCAGAGTCATGGGTTCAGTGACACATTCAGTAGCCCTGGGCTGAAAGAACTGTGTAAGGCCCACTCCCCCACCCCACCCCACCAACCCTGCCAATCCACAAGAGCACTGATACCTTCTGAGAAGGGGCTCCTTCTCAATGGGGTTCATGCAGATTATACCTGGAATCAGGATTCTGAACAACTCCTTCATGAACCGCTCTGCTCATGACCCAGGTTGGGAAAGAGGCCCATCTGTCTGCTAGAATCAGCGGGAAACAGTGATGGTAAAGGCATGAGCCAAAGGTTCTGAAGGTGGGAAAATGTACACACACAAGACTCGCTGCCTGACTCCTTGGACAAAGACAGATGCTGGCTTGGTGTGATTTAAGGGACACCAAGATAATTCGCCAAATCTCTTTCCTATCAACAAGAAAAACAAGCAACGCAGTATAATGAAGAGAGGATTGTGCTAGGCCTGGGGAGGTCCGAGTCCAAATCTTGGTTCCATGTTATATTGATCTAGCTACTTCACCTTTCTGGGACTCAGTTTCCTCATAACAAGTTATTCTGAGGACTAAATGAGATCATGTATTAAGTACCTGGTACAATAGTAGCCACACAGTACACGCTCATTCTGTGGTAGCTTCTATTCTGCAACAGCAGGGACCTGCTTTTGACCTAAGCATTGTTAGGTTGTCACTATTGCCCTTCTGTAAATGAAAGTATAACAAGGAGTTGCTCTGCACACCCATAGATAAATACACAGGTAAGTTAACTTCTGTTGCTTGGAACTCAAAATCTTTTTTTTTTTTTTTTTGAGACGGAGTCTCGCTCTGTCGCCCAGGCTGGAGTGCAGTGGCGCGATCTCTGCTCACTGCAAGCTCCGCCTCCCAGGTTCACGCCATTCTCCTGCCTCAGCCTCCCGAGCAGCTGGGACTACAGGGAAACTCAAAATCTTAGTAGGAAAATCCTCAGCTTGCTTTGTCAACCTAGGAAAGGAAGTTCACCAGGAAAGTATAAAAGAGGGTGGTTCCCAGAAAATTAAATCACTTCAGCAGAATTTGAGGTATAAAATGAAGCACTGAAGAAAACGGATGCTTTTATTTCTCCATATAATGGAATTCAGAAGTTCTGCACATACATCGAAGAATATTTTAAGAATAACAATTATTCACCTGGACACTTCCAGACAAAACCAAAGGTTTGAATCCATGCTGGCATAGAAGACACAAGAAAGGGAAATCACAAATGACACAGTGGGAGCACAGGAGTCTCACTCTCAGCGGGCCTGTGGCCAGTGACATTCTTCAGTTTTCCTTGCCATTGTCTGCTGCCCAATCAGCTCTACTTGGTAGAAGGAGCTGGCCACTGGATCCAGATGGAGCTGCTGGGAATGAATGCCACACTGGGCAAGCAGGGCCCTGTGGTTCCATAGGGAGGCGAGAGTACCAGGACTGCTCAGTGGAGAAGATGGGCACAAATTGAAACAAACCAAACTGCTTGACTGAATGCTGCTGCCCAGAAATATAATTGAGGGAGGCTAGGATTGGAGTGGGAATCAGTGAACCTGGTTAGAGCTTTCTGGGGTAACTCAGAGGAAAAATTATGCAAAGTGAGTTGGGCAAATTAACTGTAGGAACTACCCTGATTTAGCAAGAGATAAGATAGGGAGGAGTCTAGAGCAGAGAATGGAAAAAACAGGCAAAGCAAGGCCCCGTGCACAGGGCCCAGGCTGCCTCACCCAGACAGCTTCAGGAACTTGGATAGGAATACTAGAGATAAAGCATATTCTAGTCCCCAGGACCTGGGGCCTCAGTTCGAAACCTTTCTCTGTCTCTTTTTTTGCATGTAAATATAAAACAATGGCTGGCCACTAATGGTTGTTTCTCCCCAAAGTAAAACACAGACAAAGAAAACAAAAAGTTCCACCAGCCAGACGTAAACTAATGATATATGTTCCAGGTAAGTGGTTATCTGCAAATCTGTCTTAGATCAAAGAATTCTCTCTCTCTTTTTTATTTTTGGTCTGTGAACAGGCAGGAAAAACTGGGGTTTCCCAGGCATGCACACTTACTTGCTGCTCAAAGAAACACTCAATCTGTTAGAACTTTTTGATGGCATGTGAGGCCTAGGGTGTGATTTCCATTATCTATTAAATGGTAAGTACGTAATAAGCATAGTAGATTTACAGTAGAGTCTATCTCAGTGAAGATGTTATTGCTAGAAATATTTATTAAAATTTTCTAAAAATATTCACTTATGCTGTGTAAGAAAAATGCTGCGTAGGATGCTAAAAGTGGCGTAAAATATTAGCAAAAAACCTACCCTCTCAGAGTGTACATTCTAGGAAAAATGATGCGACCTCAAATAATGCTCCCCGACTATTATCTGAGTATTTGCTATATGCAAAATGCTTTGTGCACATTGTTTACTTAATCCTCACAATAACCGATGAAAGAGATTAAATTATCTCAATTTTACTGAAGTTCAGAAAGATTGAATAACTTGCCTAAATTCACATGGTCACATGGTAAAAAAGACATCTATTGTTTCATCTATCTACATCTCCTCTTCTTTTTTTTCAATCCCAATCTCTTTCTTCTGAGGATCTGGTCTTCAAGATCCCCCTGTCCCTAATGCGCGAGTGCATGCACACACACACACACACACACACACACAAAATGTGCTTCTATTGGGCCAATCATAGACCTCTGCATTCCTGATCGTGTGATACAAATCAAACCAATCAGAGTTCTTCTTTGGTGTCTTCAAATTGGAACTAAGGTGAGAGAGTTCCTTCTTTCTGACCCTCTTGTGAAATGAAGCTTGGGCACATGAACTTTGGGGTTGCCAAAACACATAGTTCTAGCCTGTTGGAAGATGCTGGTCTGAGGAAAGAGAGTCAATACCAAGAAATAACTAGAAATATGAAATAAGAGACATCAAAGACAGCAGTGTGCTGGTCATTAACAACTAGTTCTCCAAATGTAGTTCTGACACAAATGGTGGTTGGTAATTTTCTTTAGGTGAGTAAAATGAAAGTAAATCAACAAAGACACATACTGGAGCTTGACTCACTTTTCAGTGATATGACTGACTGCTTTGCCAAGTCAAATAATTGTTCTTAAAATCTGAAAGATCTTAGCAATTTTCGATGCTATTCACAATGTAAGAACTGCAGATACAACACACTTTCAAGTTCAATTTGCATTGTCAACATTTTCTTCCTCACTTTCTTAAGTCTAGAATCTAGACAATCAACAAAACAATAGATTAAGCCTTGGTTTTAAGCATTCATTCATTTCTATGGTTTAAATGCCTCCACTACGGACATTTTCAAGCTTCCAACATGACATCAATACATATGAAGTTGGAAAGAGATGTATAATAGCACACCACTGTACAGGGTTTCCACCATACCAATACCACAGATATGAAGAATCTCAAAGGTGTAGATAATAGCAAAATGCGGTAAAATAATTGAGAAGTAATGAGGTTTTAGAGTTTATTACTTTTGTATTTAATACAATTTTTACTCATGAGTTTATATCATTTATTTTTTAATAATGTTATATTTAACAACTGGCTTACAAAATCCCTCAAAATCAAACAGTTGGCTCTCAAGAACTAGCGCGAGCCACATTCAGCACCCCACAGGCTCCATTTATTCCTAAGAATAAACTTATTCCCACCCTGATTTCAGGAGCCTACAAATGCTCTAATTTGTTCAACCTAGAGATAAAGTGTCTTTTCAGTTGCTTGCAACCAAAAGAATCTTAGCTAATTTAAGAAGTCCCTCTTGGCTACAGTGGACAGGGAAGGCTTCGTCAAAGAGACAGAGCTAAAGCGCCCACCTCTGAAGGCCAATTTTCCAGACGACTTAGTTTCATTTTTTTGAAAAAATTGAAGAAATAACCATGCCCCCCACTTTGATAAAAGGAATTTTCAACTCTGGAAAACCTGGCCATGCTGTGCCACGATCCCTTTAAATGTCTTCCCAGATGAAGAATGTTTCATCAGCTGAACGGAGCCTCCAACCCCTGCAGAACCTGGGAGGATGTTAGCAGCTCACAGCCCTGCTCCCAGGAGGCTCGGCATCATTCTGTGAAACTGCACAGGGTGGAGCCCTGGCTTCTCCCTGGAGAGGAAGTAGCTGCAGGAATGCCAGATGTGGCATTCCCACAGCAGCTGGTGGAGGGGCCGTGTCTCCCAGCATGAGGAGCAGCTGCAGAGACTGAGCCCCAGAAGTTTGCACAGGCCAAGGAGAACCCAAGCTACCTGGGGCCTGAGGCAACACAGGCTGATAAATAGAGCATAATTTGGGTCTGATTCTCCCACCCTGCCTTTGTCTCCTTCCACCGGTGTTTAGTAAACCTTTTTAAAGAGTTATTCCAAGTGCTTTTTCAAGCCTCTAATCTGTCTTCAAAAATATCCTGGAGGAGGAAATGAAGATTGTTTGCTGCAGAAGACAAGGTGGAAATGGCCAGGAAAAGTCTCTTCTGAACACCTAGATGAAAGCCACAAATGAGGGTGGGGAGAGCTTGGACAGAAGCCAGCCAGGGCTACTGGCCTGCCTGTCCTGCAGTTTTTAAACTAAGGGGTAACTGAAGTCCTCTGCTCTGTGTGAAGGCCAGGGGTGGGGGATGCGGCGGAGGAGAAGTCGGGGTGGAGAGGCTGTGGACAAAAAGGATGAGAGGGCTAGAGGTGGGGGAATGAGAGGAAATCAAGTGTGAGCTCATCTTAGGTCTTGTTTAATGTACGGTTTTGGGGGGTGGGGTAGGAGATGGACCTTCAGCCCTGCATCCAAAGTTGATTAAAATCCTGAAATTTTTCATAATTGGACCTCATTAATAAATTCCTCAGGGTTCCAGGAGGCTCTGTAGAGGTAAAACAAGGGTTTGGAGAGATGAGAGCAACAGGAGGTTGGAAGATCCCAGACCACAGAGTTAATTCCACTTAATCAGCCTGGAGAAACTCCACATTTACAACACATCCGAGGACTCAATGAGGCCTCCCACCCTCTGCAGCACGGCAGGGATTTTTCTCATTTACTTCTCCCTTATTTTTTAACCCCTATTTCCAACATGAATAATAAGCTGCCCCACAAGTTAGCACTAATGCTCCTCTTCTCTCCGGAGGAAGTTTACTGTGTCTGCGGTAGGCATAACTCCAGAGCTTGGGGAAGGGAGGATTCCACCTCCCAGCCTCCTCTCTTCGTTTTGCCACCCACCATCTCCCACCACCCCCTGCTCCACTTGCTTCCTCGCCTCTCACTTTTGAGAACATATATTCTCAGTTGTTAGCTTGTCCTCCAATTCACACGTAATCTCTGTGATGCTTAATTTTATGTGTCAACTTGGTTGGGCTAAAGGATGCCCAGATAGCTAGTAAAACATTATTTCTGGTTGTGTCTGTTAGAGTATTTTTGGAAGAGATTAATACTTTAATTGGTAGACTGAGTAAAGAAGATCATCCTCACTAATATGGCCAGTCATCACCTAATCAATCCATTGAGGGCTGAACAGAACAAAAAGGCTGAGGAAGGGAGAAGTCAGTCTCTTCTGCTTGAGCTGGGACATCCATCTTTGCCCTCAGACATCAGCCCTCCTGGTTCTCTAGCCTTTGAATTTGGACGGGGATTTACATTAGTGCCACACCCTCCCTTGCTTCTCAGACCTTTGGGTTTGGACTGGAACTACTGCCCCAACTTTCCTGGCTCTCTAGCTTGCATACAGCAGATTGTGGGACTTTTCAGCCTCCATAATTACGAGAGCCAAGTTCCATAATAAATCTCTTTCCATATATCCTATGAGTTCTATTTCTCTGCAGATTCCTGACTAATACAATCCCAAACCTTGAATTGAGACATTAGCATTAGCTTGTTGCCATGCCAAATCTTTAGTGGCTAACAAGTGGCAAGCTTGCTTGGTTTGTAATGTATCTTTTCTCTTTCCGTTACTAAAAGTGAGCCTGAGCTGCAAAACACCCAACAACCAGATACTTCAGAAAAAAAGCAAACAAGAAACAAAGAGCCTGAGCGATGCCCAAACTGGGAAGCCAATCTCTGAATAGGAGTGGGCCAGGGTCAAATGCAGGCTTTTGTCAGGGATCCAAATGGCTCATTCTCGTAGCATCTATATCTTGCAAATGTCTCCTTCCTTTCTTGAACATTTTAGTGAGGAGAGTTACCCAGCAAAACTATGTGGCACGGAAGGGGCATTGCAGTTCAACCTCAAGAACCATCCCCAAGAACCATCACATAAACACCAAGGTGGCTGGTCCTCAGCACAGGACTCACTCTCATGTCTTCTATGAGATGTGACTTTTTTCACTGTGCAGGCTAGGGTTGAACTACAGAGAAAAGGGAGTAGAGAAGGAGGGAGAAGGGAGAAAGGGTCAATTTAGCAATGGCAGTGGAACCTGAGAAGGAAAGTCATCCCAGATGTGCAGCTACCTCCTTACCACACCCTCAACCCATGCCCATCTCCACACCCCAATTTCAAGCTGGGGAGCAAGAGAGCAGGCTGCCTCCTTCACTTCCAACTTTGCCTCTCTTTTCCTATCCCCCTGCTAGTGTGCATTTGGAATGTTCCTTTCTCTTCACTCTTCACCATTCTGTGCTTTAACATCCCCTCATCCCATCCCAATACAGAAAAATAAAAGGTTTCTTTTTGTTGTTCTCTTACAATTACAGAGAAATCTCAGGGGACCCAATACTGACATGAACTGGCCCAGCTCTCTCTACCTACCTTGGGAAAGAGTCCAGGAGGCTTCAAAATCCTGCCCCCAGGGTTTGATTCCAACTATTTGACATTCTGGAAAAGTCAAAACTATGGCGACAGGAAAACATCAGTTGTTGCCAGTGGGAAGGAGTGAGGGAGGGATGAATAGGTATAGGTGGAGGACAGAGGATTTTGAGGATATTGAAACCACTCTGTATGATACTATAATGGTGGGTACATGTCACTATATAGATGGTCCTGGACTTACAATTTTTTGGCTTTATAATGGTGTGAAACCATTGCAATTTCGATGCACTTTGAATTTCTAATTTTGATCTTTTCCGAAGCTAGTGACAGGGTACATGAAATATTCAACACTTTATTATAGAATAGGCTTTGTGTTAGATGATTTTATGCAAATATAGGATAATGTAAGTGTCCTGAGCATGTTTAAGGTAGGTTAGGTGTATTAAATGCATTTTCAACTTACAGTGAGTTTATCCAGACATAACCGCTTCTGAATTGAGGAGCATTTGTACATTTGTCCAAGCCCATAAAATGCACAGCACCAAGAATGAACCCTAATGTAAACTATGGGTTTTGGGTGTTAATGATGTGTCAATGTAGGTCCTTCTGTTGTAACAAATGTACCACTCTGGTGGGGATGCTGGTAATGGGAGAAGCTATGCATGTGTGGGGGCAGGAGGTATATGGGAATTCTCTGTACCTTCTTCTCAAAAAAAGCATTTTATGTGATAATAGATTATGATTAATGAATGCTTGTTCTACACTAAATTTTCAAAAAACTAATTCTGACCCTCGGCATTGGTACGGCATCCCTCAGGAGGCAGGACAGTGATGTGTGCTCATCTCCTACCTGCTACCTACAGCCTGGGTCACGTTTCACCCTGAACTGGGCTTTTCAGGGCTTGGCCAGGTTCCACCTGGAATTTCACCCTTAAAAAGTGAAGGGTGGATGAAGAGGGGGTTCACTTTTTACTCCACATATATTTATAACTTGGAATTTTACAAGAATACCTCCATGTATTTCTTCTATAAAAGTAAAATAAAATAAAATAAATAGAACTTTGCAATATTAGTTAAGCCTCTGATTTCAATTATAAACCAGATGTCTGCTTGAACATTTCCACTGTCGTGGATCCCTTATACTTGGTCTGTACCCCGCATATGATGCCTAAGATGGATGAATCCCCTCCCTGTGATTTTCCTGCCTTTATTCCTCTTCGTCCTCTGCCTTGGCCCTGCTGCCTCAATGGAGCCCTGTAGCAGTGTGTCACAGACTCCAACCCCTTCTCTGTTTCTACAGGAAACCCAGGCTCACTCAGCTTTTCATGAGTTTGGTAACTCCATGGGGAGTTGTGAGAAGGCATCGCAGGACTCCATCCCCAGCTCCTGCTGCCCCTATCTCAGCCCCTTGGGGAGTAAACTCCACACCCTCCCACTGCCTGCCTTCCTTGACACCCCCACTGGAACTCTCATGAATCCATTCCTTTCAATCTTCTTCCAAAGTAACAGAAGCTAACTCTAGCTAACTTAAACCAAAAGGGGAAATATGTTAGGATGAGAGGGTCTCAGGAAATCCAGATGGACCATAAGAAGATCTGTAGAGCCCTGGCATCTCTGGGCCTCTCCTCTCTATGAAATGGAGATGGCTGCCATCCACAGGGTGGCTGTGGGTAGGGGATGCTCTCTTTACCTGAAGCATCCAGTTTGCAGTGGGTTCTCAGGAAATATTGATTCTCTTCTTCCCTTACGTAGGCCCTTGACCCCATGAGAGTGATCTTTCTACAACACCATGTGGCCAGGCCACTTCCTTGCTTAAAACCTTCTGTGCCTCCCCAGATCCCTCAGCATAAAGTCCTAGCTCCTCCATCTGCAGTGTTTTTTCTCTCTGCAGTTATCTATCTCTGCTTCTCCATCCATGCAGTGGGCTGTAGCTGTCCCTTAGCACCCAAGTGTCCAGCTACACAGAAAGAAAACTGGCTCCTCAGTTTCAGACTGGAAAGGAGTATCAGACTGGCCCTTGTCTAACAATCTCAACCAGGAGGAAAGGGGTCGTAGAACAATGGGTCACGCGAAAGGGGAACGATCCACAGCTAGGCATGCTCAGGCGTGATCACAATCTTGCAGATGGCTAAGTAAAATTCCTCTGAAGATTTGATATTTGGGTATAGTTTCAAAAAGGGGATTTGTTTTGTTTTGTTTTCATTGAATGGAAACAAAGCACAGATTTTGAAAACAAATCCATTTGGTTTTGAATCTCTGCTTGGTCACTTAATAATAACTGGGCAGTGTTGAGAAAGCCACTTAACCCCTCCGGTCCTCAATGTCCTCATGTATGAAGTAGAGATGGCTGCCGTTCACAGGATGGCCATGGGTGTGGGATGCTCTCCCTCTTACCTGAAGTTTGTGGTGGGTTCTCAGGAAATATTGATTCTCTTCTTCCTTTACATAGGTCCTTGATGCCATGAAAGTGATCCTTCTACAACACCATGTGGCCATGCCACTCCCTTGCTTAAAACCCTTCTGGGGCTCCTCATATCCCTCAGCATAAAGTCCTAGCTCCTCAAGATAACATAAAAAGCCCTGAAAGCACTCTCTGCCCTCCTCTCCACTCATTCCCCACCACTTCTGTGCCCCTGCCATGGAAACAACTTACCGTTCCCAGCACCCCTCGTGCCCTCTCTCCTTCCCTTCTCCTCTTTCCCCCACTGACTCCCCAATCTTGTCTGTCTAATGTCTACTCCTTCCTGGGGTCTATTTACTCAGGAAAATCTTCTTTGGCCATCACTTCCATCCATAATGCTGTACTGAGTCTCTTCCAGATGCTCCTGGTTAGAACCCTCCTCAGTGTTCCTGAGAACCAGCCTAGACAGTGAGAATGGCCTCAGAAACTCTACTTTGCAAGGCAGTCCAGTCCACTGCTATCTCCTAGAAGGTTCTACCACTCTCATCCTAATTGGCAGTAGAGCCAAAAATGCCTCTCCATAATTTTCATCCAATGATCTTAGATTTTACCCTAGAACAGCCTTCAAATTACTTGGAGCTTGAATCTTACTACCCCTAATCTATCTTTCCATTCCTTTTACTGGACCTCAAGAGACGTGGTCCAGCGAACATCTATCATCCTGTAATATTCTTTAATTTGTCAGTATTCTTCTCAATCCCTGGCGCTCTTAGGTGAGTCCAACCACCACCTCCTTCATTATGGATCCTACAGACCTATGCAGCCTCAGACTTAGGGGCCTCTTTATCCAGGTAAGCCACCCTGCCTAGGTCCCGTGAGCTTCTGGTTAACCATGCCCCCTCCAAGCCCTTAGCATATGACCTGCTGCAGTGCCATGTCCAATCTCTCCCCATTCCCAGGCTCATGGAAGTGCCTAAAGTTACACAACAAGCCAAGGGCAGAGACTAGGAGATATCTCAAGATTTATAATCTCTAGTCTAGCATGGTTTAGCAATTCACTTGTCCACAATTCTTTGAGCTGATGGCCTTATATATGTTAATAATAATAAGTATGGCTAATACATATTGAAGGTTTACTCTGTGCCAGGATAGGCTAAGAAATATATGTGAGTTTTCTCATTTAAGCCTCACAACAAGTCCTTAGGAATTTTACAGATGAGGAAACTAAAGTTTAGGGAGATTAAGAAATGTAATCCACTAGCTTAATAGAATGAAGGCTTAGGTTAGACATCAAAGCAATAAGATCTCAGAGCATATTAAATACGACAGCTGTGAACTCCCATATTTATTTTCTAAAATTAGGAATTTCCTAATTTAAGCCCTCCCAATGACCAGACTTGATTTCAATTAAACACAGAGGAAGATAACTCACATCAATCAAGTGAAGTCTGGGGGTACAGAGTACTAGCACAGCCCCCAGGGCACAGTCCTCTCAAGTGTTCTTCTAGGCATGGACAGGCCCCTCCTTACAAAATGTTCAGAAGTCCTAGAGCTTTTGCCTCATCCACTCACCCTGTTTCTAACCCCGAATGTGGTGTGAGAACAGGTCTTGCAGCCTTGCAAAGCTTCTGTAGACATCTGCTGTCTCTCTTACATTTACATAACAAGGCTCATCTCTGATTAATTAATTTGATGACCTCCAGTCAATCTGGTGTCCGAACTTCAAACTGTGGTAAAACCTTATTTATCTATTTAACACAATTCCAAGCGTTCCTTATATTCCATTTTTAAAGCCAGTAATAGCTTCTTTTTATAGCTAAACCATGAAATGAGAAACTGGCATTGCGTTAGATTGGTTCCTAGGTAAAAGAGTGCTCATAAGGCTAGTGGCTTTCTGGTAACACTGATCCACCTGGGACTGGTGGGTAAAGATGTCCTCAATCCCATCCCATCCCTTGTAATCCCTGTACAATGAAGACAGCTTTGTCCACCAAACCTTTCACCCACTCCTGGAGCTCAGGAGGATGAGAGGCTGTCAGCCAATGTTCTGGACAAATGCTCCCCATGGAAATTTCTGCTAATTGAACTCAGATCTTGCCTTGCTTGTTCTGAAGCAGGATCAGAGATCTGACTGCTGACTGTGTGGCTTCCCAGAAGATTTAGAAACATGCTTGATGTGGGTATGGGATAGGGACAGGGGAATTCTTGTGGCCTGGGGGCAGAGGAGGGCTCCAAACACAACATCAGGGCTTGGCAAAACCCAAGAACACTATGCCAAGACCTTTTCCCTTCACTTGTAAGCCCATATGCATTTGAAAGGGAACTTAGTCCTCATTTCAGGAGTGAGTACACATTAGTCATCAGTGCACAGTGATAGTAGCACTGGGGACTCATACCTAGAATGCCCCCCCCCTTTTTTTCCTATCCAATTTCTTCTTATCCACCAGAATCCAGTTTATTTTTACCAGGACTTCTCCATCAAGTCTAGCTCACAGTAACTACTAGCCTATGACAACATAACACTTGTTGCTAGAAAGATATCTCTTGACATGTTCAGCCTTAAGGCATCTTTTGAAATTTTTAGACTATGTGTATTTATACACATATACATGCATGTGCATATTACAGTTTTTCATGCACTTACTCAAAAACTGTTTACTGACAACCTACTGCTGCCAGACACTGAGCTGGGTACTAGGGACATGATGGAGAACAAGATAAGCAAGGTCTTGACCCTTACAGACCTCACAGTGGGGAACTCTATGGCTCGATGACTATATCCACAGGATTTTAATTTATGGAGGTGACCAAGTGATGACACAAAGAGCCTGATGCTATTAAAAGAAGATATTTATCACTTACCTTTCCCCCAGAGAAGGCACACAACACCATGCAAGGCCACCTAGGGAGCACCCGGTTTTGGTCAGGAGGCAGAAGCAGGAGCAAGGAGGGGAAAGTCTAGGCTGGAGTTTTCATTGGGGTTTCTGCAGGAGAACTAAAACTGGGCAGAGTAAACAGTTTCAGGTTGGCTAGTTTGAATCATTCTGGCAGGCTTTGGGCTCTAGGAGTGTTCTCTAGTTGTCTGATACCTGGCCCTGGAATGAATTAGGGCAGATAAATACCGGACTGGTATATGAGAGTTAAAGGGGGTTACTGAAGGTATAGACTCTGTTGTTCTATTGGTTTGTTTGCCTATGAAAGGCGAGCCTTTTGTTATCTGTAAGACAGACCCTAGGAGGGTCAGTCTCTCCCCGGACAGCAAAATTTTCAAGATGTCAAAACATCATAAAATTCAAAACATTTTTAAAAACACTATTAATACACTGTATCCATCAGGGCTCAGAATGGACAACAGAACATACTGTAGATATTTGAAACAAAAAGGATTTAGTGTAGGAACAGAGTGTTTATGAAATTACTGAAAGGGCTGAAGAGGAAGTCTCAGGGTCCACCAATGGATAATGTATTTTAATGGCATACGGTTCTAACTTGGATCTGGAAGTAGCAAAGATGCTGCTGCTACCAATACTGCTGTCCCCTCCAGAATGACATATCCCCACAAAGCTGGTGACTAGACATGGAATGCTGGTCCATCTGCCACAATTGACTCAACCATCTATATAACCTTGCTTAGCAGTAAGAGAACATTATGTGTATTTCTGAGTTTCGCAAGTACAGGAAGGAGGGGACAACTGTGGCCACACATTTCTGTGTTCTATATAGTATAACACACAAATGAAACGTGATAAACACGCAAGACTGAACTGCCTCTCTGTCCTTCAATTGATAGGTTTTTATGCCAGAAGGCTGTCCAGCTAACATTTCTATTCTAGGCTGGACTGGTCTGTCTGTCCCACACTTTTTTCAGCTGAAAACTCTCTACTCTTCTTTGAAGATACAGTTCAAGCATTGCCTCCTTTGTGAGGCCTTTCTTCTTCCTGCTAAGAACTGGCCACTCCCTCCTCGATCCTCCCCATGGAAGCAGAGGTAGACTCTCATCGCAGTGCCCACCATACTTCTTTGCTCTTACACCAATGTCTCTCTGCTTGATTGTGAGATGCTTCAAGCCATTCCATGGCATGCAGTAGACACAGAATAAATGATCCTTGGATGAATGGGAAAGGCTGAGGCTCTTACCACAGATCCAAGATGCAGGTAGGGATTCCAATATAGCCTGTTACCCAGTCCAGTCATAGAGGAGCTGAGTGGATAAGTCCTGTTTTCATCAAGGCTAAAATCTTGGATATTGTTAAGGCATCTTGGCTCTGGTACTGTTTGGGACAAAACACTGTAGCAAATAATTAAATAAGAGTAGCCTGAGCAGGGATTAGGAAGCAGAAAGAAGTTTAATATCTCTGCATGACTCAGACATACCAGGTAGTTTCGGTTGCAGCTAACAGAAACACAGCTCAAATGAGACAAACAAATACAAAAAGAATATACTGACCAGCATAACTGAAAGGTCAGGGTGCTAGCTTCAGACATACCTGGGTCCAGTCTGTACCCTATGTCATCAGGGGTCTGTCACTTTGGCTCAGCTTTCCTCTATAACCTGTATTCTCACACTGACTCTCCCCATGTGGTAGCAGAAGTGATTATTTTTTCTTTTACTTTTCTCAACTTACACTGTACCCATTCATCAATCTCAGTAGAAATGGAGTCTCTTTCTCAATGCTTCCAGCAAAATATTTCAGGATGGACTGTGACTTGGACCAGTCTGGTTCCAAGTACCCCTCACCCAAGCCAGAAGAATAAAAGATGCAGGCTTCCATTGGCAGGTGCTGTGTTCACCCCTGAAACGGGGGACCCATGGGTCAGATCAACCCCACCAAAGCCCGTGGGCTGAGTAGGGAAGGAGGTGGTGTTATCAGAAAGAGGCGTATAAATGGTAGACGTGAAATACAACAGCTGTTTCCCGGAGTGGTTAACTAGTATTTTGCTATCTCCAAAGCCTCATTCTTCATTTTGAAAGAGTCTTTCAACTACTCAAGAGCAACAGCAAAACTGCAGCCATTCTCAGGGTGCTTCTTGGATGGGATGCCCAATGAGATTGGTACAAAACAGAAAAATTTGACATCATTTCTAAGTTTCAGTTGAGACTGGGGAGAGAAAGGAAAAACCCATCAGTTTCGGGTCTTGAGTAGTAAAACCAGAGTGAGAGGGAAGGGGGGAAAACGCTTGGGATGTAAATGGAATGAACAACAGAAAATAATTAAAAAGGAAGTGGCTTCCTCTCGTTTGTCAGTCGGGCCCTGTGAGGAACAAGAGCGGTACCTTTTCTGGAGCCTCAGCTGCTCTGCTGCCTTTCCAGCCGCCTCCTTGGGAAGAATGAGGTCTTAACAACCAGCATGGTGTCAGGGCTGGCCTCCACCCAAGCCTAAACAGTGCCCCCATTGAGGGACCCCAGGGGCAGCCCTGGATGCCTCTCCCTTCTCCTGCTCCCCTCAATGGGCTATTTGTGGGACTAACAAGGACTGGGAGACACACTGCCTATCTCCTCCGAGGCCCCAACAGCTGCAGGATTCTGCAGGAACTCCACAGGGCCCCTGCACATCCCTGCAAAGACACCAACCGGAGGATGCCGGATTCAGAAAGGGTCTCCAGGCGCCTCCTGGATGAGGGAGAAAAATACTCCTCAGTTCTTTCCTTCCTCCCAGCCCTTTCTCCCGTCTCCTGGGATAGCGACTCTTCACCCCAAAAATATTTGGTAGCCTGCCTTCCTGCAGCTTGGATACCCTCCCTGTTCTATCCTTCTTGCTGGCTGGGAGAAAGAAGAAAAAGGAGAAATAATCTTCTAAAGCTGAGAGTTTATGATTGTAGCCATGTCCAAATATTTAATCTTCATTTTCCACTTCCTCTGCTGAGATAAAAGTGACCTAGAGTGGAAAGTGGTAGCTAAAAAATTCTCATCACAAACCAAGATCACAGCTACTGTTCCCATTGATCTTTCAACCCCACAACAACACCAAGGAGCAGTAACAGGCCGGGCGCGGTGGCTCACGCATGTAATCCCATCACTTTGGGAGGCCAAGGTGGGCAGATCACCTGAGGCCAGGAGTTTGAGGCCAGCCTGGCCAACATGGTGAAACCCCGTCTCTACTAAAAATACAAAAAATTAGCTGGGCATGGTGGCGAATGCCTGTAATCCCAGCTACTCAGGGAGGCTGAGGCAGGAGAATTGCTTGAACTCAGGAGGCGGAGGTTACAGTAAGCAGAGACCGTGCCACTGCACTCCAGCCTGGGCAACAAGAGCAAAACTCCATCTCAAAAAAAAAAAAGGAACAGTAACAGTTCCTGTATTCTATTTCTCCTGAGCCCATTAGGTAATGATTGCTAATTGCCTTGAGGAAAGAGACAGCATACTGTCTAGAACAGATAGGTGAGGAAGAATCATTCCTGACTTTCTACTTCTATAGGATATAAAGTCTTGCCTGTGTCTTTTCACTTAAGAGATGCAAGTTGACCCCCTCCCCAAATGTCTCCTTCCAGGAGTTTATTGTTGCACATGAAAATCCTATTCTCGTGATATTCCATGTTTGTTAGTGGAAGCAAGTGTATTCTGCATGAATAGAAGTATGTCTGTTTTGGTGGAACTTTGCTGAAGTGTAAATACCCATGGGCTCAAGACATCAAGCTTTACAGGTGATTAACTTTAGGGTGCTATGTAGTTGATCCTGTCCTTCCCAGAGTGATGGCTGTGATAAAGGGGAGAGGGAACAGCCCCAGGAAAAACCTGTACCTACTTTGCAACGAACAGAATCTGTAGGGGGATCTGGTACAACTTAAACTTTGTTCCCCCCACAAATTTTTGCCAGAAGGTTGGGACCTGGCCTCATTCTTCAGGGTCAGGGGACTGTTTCCCATGCCAGTCCATTCTACTTTTGAACAAATCTTACTCATTAGATCATTGGAGAATCCTTTCTTGCATCAATTTCCATTTGATTTCCCTTAAACATGCAGACATTCATCCTGGTCTTGCCCCACTACTACATGCACTCTAAAATCTATAAAATCTTCTAAAATCCATAAGCTCTTCAACCCTTCCATAGAGAAATCACTCATGCCTCCTCCTGAGCTTTTCCATTTTGGGCTAAATCATGGTTTCTGCAATTTCTGCAACAGTTCCAGATATGATACAGTTGCCTGATTTTTAACCAGCTGGTTGACTGTCTCCAAACTCTGCTTTTTTGTTTTTTGTTTTTTGTTATTTGTCTTTGACCCTATTAAGTATATGGAACTCAGCTGCAGTTTGACTAGAGTTAAAATGCAGACAGGCCATTGCCATCCTTTATCAGAGGATTCTACTCCTGTGAATGCACTCTAAGACTTGATGCTCACCACGTGGCAACCAACTCCCATTGGACTTCCTCGGTGATAAAACTCATGAGACTTTCCACATGAACTTCTGTTAAGCCAGTCATCTCCAGTCAATTTGTTTTTTTTAACCGAAGATCTGATATTCATTCCTCATTTAACTTTATCCCCTTAGTTTCAGTCCATTGATCTAACATGTGGAGCTCTTTTAGAAATACTGATTCAGTCAGTAAAACCTCTCAAATTTATGTAATCTACAAACATCTAAATATGTCTTCTCTATTTTCATTCAACTTGTTGATGAAAGTGAAGATAAGACCAAAAAGCTCAGATATTCGAGACCAAATGTCAGAGACATCACCATGTCCTGTTCAGAGCCATGTTGATACAACAAAAGCAGATGCCAGATGCTGGAGAGTTCAGTCCTGCTTCCCAGTCCAGAGACACTTCACATAAAGGAATACCACATTTTTGGACATAAGAAAGTATTCTATTGTTTTCCTTGAGTTGATATTGGATAGGGGTGTTTGGTATTGCTTTTCATACTATGCACACATAGGATTCTATGGATGCAGAAAGAACAGCCTTTTATCCTACCTTACACATTACATAACAGGCCTCTGACCTTTAAAGAAGATTATTTTTTATTAAAACAGCCTTCTTGCCAAAGTCCTATGTGCTCCTTTCTAAGAGAGATTCCCAGATTACCGCTTATCCAATCAATACGACAATAAAAGACACATCAAAACCTTAGCCCTGTATTTTCCTAGGGTTCTCTAAATCCTGCCCAAAGAGGTGCTGTTTTCATTTCCCAAGAAAAATAGAACCATTCTACGAATTACTTGTGAAAACTAGCTGAAATTCTAAATTCAAGATCTTGCAAAGTAGATTTGAATGCTAAGTTAAGACAGCTTTCAAGGTAGAAGCTCTCAGTTTGAATACAGAAACCCGTTTTGGCAAAGTCATGTGAAAAATGCAAGCATGTCCCAATCAGAAGTTCTCCCAGCCGTTTCCCAGCTTCATGTCTAACAGAGGTTGAGTGTGAGCTGAAGAATGGTTTGAATAATAACATGAGAATAAATAAGTCACTTATTTGGGGATTCTAATGGGGAAAAAAAGTCACTAAGTAAAAAGTCACAACTAAGTTGAGATTTGAATTAGCTTCATCATGGAATGAACAAGAAAAACCCAAGTAATTCTATTTCTTTTGGAGTTCAAGCCCATCAGAGCATGAATTCCTCTCCTATAAGATTCTATTACAAATAAGTTGGATCATAGCTCACCTTGCCACATTTCAGCCTTATAAAAGAAGCCTTCCAGAAGGGATTAGCCTTTCTCTTTCCAAAAACCCTGAACAAATTTTCATGTACCCTTCTTGATCATTTTGCAGGAATTGTTCTGATAAAATAGCATTTCCCTCCTCCAGGTCTAATGCCCATCACCTTCTGACACAGTAAGTGACCAAATCTTTCCCTCATAATATGTCCCCATTCAACCCTTCCTCTGTTTTCCCTTATTTGCTGTCAGAATGACATAACAACTGAATCCTTCAGGCTCGGGGGCCTCTCTTTTCTTCAGTATTCAAATGTAATTATTTGAACTGCAGGAAGTCTGGTATCCATCTCAAGCTTCCAGAGGCTCTGCCATAGGAGGCTTCTGTTGGGTGGGTGCCGGTCACTCATTTCCCAACCCCTGCTCCTGGCTCCTGCTGAGCTTCTCAACCCTCTTGCTCACCCTCACAGCCCTCCTTTCTTTGCAGGTACACTGTTCCCCTTCATTCCGCAAGGCACCACTAATGTACAGCCGTATTGAATAGGACTTACACTGAAGGTTTGGAAATTTTGGAAAGGCACTATGCAAAATTGGACTCAGCATCACTGTAGCTAGTGTCTATCCATAAGGAGTCCCTTCCTGGCTAAGTTACTGGGCCTGCCCTCAGAATGGGGTCTCTGGCACCCTATCCTCTCTGCCTCACTCACCAAGGGAAAACTCAATCTTCTTTAACAATAAGAAAGAAGAAGAAAGAAAACAAAATAAACAAATGACCAAAATCTTTAATAACCCAGCAATCCTAAAATGCAGACATGTCTGCAGTCAGGTTTTGTTTTTGTGGGTATTTTTTAGTAGCAATTAAAAATGTTTAGCAAGCAAAAAATTTAACAAGCAAAAAAAAATTTACGATATAAATGTGCAAAATCACTACAGCATTTTTAAAAATCATAGTACATCTATATGATGTAATAGCATTTGGTTATTTAAGGTTATTTGGCTTCCTGTATAAGGTGCAGCCTCCCAGCAGTTATTTGCAGTGTCTTTCAATGGTAGGAAAATTACTCATTATATAATGTTTAGGGAAATTAGGATCCAAAATTGTATGAAGTGTGACTTCAACTCCATAAAAAATCTGGAGGAAAGCATGCCAGACTATCAACAGGAATTAAAGGAGCAGGGGTGATGGCTATTTTGTTTCAGTTTCCCTGGGCTTTTTATTTTTTTTAAATTTTTTAAAAATAATTCCAACTTTTATTTTAGATTCAGGGGTTACCTGTGCAGGTTTGTTACATAAATTTATGGCATGATGCTGAGGTTTGGGATGGGAATCATCCTGTCACCCAAGTAGTGAGCATGCTACCCATAAGTAGTTTTTTTCAGCCCTTGCCCTGCTTCCTATCTCTCCCCTCTAGTAGTTCCCAATGTCTGTTGTTCCCATCTTTATGTCCATGAGTACCCAATGTTTAGCTCCTACTTATAAGTAAGAACATGCAGTATTTGGTTTTCTGTTCCTATGCTAATTCACTTAGGATAATGGCCTCCAGTTGCATCCATGTTGCTGCAAAATACATGATTTCATTCTTTTTCTTGGCTGTGTAGTATTTCATGGTATATATGTACCATATTTTCTTTATCCAATTCACTATTGATGGGCACCTAGGTCGATTCCATGTCTTTGGAATTGTGAGTAGTGCAATGAATATGTGAGTACATGTGCCTTTTTTGTAGTACAATTTATTTTCCTTTGGGTGTATACCCATAATACAGTTGCTGGGTTGAATGGTAGTTCCGTTTTAAGTTGTTTGAGAAATCTCCACACTGCTTTCCACAGTGGCTGAACTAATTTACATTTCCACCAACAACGTATAAGCATTCCCTTTTCTCTGCAGGTTCACTAGCATCTGTTTTTTGACTTTTCAATAATGGCCATTGTGACTGGTGTGAGATGGTATTTCATTGTGGTTTTGATTTGCATTTCTCTGATGATTCATGATGTGGAGCATTTTTGCATACGTTTGTTGGCTGATTGTATGTCTTCTTTTGAGAAGTGTCTGTTCATGTCCTTTTCCCACTTTTTCATGGGTTTTTCTTTTGCTTGTTGAGTTGTTTAAGTTCCTTATAAATTCTGTATATCAGACCTTTGTCAGATACATAGTTTACAAACACTTTCTTCCATTCTTTAGGGTGCCTGTTTACTCTTTTGATAGTTTCTTTTGCTGTGCAGAAGCTCTTTAGTTTAATTAGGTCTCACTTGTCAATTTTGTTTTTGTCGCAATTGCTTATGACTTGGGCATAAATTCTTTCCCAAGACTGATGTCCAGAATGGTGCTCCTAGGATTTCTTCTGGGATTTTTATAATTTAAATATAATCTTATATTTAAATCTTTAACCCATCATTAATTAGTTTTTGCATATAGTTAAAGGTAGGAGTCCAGTTTCAATTTTCTGCATATGAAGCTATTCCAGTACCATTTGTTGAATAAGGAGTCCTTGTTTATTTTTGTTAACTTCATCAAAGATCAGAAGGTTATAGGTGTACGCCTTTATTTCTGGGTTCTCTATTCTGTTCCATTGGTCTTTGTATCTGTTTTTGTACCCAGTAGCATGCCATTTTGATTAATGTAGCCTTATAGTATAGCTGAAAGTCGGGGAATGTGATGCCTCCGGCTTTGTTGTTTTGGGGGTTTAGGATTGCTTTGGCTGTTTGGGCTCTTTTTTGGTTCCATATGAGTTTTAGAATAGTTTTTTCTAGTTTTGTGAAAATGACATTTGTAGTGTGATAGGAATAGCATTGAATCTGTAGATTGCTTTGGATAGTATTTGCCCATGTCTTTTAAAGCCCACTGGGTAACCATTATCTTTTATGACCATGAAAATCATTCAGATTTACTTACAGAGACACTGGCCTGGCAGATGCAAGTCTGTTTTCAGGCTGGAGTTTACCCTAATCCCAGGGAAATATCCCCTTGCACATGATTCAGCTCAAACCTCACTCATGTAACCCTCCATGCCCCTACCCCATGTTCCCTTCCCACTGTGCAGCTGATCGCGTTCTCCACCTCCAGCCTATAATGCTTCGTACAAACCTTTTTTAGTCCTTCTCACATCTGTATGAGTCAGGTCTCAGAAACCTCATACTGAAGAGTGTTTAAAACAGAGACTCTTTACAAAGAAGCAGAGTATAAGGAGACTACAAAAGTTAGTACATACCGCTGGGCAAATTAAGAGGAGCTCTATTACTATCCCTAGGCTGGAAAGGTAAGAGGAAGAAGTAGTTCTCAGAGCTTGGAGGGAGAAGAAGAGGGATGCTTCACAGGAACTGCAACCTTGAGTAGAGGAATGTAGCCAGTCTGGAGCAAACCCTCAGGAAAGGAGCCACTGGAAAAGCCCTGAGTTTGGCTCTTCCTCCCTCCTTCCAATTATCTGCTGGTGCTGGAGGGAACTCCAGCTGGAATCCAGGGTCAAGGGAGCCCTTTCCTGTGGTCCATACAGGGCAGCCTCCAAGGGAAGAAAGTGGACCTTTCCCTTGGAGGGACAAACCAAAGACTGGCCACAACAACGTACTGTCGTGATTGATTCGCAGGCATGCCAAGTGTCTGCTGCCTAAGAGATTCCCTTTAATTTTACAAAACACTAGAGCTCAAGGCTGCACCCTCTGTACTTCAGAATATCCAGAGCCACCCACCCACGCAGTCCTCTCCCTTCTCCTGAGGCGGTCCTTGCTACATCCTTCCTGGTTTCTACATCTTTCCTACTCTCTCATTAGCCCACTTCCTGGACATGCTGGACAACACCCTTCTTCCGTCCTATTTCTCAACTCAGCATAAATTCAAGGGTTATTGTATGTATCAGATTTCTAACTGAAGGATAGTGGGTAAAGGGGGATAAAAGGCAACACAGAGTGAGGAACAACTTCAAAACCCTTATTAGATACCTCTTTCATAAATATTCACAAACCATTCTCCACTATGAAGACTTTCTCAGCTATGTACCACCATCTTCTAGAAACCCAGGCTCCTTCCACAGACTTCTTTTTTCCCTCTATTGACAGCCTTCTAAAACCCTAAATTCTGTTCTACTCTTTTTTTGTCTAAACTTTATTATTTTAATATTTATATTTTAGCATAAAATTTTATATTTCAATATAAAATATTACATTAATATTAATATTAAAATAGTTTACTATTTTAATGCAATTGTCTTTAAAATCAAATTGGCAAGTTTTTTTAATGTTCTTTTTTAAAAACTTTTTCATTTCAATAGTTTTTTGGGGGAAAAGGGGTGTTTGGTTACACAAATAAGTTCTTTAGTGGTGATTTCTGAGATTTTGGTGCACCCATCACCCAAGCAGTGTACACTGTACCCTATGTGTAGTCTGTTATACCTCGCCACCCCCCCATCCCTTGGTGACAATGGCTTTATAGTACAGTTTGAAGTTCAGTAATGTGATGCCTCCAGATTTGTAATAAAATTAATATTAATAAATAGTAATATTAAAATTAATTATGCTAATTAATATTATTGTGATATTTTATATTTTAATATAAAATATTCAATTATATTAATATTAAAATATTCTAATATTTTAATGCTATGCTTTTAAAAATCAAATTACAAGTTGTATAAAATTTTAATAGAACCAGGGCCAAGATTAGGGGGAGGAAAGTGAGGAAAGGGTATATACACATGCAGGATCAGATCCTCTCTTTATTTTAAATTTTCATCCTTTGTTCATCAGGGATTTTGTTTTCATTAATTTTGATTTTTAAAAGACTACTTTATAGTGCAGTTTATCTTAACCACGAAGTTTTTTGACATCCCCCTCGACCCCTTTTTTTTTTTTTGTATCCCAGGCAAGTGCCTCACTCAATATCACCTTAGTTATGGCCCTGCCAGTTGAGGGGGCTCAGGGAAAAAGACTTATCTTTCTACATTAAACATGTCAGTTTAGAAGCTCTTCCAAACCAAAAGGTAAGTTCTTTTCCCAAGCAGAATTTTGTCTTCAAACTCCTGCCAATTTTGAGAAGAATTTTTTTCTTGTGACCCCTCCCTCATTAGGCTATGAGATCCTTCAGAATAGAAAATGATGCTGTATCCGCTTCCATAGCCCCAGCACCCAGACTTGGTAGATGAATTATAAATATTTACTGCATACAAGGATCCAGTGCAGAGCTTTGTAAATTCCATTTGTTATTTGTTGAATATATTCACAGGTTTTCTTTTTATGTTAAAATCAAACATCTTAGAAAACCAGCTGGCAAGTACCTGAAGACATCATTTAATCTAATCTTTTCATTTTGTACATTGGGAAGCTGAGGCCAACCTCCATGGTTATACTTGCAGGCAAGTTGCTTAGAGTTTATCCAAAAAAATGATATTTCTGATTGTCAGGGTACTAAATAATTTTGGTAGCATCCCAGTAAGCAGAACAGAGTAAAATTCTCCCAGGGGTTCATGAAGCCCCTGCAATAACACAATGCTACTAATTAATTAATTAATACAATGCTGTTATTTCTGCCAACAGAAATCTCAGAATATGAAAAACACACAAGAGAGGCTAAATGGGAAAATTACTGACACCCAAGCCAATGACCTGAGTCAGAACAACTTTTATCAGAATGAAGCGCAGAAATATTAATATCAAGAAGCTGAACTTTTAAATCAAAGCCAGAAAATGTATTTGCCCAAGGTAAAGGCATGAGCAGAAGGTTTACAGAGAGAAGGACAATGATGATAAGGAAAGCTTGCTTCTTTACAATGAATGCATTGTGACAAACTCGTGAGGCACCAAGCAAGCTGACAAGGGTCCCTTCTTCCTTGCACCTAGGACAGTTTGGCTAAAGGACATCTAGGGTGACACGCCTCAGACAGTCCGCATTAATTTCACATCCTGGAATAGCCCGAAGAACCTGTCCAACCTGACTGTCAGCCTTTTCAAAATCACTTTTGGAATTCTTTGTTCAATCCTGCTTGGTTTACACTGGAACGTCTCTTCTGGGACTTCTCTGGTGACTTGATCTTTGTCCACAATGACATAGCCCAGGAGACCCACCAATACCCAGATTTGCCCAGTGGGTGACACTAATATTAGATCCAATTAGAAGTGTCAATTCAAAACAGATGAAGGACACATTTACACACAAGTCAGGGCTGCCACAAATTCATTTCTTCCTCACAATATCCTCTAGCAGAAAAAAGGGCAAACTGACCTTGAAGAAACCTCCTTTTTTTTATCGGTTACCATGGCAGCATGAACCGTCTCTCCCCAGGGCACCTGCCCATGGGTTTGCACCTGCCAGCTGGTAGCAAGAGTGCACCAGCAGCCTTGGTTCCCAGTGGCTGTGCTCACATCATCAACAAAGGTACCAGCAGTGCCAATTGGCTTCACGATATGGATACCTGCCCGCTAAGCATTGGCCTGGAGCTCGGGGACTTTCACAAAGGCCAGCCAACAGCTGGCAGGCAGGAACCTCCAGGTCATTGTCATCCTGGGCTGAATTGGAACATGCACTTGGGAGACAAAGGCTCTGTCTGTAACCACAGCATCCCTTCCTCCCTGGGTGTTTTATTTTCAGCTCTGGGTCCCCTGCTATGGGAAGGCCATGTGGCTGAAGGTGTCTTTCTTGTTTTTTTTTCCCCCCCCTCCTTTAGCATTGTCCTGCCTTGTGCATGGTGCAGAAAAGCTTTCTCTGTCCCATGTCTAGTTTTATTGCAAATCAGAGAGCTCACCATAAGTCATCCTGGGCCAGTGGGTTCAGAGGTGGAGCTGGTAACCAGAGGCCATGTCAAACTTCCTCCTCTGGCTCCATACCAAGGCCTCGGAGGATTTTTTGTCACATGAGGTTACTGTAGTTTCACATCCTCTAAAGCAAAGCTCTGTCGAAACTCTCTATTCTCACATGGCTTCAGCTCAAACAACCACCCTACTCAGCTGCCTTCCTAACCCTTTCAAGCCGTGAATCAGGAGACCTGGGTTCCAGTTTCAGCTCAGTCTGCGTGCCCCAGAGCAATGACGGGGCCTCAACTTCTTTATCATGAAAATTAAGAGGCCAAAGTACCTTTCACTCAGGTTCCTTTCAACTCTCTCTCCCCTATCTTAAAAAAAAAAAAAAAACAACAGCTTATTTTTCCTGTTGCTTTTAGAAGAAACTCTTAACCTGAGACTCTCTAAAAATGAATAGAGATTATTGTGGTTTAAAAAATAAATGGCTACACACAGCAACCTGACTGTATCTCAAAAATATTATGGTAAATGAAAGAAGCTTCACATACAAAAGAGCTCATACTGTATGGTATTATTAACATGGAATTCAAAAATAGGCAAAACTAATCTACAGTTTTAAAAATTAGAATAGTGGTTGCCTCTGGCTGTGAGGTAGGAGCAGGGATTACCTGGGAAGGGGCAAGAAAGAATTTTCTGAGATGAAGGTTATATTTTATATCCGGTTAGGACTGGGTCACACAAGTAAGCCTTCATCAAAACTCACAGACTGCTACTCTTGAGAGGATCAATAGAGGTAATAAAGCAATTATAGCAAAATATTAATTGCAGGATCCAAGTTGTGAGTAAATGGGTATACCCTGTTTAATTCCTTCAACTTTCCTGTAATTTGGGAATCTTCATACTAAAATGTTAGAAAAAAACACGTTCTAATACATTTCAAAATTCCTGTCTCACTCATTCTCTCCTTTCTTCCATCCCCTCCCTCTTTCTTGACATGTGACCTTCTTTTCCCATTAAATGAGTCAATGGAAATGGGAATATTTATTGATTTGAGCAGTTAAGTCACCAGTGCTCTGTGATGACTAACTACTTTATCATTCATTGCCCATGGCTTTCAAGGGAAGAGGACAAGCTCTGTGCATCTTTCTCAAAGAAAGCGTTCCTACCTGTAAAAGTCTGTTAGAAAGGACTGCAGATTTAATAAGCATCTTTCAAGAGCTCTGTCCCCATTCCAACTCACCCCAACCCTCCAGCCCCAACACATTTGTTAAAAATTCACATTCAGAGATGCAGGACCCTCAACCTTGGACTTCCCAGACTCCAGAACTGTAGGACATAAACCTCTTGTCTTTACTTTAAAAAATAATAATAACATTCAGTCCCTTTTTTGAAGGTTTTTATCAGGATATCTCAAACTTAACACTGAAAGGAGGTAGCAAAATTTCTGTTTCCTCCATGTCTTTGTACTTGTAGAAATGGAGGCACAAAGGTAAGACACAGGTGTGACCAGGCCCTTCGAGTGGTTCAGCTGACTGAATATACACCTAGAGACCCTAAAACAAGCCACAGGGGTGAGAAATCAGAGAATTAGGAATGCGCAATTTAAAAGCACTGCGGTTTCCAATGTGAATTGACTGGAACTGAGGTTAAAGAAGAATTTCAGCATTTTTTGGTCACCAGTTTCTCAATGGACCATTTCCTGTCCTCTCACTGTCAAGTTTAGAGAATAAAACAAACCTCAAGGATGTATCTCTGCTCCACACCCTGTCTCAAGGCAAAGTTAGTGGTCACCAACAGCAAGATAGCACACACTGCATCTACAAATGTATGTGACATATCTTCACATTTTGTGTGTGTGTGTGTGTGTGTGTGACCACAACTTCAAAGAAACGAACAAAAGAAGCAACCAATAATCATAATGAAGAGGTTAAATTTTACCAGAGCCAATTGGGCAGAGAAAAAAAATCCAAAAACACAATGAAAACAAAGAATATTAGACCTGTTAAAAAATAATAATAAAAACCTTAGAGTTCATTTTAGTCAAACTTTTCATTTTGCAGAAAAAGAAACTGGATCTCAAATTTCCAATTTAATGAAAGTTATGTCTGAGAATATAAATCTGAGACCTGATCTCACCACCAGAAAATAGGGTTGGAATTGACCTTATAAATAATATATCTAAGCCCCTCAGTTCACTGGTGAGGAAACTGAGGTTCAAAGAAATTTCAGGGACTACTTCGAGTCCACACTGTTACTTAGTAGGACTAACTCCCATGTGTTTATGCTTCTGAGGAAGACAGCTTCGGTACCTTCCTTCCCTGTCCAAATCCTATCGGCAGCCTTTATCACTCTTTCGTTCTTTGAAATGAGCAGTTGATGTTTTTCTCATGTTCTTATACAAATAACCACCTTAATTCAGCTTAGAGACCCACATCTCCTTTCCAACCAGATTAGTATCCCTTACAGAAATTCAGGCACTGAGTCTCCCTCTGTCGCTCAGGCTGGAGTGCACAACCTCAGCTTACTGCAACCTCTGCCTCCTGGGTTCCAGTGATTCTCCTGCCTCAGCCTCCTGAGTAGCTGGGATTACAGGCATGCACCACTACGCCCAGCTAATTTTTGTATTTTTAGTAAAGACAGGGTTTCACCATGTTGGCCAGGCTGGTCTAGAACTCCTTACCTCAAGTGATCTGCCTGCCTCAGCCTCCCAAAGAGCTGGGATTACAGGCATGAGCCACTGCATCTGGCTACATCCAGGCAATTTTAAATACCTGTCTGTGTTTTATAACCACTCCAAGCTGGTCAGCCTCAAGGAAATCAACTAGGAGAGTTCAGAGTTTTTCCATGTTAAATTCTGACTCTATTTACCAAAGCAAACAAATTAAGGTACTGAAAGACTTTAGTAAACACAAATATTTTTACTTGTGGTTACAGAGGCTTTGCAAGAGCTCTTGTTCTTAGCAGTGATTATGTTGAGCCATTCATTTCATTCACGTAATAGTCTGACAAAATGTGAATGCCTACCATGTGTCCAGTACTTTCTAGGTGATGGAGACGCAGCAGGGAACAAAGTTTCTGCACTCTTGGATCTCATATCTACTGCAAGAAACAGACAAGCAATAAACAAGTATAGCCATAATATGTCAGATATTGATATGTGCCATGGGGAAAAAGAAAGTGAGAAAGTAGGTGAGTGGGTACCAGACTGCAGCAGTAAGGAAGGGTGGTTGCTAATGTCATATATAAGATGGACTCACTGATAAACAGACTTGAAAGAAATGAGGAAGCAAGCGTTGTGTACATCTGGAGGAAGCCGTTTCCAAGCAGAGGGGGAACAAAAGTAAAGGCCTGAAGTAGGAGTGGCATATTCTTGGAACAGCGAGAAGGCCAGGGTGACCAGAGCAGAGTGAGCGAGGAGACAGTGGAAGGAGATGTTGTCTTGAGGCCCAGTTGTGTGGGGCTTTGTAGGACATTGCCGGGGCTTCAGCTTTTTCTCAAAGTGAGGTGGAAAGGCATTAAAAACTGTGGAACCCAGGAGTGACATGATCTGATTTCCATTTAAAAGAATCAATTTGCCTGTGTATTGAGAAACAACTGTAGCTATCTATTATTGGCTACTACAAGACTCCAGGGATAATGGTGGCTTGGACCAGTGGTGGTAGCAGTGGAGGTGGTGAGAAGTAGTAAGATTCTTGGAGGTAGAGCTGACAGGATTTATTGATGGATTGGAAGTATGAGGAAAAGAGAACCAAGAATGACTTTCAAGGTTTTAGGTTGGAGCAATGATATGGTTTGGATCCCACCCACATCTCTCGTTGAATTGTAATCCCCAGTGTTGGAAGTAGGGCTGGGTGTGAGGTGATTGGATCATGGGAGCAGAGTTCTCATGAATGGTTTAGTACCATCCCCCCTTTGGTACTGTATAGTGGTAGAGTTATCATGACATCTGGTTGTTTAAAAGTGTGGAGCACCGGCCGGGCGCGGTGGCTTACGCTTGTAATCCCAGCACTTTGGGAGGCCGAGGCGGGCAGATCACCTGAAGCTGGGAATTCGAGACTAGCCTGACCAACATGGAGAAACCCCATCTCTACTAAAAATACAAAATTAGCCAGGCATGGTGATGGGTGCCTGTAATCTCACCTACTTGGGAGGCTGAAGTAGGAGAATTGCTTGAACCTGGGAGGCGGAGGTTGAGGTGAGTCGAGATGGCGCCATTGCACTCCAGCCTGGGCAACAAGAGCGAAACTGTCTCAAAAAAAAAAAAGTGTGTAGCACTTCCCACCCTCTCTCCTTCTTGCTCTGGTTCCAGCCATGGAAGATGTGCCGGCTTCCCCTTGCCTTCCACCATGATAGGACGTTTCCTGAGGCCTCCCCAGAAGCAGCAGTCACTATGCTTTCTGTATAGCCTGCAGAACCATAAGCCAATTAAACCTCTTTTCTTCATAAATTAACCAGTCTCAGGTATTTCTTTATAGCAGTCTGAGAACAGAGTAATATGGAGCAACTCTTGGGCAGAATTGCCTTTTGCTAGAATGAGGAAGGCTGGAATAGATTCGGGTTGCCAGAGGGGTGAGGAGTGCTCGTGGGTTATGAATCAGGACTTCAACACTAAACATGCTGGGCCGGAGATGCCTGTTAGATATCCAATTAACAGAACTGATTGATACAAGTAATGAAACATTTTATTAGAGATATATCTCAAGAATGCAGTTAGAAACACAATGGAGATTTGTCTCTAGCCTAGAGACATAAATGTTTGTGTCATTAGCATATGGATAATTGGCTTATGGTTCTGCAGGCTATACAGACCCCTGAGACCAGATGAGATCACCTAGTGAGGGTGGATAAAAAAAGACAAGGAAGGACCAAGTACACAATTATTTGCAGGTCATTGAGATGAGGAGAAAGCAGCAAAGAAGGCAGAGGAAGGTACCAGAGAGGCAGACAAAGATTAGAGAGCAGTATTCCCGAGTCAGGTAGGTGGTCAGCTATGCCTAATTCTGCTGATTCTAGAGGCAAGCTGAATTATAAGGGGAAAAGCAAAAAATAGCCACCGGCATCTCCTGCTGTCATATCTACAGTCTCCTGTTACAACAATAATAGCAAGAATAGTAGGAATAGGCCGGGCGCGGTGGCTCACGCCTGTAATCTTAGCGCTTTGGGAGGCCAAGGTGGGCGGATCACTTGAGGTCAGGAGTTCGAGACAAGCCTGGCCAACATGGTGAAAGCCTGTCTCTACTAAAAATATGAAAACAAATTTAGCCAAGCATGGTGGCGGGCACCTGTAATCCCAGATACTTGGGAGGCTAAGGCAGGAGAATTGCTTGAACCTGGGAGGCAGAGGTTGCAGTGAGCTGAGATCGTGCCACTGCACTCCAGCCTGGGCAACAAGGGCAAAACTTCACCTCAAAAAAAAGGAATAGTAAGAATAAAGAACTATCATCTATTGAATGTCTATCATGCCCCAAGGATTGTGCTTCAGTAAATATCACATGTCAACAGTGATGGGTTGGTAGTGGCTACCTGGAGCATTGTGCTGAGAGGGATTCTGAGGCTGCCTCTTTGCTCAAAGGAAAAGGATTGAGCTGTGATATTTGCTATGTATACAATAAGGAATTGGCTTCACAATTGCCAGGTGTTTGTGGACATTGTACTAAGATTTTACGTATATCATCTGAGGAGCTCACAACGCCAGAGTAGTGATATAATTAGCCCCATTTTACTAATGCAGAGACCCAGGTCAGAGAGGTGTACTAACCTCTGCCCAGTGACACAGCTAGATGTGCCAAAGGGGAGGCTTGGCCCAGGTCAGCTGACCTTTGTCCCACACTGCACAGTTTCTCTCTCCTTCTTTCTCCACCCAATCAGAAAAGCACATGGAATTTCAGATCCCCAGGGTGCCCCTTTTCTAATTTAAACTTATGACACAGAAGGCATATAATCAACAGGATCAACATCAAATGCGCTGATTCCTTTAGGCTCAAAGAAAACGTGGTAAGCTAGATTCATGAACTTATTTAGGGACACATGTTTGCAAGCTCAAATACAGGAGAAAAAGAAACAAAACATGAAGTAAGAGTAATAAAACCATTCAAATAGCAAGTTTTTTCAGCCTAGAGCAGTTGAAGATGACACAGTAAGAGCAACCATTAAAATATGACTATTATTTTGTCTTCATCATTCCCATAGCAACCTAGTATTATTCCCTGCCAAAAACTAACTCAGTAGGCACCAAGAGTTCACAGCTCCTCGTTTAGCACCAAGTCCTTCCCACAGTCATTTGTATTAACATTTGCAAAAGATTTATTTCCCTTTGATTCAAATAATTCCACATTCCCAAGAATACCTAGACTGGAGAGTGGCCAACTGCCTGCAGGGCCTGCAGTCATCTCCCCGGTCCAGGGTAGTTCCCTGGGCGCCTGTGAATGGCTCATTGTTCAAGACAAACCCACTGCAGAGAACAGAGAAGACACAGAAGAGGAATTAGTGTCATGTTCTAGAGACTGATCTGGACTTTGAGCAAAGAAACTGCATGCCCATGGCCATCCCCTAAGGCTACTATGAGTCACAGCTATCAGTGCCTCCCAGCCCAGGGCTCCCCTGAGATACAGCTCAGTTCATAATCAATAATCAACACACATCTGGAGGTTTCTAACCCACGTTCTTCCATATAACTAAGCAGAGGGCTAGTAAAGCAGGGCCCAAAATGAAAATCTTCATCATCCTCAAGTATTTGTTAAGTACCAACTGTGCAGGATTAAACACGCTATTCAGGGAAAAGTCTGCAGGCACCTTCAAATAGTCTTCATGGCTTTAGCAACTGACCAGAAATCTAAGAAAGGTGTGATGTTTAGACTCTTATATGATGGAGGCTGGAAACCTAAATCCTGCTCTGAGTTTTGCTACTGAGTTTCTGAATCTATTCTGTATATTCAAACTAATAGAGTACTTCAGAGAAAGGTCTAACTACCCACTTCAAAGTCCATTGAAATCAAAGATAAAAGACTGTAATTTTAGAATTTCTTGGGATTAATCAACCTGTCACCAAATTCAATTGCAGAGTGCAAAAAATGTTTCCTGGTGTAGACTTTCTACATTTAGACCTTATTTGTTATTTCAGCAATATATTAATGAACCACACAATTAATGCTTGATAAGTATAATTTAGTAGCCACAAGCTTATTTTTCAGAATATGGCTATTTTCAAAAAGTTACACTTCTTCGTACTTATTCAGGTCTTTTATTGTCCTTATTTGAGCCTTTTAATAGTCAGAAAACTACATTTCAAGATAAATTTCCATGCCACATTACTTCTCCCAGCTCTCAGAAACCCATCAAAATACATTAGAGAAAATCAATATGGTAATCCAGAAACAATAGCTTAATTCAGTTATGGTCCTGACTTACCCATCTGCAAAAAACAATAGCTATATCTGCCCAAGTGAATATATATCCGACTTTACGCCATGGAGAAAAATAAATCTAACTTGCCAAGACATGCCTCTACCCTTCAACTTCCCTACTTACTATCTACAAGTAAGGCAAAAAGGCTATATGGAGTCTGAACTTCTAACCAATGTACACATCTCAGTCTTCATTGAGGCCATTAATACATTAAAAACATGGATGAAGGGCTATTTGTTGCGTAAAGTCATTTTTCCCTTGACATTTATTATCAGTAGAAAAGTTTTTCTGTTTTAATACCCACATTCTGGCATATAATTACTGTAATAAAGTCTACTTCTGCACTCTGGGTGACTGCTGCCAGTATTATGAAATCATGGCAATGGTTGTAAAAATAAGGGAGGTCACAACCCTTCCACACACACACACACCCACTCTGCAGCTGATATTAAATAGCTCTGGTGGGAAAATGCAGACCTTTAAACTTTCTCTACCAAACTCAATGCATTCTGTATTTAACTTCTTTAAAACAATTTGTGTTATAAGAATTCAAAAACTGCATATGGCCATGGAAAAAAAAAGAAGGAGCTTGTACTTAATTAGCTACTAAGTCCAACTTGGACGAAGCACAATAACAACCATTTCTTTGTGCTAACTATTTTTAATGATATGCATTACATGCATTGGCCTGTCTACTGCCCAGACTGTTCCAGCATCAATCTTGCTTTAGTCTTATGCTTTTGGCAAAGAACAGCATTGGGAAAAGTCTTCATTGTGATGTTTTGCCATTTTGGGAGGGATAACTCCTAAAGCATGAATTCCCTCTGAACTTTAAACTACCAACATGGCTTCATGACCACAAGACAATCAATGTCCAAGCACATCAGAAGCTGTACAAATATTCTCCTTGCACCTCAAACAGTACTCAATATTTTGATTCATCCTCTCTGGGCTTAAGCCGCTTGAATATTTTAATCCAATTGCTTCCAGCTATTCTCTTACATAACTGTTGAATACAATTTTTCTGCTTCCAACCAAGAACCAAGTCAAGCTAATTCAAGATCATGAAAAGGACAGACAGGTCCAAGAGGCAGTGGCCTGTGCATTAAAAAATATATATATATTCTAGTTCTTTACATAATAGGAATTTCCTTAGAAAGGGTCTGTTTTTAAAAGTAGAATCTTGGGTTTCCAAATTAAAATAATCCTGAGTAGGGCTGCTCCTTGAGGGTCTGAAGGCCAGGATCTCCTCTTGCCCTTAGAATGAGAAATCCATCGTCCTCCAAAGCATCACAGAGAATATAGAATGTGGGAGAACAAGATGTCTAAGGACCACAAGAAAACATCAACAGAACACAGTACAAAGAAAACCAAGCCCTGAGAATGTCACCTCTGCTCTAAACACAGCAACTCCGCCGTCATCTATTTTATTTCCTGGCCTTATGTATCAAGTTTATGTTTAGGAAGTAAAAGAGCCACTAAAACCGTTTTAGAAAGCAGTTTGAGTTGTGCAAACCCTGCAACCAGCAATTCCACTCCTAGGTATGTGTCCTGGAGTAACTGGTACATATCTGCCCCAGAATGTATGTATGTGAATGCTCACAGCATTGTTGTTCATGATGGCTGCAAATCAGAATCATCCCATAGTACAATGGATAAATACATTGCAGTGAATTTGTACAATAGAAAACTATACAGCAGGAAAAGTAATAAACCAGAGGTTTGTGCCACAACATAAATGAATCTTACAAACACAATGTTGAATTAAAAAAGGCAAGATGTGAAAGAAAACATAGAATCATTCCACCCATATAAAGTCGGAAAGGAGGCAATACTAATCTATCTTATGTAGAGATGTATATATGAGTAATAAAGCCAGGAAGAAAAGCAAAGAAATGATTAGCACAGAAGTCTGAAGAATATTTTCTTTGGAGGGAAAGCAGGTGAGAGAAAGTTGTGATTCAGATTCAGGATGAGAAGTAGGGGAGACTTCTGGGGTGCTGGCAACATCTTATTTCTCACCCTTTAAAATCTTTCCGTGTGAATATTTTATCATTTACTTCACAATTGCAAAAATTAACAAACACAAAAAGCACCACCTAAAGAAAAAATGTTTGAAGAAATCACTGTTTCAATTTAATTTCTTCATGTTAAATAAGGAACTGGAGGTCAGGAAGATTAAGTCAGTTGCCATTTCTCCTGTTGACCTGATGTGGGCTCTTGGATGCGGGGCTTGTTATGGAGCCTCTTCTTTTCTCAGAACCTGGGGACCTGGAGAGGCCAGGCCATCTGGAATTAATGTCCTTCCCCATATTTTACTCTGCTGGTTCCCCAAGCACTTTACCCAGCCAGAGCTTCTTTGCCTTTCCTTTCTCTCCCTTCAAGGTAAGGATTTTTCTACTTTGAAAGGAGTTGTTAATGGATAACCTTTCTTCTCCAGTGGGTTTTAGGGGGTCAAGGGCCTGTCATTATTCCACTGGGCTCTTCCATCCAGCATGCAAACTGACCCACTCTTCTTCCTCCTCCACAGCTCCTCTTCCTCACAGGCAGCCCTCAACCTCTCTCAACTCTGTGGATCCAAACTGGACAGACACACGTACTATACAAACATCCTTGTATACACGCATACCACCACTCAGACCCTGTCTTGATTCCATGTCTGCCTGACTTACAGTCCTATGCAGACCGTATCTAATGCATAATCTATACCCTAAAACCTACTATACTTTGCATTTCATGGATGTTTAAAACTAAAATTTTAGCCCTACATGTTAAACTCAATGCTTCTTTAGATACTTTTCGATCATCATTCATATAAACAATTGAAAGTGTCAGGGTAAGTTACAGACATGTACTTTGGCTACTGCAGGGGTGTCATTCTAAACTCCTACTGCTTGAGCTGCCCAGTATATATTGCCTTTATAATCAGGTTTTAAAAATATTTGATTATCTCCTTCCTCTAAAAAAAAATCAGTTGCTGAGGAAACATCTAGCCAGAACATTGTTTAGAGGTAAAATTGTGTGTTAAGAACTTCCACATGAGGCATTTGTAAATAATAACATAATGTAAATAATAACATGATTTTCACAGCTTATACAGGAATCTGTTTACTAGATTTCTCCAAGTCAGTGGCATTCTTGGATTTTAAGAATCTAAAAGAAATTTAAGAAAAACCGAAGACAGAACCTGGAGAAGTAAATGAAAGGGTAACAGCAAAAATTCAGAAGTGCTGGTAATTGTGTTTGTTTGTTTCTTTTAGGCAGTTACACAAGCAAGAAATTGCAGGGCGGAGCTTGACCTTCCAACAGAAATCTCTACAGAGGCCACTACAAAGATTACCAAGCCCAGTGTATGTCCTCACTGTCGGAACAATACTCATTACAGTTTGCAAATTTGGACATTAAAGAAACTGTATCATCCTTGAGTGTTCAGAGTAATGGAATTTCTGCTGCCTCTCAGCATTCATGTCATTGCCCTGAAGCATGGTGGCTTGATTGCAAAAATCTTCAAGGAATCTTCATTCCAGGACCAGAAATTTCAGGCTTGACAAAGTAAAGGTAGCAAAGTGAAGCTATGTCCCATAACTGAGAAACTCTATGATAAGTCTCTGAAAAATGGAATTACAGAGGGAACCAAAAATCCAATGTAGTCCATGCCACCAAGCAGAGCAAAAACACAGAAGAAAATGGCAAATAAAAATGTAGGCAGCAAAAGAAAAATATTATGTATGAAAATCCAAATAAAGCGATAGATTCTTTAGCCCCATGAACAACTCTCTCCAAATAAACTTGCTATCACTCTCAAAGAAGCTCATATGCATGTAGAAGTTTTCTAGCCATGGATAAACAAGAAAGAAGTGTCATTTCAAGAAGAGCTGGCCATAAGAAAAAATGTTTTTGTCAGAAGAACAGCAATATTTGCAATCTCCCACCTTCTCTGCAGAAGGCCAATGTAACCAAAAACATCTGAAGAAGCCAAAATCTTCTATGTGTCATGTGGGCACAATGCCAGTACCAGATAAAGCAAAACAAGAGGGGTGATTATTTTTCTCTTCAAAACAACCCCATGTGCAAAGACTTGATTTGCCTCCTGCTGTGTACCTTCAACAAGATGAACTCATGTAGTTAAAATTCCAGATCACATCACTTCTTTAAAAATCGCTCCTAGGGACTTTGCTCTCTGGTTTTCTGTGCCTTGCTGTCATCTACCCATCCTTCCCAGCACTGCTTGACCCCAGCAGCACACACAGAGCCTCCCTTGCCTTTGGATTCCCAAGGCATTAGCTGTGCACATCACTCATTCTGACCCAATGCACGGAGCACTGCTTCGGGACCAAACTGCCCCCCAAGAGTTCGTGGTTTGTTTCCCCAACCAGATTCTAAGATCATGGAAAACAGAGAACTTTATTGTACTTTCTTATCCATCCCCTACCATAGTGCTGAGCTCATAGTAGGTGCTCAGACCTACTATGCTCCACGCTGCCTTCCCCCCCACCGCTCTGGATCATCACGCAGAAATAAATACCCTTACAGCGCGAAGGCACCACCATCAGGGTGGTTGTGGCTTCCCTTCTGTTGCTTCAGTGTCTTCTCTTTCTCTGGTTTGCTTTTTAGACAAAGAGTGGGCAGAAACTAAAAACACCTGCAGGTCAGTGAGTGTCTACTTAATGCAAAATGATGGCTCTGAACACTAGAATACAGGTCAGGTCACCACTGAACTTTAACATAGCATGATGGTAACACAGGTCATAACCACCCTGAGCAATAAACAATGTCAGGATCACTGAATAGCAAACAATTGTAGGGGACAGATAGAAGTTTTCGCAGTATTTGGAACTAAGTCCCTAAAACATCCAACAGGACCGTTCGTTCTGCTATAATGTGATAGTAGATTCTTAAATATTATGTTTTATCAAAAACTGGGATATTAAGATAGTTGTTTCAGTGGAAGGGGAAGATGATTAGGGTTAGGATTGGAAAGTTTCAGACATGATAACTAACAATAGAGGAGTTTCATAGTTATATGTTATTATCATAACCTAAAATATACATACCCCATTGGTCAAGGTTGACAGAATAAACCCAAGTGTTTCAAACCACACACTCAGTAATATCAGTCTTCTCCATCTCCTTTGGCTTTTATTTTGTGATTCTGCTGATTTGAACACCCAATCTTAAACCAAAGAGAGAAGGATATAAGCAAAAATTCAGAGCAGCTCACCAAGGAAACATGCAACAGTATCTTGCTAGGCTTTGCAGGGCCTTAATTTTCTCTTCCCCCGTGGGGTTCCCGTTCCTCAGTCACCCATTATAATCAAGAGAAGTTGTATAATGCAAAAATGCTCCGAATTAGTAGAATAACTTGTATTATTTTCCATTATGAAAACTCCCAATAGAGGGAAAATGGCTAAACTCCAGGCTTAAAATTCAATTTGGGATTTTCATATCAGTCACTGACTTCCTGGGACCACATCAGCGATGTTTCTGTCAGGAGTCTATGGCCATAGAGATATTAGTCTTGCCCATTCCTGAACAGCCTCTCCAGATTGTTTCCCTCCAAAATGCAGGAAAATGTCCACTGTACAATTTTTTAAAACCATAAAACCTAGTAGAAAGGACCAGAGGCATCTCCTTAAGGTATAGGCATCCTCCAGAGCAAGAATGATTCTAGGGGTAAGGCTGAAGGTGCCTGTGGCTGTACCTTCAGGGCAATTCTTCATGTCACGTGGATCATGGGGATTTGGTGTTTTAAAGGAATATTGTCAACAGGGAAAACTAGCAGGCCCCTTAAAAAGGTGAGAGTGGAAATCTAGTTTAAAAAACAAGGCATCTCGTTCATCTTCTACAGAATTTGCCAAATCCATCCTAGATGAGTGGATGAAAAGTCTTATTTCCATGCCATCAATTAAGGCCATTAATCCTTTCCAGCACTGACATATTGGTCTGGGCTTATTCAGGATTTTGACAAAAAGCTTACACAGCAGGTTTTCTGATTGAGTCATTCTAAGTAATTCTGAGGCCCTGGGAAAGTCAACCTGCTGTATCATTATAACTGCCAGAATGCTAAGTGTGCCACCTGGATGATCTAGACCATCTATGTGACATTGCCAGGAAGCTTTTATAGCACCATCTCACAGATGAGAAAACCAAGGCATAGGGAAGTTAAGCATTGCTATGATCTGAATGTTTGTGTACCCCCAAAATTCTTATACTGGAATCTAATATCCAGTGTGATGGTATTAAGCGGTGGGGCATTTTGGAAAGTGATAAGTTATGAGGCTCTGCCCTATGAATGGGATTCGTGCCCCTATAAAAGAGACTCAAGGAAGCTCCCTTGCCCCTTCTGCCATGTGAAGACACAGCAAGAAGGCACCATTTTGAAGCAGAGAGAGCAGCCTTCACCGGACACTGAATCTGCTAGTTCCTTGATCTTGGACTTTGCAGCCTCCAGAACTGTATGCAATACATTTCTGTTTACAGATTACTGAGTCTAAGGTATTTTGTTACAGCAGCTCAAATGGACTAAGAAAAGTGGCTTCTTCAAGAACATGTGCCTGATAAAGTTGATGAAATCAGGATTCAAACCTAGGCTGTCTGATACAGGCCCACAGGCTTAACCACTACACCACACTGCCTTTCTCCATGTATGCCACAAGGACTTAATATGAGTGGCTTACAAGGACTCATATTAAGTGACTTCCCAGTCAACTCTTTGTGCTCACATCACATCTCCTCAGCCCACCTCTGATTTCAGCCCTGGTTTTGGCATTGAGTTCTAGAAATCTCAGGTCATTTTCTTGCTTTCTGCCTCAGGACCTCCTGTGAAGGTGTGGGAGCCCAGGCAGGCCACTTTCAAGTCAGCTTGGAAATCCTCAAGCAATGAGGCGTGAGAACTGTGAAGAAGTGCCCCAGGCTCCAGCATAACAAAGGACAATCTGGAGACTTTCCATGCACTTCTTAGAACGCCAGGGTAACCATGCTCCCGTTGTCCACAGCATCAGCCTTGATAACATACCCTAATATTTTCCTTTCTGCCACATTCTCTCCATCCCCTCATTCCTGCTTCTTGGGTTCAACTCCTAAATAAACTACCTGCACGTGAGATCTACTGTCGGGCTTGCTTTTGGGGAACCAAACTTAGACATCCTGCCTTTGCAGCTTGATGAACCACACTGTTTCTTGGGGCTCCTTCCTAATCTGTTATTCAGATTTTTACATCCTACACAAATTTTCAGCAACCTGCCCTGAATGAAGTCCATCAGGGCATACATTCCAGAAGGAGCTACTGCCAGTACATGAGACAATTCTCTTGTGTTAAAATTTACCTAAAGGTTCCGGGCTGTGAGTTGCTGAATCTGCATTTCCACCTAGTTTTCCCAGAAGTGGCTGTTCATCCAGGAAGACTTGTTCTGCTCACTAGTCTATACGGAAGGCTTGGCATAGTTCTGTACTCAGTTATCCAGAAAGACAGTTCTGGTCCTCATATAATCGTGTGGATGTGTTTAGAGATTCTGTAAGGTGAAAAAGCAATCTGCCAGTGCATTAATTTGGAGAAACTATGTATTTCTATTTTAAAACTGGAAAATTGCTTTTTAAAATTTGTCATTTCTCCAAATATTTTATTTTTCACTATGCTAAGTGATCCAAATGCATTGTACATTCCCTATGCTGTAGGTACAATTATTGTGCCCTCTAACCACTATAGATGCACAATAAACTCAGAGTAATAAATTAACATTCAAGACAAATCATTAAATTCATGTTCACAATTCCCCCCATAAAGAAAGACTGTAAGCATCTCTTTAAAGGTATGTGACAGTAAGGTTATTTTGGCTTAAGACCAATTTTCAGTGCACAGATCAAGAATGTTACTTATTCTTTTATTTGTTTGTGTTTTAATTGTGGTGAAATATACATAGAATTAATCATGTTAGCCATTTTCACTGTTCAGTTCAATAGTGTTAAGTATATTTGCACTGTTGTACAATGAGTCTCCAGAACCTTTTCATCTTGCAAAACTAAAATTTTCTATCCATTAAACAACTCCTTGTTTCTCCCTTCCCCAGCCCTTGGCAGCCACCTTCTACCTTCTATTTTTATGACTTCACATACTCTAGATATCTCATAGAAGTGAAGTCATACAGTATTTGTCCTTCTGTGACTGGCTTGTTTCACTTAGCATAATGTCCTTGAAGTTCATCCATGTAGTAACTTCCTTTTTAAGGCTGAATAGTATTCTACTCATGCAAATACCACATTTTGTCTATTCATTCATCCATCCGTATACACTTTGTGTGGCTTCTACTTCTTGACTATTGTGAATAGCTCTGCTATGAACATGGGTGCACCAGCAAGTTGCTGTTAATGAAAATGATTCATTCTGTAGTGTTCCTTCCAGCTCACAGTCTTACATTCCTGTTATCAAGAAAAGCTAACTTAAAGTCCTTCTTACTCAGTTATCCACATTTGGAATTAGCTTAACCTGTTGGCCTAACAGTCATGACCCAGTGTAACCACTCATGTCTCAGCACAGATGACAAAACGCAACTTGGCTAGGAGGAAATAGGCTCAGTGGAGGGCTGGCCTTGGAGAACTCATCTTAACAAAGTGGAGACAAAGTTATTTTGGGAGGTCATGTAAGCAGAGTGATTATCATCATGGGGTCTGGGATCAAAATCCCAGCTCCAGCCTTCACTAGCTGTGTGACCTTGAGAAAGTTACTTAACCTCCCTAAACCTCAGTTCCTAATCTCTAAACAGAGGCAGTGATCATAATAGTATGGACATCTAGGAACATGGTGAGGAGTAAATAAAATAATCCATGTTAAGAATTTAGTGTCTGGCATACAGTAAGCGCCCAACAACTGTTAGCCCATATTCTGTAGTTACAGGTCACTGTTCCAAACCCCTCAATTTACAGAGGAGGCTCAGCAAGTTGAAGGAACATTTACTCCTGCCTTCACACGTAGCCATATGCATATGCAGACACAAAGCCACAGAGCTCCGTGTGTGCAAAGACCCCCTGTTTGATTTTAAAACCCTTGTGATCAGGGCTTTACTATCTAGCTATGAAAGTTTGGTTTATCTCAAAACTTTGATTTAAAAAACACGTCAATTAACCTAAGTTTGACCCTGAGAGCCCACAGGCTTAAAAACAAAAGCTAAAAAACAGGAACTGAAAAAGTTAAAAAAAAAAAAAATGTGAGCAAAACTAAGTAAACAGCATGCACACTTTTCTACTTTTCTGCTAAGAAAATCCTTAACTTTGTATTTCTTGAATCCTGTTTAAAATATATTTGGCTTTCTTTTGCATCAAATGTGGACCATCATAACCATCATCCAAAGACCACTGCACTTTAAATAATGATCCACGCTTTTACTTGGCCTTTCACAGGCTGGAACCAATTACCAAATTTCTCTCCCCACCCCCCCACCCCCACCCACCAGCACATTTCTGCCTTTGCAGCTCTGATTACTAGAGTTGAACACATTTGAGCAGTTCATTAGACAACAGTCCAAAGCTTCAGGGCAACTTGGGGGCCACATTCACATAGAATTCAGAGTTTGCAGCCTGCCAGCCAAGCACGCTCCCTCATGCATGCTGCTGCTGAGCAACTCCCAGTCCCATAGAACAGCCTCCCAGCTACAGTGTCCTCTCTAAATCTCTGGCTCATGGTACCTTTCAAGTACATGGTGAGCTTCCTCTAGCATTCTGGGACACTTTAAGGAATCTACCTGGCTCTTTTTCATTTTTAAATTTTTAAAAAATTATTATGTATTATTATTATTGTTATTTTTTAAGCCAGGGTCTCACTCTGTCATCCAGGCTGGGGTGCAGTGACAGGATCACAGCTCATTGCAGCCTCAAACTTCTGGGTTCAAGCAATCCTCCTGCCTTAGCCTCCCAAAGTATTGGGATTATAGGCATGAGCCACTGAGCCTAGCCTTCTTTTTTTTGATCAGATTTACATTCCTCAATATTCAAGGTTCACAATGCAAAGCAACATTAACGATTTATTTTCTTCTCAGGTTTTGTGTGTGTGTGTGCACACGCATGTGTGTGTAATTTTATTTTATTTTCTAGCTGGAAAGAGGCTGTTTCTCTTGGGGCTAGTCAATTCTTAGAGATGGCAAAGGGCTCAGCCTTTCATATGAAAATGAGCCAATCCAGCCTTTCATAAGAAAACTACCCAGTCTTGCCTGTGCACCCAAGGAGGCAATATTCCTCTGCCTTAATTAACCCAGGGCCAGGTATCAGGCAACTAGGGGCCACCCCTCTATCTTAGAGGCTGCCCCAAATAATTCAAACTAGCCAATCCTAAACTGTCTACCCTGCCCTGCCTTTCTCATGAAAACCCCATTTATTGGGGGCACTGGCCAAATCTTCCCCCAGTTCCTATCTTCTGCTTCCTACCACCCTGGTGTTTTTCCATGTGCCCCTGCATGGCACGACCATGCCTCCTGTCACGAGGACCTGTGAGCATAAACTTTGTTTTGCTGAGCTTCTCCTCTGTCTCCTTTTGTGGCCACAGCTAACTAAGCATCTCATAAAAAAGTGCAAAATATCAGGTCACCCTGCCTTGCTCCTGTTCCTGCCCAAGAACCACCCAGCACATGAGGGGTTAGCAACACAGGCTGGGCATTAAAATCACCTGATTTTTGCACTTTTCTATGCACATTTCTATAAAACTATGGATGTCTAGATATCACTCCAGGCCATCTGAAGCTGCACTTCTGAGGATGCCTCGCAGGGCTCAGCTGTTCCTAGGAACTACTCAGGTGATTGTGATGAATGGCGAGGGCTAAGAACCTCTGCCCAACCAAAACAGGATGTCAGTGTACAGCCCCAGGCCCCACACTCCAAGGGCAGGCCATGTGCAAGATGAATTGCTGCAGAATCCTTCAAGGCATACCAAAAATTCCCATAAGGAGTGACCCCAATTCACCGTTAAAGGGGAAAATGTCCTTCCTCAGCTCATCTAGAAATAAAATCTACAGGACTCATTTCTACTTGGGGTCACTGAAGGCCTGATCCTACACTCCAGCCAACATCACACCCTGAGTGCACATCTTATCTGGCTGAACACTGCTTCCAGCCTGTCCTCATGAGTACACCCACATAACTCCAGTTCACTGCAGATTAAGTCAGAGAGAACCTTGCTATGGTTGGAGCTCTGCAGGAGAGCTCAGGGACTACCAGCAGAGTTCTCTCTAAGCAGCAGGACCAGTCCATGTCAGATGACCATGACCCAGGGAGCAGGCAGACCCCTGAGCATCATCAGCAAAAGATGAGGGAGGCAGACAATGTAGAAGGTATTCAATGGCTGGACTAAAAGCAGCACATACAGGAGGATCATCCCAGTGTAATCAGGGCTGCAAAGAATTAGGGCAGAGATTGAATGTTGAAGCCGGTGCAGGGGGGAAAGACACTGACCAGAGCACTGGGCTCTGGGGGTAAAATGCCTGGATTAAACCCTGGCTCTGACCCATAATTTGTGGCAAGCAAGAAAACAAAAACTCTGTAAGCCTCAGTTTTCTTATCTATCAACTGGGAATAATTGCTTTACTCATAGGGTTATTATGAGGAACAGATGAGATAGTGAGGTTGAGTGCCAGCACAGTAGCCAGTACTCAATCAAATATAACTGTAAAACAAAGGGGCAGTTCCTAAGGCCCAAAATGGAGTTTTAGTCAAAAGGAAATAAGGCAAAAGGCCAGTTACAAGATGGAGCAGGCCCTGCAGTGGAGTTGAAAACCCAGGTCACCATGATGACTGTGGACTATAACTTTGGGTTCCAGTTTCTTTGCAAAAACAAGATTGTCCCCCAAGTCCTAGACAAATTGGGCAGCCGTGGCCTTAGCTACAAAGGTTAGAAAGAGCCAAGCAACCATTACCCTGACTGTCTTGGCACAGGTTCAAAGCTGATGATCACTCACCGGGACTTTGAAAGGCCACTTTCCTTTCAATCCACAGGTCCTTCCCAGTATGGTCCTTCAAGAATTATTTCTTTTTTTGTTTTTTCAACTAACCCCTGGTATTTTCCATGTCCAGTGCCACGCTTCTATCCTCATTCTGGGCAGGGGCCTCCCTCCTGTCTAGCTCTCCAGCCATTTAAGTTTCTCCATCCGGCACTGCCCCGGTTTTGCTCTGTTTCCCCATCAGCCTTCATTCTAGACCCTTCACACAGGCAGCTCCCCAGCCCACAGAGTCCAAAAGCAGGCTTTCTTCTCTACCCTTTCTCCCCACTCTCACCCAGTCCCATCCTCTGCCCTACCCACCCATCCCCGACAAGCTAGGATTTCATTATCCTCCAACTGAACCATATAAAGCCTCCATTTAGGAATTCTCATACATATTTTCATGTTAGCAACACCCACCATCTTCCCTGGAAAGTTCCCATTAGCTTTCCCTTAAGCACTCAAAATACAGTGAGACTTCACATTAACATTTTAACACAGAAACCTCTGTCCTGGCTTTTCGGTTCACTGTCATTCAGGGGGAGGGAAGCATTTTACCATACTCTGAGAATCAATTCCTGAGGTGGAAAAATGGGGACATTTTTCTAAACATGTTTGTTTCTGATCTTCCTTGCTGTCCTCCCCCAGCCTCCCATGAAGCTGATATCCCCATCGGATTGGACCTGCACTCTTGGTGAAATGTTGCTGCTGCTGCTGCTGCTGCTGCTCATGAGAGCAGAGAGATTTTTGTGATCTGTTTCTGGCACAGACCAATAGATCTGTTGTTTTCCATGGCCAAAGCTTGAACTTCTAATCTTGTCCAGCCATTTCATAAACTTGGTTATGAGACCTGTCCTACAGGGGACCAAGCAAGAGAACCATTCGAGAGCATCAGTGTGGCTAAAGATCAGCAGGCCCAAGTGGTAGAAGGTGGCCAAGAGGGTACTGACCCATCAGGCAGCATGTCCTACCTACTACCTGTGCTACAGAATCTTGTCTTCTGCTTATTCTCTGCACTCACACAAAGGAACTCAGTGAAAAAAGCAAATAATGATATGTGATCAGTTGCATTCCTGGGTTAGCCAGTATAGGAAGAACATTGCCTTTTTATAGAGATACCAATTCATAGACCATTTTTAAAGCTGAAAGAGAACACAGGGATAACCTCTCCAACTGCCTTTTTTTTTTTTTTTAACAGATGAAGAAATTGAGGTTTTAAGAGATAAATGGACCGACCAAGGATCACAAGAGCTGAACAGGAACTGATCTCCCTCTTTCTGTACTTTTTCCGTTGCACTACACTATTTACAAATATTATTTACAAAATGCATTTTTAAAATATAAGCGTATGATCAGAGACAGAAAGAGGATGTATTGGTAGAATTTTTTCCTTGAAAATTATTTGTAATGCCATAATGTTTTTACAGGCAATATGCATAGCTGAATTGTTCCTGGAGAGTGATAAAGTACTCAGGATCAAAGAAGTTATTTGGTTGCCAGGAAGAAAAAAGGAAGAAAGTAAAGTTGGATAGAGAAAACCAAGATGGGAGGTTTAAATATGTATTGGGGTGAATATCAGATCAAGGAGGGAAGAATAGGGATGAAAAAGGAAACACATAGAAGAAGGATATTAAAGATCAGGAGAGACAAAAACACTTCCAAGAAACCTAAAAAAGTAGTTTCAATGGTAAAGTGTGAGAATCCTTAATGTTAGCAATTTAAAAACCTGTGAGTCCTAGAAAAGGACAATGGGGGAATGATCTCTACTAAGCAGGTGATTTACCTATTTTCTCACTCCATCCTCACAAAACCCCATTAGAGGTTATTATTATACCTATTTTACAGGCAAGAAACTATGTCTCAGAGAAGTTAGCTTGCCTAGGTTCACAAAATGAAAATGTAGTAAAGCCAAGATTCTAATTCAAGATTGTCACCAAAATCCATCCACCAATCTAGAAGTCATGGCTTTCTTTACATCAGTAGATAGTAACACAAGTAATAGTGCAGAGATTAAATCTTTTCTTAGAGTAACGTTTAAAAAGTAACATTAGCATGTCATATTTGTGCCTCTAACATCACAGCCTGGAAATGCTATGTTCTACTAACCTTTACTTTGGGTCAGAAGAAGTTACTGCCAGGCATTACAGGAACTTGGACTTGGGTTTTGGAACAATCAAAGAGTAACTGATGTGGGAAGTCCTTTAATTCTTCCAGTGATAAAAAGATGATTGTACCAAGGGCTCATGTCCCCATTTCCAAGTGAGACAATGTGAGTCCTCACCTGGCAACTATAGTTTATTTTTTCTACCTCATTTTAATTCAGAGTAGGCTTCAGAAGTCCTAGTAAGTATTCAGTTTCATTTCCTTCATTCTTATGTATTTTTTAAAGTTTGGTCATATTTTCAGTATAACTTAGCTCCAAAAATTCTAATAGCACCTCTATTTAAGAATATATCACAAGGTATCCATATGTTGGGGAAATGATAATTGACTAAAAGTTCAAATTCTCTTGATAATTTTCTGTTCCAAGGAAATTGAGTGTGTGTGTGAGTGTGTGTGTAAATACATATATATGGAATATATAGATACTCATTTAGGAGGTACATTTTGCTTTCTCTTAAGATTACAACATAGCTGGAAATTAATTTAATTTTCTTCATCTCTTGTGTGGTTTCTTCTTTTGTTCTACATATTACTTCTTAATCTCCCTACCCGCAAAGGGGTTATAATAGCAAAGTAACTGAACTGATGCCATTTTTGAAGTCCTAACATGACAAAAGAATTTTAACAGTTATCAGAAGTTGATTTGATAGATTTTAATAGATTTAGTTGATTTCAATGGATTATGATTTCAAACGACAGCAAAAAGGGAGTGAGGAGATTGGAAAGGACGAGAACATCAAATTAACAGAATGGAGTTTCCTCAACTGAGATAACTTTTGTTAAAACTTTTTTTAACCCAAAGCTGAATTTACTTTCTATTCATTTCCACACTGAATTATAAACAACACGTTTTGAGGTGTTGTATTTAGATGTTTTTAATTTGGCCAGTCTAATACACAACCTAAAAAGTTTCCATTAGGGTGCGACAACGCCTAAAAACAAAACCAAACAAAACCTTTTCCTGTTCTGCTTAAGGTGGGTGGATCAAAGAATGTTTAGGCAGATAAGAGGGTTTCAGAGGTCGTACAGTCCCAGTTACCCAGAAGATTATAAAGAAGGATTTTTAAAATCATGGCTGTCAAGGGTTTCTTGTCCAAAAAAGCAAGAGAATTCTCCAAACAATTGTTGGTTAATGTCCAACGCAGTTTGCTACATTTCACATCTTCTCTGTCTTCAAAGGCTACAAATTTGAAACTTTACTGGGTAGGAAGGTTTTGAAACTCAAGTTCCATTTATTCTTGGCCAAGCCCAGCCGTCTGGTTCCCAAGATGGGCATGCGAGAGGGTCAAACTGTTGAAATAGTTATTTCCCCATCACCCGAGCTCCCCAGAGGATGAGTTAAAAACAACTTTTAAACAAGTATAGATCTAAAACACAACGAAAAAGGTATTTTGGGTTGTAACAGCCAAGGTCCAAGGTGTCCTGGCTCTGCAGATTGAGCCCCACCTGTCTTTGTGAGTAACTTCTTATTTCCTCCCCAGAGTGGTGGAAAGACATGTTCATTGCCATTTGGAAGCAAGACATAAAAGAAATCACAAAGGGTAAATTAGGACTGCTGCACCACACCGGAACTTAAAGGTTGATTTAATGTTTTTTTGGCTTTGGGGAGTTTTTTTGTTTGTTTTTTTTTGTTGTTGTTGTTGTTTTGTTTGTTTGCTTTTATTATGGTACTCTCTCATAAATATGAACTGAACTTGCCTTTATCAGAGTACAAATAAGAGAGACATTCTGAGATCTTCGGTTTGACTCCTGGGTGAGTCATCCTGCACCCCCACCGCTCGCCCACCAGTCCCCAGGCTGCCATTACATTTGAAAAATAGCAAGCGAAGAATTATCAGAGGGAAAATCTAAACTATAAAGAAAAAACTAGGCCAGGGACAGTGGCTCATGACAGTAATCCCGACACTTTGGGAGGTGGAGCCCAGGAGTTTGAGACCAGCTTGGGCAATATAGTGAGACCCCCATCTCTACAAAACACTTAAAAAAATTAGCCAGGCATGGTAGCACACGCCTGTGGTCCCAGCCACTCAGGAAGCTGAGGCAGCAGGATCACTTGAGCCCAGGAGGTTGAGGCTGCAGTAAGCCATGATCGTGCCACTGCACTCCAGCCTGGGTGACAGAGCGAGATCTTGTCTCAAAAAAATAAATAAATAAAATAAACAAATAAATAAATGAGCAATCTTCCTTTTTGTCCCCTACGCTGCCATACACAACACAGGATTGAAAGTGGATACCTCAATGGTTAATCAACACTCTGACCTCAGTTTACACATGCTCTGGGAAGGAAGCCCCTTTATGAGGAGTGCATTGTGGGAAAACAAGGGGAATGTTCTACATAAATCTCAGGGCAAAGTGCCTGTCCTGCAGCTGCATAACAAAACAGTTCCATACACACCATCCATCCACCCATGCCCTAAATAAGATTCCCTCTAGATAAATGTAGGGCATCTCCCACATTTTTCATCCCCTTTCTCCAGTTTTAGGGCTCATTTTCTTTTATACTCCCCACATGGTCCCCAATTCTTTTTCCCTACATCATTCTCCTTCATGTTGAAATTAAATAATGTGTATAAAACACCCAGTGCAGGGCTTGATACTCTGTGGACTCACAATAAAACTGTTTGTTCCCTTCCCTTTTCAAGTAGTGGCTCTGATGCACCCTGCTTCCAACCCTAAAGCTTCTCTCCCGTCCCCTTTCACCTTCTTGTCTCCCCCTCTCCTTATCCCCCCTACCTTACTGTGCTGATCCTCATCCTTCTCCTCCCTCCCCCGACCAAAACAGACCCAAGCACATCTGCTTTCTCCTCCCAGTTCAGTTCCAATGACATTAACTGAGCACCTGTGTCAGTGCTTGGCAATCTCTAGTGCCACCTTCACAATTTTTACCTTGTGCCTTTTCTACACATGACCTGGGCTGTCAGTATTTCTATTTAAATCAACTCATTTCTTAAAAAGTAAAGAAATGTATTTTTAAAGGAAAGCTTATCCCTGCTATGGACAGAAACTTATATTACTTTCCCTAATTAAAGAGAGCAAACACATAACCATTAAAAATTATTTTACATATTTGTGAAACATCAAGCTGGAAAAAGTTTATAAAAAATATGAAATAAAACAATATATGATCCCTGCCCTCAAAGGACAGTTTCGAAGTGGGTAGGACAAGAATAAAGTACAGCACAGAGGCAGACGCAAAAACTAGACCTGGGAAGATATCAGAGGTGTTTACGGAGAGGACATGACCTTATAAAATGGCACACTGCGGGCCGGGCACGGTGGCTCAAGCCTGTAATCCCAGCACTTTGGGAGGCCGAGGCGGGAGGATCACTAGATCAGGAGATTGAGACCACGGTGAAACCCCGTCTCTACTAAAAATACAAAAAATTAGCCGGGCGTGGTGGCGGGCGCCTGTAGTCCCAGCTACTCAGGAGGCTGAGGCAGGAGAATGGCGTGAACCCGGGAGGCGGAGCTTGCAGTGAGCCGAGATTGAGCCACTGCACTCCAGCCTGGGCGACAGAGTGAGACTCCATCTCAAAAAAAAAAAAATAAATAAATAAATAAATAAAATATGGCACAGTGCCGTGAAAACAGGACACTTCGAGTGAAGTGCTTATTTATTTTCTCATGCTCTCTCTCACCCTACCCTCCCATCTACCATCCATCAGAACACAATTTTCTGTAGTTCTTAGCATGTGAGCACATTCCCAAAAGTGAGAAGTATCAACAATCAAACTGACAAGTTCGTTCTTTGTAGGCGAGACATCATCCAGCTTTGCCCCAGGCAAAGTTTGGCACTCACAATGCCAGGAGACACCATTCATGCTACAATATACATACAAATCAGCTCTGCTCTAGAGGTAGATAGTGGAGAGAAGGTATAATAGATTCACAAAGCCATTAGGGATGGAGATTTCTTCTGGCTTCTTGCTGCATTCTCCTAACCATGTGGCTTTCATTCTCATAGTTGCTTCATGGTTACAAGAGGGCTGCTCCACTACCAACATCACATTTATATGACAGGAAACAAGAAGAGCAGGAAGAGGGTGGTGCCTGTACAGGGAAACCAAAGCTTTCCTAGAAACCTTCCAAGTATAACGCTGGCCAGGAGAGGAGAAACTCCAGGAGAGGAGATGTGATTTTGTCGCAGTTGTCATTCTAGTTTTGTTTTTGGACACATTGCTGCTTTGAAAGAAACTGGAGACCTATTAGCAAGGATGAAGGGAACAAAAGACTTTTGGATGGAAGTCACGGCCTTTATAACCTAATCTCTGATGTGATACTCCATCACTTCTGCTGTATTCTGTTGGGCACCCTGACTCCATTACATAAGGGTGTGAATACCAAGAGTTGGGCATCTCTGGGGCTGTCTTGGAGTCCAGACACCACAGAAGGCAACTAGCAACGTCTGCCAGACATCGACCCTCTAACTTTTATTTCATACACCTTTATGGAACTTTCACACAGCCACAGTGCCAAGGGCACTCGATAAATGTTTATCAAATAAAGAAGTTGGAGAATGAACATTTCAAACTATTGTGCCAGGCTGCTATCTTCTAGCAAAAAGTTGGCAGTATAACCATTTTATTAGGATTCCAGATTTTCTTTCTGCACTTGTAGGTTGGTGCAAAAGAAATTGTGGTTTTTGCCATAAACATAATGGTAAAAACCACAATTACTTTTGCACCAACCTAATATTTGGATATTTTGTTAGAGTGATTTTCAAACATAGCTCCAACGGGTCCCAAGTGGAGCCCCCAGAAGGTATCTCTTCACTTCTTCCTGGTTGAGTCAGAGAAATTCCTCTGACATCTATTTTTACTTATTGGGATTCCCTTAAAAAAACAATACTTTTGCAAAAAAAAAAAAAAAATTGAAGCTTTCTTCTTGCATTTGCCTATGTTATTTTAAATGAAAACATGAGAAAATGAATAAATGAAAACTGTGGATAGTGTTAAAAAGTACAGGTTGCTAGATTTAATACAATTAAAAGAAAAATGAGAATCCTCAGAAAAGCCATAAGCAATGAGCCCTTAATCCCAATTCAGACATCAGATTAAGCTGGTTGACTTTGGATTCAATTATACAAAACATAAAAAGAAAAAAGATGAGAAAAAAACATGTAGAAATCTAGATATATACGATTGAAGATTATGTCTTAAAAGGGAGGTAAAATTAAAATTTTCTAGCTCTTGAGGAATAGGAACTGTCTCAGAACATACAAACCTATCTTTTGACCTTTCTGTCTGATTTTCCTATTAGTTTTTGGATACAAATTACACAGAGAAGTAGACTCTTTCCTGCCTGTGTGTGCCTAAATTTACCTTGACTGCCTCTCTGCTGTCCTCAGCAGGGGCTCTCAGGCTGGCACTGGCCTTGAAGACAGGTTTTATTTGGCTGTTTTTTTTTTTTTAACTTGATTTCATCTTCACATTTAAAGTTGGGAAATTCCCTCTTAAAATCTGGACTCACTGTTTCTCTTGAAAAGTCAGAAAATCTGGCAGCAAACTCAAATTTGGCAGGATTCCAGGCCTCCTTTGTGCACGTGAACTCATCTGCCTTGAGTTATAGTTATTTTTATACTTGCTTTTCCCTCTTACTAACTTAAATAAGTTTCACTTATCTACTTATTCCCTACTACAGTGGTTCTCAAACTTCAAGGGGCATCAGAATCACCTGGAGGACTTGTTAAAACCCAGATGGGGCTGGGCGTGGTGGCTCACATCTGTAATTCCAGCACTCTGGGAGGCCGAGGCAGGCAGATCACCTGAGGTCAGGAGTTCGAGACCAGCCTGACCAACATGGTGAAACCCCCCCCCATCTCTACTAAAAATACAAAAAAAAAAAAAAAAAATTAGCTGGGCATGGTGGCAAGCACCTGTAGTCTCAGCTACTCAGGAGGCTGAGGGAGGAGAATCACTTGAATCCAGGAGGTGGAGGTTGTGGTGAGTGGAGATCATGCCACGGCACTCCAGCCTGGGCGACAGAGCAAGACTCCATCTCAGAAAAACAAAAACAAAACAAAACAACCAGATGGCTGGACCCACCCCGGAGTTTCTGATTCAGTAGGACTGGGGGAGGCCAATGATGTGCATTTCTGACATTTTCCAGGCAACGCTGCAGCTGCAGGTCCCAGGACCACACTTTGAGAACCGCTCCCCTACAACACAGTGCAGGGCCTTGCAAATAAATTGTTGAATTGTTATAGGTATTGCAGAGATTAAGAGTGCACAAATGTCTTTGGTAAATTCCCATTTCACTGCTTACTCTATCTTCGCACAAACTATTTATCTCTTTGTACATCTCTCTTTACCTGTATAATGAAGAAAATAATAGAACTCATGTATTTCAAAGGATTGTTATTAATATTCAGTGAGATAATATATATATATAAATACTGCATCTGGTATAGTTAGTGCTAAGTAAACATGGTTATTATTATTTTTAATTATCTCCTTTCCTAGTCCGTTAGTTTGAAGTCAGGGTCTACCTCTAGTTTTTCTTTGTGTAACTACCCCTTAGAAGTCCCACCAATATCTAAAGCTCTGCCTTACACAAAGCAAATACTAAATAAATATTTCCTGAGTGAATAAATAAAGAAACAAACTAATACACCCTCAAATTTCATGGATCGAATGCTGAATAGGACAACCAAGTTCAGTCTACATTTTTATAGAGACCTTTTAATCATAGCATAAAGCCAATCACAATGGATATTTCTGCATTAAAGTGTAAACTCAGAGATGATTAGTAAATGTAACAATTCCCCAAGCAGGTATTAACAGCTAGTCTTTATGCACTCAGTGCCAGCATTGTTCTCTGTACTCTGTGCAAATTAACCCATAGAATCTGGCCTCAGTTAGTGTTAAACCTCAAGTTGATCTATCAGTTAGAAATTGCATTTGGCTACAGAGGACCCCAAAATAGTGGCTCAAACATGCAAAGGTATTTTCTCTCACATAAAAATGCATTTTAAGGTAGGCAGGTCAGGGCTGTGCAGTGGCGCAGCAGAGTCTCCAAGGACTAAGACCTTCTGTCTTTCTGCTCCAGACACTGACACACATAGCCTATCTTTGAATCCACCTCAGAGTCCAGGATGGCTGATGAGGGCATTAGCTTCCTATCAGCTTTCCAGCCAGGAGGAAAAGGAAAGGATTTGGGACAAAAGTCTCCTCCCTCCCTTTTAAGAAGCCTTCCTGGAAGTCCCACAAAATAAATCTAGTCTGCCGGAGCAGGGCCACACAGCCACACCCTATCTCAAAGGAAAAGCTATCTTTGAACTGAGCACGTTGCTGGCCTGAGAAATCAAGCTTCTGTTGGTAAGGAGAGCAGGGAGAATGGGTGTTGGTTTAGAGAATTTGCCCCGTCTGCAATAACTAGCATACACACACACACACACACACACACACACACACACAGTCTTCTTTCTTGACTTCCAATGAACAACAAATCACAGGTTTCAATATTTGCTAAGTAAGCTGCCCTGAGTATGGGTTTCACTCACACATTTTTGCTATCACAGTTTTGATAAGGCAAAACTTGAAACTTAACCATGCCTCAGCCTTAGGGAAAGCAGCTGGCTCGGCAGCAGGGCCACATGCTGTGTATATGCAGAGTGTAAATTTGGATCACACACACTGTGATGATGCTGGCAGTTGGGATAAAAATAAATACCTCCCAACACTCTCTGCATTGTGATTATTGTATTCAAACCTTGAGTGTGAGAGTGATGAAAGCAAACAGTGGGAGAATGAATACACTATAACACCTCCTTCAAGGAAAGCTGATGGGATCTGAAATAACAGAAGACATCATTTAGTAGGAATCTCTCTCTCTCTGTCTTCGCTCTTCCCACCATCTACACTGTAGCACAGCTGCAGTTTTACTTAACTTTTGCAAGCTAAATTGTAAAGCACCTATATGCCAACCTCCAAAGAGAGCCTTCTCCATTGAAACACTCCAAGCCATCAGCTAACCTTGATCCGCAGCTCCTCCATGGTTGGAGCCTCAGAGGCAGACAAAAACTCCTTTATAAAGAAGCTCGGAAAGAACTAAACTCTGAAACGATAGGGTCTCTGTGTTCTTTGTGTAGGCAGGCAATTTCCCAGCAAGGTTTCGGGTTTTGCAGTTAGCTTTTGTAATTACAATAAAAGAGAGATAGTAACCTTTAGAGTGAGTGGCAGCAGCACCCTAACACTAGGCTGTGTGAAAACAGATCACATTACTCCGGAGCCTCACATTGCAGCCGGCGTTATTGTGCAGAACTGGGTTCTGCTGTAGGCACCCGGGGAGCCTTTCTTCATCAAGGGAGGTCATTGCACCTGTGCAAAGAAGATTTTTTTTCCTTTAAGATTCTTTTTTTTCTTTTTTTTCCACCCCCAGTTCAACTGATATTGAAAGTCACTGCAAAGTGGATTTGTGTGAGGACATATCAGGGGATGGGCGGTAAAGGAGAAAATCTTGTAGGGGTCAGGGGACAGTGTCCACAGGCAGAGTAAATTGTTGGGTGAACCACGCCGGGGATGAAACTGTTCTGCAATTCCTTTGGATGCTGCATGTGACTTGCTGGGGCAGACAGAAACTCAGATGTTTGACTATCTTGATCAAGCCACCGCATCAACAGAGTTTAGAAGCTGCTGGTCACCATCACTTGTGCTTTCCTGTGATAAGAATGAATATTAGTAAATCAGGAGCTGTTTTCAGCTCTGAAGACTTTCTTTTAACTTTTTTCACGACATATGAGCCTTGCATATAATGATAATCTATCTAATAGATATCAATTAAAAAAAACATATCCTAAAGGAAAATCATTCTTCAAGCTGAGCATCTGCTAGTGGAAGGATTTCAAGGGCATGGTTCTCATACTCATGGTAATGGCTCCCTCCGCATCAGGATAGCAGGGTCGGAACTGTGTGGAAGAGGCAATGAACGGTGGAAATTCAGTCCCAGTCAAGGCGGCTCAGTGTATCAAAGACATAGAAAATGTGAAGTGAGGAAAGCAGTCAGTCATTCGTTCATTCAACAAGTACTTATTGAGTGCCAGCTGTATACTACCGTTTGACCCTGTTCTAGTGTTAATCATCATTCTAGGAACTAGACAGACCAGATCCCTGCCCTTGTGAAGCTCAAGTTCAACCAATGTTTCTTGTGCAGGATGTATGGGCAAATTTTCATACTAGGCGCTGTTGGGGGACAAAAATCAGTAATTCACAGCCATCAGAAATCCCCAGGTTTCTTATGAGCTTGTGAGGGAGATACCAATGCCATGTTAGGAGCTTATACAGGACGTGGTCAGGGCTCAAAGAAGGATGTGTATGGGTAGGAAGTGCTCTGAGCCTAATACACATGAAAGAGCAAAACAAAATTAGCAGAAGCTGGGAGGAGCTGCAGAAGGGAGCACGGTAAAGTGAGGCCCACACAGGGAGAGGGATCTGGACTGGGTTAATTTTGAATTTGGAGTTTAGGGCTCTTCGCTCCATGTCCCTTGTCACAACCTGTAAATTTCTGTTGGACCTAATCAGGCCATTCATGGAGCTTCGGAGCCCACCCATTCTGTAGCCCAAGTGGCTAGAAGTAGGGCATAAGGGTTAGCAGGACATTTTAAGCATGTGTATGTGTCCCTCCCTATCCTTCAGGCTTCTTGGGGGCTGAAAAGGGCGTACTGAAGAGGTTACAAAGCAATCAAAGTAGTATTTTGTTCAGCATGCAAATTATTTGAAAAACATTTTTGAGCCAATATTTAAAAATCAAAAGATTTCCATTTCGTAACGCAGCTTTCCAGCATGTTTATTAGAGATCAGACGCTATGGCAACACTGGGCCCACACTACTGCAATGTAAGAGGAGGCCAGAGCAGAAGTTTCCACTGACCCCTCCCTCCCGGATAGATGAGCCATGCACCCACACACCCAGTCCCCACTACTCCCATAGGTCTGCCCTACTCTAAAGTCAACGATCAGTTGCCATTTCTCATGAAAATTACAATGTTGGTATTTTAGCATAAAGAAATATCCTTTTCCCATGTTGCTATCAAATATGGGGACATGAAAGACCTGAGGGATGGCATATCTTTCAAGAAGCAAAAATCATTCTTTCCTTCATTTTACAAATATTTATTGAGGGCCGACTATGAGTCAGGTACTGTTTTAAACACTGGGGATATAGCAATGAGAAAAAAAAGACAATGCTCTCCTCTACCCCCCACTTGAGGAGCTATTTCTTATTTGCGAGAGATAGACAATAAACAAATACATAATATATCATCAGGTAGTGGTATGAAACATGAGAGGAAAAGGTAGGGGTAGGGTGAGAGAAGAGGATTAGTTAGGATGGGGTGAAAGGGGCAGATGTGTCATTGGTCAGGGAAAGCTTCTCTGACAAGTGATGTCTGAAGAGAAACCTGAGTGACTAGATAGGTGAGTGCTGAGAGGGTATATTTCCTTGTAGAAGAAAAAAATATTCCAATGTATCTAATACGCAACGAGCATTTGAGTCAAAAGAATTTAAGGCCGTTAGGAAATAAATTAAGGTTAAGAAAAAACATGGAATAGCACACAGAAAGATCAGGGTCCCATCTTCAAGAATCCTGCTTTTGCAATTAAAAAAAAAAGATTTGAATTTTTATAGTCATTTTACTGCATGGGAGACCAAAGTCAAGTTTAATATTAGCAATCTAATTACATTTCAATCTTTGTGACTGTGTGAGATAGGTAAGAACATCTCTCCATGCTTCAGATAGAGAAATAAGGCTCAGATCAGATCATCTAAGGTCTCTGCTTGCAATAACATGGTTACTAAGTAGTAGAGACAAGATTATCCTAACTCCAGTCCAGCATCTTTCCAAGGTTATGCTTCAGTAAATTCCTCCAGAGCACCCCGAACAAGAGTAGAGTGAAAGCAAACCTAGGGAGAGGAGGTAAGGAGGACAGAGGCAGAGAGGTCCAGGAAGCATTTCAGAGCAACCAGCTCTAGATGTGGAATTTCTTCACGATGTCATATTATCTTGGAAATGCATATACATTTTGCCTCTATTCTATAATATATCCATATTTGTGCATTTCAATCAAATAAAGAAACACATTACAGGAAAGTGTACCATGTTTACTACCCAACTTTGCTTGCCAATCCCCCAAATGCACTCAGGACCTCAGTTTTGAAAATGGTGCCAGGGGTCTACAGAATGTTACAAGCAGACTAGCAGAACAAGAGCTAATAGGGAATTGACCCAGAAATGCTACAGAACATAATATTCTCTATCAAATGCATAATTATTAAGATGCATCAAATTGATTAAAATAGTCTCTACACTACAAATATAAGCAAGCATGTATTACCAAACGGTATTCAAGCATCAAACCTTTGTTTCTATCTTGAAGTTTAATTTGTAAGATGTTGTGCACATCTGGAGAGAAAATAACACAGTCCAAGAAAGGTGGAGGTGGTAAAAATCCAAGAATAAAGTCATTGTCATTGAGTGCAAATAAGTGCTTTTCTGAGACAATTTTCCTTTACTGTATAATAATTCCTTATTCATTAAGGGAAAAGTATAACATTACTGTTCTGGAATGTATCATATAGATGTTGGTATCTCTGCACTTTTCTAATCATAAACTGTTACAGATGGGTTTCCAGAGTTCTGTAGGTCACAGGATGAAAATCATTCTCCCTTGCCCTATCTCTCGTTCTTTTATAATCGCAGGGGTTTTTTTGACCTAGTTTTTTGTCCATCTCTAGTAGAGATACTCTTCTTTCCGACTTTCCCCTAAAGGGCTATATTTATATTGCACCTGATATTTTCCCCAACCTCTGAGTAGGAAGATGAACCTGGCAAGCATCTTTCTTCAAATCATTTATCATGCTTGCAAATGGCTGGCATGAGTCCACATTATTTCCTCCGCATTCCAATGCATGTTTTAAAGGCATCTTTTAATGTACCATTTAGGAAAGAGCTCCATACATCAAGAAACAAAAAACAGCCAAGGAATCTAATATTCTGTCCAAGACCTGTGAAGGAGATGCTGATATTGGTTCATTTGAATCAAGCCTTCTAGAAATGAATCTGGATATGAGTTAGTAGTGGATTTAAAAAAAGGAGTGTGGCATTGTCCTTCTGGGGCCTATTTCAAGAGAGGGGAAAAAAAAGACTTCATCTGTAAGCCATTTGAGAAAAAAACTGATGGGGCAGTTCTCTCCAAATGCTTTGCTTCGGCCTCTAACAAGAGAAAAGCTGCCACTTCCCTCCCATCTCTTTTTCCATCTTCTAATTCATGTCCTTTAAAAAACTTGATTGTGTAAATCACTACAGTCCCCACTTGCTCAGTTGTCCTAGTTTAGGCTGTCATTATTGTTCTCCCTTGCTGGAATGGCCTCCTAATTCATCTGCCCACCTGTGCTTTCTTCCCACCACAGTCTACCCTTCCCACTGCCCCAGAGAAAACTTGGTAAAGGACAGATCTGGTCATGTCCCTCTTGTGATTTAAAAGTCTCAGAGGCTCCCACTGCCTGCAGGGGAAAGTCCACACACACTAGCATAACACACCAAGTCCTTCCTGTTCCACCCCGCTCACCTTTCTCCCTCATCTCAGGAGCTCTGTGCCCCATGCCGTCCTGGCCCAGCCTCAGTAGATTGCTCATCTGCTCTCCCTTTGGTGCCCTACCCTCTTGCCTGTTGGCCTCTCAGAGTGAAAACCCTTTTCCTTTTCTCTGCTGGTTTGACTTCTACTCAACCTCCAGGATTTAGCTCATATGTCTCCTTCTCTCAAGGTTTCCCCAGCTCCACTCAGCATACCTCCAATATATTTCTAATTTAGCAGGTATATTTTAATAATTTTACTTTACCATCTCTACTCAGCCCCACCAGCTCTCAGAGGATAAGGACTATGTTTTCATTATCTATAATGCCCCCCAGGGGCACTAACTCCTATGAACATCCAATCTGCCCTGCTTTGAAAAAAAAATCTCAAGGAAAGAAGCTGAGAGATGTTGCAGCAGGTGCTTGAGGTAGGCTCCTGGTGGCAAAACTGGATCTGTTCACCATAGCTGCAGCTGAAATCAGGTGAGCAGAATGCATGTAGCCCGGGGCACAAAATATGTCTGCCACAGGCATGTTGATTTGAATAAGCATGGAAATGCAGGGTAGGAGGGCACGTCACAGGCCCCAGCCCAGCTGCCCATGCAGCATAGGAATGCTTTTACAGATTGCTTCAATGGGGAGCTTCCACTGTTCTCCCTCCTTTGACATGAGCAAATGATATCACCAGACAGCTTGTTGATGGGCATTTTTGCCAAACATAATTAATCTGATTTTAATGATAATAATAGTAACATTATCAAGTGCTTATTTTATGCCAAGTAGTGTCCTAAGAGCTTTGCATGTACAGTTTGATTTTCATAAGCACCATATGTGGTAAATACATTCATTAATTATACACCCATTTTCTAGGTAGAGTGTAGCAGATGCTGCCTGTGCCCTATCCACCTCCCCTCAAGCCTCCCCATTTTAGTGCAGGCAAGCAGAACTCCCCAATGCCAGCACCTGCAGCTCTTGGCCAGAGATCATTCTCCAGTACAAAAGCCCACTTTCCTGCAGTATGTTTGGTCAGAAGTACCAGAGAATTAACACCTCCTAGAAGCATTCCTCAATCAATGACTGAGAGGATTGCTTCTCAAGTGGGTTGGCTCTGAGTTATGTGGTCTACACTGGCTCCCAGAGTTCCCTAGAGGGGTTAAGCTCTGGTTTGTCTGCAATTGTAACACGCTTGATAATTCACCTGTTATTGGCTGCCTTACCTCCCCCTGCTCACTTTCCCACTCTCTTACCAGTGTTTCCTGGAATACCTTCTAGTATTTGCATTTTGAAACCTGATCTCTAGGTCTACTTCTGGAGGAACCTAACAAAGATAATCGGGCCAAGGCACTAAGAAGATCCAGGACTTGCCCGTGATGATTTCTCACTCTAGGGCCCACACTCTTATCCACTACCCCGTACTGTTAACTCATCCAGGTTTTCCCGCTGTAAAAACAAACAGCCGTCATTTCCTTCCTCTATGCCCAAATATGTGAAGACAGCCAAAGACTCTCCAATTCCTTCTGCCATGACTGTTACAAACATGGTTTCCATACCAATCATCCTCTCGTGAGGCAACCTCTCCCCTGCACAAATTCTCCACTTAAAATTAAACACATGAATTTTTTTCTGCTTTTTACCTTACATATTTCATCTATCTGCTTTTTATTCCTGTGCCATTATAGAAGTACAGAATTCAAAATATGGTATGGTAGACTATTCAATTTTAATCCTGTTTTAATACAAAAAATAAAGTTCCTGGAACTAGTTCTATGTTCAAAATAGCATCCATGCAAACAAAATGTTGAATTGGTTACAATGAATCTTACTAATATAAGTAATGCTTACATTAATAAGGTCTTATAAATGTGGCAAGATATGAATATTGATGTATTTATTAGGTATTTATTAACAGCAACAACAAACACTCTGATTTCTTCTGTGTATTTTAGTGAATTGCACCCTCAACCAGAGGTCCTGAATTTATCTTTGACGTGCTTCCTTCTCTATCATCTACGTCAGCCATAAACAAAAAGTCAGGCATCATAGATTAGCTGCACATAGAAAGCATTCCCAGAAGTAAGCACCACAGTGGGATGCACAAAACGTATTGTTGATGAATTTAAGGTTCTTGAACTGCTATCTGGAATCAGTCTATATACAACATAGTCAAAGTAAAATAATAAATTTAGGAATTATAACATGTCATAAACAGATCCTAAGATGAAGAGTCACAGAATGTTATGGCAAGAGGCTGGGTATGGTGGCTTATGTCTATAATCTCAGCACTTTGGAAGGCCAAGGTGGGTGGATCACTTGAGGTCTGGAGTTTCAGACCAGCCTAGCCAACATGGTGAAACTCCATCTCTACTAAAAATACAAGAATTAGCTGGGTGTGGGGGCACACGCCTGTAATCCCAGATACTCAGGAGGCTGAGGCAGGAGAATCACTTGAACCCGGGAGGTGGAAGCTGCAGTGAGCCAAGATCACACCACTGCACACCAGTCTGGGCAACAGAGCGAGACTCAGTCTCAAGAAAAAGGAAGATTATGGCAAGTGAAACTCTAGAGAACAACTATTTCAATTTCATCTTTTACAGAATTTAAGATCTTACAACTAGGTAGTGACATAATCAGAAATAGAACCCAGATTTCTTAGCTCTGAATTCAGTGCTTAGTCCACTTACCACAACCTGTTACAAATTGTGAATAATTTATTTTTCATCCTAATCACAATAGAGTATCTTTGCATACCAAGTCACTAATTCATCTCCTATGATGACCGATACCTGGTTTGAAGTAATACATGAAACTAATTAAATGTTTGTCACAGAAATTTAGAATTAAGGACAATGAGGGACTGAATCAATGAGGGACTGAGCCAGTGGATGGCACTTGAATTGAGATGTCATGCTAAACAGTAAATTTAGAATTTAAATTTAAATAAGATCGATGTAAGTGACAACGCAGAGCCCCCAAGAAACAGAGAATAGTCTGAGCCTCACTTTCCCAGACCAGTTCTTCTGAGAGCTGGTGATATTTATACTTCATGAAGCTTATTTGTTTTTTGTTTGTTCGTTTGTTTGTTTTTTGAGACGGAGTCTTGCTCTGTTGCCCAGGCTGGAGTGCAGTGGTGTAATCTCCACTCACTGCAAGCTCTGCCTCCTGGGTTCACACCATTCTCCTGCCTCAGCCTCCTGAGTAGCTGGGACTACAGGCGCTCGCCACCACACCTGGATAATTTTTTCTATTTTTAGTAGAGATGGGGTTTCACCATGTTAGCCAGGATGGTCTCAGTCTCCTGACCTTGTGATCTGCCTGCCTCAGCCTCCCCAAGTGCTGGGATTACAGGCGTGAGCCACCGTGCCCAGCTGCTTATTTGTATTTTTAAAGTAATATCCTTTAACACATTTACTTGGGCTAGTTTGAGTATGTATCTCTTCCTGTAACCAAAAGTCCTGGATAGAAGACTCTTCCCTCTTCTTGCTACTAAGCTAAACAACTACTTTTTAAAAAATGGGTGTCAGATAATGGAATAGTAAGAATGGCCATTGGAATTAGCATGAAGAACTGAATCAGAATGAATGAAGTAGGAGACTAAGTTTAACCAAATACCAGCTGTGGTTGGAGAATGTTGTTGTATGGGGAAAAGAGGCTGATATTCCTAAGTCCTTTAGCAAGTTTAGAAGCAGGCCCTTGATAGTAGAAATGTATGAGAGTCTTCAAGAGGCCCATCTGCTGTTGGCTGTCTTCAAGAGACCCAACTCACGTGGAATTATACCCACAGGCTCAAAGTAGAGTTGAAGAAAGATCTATCACATTAACAGAAAACAAAAAGGAGGAGGGGTCACTATTCTTATAACAGACAAAACAGACTTTAACAGTGAAAGGGGACAAAGAAAGGCATTACATGATAAAGGGTTCAACAAGAAGACTTAACTGTCCTAAGTATTATACACCCGACACTGAAGCACCCAGATTCATAAAACTACTACTTCTACGCCTATGAAAAGACTTAGCCACACAATAATAGTGGTGGACTTCAACACCCCACAGATAACATTAGACAGATCATTGAGGCAGAAAACTAACAAAGAAATTCTGGACTTAAATTTGACACTTGACCAATTGAACCTAACAAACATCCGCACAATACTCCACCCATAAGTCACAGAACATACATTCTTTTTCATCTGCACATAGAACGTACTCCAAGATCCACATGCTCAGCCATAAAGCAAGTCTCGATAAATTAAAAATCAAAATCACTCACGCCTGTAATCCCAGCACTTTGGGAGGCCGAGGCGGGTGGATCATGAGGTCAGGAGATCAAGACCATCCTGGCTAACAAGGTGAAACCCCGTCTCTACTAAAAATACAAAAAATTAGCCGGGCGCGGTGGCGGGCGCCTGTAGTCCCAGCTACTCGGGAGGCTGAGGCAGGAGAATGGCGTGAACCCGGGAAGCGGAGCTTGCAGTGAGCCGAGATTGCGCCACTGCAGTCCGCAGTCCGGCCTGGGCGACAGAGCGAGACTCCGTCTCAAAAAAAAAAAAAAAAAAAAAAAAAAATCAAAATCACGTCAATCATATTCTCTGACCAGTGGAATAAAAGTAGAAACTAATACCAAGATCTCCCAAAACACACAATTACATGGAAATTAAACAACTTGCTCCTGAATGACTTTTGGGTAAACAATAAAATTAAGGCAGAAATCAGCAAATTCTTTTAAATAAATGCAAATACGAACATAACACAGCAAAATCTCTAGGATGCAGCAAAAGCAATGCTAAGAGGAACGTTTATAGTGCTAAACGCCTACCTCAAAAAGTTAGAAAGATCTCAAAGTAATGATCTACTGTCACACCTAGAGGAACTAGAAAAACAATAATAAACTAACCCCAAAGTTAGCAGAAGTAAAGAAATAACTATAATCAGGGCAGAACTAAATGAAATTGAGACCCCAAAATCCATACAAAAAATCAATGAAACAAAAAGTTGGTTCATTGAAAGTATGAGCAAAATCAATAGATCACCAGCTAGATTAGCATGGAAAAAAAGAGAAGATTCAAATAAGCATAGTTGGAAATGACAAAGGTGACATTGCAACCAATCCCACAGAAATACAAAAGATCCTCAGAGACTATTGTGAAAACCTCTATGCATACAAACTAAAAAATCTAGAGGAAACAGATTAATTTCTGAAAACACACAAGCTCCCAAGATTTAATCATAAACAAATTGAGACCCTGAACAGTCCAATATCAAGTCCAAAATTGAATCAGTAATGAAAAAAAAAAACCTACCAACCAAAAAAAGATGGATTCATAGCCAAATTCTACTAGACATACAAAGAAGAGCTGGTACCAATTCAACTGAAACTATCGCCAAAAAATCGAGGAGGAGGGACTCCTCCGTAAGTCATTCCATGAAGCCAGCATATCCTGATATGAATACCTGGAAAAAACATAATGAAAAAAGAAAACTGCAGGCCAATATCTCTGATGAACATAGATGCAAAAATCCTCAACAAAATACTAGCAAACCAAATCCAGCAGCACATCAAAAAGTTAATTCACCACAATCAAGTAATCTTCATTCCTGAGATGAAAAATTGGTTCAACATATGCAAATCAATAAATGTGATTCACTACATAAACAGAATTAAAACCAAAAACAATATGATCATCTCAATGGACGCAGAAAAAGCCTTCACTAAAATCCAACATCTCTTCATGATAAAAAACCCTCAACAAAGTAGGCATCAAAGTAAAATACTTCAAAATAATAAGAGCCGTCTATGACCACAGACAACATCACAATGAATGGGCAAATACTGGAAGCATTCCTCTTGAAAACTGGAACAAGAAAAGGATACCCACTGTCACCACTCCTATTCAAGATAGTACTGAAAGTCCTAACCAGAGCAGTCAGGCAAAAGAGAGAAATAAAATCATCCAAGTAGGAAAATAAGTAGTCAAACTACCTTTCTTTGCTGACAATATGATTCTATACCTAGAAAACTAAGGACTCTGGCAAAAGCCTCCTGGAACCAGTAAATAACTTCAGTAAAGTTGCAGGATACAAAATCAATGCACACAAATTAGTAGCATTTCTATACACCAATAATGTTCAAGCTGAGAGCCAAATCAAGAATACAATCCCTCTTACAATAGCCACACAAAAAAGGAAATACCTAGGAATACGTCTAACCAGGGAGGTGAAAGATGTCTATAAGAAGAACTATAAAACACTGCTGAAATAAATCATAGATGACACAAACAAATGGAAAATCATTCTGTGCTCATGAATTAGAAGAATTAACATTGTTAAAATGGCCATACTGTCTAAAGCAATCGACAGATTCAACACTATTCTTATCAAACTGCCAATGTCATTTTTCACAGAATTAAAAAAAAACTATTTTAAAATTCATATGGAACCAAAAAAGAGCTCAACTAGCCAAAGCACTCCTAAGCAAAAAGATCAAACCCCAAGGCATCACATTACCAGACATCAAACTATACTATAAAGCTACAGTAACCAAAACAGCTTGGTGCTGGTACAAAAACAGACACATACACCAATGGGACAGAACAGAGAACCCAGAAATGAAGCTGCACACCTACAACTGTCTGTTCTTCAACAAAGTCAACAAACATAAACAATGGGGCAAGAACTCTTTATTCAATAAACAGTGCTGGGAAAACTGGCTAGCTACATGCAGAAGGATGAAACTGGATCCCTACCCTTCACCATATACAAAAATTAAATCAACATGAATTAAAGATTTTAATGTAAGACCTCAAACTATAAGGATCCTAGAAGAAAACCTAGGAAACACCATTCCGGACATCAGTCTTGGGAAAGAATTTATGACTAAGTCCTCAAAAGCTAATGAAATGAAAACAAAAATTGACAAGTGGGATCTAATTAAACCAAAGAGCTTCTGCATTGCCAAAGGAACCATCAATAGAGTAAACAGACAACCTACAGAATGAGAGAAAATATTCACAAACTATGCATCCAACAAAGGCCTAATATGCAGAATTTATAAGAAACTTAAATAATTCAACAAGCAAAAAAGCAACCCCATTAAAAAGTAGGCAAAGGACATGAACAGTCACTTCTCAAAAGAAGACTTGCAAGCAACCAACAAACATATGACAAAATGCTCCACATCATGAATCATCAGAGAAATGCAAATCAAAACCACATGAGATACCATCTCACACCAGTCAGAATGGCTATTGACTGAAAACTCAGAAAAGAACGGATGCTGGTGAGGCCGCAGGGAAAAGGGAATTCTTATACACTGTTGGTGGGAATGTAATTCAGTTCAGCCACTGTGGGAAGCAGTGAGATCTGGAGATTTCTCAAATAACTTAAAACAGAACTACCATTCAACCTAACAATCCCATTACTGAGTATATATCCAAAAGAAAACACGTTTTTCTACCAAAAAGACACATGCACTTGTATGTTCCTCGCAGCACTATTCACAATAGCAGAGACATGGAATCAACCTAGGTTTCCATCAGCAGTGGATTGGATAAAGAAAATGTGGTACATGTACATTATGTACCACTCAGCCATAAAAAAAACAAAATCATATCCTTTGCAGCAACATGGATGCAGCTGGAGGCCATTATCATCATAAACAAATTAACACAGGAAAAGAAAACCAAATGCCACATGTTCTCACTTATAAGTGCGAGCTAAACATTGATTATTCGTGGATATAATGATGAAAACAATAGACACTAGGGATTAATATAGAGGGGGGAAGAAGGAAGAGGGCAAGGGTTGAAAACCTGACTCTTGGGTACTATGCTCACTACCTGAATGACAGGGTCATTCATATCCCAAACCTCAGCATCATGCAATATACCTATGTAATAAATCTGCACATGTACTCCCTGAATCTAAAATAAAAGTCAAAATTATTTTTTTAAAGAAAGGCGTGTGTTTTGAATGGTGAGTTTTCCCCACCCACTTCCTTACCCCACACTGCTTTAGACTTGCCCTGGTAGTTCCAACCAAGAGAAAGAAAGGAGCAGAGCCTAATATGTGACTATAAAAGGGCATGTTCTCAGGCCGGGCATGGGGGCTCATGCCTGTAATCCTAGAACTTTGGGAGGCTGAGATGGGTGGATCACCTGAGGTCAGGAGTTCGAGACCAGCCTGGCCAACATGGTGAAACCCCATCTCTACCAAAAACACAAAAATTAGCCAAATGTGGTGGTGCATGCCTGTAATCCTGGTTACTCCGGAGGCTGAGGTAGGAGAATCGCTTGCACATGGCAGGCAGAGGTTGCAGTGAGCCGAGATCGTGCCACTGCACTCCAGCCTGGGCCACAGAGTGAGACTCTGTCTCAAAACAAATAAATAATAAAATAAAAGGGCATGTTCTGTTTCCCACCAGCTACTCTTCTGACCGTGGATTCATAGTCCTTCTGAGCTCTCTGATACTCCCAGCTTTGGGAGGTGGGTCAGCACCTTAAGTCAATTTCCTACTAGTCTTATTGGTTTCCATAGACCTAAGAGAGTCAATATACCTCAATCAATAAAGCATGTCAAAATGTTTTCTCCCCAAAAACATTAAACACAATTGTATTGGCACTATTCATTTTCAATCAACAACGTCTCTCCCACTTCTTTGTTGACAGACCCTTATTATCCATTTCTCAGTGATCCTATCCCCACCTCATCAGCTCAGAAAAAAAGCTAAATGAATTTAAGACCAGTATGTGTTCTTATGGCTTAAGCCACTGTTCATCAGGTTTTCTGTTAATTACAAGTTAACCCTGGTAAAAGAAATAATGGATAGCACTTAAAGTTTGTATTATGTGCTGAAAGCTTTCCAAGTGCTTCACGTGGACTGATTCATTCAGTCTTCACAACAATCCTAAGAGAATGATGATGATGACGATGATGATTATCATCGTCATCATCCCTATTTTACATCTGAGGAAATGGAGGCACAAAGATGTTAACTTGTCCAGTGTGTCAGAGATAATATTTATAGAGTTAGCGTTTACATCTAGGCATATGGTTCCATCATCTGTGCTCTTTATCACTATATTAGACTACCTGAATATGATAGAATGATTTATAATAACATATAAAAATTATCAGATTGAGTTGCCTTATTTTTGACCACAAATTAAACATTAACACATGGATTAAGCAAAACCATGTAGTTGTCCATTATACCCAGGCTAAATTTTGTTACCTGGTCTGTGTTTTAGAAGTCATATGGCCAAGGGCTCTGCTATAATCCATTAAAACCTTTTATTCTCTGTCTGCCCTAGATTAGAGCTTGCCAGGAGAGCAATTTAACAATTGGTAACTGTTTAAACATTACCCCTGAAGGAAGCCTTCCATTCCTGCTTATATCTTTGTGTAGCCTTGTTCTCGTAGCCTCCTACTCAGAAATCAACTGAGATCTATCTGTAGGAATAATGCTGTTCAAAAAAATATTTCCTTCTTGTATTCAGCACTGCTAGAGACTTAGAAGTGGGTGCATGGAGAGATATTTTTTTCTTGCCTATTGCCAGCACTGCTAGACACTTAGAAGTGGAAGGTGTGAAGAGACATTTCTTTCTTGTGTCCATTCTTTATTTTTGTTTATTTTGTTTGCTATCGTTGTTTGGCTTTAGGTACCTAGATTTTAAACATACCATGGGCCAAAATCTGACCAAATTCTTTCCCAAATGCATTTATTTTCCTGCAAGGAGTGAGGTTGCAGAAAGTAAAACCAGATATCTGAGTTATTATACTCAATCAGTAGCTCTGCTGGTCTGGTCCCCAGTGGCTGAGAAATTGTGTTTTTGAGAAGCATGTGTGCTCATCAACACAACTATATAAACAACTCACCAAGTTAACACAAGATAAGGATTGTCCCAGTGGCCAAGGTATTTCAGATAAGCTAAATAACTATGTAAAATGAACAATTAAACAAAACAATGTCATAATTTTTACACTTTTTTTCATTTGGATACCAAAATACACACAAACACATATACACACAGAAAACAACAAGAACAACAACAAAAAGAGTATCATTTGCAAAGTCCCTGTGTTGGGGACAGAAATCTTGATGTAGATTTTCAAGGCATTTCATGAAAATAAAGATATTGAAGTCTTCCTATTTCTGAGCCCCAACTTTCTCTTTGTGAGACAAGTTTTTGATAGACTAGAAAATTGTCTCTTAAGGTTCTTGTCAGGTCAAAAACCTTGCTCCCTCACCTCGATTCCCATGCTCTTTACAGCTCCTCCTTTTATGGTACTAATTGCATCCCATTGTTCTGTAATTAGCAGGGAGAGTTTCTTTCTGTCTCCTACCACTTGACATGAATGCAAAGTCAGATATTAACCCAACAATGGCCCAGGACTGAGGCTTTGAAATGAATAGATTGATGTCAAATCCTCAATCCAAATTTTGAATGCTATTGCTGTAAGAAAATTATCAAAATCATCATCATTCTAGAAATTCACAGGAAGCAATCAGGCAACTATTACTAAAAGCTATGCTTTGATAATATGGAGATTAAGACCCTTGGGCACTTATCTAACATGTGCTGACTATAATTACAATATGTGTACAATCTGAAAAGATGAGTGTTTTTAAAGATTTTTGAGTGCCTGTAATCCCAACACTTTAGGAAGCCGAGGCAGGTGGATCACTTGAGGTCAGGAGTTTGAGACTGGCCTGGCCAACATAGTGAAACCTTGTCTCTACTAAAAATACAAAAATTACCCGGGCTTGGTGGTGCACGCCTGTAATGCCAGCTATTCAGGAGGCTGAGGCACGAGAATCGCTTGAACCCAGGAGGTGGAGGTTGCAGTGAGCTGAGATCGCGCCACTGTACCCCAGCCTGGGCGACAGAGCAAGAGTCTGTCTCAAAAAAAAAAAAAAAAAAAAAAAGTGAGTGACCAGTGACCACACAAATGCTCTGAGTTATTGGTGAAAGTAAGCTTTTTTGGTGAAAACAAAAATATTTTGGCTATCATAATCATGGTGCCATTCAGATGCAGTGGATTCTTTCCCTGGAGAATATCCTGTTCCAATGACAGAGAGAGCATGGGAGGCCTCAGAGAACTGTGAAAGAATCTGATGGGAAGATCTTCCCCAAAGAAAGGTTCACTGTGGAATAGTCGCTGCTCCGCATGTGCCTTTTCCAGCAGTGGGTGGGCACGTTCTGATTCACAGAACTAAAGGGATTTAAAGGACAGATTTTTTTTGTGTGTGTTCTATGTGATTAGAAATACGCTGCTATCGGGCCGGGCACAGTGGCTCACGCCTGTAATCCCAGCACTTTGGGAGGCTGAGGCGGGCGGATCACCTGAGGTCAGGAGCTCGAGACCAGCCTCAACATGGGGAAACCCCATCTCTACTAAAAATACAAAATTAGCCGGGCGTAGTGGTGCATGCCTGTAATCTCAGCTACTCGGGAGGCTGAGGCAGGAGAATTGCTTGAACCTGGGAGGCGGAGGTTGCGGTGAGCCGAGATCGAGCCATTGCACTCCAGCCTGGGCAACAAAAGCGAAACTCCATCTCAAAAAAAAAAAAAAAAAAAAAAAAAAAAGAAATACGCTGCTATCACAGAGAAGATGTTGAAACAAACAAAAAAAGGCAAAGAATGAATGAATGCAAAATGTGTTCCTTCAAAAGAAAAAACAAAACAAAAAATGTATAAGAAAGGAACAAAAGGAAGAGGAGAGAAAGGGAGGAAGGAGCCCCTAATTCCATTAGTTGGAAGAAACTGTTGTAAGAGAGGAAAGGAGGAAAAGGAGTGCATTTCAAGGCCAAGCAGGATACCGCGGTAGAGCTCTAAGAGAGTCTGCTCATTTCTCTACATCTCATGGATTTGGGAGAGCCTCCCCAAGCAGGTTCCTCCTGCCTTTGGGGAGAGCCTCAGAGAAGCAGGTTGGCCAAGATGTAAGAGTTTTTGAATTTTGCTTTTCAACTGCTAGATAACAGCCACATGAATGAAGGAGTTTACCAACTTAATCATGCTAATCCCCTCCACCCAGAGTGGAATTAAGTGTCTTCTTTCCAAGAGAGATAGGAGTCCTCCAATCCTCCCAGTGCTCAGATCCTTGTCTGCAATTGATCATCGCCAAGTCTGATATGCAAAAAACAAACACAAAAAATTAAAGAACCTACTGAGTAGGCAAGAGGGTTTTTTTGGAACAAAACGTCCATCTCATCAGGCCACTGGCCGCATTCCTCTGGCCATCTAGAGGAGATCTCTTAATTAAGCCCCATCTCTCTCTTTTTTTTTTTTTTTCGAGATGGAGTCTCACTCTGTCACCAGGCTGGAGTGCAGTGGTGCAATCTCAGCTCACTGCAACCTCCAACTCCCTGGTTCAAGCGATTCTCCTGCCTCAGCCTCCCGAGTAGCTGGGATTACAGGCTTGTGTCACCACACCCAGCTAATTTTTGAATTTTTAGTAGAGACGGGGTTTCACCATGTTGGCCAGGATGGTCTCGATCTCTTGACCCCATGATCTGCCCACCTCAGCCTCCCAAGGAGCTGGCATTACAGGCGTGAGCCACCGTGCCCGGCCAAGCCCATCTCTTAATTAAGAGAAATTCTCTCCAGGTAGTTGTATAGTTGATTCGTTCCTTTAAGTTAAAAAAAAAATGCAGAAATAGCAGGATGAGAGATCACTATGTACCACAACTTGTCTCCTATCCTTTCCCATCCCCCATTGCTCCAAGAGAAAATGTGCTTTGTAGAAAGCTCAAAATGTGAATGAAAGAAAAGCGCTGGAGTTGAGACAAATTTCTAGTTTGGAAACAAAAGCACCAATATCATAATGAAAATTGTTCTCTACCATAGGGGACACTGGCCCAGTGCTCCCAGCTTACAGCCCTAGGACTTTAGACAACCACAAGGAGTTAACATTTGCTGAGTGCTTGCGGTGCAGGCTGAGCGCTTATGCACATTATCTCTTTTGAAAATCTTTTTGGAACAAAGATTTGTTACTTTCATGCCTACAGCACAGAATCCATGATAGAGATTATTATTTTTGGAGAAATTATTTAACCGAAATAATTATAGCTACTTCACCAGCTACTTCGTAAGCCCTGATTTAAAAAAGAAAAAAATCTTGGCTCAGAAACAAGCCAAGAGAACATAACACAGTCCTCTAAACTCAACTTTAAAGTTGTCTTTGTCTCAATTTCACACTCTTGTCTGCAAACCCAGCCTTTACATAAGAGGCCGACCTCACTGGGTGTGGCTGGCATGCCCAGACAGGAGACGTAAACATTTCTCTTTGGGGATCAGCATTTGGGGCAACCTTAGAGCACTGTCACCATGTGGCCGGAGTCCTAGATCTCAGGAAGAAAGCTGAGGTTCTGAGTAAGTTGAATCAGAGAATATGAGGACAAAAAAAAAGGGAGAACCTGACAACTGGTTAATGTGGAGCAATTGTCAGCTTTAGAAGCCCATTCAGGCTGGAGAGAGACCCATCCTCCTAATATGACAGCCATGGGTCATGACAGAATTAGACCTGGGTTTTCCAGGTGTCTGTAGGTGTACCAGGGAAAGCCAGGAGAGCCAACAGCAGTTCCACACCAACCCAGCTCAGGAAGGCGGACCGAACAGCGGCACAGAAAGCAGCTTGTACAGTCAGCAACCCTGAAACAAACGCTCCTCTCCAATGCAATGCCAATCGGACTCCTTCGCCAGGAGTAAACGTGATTCTTCTTGCGATTAGTTCAGAAACTTGCCTTCCAGAGATTAAAAGAAAGCAGCTTTGGAGAGGTTGGATGCAGTTGTAAAAAGAAAAATGCCTGAGCTTTGCAGAGAAAGCTGGACATGTACTTGACCCAGTTACAATCTTCCTTTCTCTTTTTTCCTGCTGGTTCAGGAGCATATCTCTTTCCTTACTTGAAAGAAATGTTTCCTTTGCAGTGGGATTTTGATTTTAAAGTTAGGTTATGTTCATTTTAATTTTCTTTTCTTCTGTGTTTTTTCTTTTAAAAACATTATATGAAAATTAACAGTTGCTCCTTATAGAAAATATGGAAAAATACAAAAGAGAAAATTAAAATCACACCTAATTCTACCATTTGGATGATCACTGTTAATATTTTAATTTTTCTTTATTATTTTCAAGTCTTTTAAGTTTTCATTATGTTTGTGTATGTTCATATGTGTGTGTATGCACACACACGCATATATATATATATATATATATATATATATATATATATATAGTTATTTTACAAAATTGGGATTTTCCAAAATATCGTTTTGTGATCTGCTTTTTTCCACTTATTATAATGGAAACATTCTCAAGCAATTAAATGTGTTTCTTTGAAAACACATTTTTTAAATGACTACATAATTACTATTCCTTTTCAAGCTTTAACAGTCTGAGTGCAGTACATTAAATAAAATAATGTATCTATATTTTCCATTTTGATGTAACTTTAAGCCATTTGTGTTTGATTGCACTCATTTAATGTACTTCTCTATTGTTTTTGCAAGTTCAGACGCTTTAAGTGCAGCCAATTAAATTGAAAACACTAAGCACATCAGGAAAGATTTACCGATGGTATAAGCCACTAAAGAAACCTAAGCCAGCTGTTATTTCGCAAAACAGCTGTATCTATCTACAATCAAAGTCCACCTCCTATAAATAAGAGATTGCTTATTTGTTATGATTTTAGGTGCTACAGTAGGCTGGTTTCATTTTCTGGTGATGGCACTGTGTCTTCCCAAACATTCAGAAACCTTTTAACCCAATAGATGGCATTTAATATTAGACCATCGGCCATTTAGAAAAATCTAGATAATTGACTGCATTATTGGAAGGACTTAACTTTTGAACAGGTACTATTCCCAAAATCTGCTTTCAAGCTTGTTTGGAGCTCTTAGGAAACTTTCTCCCAAAGAAACGAGCTCTAAGAGGTGGGCAGCTGACAAGGAACCTGAGGCATCACATGCCATGCGAGGAGTTCCATCCAACAGCTCAGTGATGACTCTGGGAGAAAATGAATTCCAAACACTTTGGTGGGATCAGTGACTCTTTCTCACCTTTCACCCCAGCTAGCCAGCAGCAGGAATGAGGATTCCAGAGGAGAAACGTGGAAAACTCAAAAAGCAGAATTGGGAAAAGAAGGTTCCAGGGAAATCTGCCTCCTCCTCGGGGCCCTCTTGGTGTCCGTCAGCTTCTGGACACTCTTCTCTGAGCACCTCAGGGTGGCTCTACCTGCTTCGACTTTCTGCCATCATCACCTTTTCACATGCCTCAAGCTTCACACTCTACCCTGACCCACTTCCCAATTCTCTTAAGCCATCCTTTTCTTAAAGCAAGTTCAAAATCTTTTTTGAGGCTTTCAAAAAAGCACCTTGCTAGGAAACTGGGAAAAGAAAATTCAAAGCTCCCTCCTGAGTCAACTCATAATTGTAATATTCTATAGGGAAAGACAAGGATGACAGTAGGAAATAAGGCAGGTCTTACAGCACATAGAGGTCTAAAGAAAAACATGCGTCTGCATTTCAGAGGAACATTCTATGTCAATGACCTCTCTGAATATGGAGCCCCAGAAAAAAAGAAAGAAGAGCCAGACCCTAAAGGCAGAGACTAGGAATTCCACTTAAGGACCTCACAGGTAGCAAAGGGAGAAAACCTATGGAAGAATCAACTTCCTGTCTTCTTTTCCTCCCTTTTGCTATTATAATCGCCACCACCATCTGGATGAAAATGAAGGTACATTAAGAAGGGAATGAACATTTCCCAAGTTCTTGTCATTGATCAAGAATTGGTCTCTTGCAGAAGAGGGAATGAGACTCAGGGAGGTTAAGTAAGAAACAAGGACAAAAGTGGAGCAGTGCGAGGATGCCATTCTTCTCAGGAGCAAAGCCAACAACCAATTGGAGGACAGAAGGAAGTCCCAAAGAGTGTCAGCTGCGAGGGGAGGGTAGCCCTGTTTCTTGACTGCCCATCCCTGATCCTGAGAAAAATAGGCTTCCATTCCAAAGACTGCCCCTGCATTTGGAATGGATGTAAGGCATGCATCTGTAAATTGGGGCTGCGATTTGATTTTCATTCAGATGTTTTGGCATCATACACACACCACCAGGGCATGTTTTAGTTTCTACCAAAACAAAAGAAGCTCAGAAGAAGTTCTTTATAATTAAGTCTTTCCAACCAGGCAGCCACTCCTCCTTCTCCAGACTTCACTGTAAAGCTCCAAATTTGGTTCCAGGATCCCACTGAAGCCTACAGTCTAGAAACAAGTCAGGATTTAAACGTGGATTCTATTATTCCCAAAAGGAATGGTGCCATGTCTTACTTTCTGTTGTTTTTATGTAAACTTAACAGGATTTTTTTTTTCTCTTTCAGGATCACCCAATTGTAAATTTCATAGCTTCTTTCTTTTCCCTTTAGCTGTTTATATCAGTTTTTCAAATGGTTCATATAAAAAGTTTATATACTCTAAAGCCTTCCAATAAATCTAAGTTGTATACACTGTGATCTCTAGAAAAGTTACCTTTTCTATGGTAATTAACTTAGAGCTGTATTGTCTTATTTTAATAAATCATTTAACACTTGATATTCTCATTGACAAATAATATTCATTAAAAAAATTCCTAAGCAGAAGAGATGGATTAGAAGTTCAGACAATAATTGATATCTTAATAAAGATTCCTTCATATTTAGCAGATTACATTTTATCGCTCAGTTTAGAAATTGGCATCCCAAATGTTGTAGAAACAAAAATATGAGTATTCTTGGGATAGTCTTATTTTGAAAGCGTAAGAAAACCCTTGACAATTGTACACAAAAGATCCAGACTCTCAGCAGTGACTTGGGAGGAGGATGCAGTTCCTAACAGCAGCAAGGCAGCAAAAAAAAAAAAAAAGGCACCTCACCTACTTATAAAGGAAAAATTATTTGGACCTATTCTTGTGCTCAATTGTCCCCTCAGCATAGAATATATGCAACTGCTTCATTAGCACCACCATCAATTAGAAGTTCTTTGCAGTCTAAACATATTGGACAACTTTATTTCTGAAGGGAAGCAGTGTCCAGTTCCCCAGGCTATTGCAATGCCAAATCCCAGAAGCAAAACAAGATTTTCTTCATTGCTCTAATGGGACGCAAGATGTTCCTGAGGTTTAAAGTTTGACTTTTACAGGCACTTTCCTTTTGCCTTCAGAACTATTTTATACTTACGTGGTATGGTCCTTCAATTTCCACAGGCAAATTTATTTCCTAAAACAGAAGTCAAAAGTCAAAGAAGACTAAAAGACTTCAGTCCAGAGACTTCTGAAGACCTTGGATTTCATTTATATTTTTTGTGCCTTGGGTAATTATTTATGTGGCTTATGTTATTTTGGATAAAGAGGACTTGCTCTTAAAATTAGATGAATGGAAAAACATGACAAGTCAATGCATTTATAGAATACTGGCATGGAATATGCACTATTGCTTCACTTTCACTATTTAATCACTAATAATTAGATCTTGAAATAAGTAGATGTATATTAGTTATATAACCAAACCTTTACCTTTCATCAGTGTTTATTTACAAGGCACGATTATTTTCAATAGATATAGTTTTTCTTTCTAAAGTGTTTTTTGTTGTTGTTGTTGTTTTGAGATGGAGTCTCGCTCTGTCACCAGGCTGGAGTGCAGTGGTGCGATCTCGGCTCACTGCGACCCCTGCCTCCCAGGTTCAAGCAATTCCCCTGCCTCAGCCTCCCCAGTAGCTGGGACTATAGGCGTGCACCACTACGCCCAGCTAATTGTTTGCATTTTAGTAGAGATGGGGTTTCACCATGTTGGCCAGGATGGTCTTAATCGCCTGACCTCATGATCGGCCTGCCTCGGCCTCCCAAAGTGCTGGGATTATAGGCGTGAGCCACCACTCCCAGCCTCTAAAGTTTTATGTAATATTTTGCCCCTGAACCTGTTCTCTTTTTTATTATTCTGTTCCATTATTATGATTTTCCCTTATTTTCTTACTTTAAACATATTTATTTTGTAGCATTCTACATTTCATATTGCCTAAGTTTTGCGATATAAACTTTTCTGCTTTTTGTTCTATCATTTTGTTCTGTGGCATGGGGTGGGGTGTATTTTGTATGTTGGGAATTGTAAAAAAGGACATAGAGAGTGATTTTGAGACTTCATCTAAAAGAAGCCCCCATGTTTTCATCAGGCCATAGTCAGTTTCTACATTAATTTCTCAGCTTGGGATTCCCCAACATACCCGTAGGGTAAATTTGGATTCCACACCCATGCATGGCACACTTGTGAAGTTTCCATTTATCATGGGAAGTATTTTTTCCATCGAAACCCAGGGTATTCTTGCATTTCCTGAGAGCTTCCCTGGGCCAGTGGGCGGTTTTCAAATTTCTCTTTTACTGAAGGAGCAGGCATTCATGACTCTGGGTTTTGCATTTATGGAAGTAAATACAGTAGGAGAATGATAAATAAACCATGTTATATTATACAGGGATTAAAAAGTAATAATGACTTCCAAGACATAGTTTGAAGTTGCAGCATGATACATATAGTGTGATACATACCCACATATATATACATATAAGAAGCAGTACCAAATATTTTTATAGGTGCATATATACGTATATGAGAACAGAGAAAAGGTATGGATAGATACATGCTATAGTAGTAGTACTAGAGGTTGAGCTTAGAATTGGAACTCAGGTCAAGAAATGAGAAGAGGCTATAGCTTTATGGGTTGCATCTAATTTAGTCAATGAAAATGTAGATGTATATTAGTTATATAACTAAAAATCAATAGTTATATTTAATTATATTTAAACAGAGACCACGTAACTGAATTCACAATAGCTTCTTTTTCACCTTATGTAATTTCTCAATCAACAGATACTAAAAAGTCATGTTAATTCATGAAAATTGTTGAGGCACAACGGGCCTCACAATGACATTCCTGATTATCTCTGTTCTTAGCCACGTGCCTGTTTATGTAATTAATGGCTATGTTCGTGAAGCTAGAAAAGTAATCTGGCATTATTATGAATCTGTAAATCCAGTATGTGTGAAGACCATGACCAAGGCAAGGAGACCACACTAAGGTACATTGAGTAGGAAAGTATCTTATGGACCTGCTGCTGCCACAAAAGTTAATGTAAGAAAGACAACATTTCAGAGGCCCTCACAGTGAAAGCTACTTTACCTGCACTTTGATCTATAAAATGGACCAAATGGTAAGATCAAATAACCAAAAAAAGCCACCTTACCTCTTTCTTTGATATGTGTCACACAGGATTGCCTGTCTTTGGAGATTCTTACTTAGTATGTGGTACACTTACACAGTGGCATGCCAGATATTCCTATTACCACTGAAATTTAATGCTTATCTTGTTTCCCTCTTAGATTCTCTGAGTTTTTGTTTAAAAAAAAAAAGTTAACCCAAACATATTGAGACCTACATCTCCTGGCAGGAATTTCTACAAATATAGAGTGAAGGACTTTTAGATTCAAATCATTTTAGCTACCTACCTTAGACCCTGTGGTGTTCTAGGAAGGCTTATTTTTATAGTGAAGAGGCTCAAGAAAAGATAATAAGGAGACTTAGCAGCCTAAAACAATCTCATGTCAACTACAAGATGACCATGGAACAGCCTATACACACTGCCGATAAGTTGGCTCAGCCCCCTTCAATCCAACTCATCCTTTAGATCACCAAGAATGCACCTTTGCCAGAAGTGAAAAAGGAACAACAGCCAACATGTACCTTTAAAATGGGAAATGTCATTGTGAATAGTGCTGCAATAAACATACGTGTGCCTGTGTCTTTACAGTAGAATGATTTATAACCCTTTGGGTATGCACCCAGTAATGGGATTGCTGGCTCAAATGGTATTTCTGGTTCTAGATCCTTCAGGTATCACCACACTGTCTTCCACAATGGTTGAACTAATTTACACTGCCACAAATAGTGTAAAAGCATTCCTATTTCTCCACATCCTCTCCAGCACCTGTTGTTTCCTAACTTTTTAATGATCGCCATTCTAACTGGTGTGAGATGGTATCTCCTTGTAGTTTTGATTTGCATTTGTCTAATGACCAGTGATAAGCTTTTTTTTTCTTTTCTTAATTATACTTTAAGTTCTAGGGTACATGTGCACAACATGCAGGTTTGACACATAGGTATATATGTGCCATGTTGTTTTGCTGCACCCATCAACTCATCATTTACATTAGGTATTTCTCCTAATGCTATCCCTCCCCCAGCCCCCCACCGCCCGACAGGCCCTGGTGTGTCATGTTCCCCCGAATGTGTCCAAATGATCTCATTGTTCAATTCCCACGTATGAGTGAGAACATGCGGTGTTTGATTTTCTGTCCTTGTGATAGTTTGCTGAGAATGATGGTTTCCAGCTTCATCCATGTCCCTGCAAAGACATGAACTGATGATGAACTTTTTTCATATGTTTTTTGGCCACATAAATGTCTTCTTTTGAGAAGTGTCTGTTCATATCCTTCACCCACTTTTTGATGTTTTTTTTTTCTTGTAAATTTAAGATCCTTGTAGATTCAAGATCCTTATAGATTCTGGAATATTAGCCCTTTGTCAGACGGATTACAAAAATTTTCTCCCATTCTGTAGGTTGCCTGTTCACTCTGATGATCATTTATTTTGCTGTGCAGAAACTCCTTAATTAGATCTCACTTGTCAATTTTGACTTTTGTTGCCATTGCTTTTGGTGTTTAAGTCATGAAGTCTTTGCCCATGCCTGTGTCCTGAATGGTATTGCCTAGGTTTTCTTCTAGGGTTTTTATGGTTTTAGGTCTTATGTTTAAGTCTTTAATCCAGACTTGGAACATACCCAAATAAAGAAAATGTGGCACATATATACCATGGAATACTATGCAGCCATAAACAAGGATGAGTTCATGTCCTTTGCAGGGACATGGATGAAGCTGGAAACCATCACTCTCAGCAAACTAACACAGGAACAAAAAACCAAACACCGCATGTTCTCACTCGTAAGTGGGAGTTGAACAATGAGAACACATGGACACAGGGAGGGGAACATCATACACCGGGACCTGTCGGTGAGTAGGGGGCTAGGGGAGGGATAGCATTAGGAGAAATACCTAATGTAGGTGACGGGTTGATGGGTACGGCAAACCACCATGGCACATGTATACCTATGTAACAAACCTGCACTTTCTGCACATGTATGTGCAGAAAAGCTCAAAAACAGCTAAGGGCTCCACCCGGTTGGCATTTCTAAAGTTAATGTATGTTACCTAAAAAACAGTTCTCACATTTCCACAATCCTACAAGGTTCTGGAGTCTCTGTATTTTTCACCCAATGTCTGAGAAATGACTTGCTGTATTTGCAAATTGAATAAAATGATGAAATCTGAGTGCAAATGTTTTAAATATAATTTTAAAACTTAAAGTATAATTTTAAAAAATTTAAAAACTTAAAGTATAATTTAAAAAAAAAGAAAAAATGGGAAATGTCTTTAAAACAGAGAGATCACATTCTTCCATAAGCAAGAACCCATTCATAGATCTGGAATTAGCCAGAAAGAAAGGAGTTCTGCAATGCTAAGCCAAAGGAATCGAGACAACTTGACTCTCAGGAATGTTTCTGAAGCCGGCATCCTCTTCAGAGTATGAAGAGGCCTCAGGGGTGTGCAAGAGTCTCGTCTGTCAGACAAAATGTCACGGAGAACCACTTCTCATTTTGAATCAAGTCATCTAAAAAGTAAAACAAAACAAAACAATTGTATCATAATGGCAATGAGGACGTCAAAACACTCACCGCTATCAGTGCCTGGTCAGTGAGGTCTAGACCCATGTTGCTGAGGGAGATTCCAAAACACAGGGTTTAAAGTAGGCAGTTTTTATTCAAAAGGAAGAAACACCATCAGAACTCATGAGAGGAATTCTCCAAATGCTTACTTTAGAAATCAATTTCCCATCAGTTTTTCAAAAACACTTTTCCTGGTACATGAACATTTGCATACAGATTTCGTCATTTTATTCAATTTGCAAATACAGCAAGTCATTTCTCAGACACTGGGTGAAAAATACAAAGACTCCAGAGCCTTGTAGGATTGTGGAAATGTGAGAGCTGTTTTTTAGGTAACATACATTAACTTTAGAAATGCCAACTGGGTGGAGCCCGTAGCTGTTTTTGAGCTTCTTTATAATAGCACCATTGTACATTTGTCTACTCAAAGTTTAATGAGTTTTAATATTATCCCTTCAAGCAAGGGAGCATCTTATATCCACAGAAACATCCTTATGAATCTAAGCATAGGAGACTCATTTACTTTCCCCTGCTAGATAAAATCTTGGTTTAAAGGTTGCAGTGAAAAGTTGCATTGCATAGGGAGTTAAACTTTGAGTTCTCATTTTTTCAATATAGCTTAGTTGTTTTCAGGTATGCATTAATATTTCCACCTGATGCCAGATGGGTTGGCAGTTTTGGCAGGTAGAACTAAGCATAAACAAGGATTGAGAATTAGGTCCAGGATTCCATTAAGAGCACGTGTCATCATACAAGTCAAAGAGTAAGAATCACTGGGGTGTTATTGCTGGAAAGGTTTTTTATAAATCTGCTGAATTTTTCCATTTGACAGGAGAGGAAACAAATGATAACAACTATAGTGACCATCAATGGAGCATTTTGCTTTAATGTATTTTCTCATTGAATTCTCAGTGCTACCTTGTGAGGGATATACTATCATTATCCCATTTAGAGATGAGGAGACTGAGGCTGGAACATATCAAGAACTTTCTCTGAATGTCTACTCAAATGTCACCTTATCTGGGAGGTATTCCCTTTGTGAAATAGCAGCACGACCTTGGCACTCCCTCTTCCTCTCATATGGCTTTGTTTTTCTTCTTGCCACTTGTTTCTATTTGACACACATGTATTCACTTTTATATTGTTATCTCACCCTTCTAGCACGTAAGCTTCATGGGGAAACTGATTTTGCTTTACCCACTGCTATTTTCCCAGCACAGAGAGTACCTGGCATATAGTTGGTGCTCAGTAAATATTTGCTGAATAAAGAAATTATTAAAGAAACTTGCCCAAGGCCAGCTTTTAATTGGTGGACCCAGTATTTGCAGCTGGACTGTTGCCCTGAAGCCACACATTTTGGTTACTTGAGGTCACTTAGCGTCTTAGTCCATTTGGGTTGCTATACAAGATACCATGGACTGGGTGGTTTATAAACAACAGACATTTATTTCTTACAGTTCTGGAAGCTGGAAAGTCCATGATCAAGGCACTGGCAGATTAGGCGACTAATGAGGGCCTCCTTTCTGGTTCATAGATGGTGCCTTCTTGCTTCTTGATGATAGAAGGGATGAGGAGTCTTTCTGGGGCCTCTGTTGTAAGCACTAGTCCCATTCATAAGGGCTCTACCCTCATGGCCTATGTACCTCCAAAGGCTCCACTTACTAATACTAGCACTTTGGGGGCTAGGACTTCAACATATACATTTGAGGGAGACACAAAAACTTCAGTCCATTGCGCTTAGACTATTCATTTTCTCTTTCTTAAGGAACTGGCTTATTTCACATTAAGATATTTTGCAGGAATTCCAGGCTATCCTTAATTTTCTCCGGTTATTTCCCTTGCTGTGACTACATTATGAGGATACTTATTGAAAGACACAGAAAGGATGCCTGGGGTGGGAGTCGTAGTTCTAAACCCAGCTAACTGGGTAACTAAGAGCAAGCTGTTGCATTGTTCTACATCTCAGCTTCTTTATTAGCAACATGCCAGCTCTGTTCTAAGTTCTTACAGCAGATATTTCTAATATGCCAAAAAGTCCCCAGTGATTCCAAAGAAGGGCAGAAGCCTCCAAATCAATTTTAATTGAATTAAAAATTTAAATTAACTATTTATATTATATCCCACATTCTACTCCATCCGCCCACCAAAAACAGACAAACAAACAAAAGAACTCTTAATAGAAAAATCTGCATGAAAATACACAAAAATATTAATAGAGGTGGTCTTTGGAATCAGGGATGATTTTTTTTCTTTTTACTCTTTTGTAGTTACCATAGTACTTTTGCAATGGAAAAAAATACACTTTATTTAAAAAAGAAAAAAAACCTAAGAACAAAATAAAGGTATACTCCATACAACTTTTAGGGCAAATAGAGTTTTGTCAAGAAAGTAACAATTCATTTGTTCCATAATTTGTTAAGTTCCATTATGTGATAGGCATTATTCCTCCAAAAAAGACAATAATCTTTATTTTATAAAGTTTAAAAACAGTGGGAGTCCTGAATAAAAAGTTTTGTTAGATTTTAAGTCACTTTAAGAATGGATTAGATTTAATGATAACATACAAAGAAGAGATACATAGCCACCTGCTCTGACACTTTAACGTGTACCTTGTCCATAGACATCATGTAACTGCTGGGTTTCATTCCAGTTCAGGGGAGTGTATTCATGTAAGAATTAACTTAACATTATTAACATGGTAAGCCATGGGTCTTGATCACATGGTAGACAATTTTCTAGTAATACAGGGTGGCAATTCTCAGTTTAGAATTCTTCTCCTTTCCTTTTTCCTATTATATTGGTCCCCCTGGTTCTCTTACTCTCCTGGACCCTGGAGTCTCTGCCACTCATTGCTGTTTTCTTGATCAACTCATGCTCTCAGTCTCATCAGCAGCCAACTCCAATGTGCCCATTTTCTCAGATTTATCCAAAGCAGAACAACATGCCTAATGAGAGAAGGGGTAAGAGGAAAGCAGCCAGGCTCCTCTGTAGCCCTAATTTATAGACTCATTAATAGTCTTGGGTGTCACCTAGACTTCCAAAAACAATAGGGTGGTAATTAGCTTGGCTTGGCCAGCCAGCCAGCCAGCCCACGATAAAAGGCAAGGAATGGCAATAAATGGAAAGGCAAAAAAAAAAAAAAAAAAAAAACCACCAAATAGGTTTACAAGCAACATACCTTTAAACATTGTATTATCATTTAAAATGAGAAGGTTTAGACTTTTAATTACATAATTAATAGCCTAAGAAGCTACTTGTCCGGACAGAAGGCATACCAACTTCAAGCACCAGAGGATGGTGCCTAGGAGCAAGTTGAGCACAGGAAGATGCAAATTATAAATTCTTTTACAGACAGCAACAACATCTGAAATCCTCTGAGCTTCCTCATGAATCTGCTTCCAGAGAGTAGTGAGTGTTCTGTTATCCCTGAAGGAACAACCATGACCAGCAGCCCAAAAGCCTCCTAGGACAATTTCACCTTCTGTGAAAAGGAAGGCTCTTTATTTCTGGACTGGGTGCTTATTACAGAAACACCCTGGTTACATTTTCAGTATATGCCAAACACAAATGTCACTTTGGTATAGCATCATTTTTATATTTCAGTCTGGGTTTTCAGATTTTTTCTTAATGGTCTTCTTGCAATGTGATGATGTGGAACTGAAGAAGCCTTGGGTGTTCAAAACCAGAAGTGAGAAAGTTGGGGTCTTCTCGCCACCACTGTCTGGTTTATCTCCAAATCTGTTTCCTCATCAGCAAAAACTGGTGATACCATTGTTATTGAGAATAGCAGTCATGATGACATTGTCCCCATGGTTACATTTGAGCAGATGCTGCCACTGTATTATTTTGGGTGGGGGTAGGAGAAGTGATCTGAGACCTTAATGCCAAGCCAAAGGAAAAGGAGAGAAAACAAGACAGGAAGGAGCCAAGGTGGGCGCATAAGAAGGCAGCCCCTAAGAGGAGAGGCCAGCAGTCCAAACCACAGTGTGGCCTAACCTCAACACAGTCCAGTGTATATGGTGGTCTGAGTTGCTGAGTGCACAGAACATCTGGGGACCCCCAAACAGATGAGGTTCAGCATGCTAATTCTAGGAGGTCTTGGGTCTAAGCAGGATCCTAACCTAAAAAAAAAAAGTCTCTAGGAAGAATTAAGGAGCACGGGTAGACTCCAGGTAAGCAGGAGTCTCAGGTATGCTTTAAACCTAGTTCTAAGAGGATAATAAATAATAAGGAAAGAGGAGAAAGACCACTGCTCATGCAGCCATGCTCAGGGCCACAGCTACATCAGGTGCATGGAGAGCCAAGTCTAAGGCAGGAAGAAGAAACAGAGTTGCTACTATCTCCAAGCCTTGACCAAGATCGGTTCAGGCACCCGATCTATTGGTGGAAATCTCCTCAATATTTTAGTAGAGCTGGAGACACTGAGAGAAATCAGGGACTGGCTTGAGATGTGTTGATTGGGGAAGGATCTCAGCATGCTGGCGTTCAGTAACTGAAAGGCCCAGGGGGAAAGAAAATGTATTGAAATAACCATGAGAGTTATTAAACCTTGGCATTCTATCCTAGCCCAAGGACCAGTGGAAAACTGCTTTTAAACACTTTTGTGTTTTCTGAAAGTGAGCACTTGTGTGAAAAACAATACTCAATCCCTCGGTATGTCTTTGCTGTCAATAGGTAGAGAACATAACTTCTCGGGGGCCAGGCCTGGATATTGTGTCTTTAGATATAAAGGATATTAGGGGCCCGGTTCTATGTGAAGGTGCCCTCCAAAACCAGAAGAGCATACTGAAGACCAGAAATTGTAGCAAGTGGTCATCTTGACACTTTCCAGTGAAGCCAGTGGTTGCATCTGCTTCTGGCCAGAACTTTCCTAACCAGCTCCTGGATAAATGCTTAATTAACATTACTCCAAGTCCATCTGAGTCTGTGGCTAAATGGTTCCTGGTGTTTTGTTTTACACTGTGAGGGGAATTCAGTGCCTTGGAAACTAGTTGGCTAACCCAGACCATAGGTCAGTGGTTTTCAACTCACTCTGCACATAGAATCATCTGGAAACTCTTTATAAAAATACCAGTGCCTCAGCAAAAGAAACTACCATCAAAGAGAAGAGGCAACCTACAGAATGGGAGAAAATTTTTGCAATCTATCCATCTGACAAAGGGCTAATATCCAGAATCTACACATAACTCAAACAAATTTACAAGAAAAAAACAACCCCATCAAAAAGTGGGCAAAGGATATGAACAGACACTTCTCAAAAGAAGACATCTATGCAGCCAACAGACACGTGAAAAAATGCTCATCATCACTGGTCATCAGAGAAATGCAAATCAAAACCACAATGATTTTGTGATTCCATCTCACGCCAGTTAGAATGGCAATCATTAAAAAGTCAGGAAACAACGGATGTTGGAGAGGATGTGGAGAAATAGGAAGGCTTTTACACGGTTGGTGGGAGTATAAACTAGTTCAACCATTGTGGAAGACAATGTGGTGATTCCTCAAGGACCTAGAACTAGAATTACCATTTGACCCAGCAATCCCATTACTGGGTATATACCCAAAGGATTACAAATCATGCTACTATAAAGACACATGCATGCATATGTTTATTGTGGCATTATTCACAATAGCAAAGACTTGAAACCAACCCAAATGTCCATCAATGATAGACTGGATTAAGGAAATGTGGCACATATACACCATGGAATACTATGCTGCCATAAAAAAGGATGAGTTCATGTTCTTTGCAGGGACATGGATGAAACTGGAAACCATCATTCTCAGCAAACTATCACAAGGACAGAAAACCAAACACCGCATGTTCTCACTCATAAGTGGGAATTGAACAATGAGATCACTTTGACACAGTGGGTGGAACATCACACACCAGGGCCTGTTGGGCGGTGGGGGGCTGGGGGAGGGATAGCATTAGGAGAAATACCTAATGTAAATGATGAGTTGATGGGGGCAGCAAACCAACATGGCACATGTATACCTATGTATCAAACCTGCACGTTGTGCACATGTACCCTAGAACTTAAAGTATAAAAAAAAAAAAAAAACACCAGTGCCAGGGCTCCACCCTTACAGATTCTGGCTTAACTTGTCTGGAGTAGGGAGTATGTCAGGGAATGTTTTTAATGCTCTGCAGGTGATTCTTCCATCCAGCTAGGTTGAAAGCAGTGCCTCTCAAACTCTAACATGCATATGAATCCCTCCGAATCTTGCATAACATGCAGATCCTGATCTAGTAGGTCTGGGTGGAGATTTTGTGTTTTAAACTAGCTCCAGATGATACCCAAGCTGTTTGTCTGCAGGCCGTATGTCGTATGTCGAGGTATTAGAGAATGGGAAAAGTGTCAGAGCTCTCAGCAGGTGAGCCCTCCCTCACCAGGGCAGACCCCACCCACCGCAGAGCTGTGGCTCTGCCTTAGCCTTCTGTCAAGTTGAGCAGACACTTCCAGAGCTCAAAGATGGCCTTCCGAGTTAGCTATGGAAATAAGCAACAGTCCAAATAGTCCAGTAAGGCCTCAAATAAATCAGGGTGACACCAATGGGAATACAAGAGTGAGTGAATAAGAGTCAAGCAATGAAGTTTTTTTTTTTTTTAAATCAGCCTTTGTTTTGCTTTGGCTCTGTGTGTTTGTGGGGAAACTCCAGTGAGTAGAGGCTTAGCCCTGTCTTCTAGAGTAAACAAGGGCAGTGGGTGAGGAAGAGGGAGGCTGGGGAAGGAGGGCTCCGTACATGCAGAGTGGTGCAGAACACACCCCACGCTCTAAATAAAAACCTTTTCAGACCTAAGCCTTGGCCACTTCGCGATTGGACTATGAGGGCCTCCTGCAGTGACTGCCACTCTTGTTTTGTCTTCTTCAGATACTGCTTTCCTCATCTCCCTGCCCTGATCAGAGATATCCTGCAAAATGAACTCTACACTCTGTGTGGCCATCAGATCTGTGGATCTGCGTGATCCCTCAGCCTTACCTCCCAGGACCTTCTTTTTTCTCCTCCGAAGCACAGGGGTCAGCTCCTCACCAGGGCTTTCAGCCCAGCTTCCCCCTGCCTGGAATAGTCTCTCTTTCACATATCCAATTACTGAAATTCTCCCACCCTTCCAGGCCCAGCTCCAGTCCGGTCTTGTCCTTCAAGCCATTCCTGGTCCACCTGCCGCCACTCTTCCTGGGCACTTCTAGAGCATTTCCTCGTTGTCTATGGCTTTAACATGCCATGTTTCTCCCAACTTAGCACCTTTTCATGAGAATATGGTGTCTCTCCCTAATCCCATCATAAACTTCTGGTGGTAGAACTGTACCTTATACTTCCTTGTATCTCCTCTACCTAGTGTAGTTCTTTGCAAATAATAGATGCTCAGTAAGATTTGTCACATATTTATCAAAGAGCTCACCACAACTAATGAACCTGAGATTCCCATAGGAAAGAGAGGTCCTTAGGAGTTTGCACTTACAGACATGACTTCCCACCAAAAAGTCCCCACCCCCTCAATGCCTTAGGTCCCTCTCTACTCTGGGTGGGTTTTGCCCTTATGTGGCACCCGGAAGTCCCTGCTCTGGATTCCCTCAAAGCCCTGTGTTTTTGCCTCCAACAGCCCTCATGCCTAGACCATCCCTTGTGCTGAACGTGCACCTAATTCAACACCCTAGTCTTCAGACCCGTGCAATTTTCACTCCCTGTAAGGAAGTCAAAGGTCCTTCCAGAATCAGTCTGGTCTTCAGTCTGTTCCTCTGAAGAGAAAAACAATAGGGTGTGGTCAGGAGAAAAATAGAGTCCCAGCCAAACAAATGTCTCCTGGAAAAACCACTCATGCAGCTAGAACAAACAGGTATGGTCACTCCACTAGCTCTGGGCAGAACTCTGCACTGATTCAAGGCTGTTGATAGAGACATTGGAATGCTATCCAATGCCGTCTATCCAGGGACCACCATCAAACATCTCTATAGGGGAAAAACTTGTCCAAAAATAAATAAAAACGATGGAAACTTTGAATGTGATCATTAGAGTGCACCCATGGGAACTTTGAATGTGATCATTAGAGTGCACCCATGGGAATACTTTGAAAGCAGAACCTTCCTGAAGGGACCTCAGGAATGTCTTAGTGTACTGGCAGCTCCTGACAAACGGCAAAAGAGAAATGAGATGCCTTTGCCACACATTTCTGTTTCTCCCCCTGGGCTCCATGCACAAAGGCCCTGCTCCTTTCTGCCCCAGGACACGGCCAAAAATGCTGCCCTTGCTCACACATGACTTGTCTTAGCCAGGTTCTGTATTGGCTTTAGTCACTGAAGGCTGCTCTGATTCCTCCCCCACTCCCTCAAGGTCCTCATTTATTTATTAAGCTAGATTTCTCCCAGGTCCCATTCCTCTGGCATTACATGGAGGGAAGAGTGTTAAATTCAGTCAAGGTTGAGGAGGGAGGAAAAGACTTTGCAATTAAATTGCTAATTAAGGAAGTACCAACCTGAAGAAGCTAATTTGCACTGACCTATTTAAAATATCTAGCAGCAGATCATGCATGAATTGAGGTACAGCCCTTTTATGCGTCAGCCAACTGGCTTTCTTTCAGAGCAGCAGCTATCAATAATTCCATGCTGAGGACCATCTGATAGGAAATCAACCACTGGCCCCTGGAATGCCAGCATTCCCCACTGCTCTGTTTTCCCAGTTGTCAGCTCTGTTTATAAATTGTCCATTTATAGCAAATCCAGCACCTGCTATGAACACCTCATCCTGCCAAGTGTTGGAGTGCATCTCAGAAAGAGCCACTATAGACTTTTTCAGTTCCTTTTAACCTTTTCCCAACCCGGGAGTTTGAATATTTGCATAGGAATTCTGAAGGAGGACTTTTTCAGTGCAGAAAAGTCTAGATCGTCTATTAAAAGTTAGCATTTTGCTCCACTTTAAAAAGAAAGAGCAAATTATCATTCTCTTGGGAGATACAATGCTCTCTTTCTGAACAAGTCTGACATTGGGACACATTTAAAACAACCTCTGAAAAATTCAGCAGGGTCAAAATGCTCTGGAGAAGACTTAGGGGGGCTTTCTTTTGCACTCGATTATGCAGCTTTTTAGCTCACTGTCAACACTGAACAGATAATGCAGCCTGCTGCTTAAAACCGTTATGTAAAATATATTAAAAGATACCTTCCAGTGTTGGAAACCCAATATATGACCTAGTTTGAGTTTCTTCTTGCCAATCATCCATTTGCAAAGTGCCTAGATTAATCCTCAAAGTTCCTCTCCCAATATGCTTCTGTTCATTTTGTTCGTTGCAAAATAAAAATAAAATAAAATATGGCACACATGGAATATTCATGGAGTATGGGCTCATGGTTTGTAGAGGATTGTGAAGGTCAAACCAGATGCTATGGCAGACAGAAATTGGCTGAGTGGTCTTGGGAAGATGGGACAAGCCTTGATGCTTCAGTTTATACATTCCCACAGTAATCCTTCTCAAGAATAAGATTGTCACCCTTTTAAAGCCACAGAGGGAGACCCTGATTAAGACCACGTGGCAAAGGCAGCTGAGCTGGGTGGGCAGCATTCCTGATCCCTGGTTCTGCAGTCAGCCAAGTAGGCGGCCCCATATTTTTTATGAGAGGACTCAAGGGTTTAGTATTTCTTTAAAAAAAAAAAAATTAAGGTACCTGGATGAAAAAGAATCTGTGAAAGGTTATTGTTACTAATGGTCCAGTAAAGTCAGGCCATGAGATCAGAAAAAACAGAAGTGATTTAAAACATAGAATTAGAGGGCACGAAATGAAACACCCTACAAACGCTTCGCTTTGGGCAGTGTGTTTTCCTCTGCTAGGGCCTGGGTCCTTAGCATTCCAGTCTGGGGTGGCTTGTAGCTTTGTGGTGCAGTTTGTATAGATTAAGCTAATTTTGGAGGACACAGGCATCAATTATTTCTTTCCAAAATAGAATTGTGCTTAATCAATTACATGTCACTCCAATGCAAATCTTCCTTGCTTACTTTTTGGTCATTCGATGGCCATCTGTTTTACCAACCTGGATTCTTTCACTCATCACACAAGTCAGGCCCCATTACTTGAGATGATCTCTGAGATGCCCCTGCTGGAGAAAGGCATGTGCAAATTAAGAGACTACAAATCAGTTTGAAAACTCAACGACTCCTTCCCATAAATCTGTGTCCTTAATATTAAAAATCATTTGGAGGTGCTGAAAAGAAAGAGAACTGATAGCTACAGAAAACAACAGCCCTACTCACTTCAGGGCACAGATTAGTAGTCAAGAGGGGTTATGCAGATCTAAATCCATATTCTGCTACCAAAAATAGAAAAGAGGAAATCTTTGAAGCCAAAGAAGGCCTAAGAATAACTGTCAGCAAAGAGCTAGAGCCACATGGACAGGAAGCAACGCTCAAGTGGCAGTTCTGTGCTGCCTTTTTCTTCCTCCCCAGTAGCTTTTCACATTCATTCTGTTTAAAAGATAGCTTTCAAAGGCTTCCTTCAACTTGAACACGTACGCCTGCACAGCCGGCCTTTCCACAGCAGCCTGGGGGCCGGCATTGAGCATCGCTTCCACACAGTCCTTGGGTTTAGTGTTATTTCCCCCCACGGATCATTTCAATCTGTTTAAAGCTGAACAGTGAACTCTTCATAGACCACATTGCACAGAGAACCCTCAATAGGAAATGATCAGCTGAGCAAACATTCATTTCTTGTTTTGCTTTTAATAATTTTGTTTCAACCCAACCTAGTCTTCATCCTTTTTTCAATACTCAGGAAACTGCAACAAACCAATAAAGTTTATTTTATCTCATGTGCCTTAAATGACACTATAAAAACATGCATTTGGATATGTCCTATAAAAGATATTCAAGTTAGGAGAGGTTCTTTGGAAACACAAGGGTGAGAGACCTTTGGAATGGCCCATGGGGTGGCTAGAGAGGGGCAGAGGGCAAGAAGGGTTACAGGAAGGGGACCAGTTGATGGGTGGTGATGAGGCGATTTGAAGTCCAAATAATGGAAAAGTGGAGGTGAAGGATAAAGGAATAAGAAAGACATTGAGGAAGACAGGGCAGGGCCTCTTCCAGCCCATACAGCACCTTCGTACAAGTTAGAAAAAGGCACCACTTCCTCTGAGCACACACAAACCCATGCAAGAGTGCATGGCTAGATGTCAGCCTGTGCTCTTCCCTTCAGCCAGGTAATCTTCCAGAAGGCACAGCTTGCATGATACCATACATGGGGGCCCAGGAAAAAATGTGGGTAAGAGATTGAAAGGCCAAAATGGGGAACTTTAGAAGTACTGGAAGGAAAAAAAAAAAGTCATGGATGCTTCTGGTAGCATACAGGAAATCCTGTTTGAATCATAGAGCTTTGCTGGTGGGTGAGGGGCGGGGAAGAATGGTTGGCAAAATTGGTTTCTCCAAAGTAGCTATCCCGCTGAGCAGTTTATCTTTGTCATATTTCGTAGGATGAATGTAATGTTCATTTCAAAGGAACTTTGTGTTAATCATATCAATATCTAATGAATAACTTCCAGGATTAATACAATTTATGTTTATTTGTCAGGATGAAGATCTGTGCTTAGATACAAACTGCTCTGACTCATAAGCTGAGCGTAGCTCTTAACTAAGACACAAGAACATCTGAGCTTCATATGATGAACAGTTGGGGATTCTTAACTGCTTTTATCTCAAAATTCTTGAATGTTTTACTGAAACAAACTTAAGCCAAAAGAAAAAAGATAATAAATAACCCCCATCATTGAGACAGGTTGTTCTTCCAAGGTCATAGCTTCCGTTGTACTATAAACCCTTACCAATCTATTCAGGTTAGGGCCATGATTTATATCACAGTTGGCAAAATTGATATGCAAACAATACATATATATTAAATTTGTGGCATGCAAATATTAAAACTATTTGGGGTCAAAACTTCCCCTGGCAAAACTAAAGGTGATGAAATATTAATTGCGTGTTAAGCACCTTTTATTGCATATTAAATTGGAAGTTCTCTGGTAATGGCTGAATAGAAAACCCCACTGAGTACTCTGTCTGAAGTTTATTGGGGTTTTTTGTTTGTTTAGTTTTGTTTTAACTAAATGTCCCTGCACCGGCTCTGCCAGTGGCTGTCATTATTAACCACGCTCTTGCTCAGGGTGTGGGCCTTCATTCCATCACTGTTTACGTGACAATTTACAGATTTTACAGTTCCTCAACAACTGTGATATGGACCGTTTCATTAAATTCTCAGAACAGCCCTTTGAAGTAACTATGGTTTTGTCATCATCCTATGGTAGATGAGGAAATTGAGAATTTAGACAAGCTCAGAGACTCGTCTGAGACTATCCAAGCAGTGAGTGATAGAATGAGAACTTCATCCCAGGCCTTCTGGCTCAAATCAGTGATCTTGCTAATATAACAGCCCTCTGGTTTAAACTAAGACGTCTACTCAGAGCCTTTTGCATCAAAGACAGGTTTGTCTACTTCTGGGATGACAAGTATTCAACCTGACTGGTGGGAGGGTGAGCAATGACCTATTCTGACAACCTCAATGACTTAGATTTTGAATATCTAGTTTACCACTCTAAAGATTTTGTTCTATAAAACTATACTCTCTGTTGCAATTGACCCAGAGCATAACAGTCATCTTAAAAATTTGATCAAGTCCATGGAATTATAAAAGCCAATACCAATATTATCAAAAATCATATTTTATTTAAATTATAGATTCGGGGGTTCCATGTACAGGTTTGTTACATAGGTGTATTGCATAGTTCTGGGGTTGGGTTCTGGTGAACCCAAGTAGTAAACCTAGTACCAAATAGGTAGTTTTTCCAGCCCTTCTCCCCTTCCTCCCTCTCCCCTTTTGGAGTCCCCAGTGTCTATTGTTTACCTCTTTATGTCCATGTGCACCCATTGTTTAGCTCCCACTTATTAGTGAGAACACATAGTACTTGGTTTTCTATTTCTGCATTAATTCACTTAGGATAATGTCCTCCAGTTGTACCTATGTTGCTGCAAAGGACATGATTTCATTCTTTTTATGGCTGCATAGTATTCCATGGTGTATATATACCACATTTTTTTCTCTTTTTTTTCTTTTTGAGAGCGAGTCTTGCTCTGTCACCCAGGCTGGAGTGCAGTGGCACGATCTCGGCTACTGCAACCTCAGCCTCCTGGGTTCAAGCAATTTTCCTGCCTCAGCCTCCTGAGTAGCTGGGATTATAGGTGCCCACCACCATGCCTGGCTAATTTTTGTATTTTAGAAGAGACGGGGTTTTACCATGTTGGGCAGGCTGGTCTCAAACTCCTGACCTCAGTGATCTGTCTGCCTCAGCCTCCTGAAGTACTGGGATTACAGGCATGAGCCACCACGCTTGGTCTATGTACCACATTTTTTAAATCCAATCCACCACTGGTGAACACTTACATTGATTCCAAGCCTTTGATATTTTGAATAGTGCTTTGATAAACATAACAGTGCAGGTGTCTTTTTGATGAAATGATTTCTTTTCCTTTGGCTAGGTACCTAGTAATGGGATTGCTGAGTTGAATTACTATTCAGTTCTATTTTCAGTTCTTTCAGAAATCTCCATACTATTTTCCATAGGAGTGGAGCTAATTTACATTCTCATCAACAGTGTATAAGTGTTCCCTAAAAATTATGTTTTAAATAGAACAGGTTTTTTGTGGTTTTATTTTGGTTGTCTTTGGCTGATTTAGGAATGTTAGAAAGTGTGATGTTCATTTTAACGTGAAAACACTTAAGTTTAAAGCAGATCTTGCAGACTACTTACGGTCTAGGCCAGTTCTAAAGGTGCGTCTATAGTTGATCAGTTCTTATTTGTTTGAGCACCAGCATCTAGGTGAAAGGACAGCCTAGTGTGTTGGCTCCCCTTCTAGATCAATAACTTGGGTGTTAGAGGCTAAGAATAAGGTCCTTCTTCATGCAGTGCTCTGCCACATATGTTTTTGGAGAAATAAGACATTAACTGATTTCAGTTAATAACAGCCTCTGGGATATCTGCTTCTCTAACAACCTATCTCTCTCAATCCTAATTCAGATTCCCAATTAAAAATGAAAAACTATTTTTAAAAATTAAAAATACCTTTCTATTTGTCATTGCAGGTGCCTGGAACCAATTTGGCTCCAGAATGTAATAGTTTCACTGACAAAACAATTTGAGAATGTTTTAAGGCTAAAGCTGGCAATGATCCATTAGAAGGCCTGTTTCCTAGAAATTCAGCCATGTGATCAAATGACGACACTAGACAGTCAAACTCATTCATCATCACAATATTTTTTTACAATAAAAACAGTAGCCCTTAGAATTTATCTAGTGGAAATGAGACATATAGTGTAACCAAGTAACTAGTGATAGTTCCAATAATAAGCTCTTTGCTGCTTATACACCTCAGTCATGTTTAGGTTACACTGTTAAACATTATCATTTTCCAATCTGCTCTATGACACCAGCAATTCCACTTCTAGTTTTCTACCCTAGAAAAATGTGTGTGTGAGAGAGAGACATGCACAAAAATGTTTGTGGCCATGCTGTTTATTTTTTAAACCTTAGAAACAATTAACTTCTTAAGTAGACAACCTAACTGCCCCTCATTTTAGAAATGGATTTAAATACTGTGAATCAACGTGAAGCAGCGTATTAAAAAAAAACAACACCCCTCAGAAGTGGAGAATATTTGTAAATCATATATCTGATAAAGGATTACTATCCAGAATATATAAAGAACTACTACAGCTCAACAGCAATAAACAAACAAACAAACAAACAAACAAACAAACCAAAATAACTCCATAATTTAGAACAGGGCAAACGACTTGAATACATATCCTCCAAAGAAGATATACATATCAGCAAGAAGCACAGAAAAAGATGCTCAACATCACTGATAATTCAGGAAATACAAATCAGATACCATTTCACACCCGCTAGGTTCTGAGAGAGAAAGAACAAGATAGAGAGAGAGAAGAAAACAAATGTTGGTGACAATGTAGAAAAATTAGAGACCTTGTGAATTGCTGGTAGGAATGTAAAATGGTGCCCCACTATGGAAGACAGTATGATGGTTCCTCAAAAAGTTACGCATATAATTGCTGTATGATTGTGCAATTCCATTTCTAGGTTTATACCCAAAAATTGAAATCAAGGACTCGAACAGATATTTGTACACCAGCATTCATAACAACATTATTGACGACAGCCAAAGTGTGAAGACAACACAAATGCCTATCAATGGATGAATGGATAAACAAAATGTGGTATATGCATGCATGCTTTAGAATTTTATTCAGTCTTTAAAAGGAAGGAAATATTTTGATGCATGCCATATTATAGATAAACCTTGAAAGCATTATGCTAAGTGAAATAACTGAGACACAAAAGAACAAATATTGTATGATTCCACTTATATGGGGTACCTAGAACAGCCAAATTTATCAAGAAAGTAAAATAGTGTTTACCAAGGGTTGCTGCAAGGAGGATGAAAAGCAATTGTCTAACAGCTACAGAGTTTCAGTCTGGGATGATTTAAAAAATTGTGGAAATAAATAGTGGTGGCCAGGCATGGTGGCTCATGCCTGTAATCCTAGAACTTTGGGAGGCCGAGGTGGGTGGATCATTTGAGGTCAGGAGTTCGAGACCAGCCTAGCCAACATGGTGAAATCCCATCTCTACTAAAAATATAAAAATTAGCCGGGCATGGTGGCAGGCGCCTGGAATTCCAGCTACTAGGGAGGCTGAGACAGGAGAATCCCTTGAATTCAGGAGGCAGAGGTTGCAATAAGCCAAGATCCAACCATTGCACTCCAGCCTGGGTGACAGAGTGAGACTCCATTTCAAAAAAAAAAAAAAAAAAATAGTGATGATGTTGTACAACAATCTCAATGTACTTGATAGTACTGTTGTATACTCAAAGAGACTTAAAATGGTAATTTTTGTTATGTATGTTTTTGCAATAAAAATATTTTTTTCAATCAGGGAAGGGAAAGATAATCAAATACGGTAAAATGTTAAAATTAAAATGTCTTTAAATTCAGTAGTAGGTTTACTGATGGTTTATTAGTTCTATACTTTTCTATGTATTTGACGCGTCTCCGCACACTCTTTATTAATTGTTAGAAGTTTTGAAGAAAAGTTTTTCTTAAAATCATCAGACCTTCTCTGTCAGGTAAGAACATGGGATAAGGTACCGAAGGCTGAAGGTTGTCTCTTTAATGAAAAGATTCATTTCTTGAGGCCTAAAACAGCGCTTCTCACATCTTGTTAAAATGAAATTTCGTTGGTCTGGGGAGGGGCCTGAGGTTCTCTGACACCTAGGTGATGCAGATGCTACTGGCTCATAGATGCATTGTGAGTATCGAGGAGCTAAAGATCCACATATATCATTTTTCATCTGAAATTTCTTCTCAGTTATGTACCACTGGATGATAAAGGGCTGAAACCAGCCTTGATTACCCTTCAATGAAAAATCTATCATTTTATAACTTGTTTGATAAAGACTACAAGGCAAAATTACAAACAATTAAACCCTAATCATTGTTAAAAATATTTCATAATGACTGCATCTCTTTTAAAAATCCTAATGGAAACTTTGGATTCAGCTGTCAGAATCCATAATAAACGCAGTTTGGGACATACTAATTCCACTCCCCCAAATGAATTTTGAAATAGGAATTGCCATAGCACAAATTTCCACTGATGAAAAGTTAACTTTACTTAATTAGTGATACGGTCCTTGAACAAGATCTCCCCTCCCCTCCCTTCCCCTCCCCCCTTCTTCTTCTTCTCCTTCTTCTTCTTCATCTTCAACTTCTTCTTTTCTTCTTTTTCTTTCTCTCTCTCTCTCTCTCCTCACTCTCCTTAATTCTAGAATAATCCAAGGTCGGGAGCTAATAATTTCACCTACTAAAATGTGACTGATTAATTGCTTAAAATTGAAAAAGCTCCTGGGAGAAGATTTCTTGTCAGAATTGTTTAGAATCTGTTCTGTCTGATGGGCTCCCAAAGTGCCAATCTAGTTCTCTGAATTGAAGTTTTCAGGATGCTAATGTTCATATAATTGGCCTAAACATGACTCAACTAATTGCCAAAAAAGGAGAAATCTTTTGTATCCCCCAGTTAACTACCAGACCACCAGACCTCTCTTCAGAATTGAATGGTAGGGTTCTCCAAATGACTATAGTTGATTAAGAGTAAGCGGATTTCTGCCACAGTTATTCCACTGCTGAACTTGTTTTACTCCAACATCCACCAAAGTTTTAAACAGCATAAGGCTATTTGTAACATTCATTAATCTTTCATCAGCTTGTGATTTCAGAGGCACGAATTGCCTTTAATCCAAACTGAAAATTTTATATGAAAAAAAGCTCAACATCACTGGTCATTAGACACATGCAAATCAAAACTACAATGAGATACCATCTCATGCCAGTTCAAATGGTGATCATTAAAAAGTCAGGAACAACAGAATGCTGGAAAGGATGTAGAGAAATAGGAACGCTTTTACACTGTTTGTGGGAGTGTAAATTAGTTCAACTATTGTGGAAGACAGTGTGGCGATTCCTCAAGGATCTAGAACCAGAAATACCATTTGACCCAACAATCCCATTACTGGATATATACCCAAAGGATTATAAATCATGCTACTATAAAGACGTATGCCCACGTATGTTTATTGCAGCACTGTTCACAACAGCAAAGACTTGGAGCCAACCCAAATGCCCATCAACGATAGACTCGATAAAGAAAATGTGACACTTATACACCACAGAATACTATGCAGCTGTAAAAAAGGATGAGTTCATGTCCTTTGCAGGGACATGGATGAAGCTGGAAACCATCATTCTCAGCAAACTAACACAGAAACAGAAAACCAAACACCGCATGTTCTCACTCATAAGTGGGAGTTGAACGATGAGAACACATGGACACAGGGAGGGGAACATCACACACCGGGGTCTGTCCATGGGTAGGGGCCTAGGGGACAGATAGCATTAGGAGAAATATCTAATGTAGATGATGGGTTGGTGGGTCCAGCAAACCACCATGGCACATGTATACCTATGTAAGTAACAAACTTGCACGTCTGCACATGTATCCCAGAACTTAAAGTATAATAATAATCATAATAATAAAAAGAATACTTTGACATATGTCCCAGGTTAATGGTTCTTTAGAATCTGTACCCTGTTTTTCCAAACAGAATCATAGTTATAATAATACATATAGCTAAACCTATGGTGCCCTAACTCTGTGCCAAGCCCTGTTCTACACATTTTAAATGGATTATCTCATAGAATCCTTACAACAGCCCTGTGAGATAAGTGGTATTATCATCTCCAACTCACAGTAAAAAAAAAAAAATGAAGACTCAGAAAATTAAACACATCCAAAGCCACGAAGTGGCAGTTTCTGACTCTAGAGCCCTGTTCTTTGCCATGATACTCAATTGCTAATTTTAATTATAATTGCTAATTCCAGTCATAAATGGGGTCAAACAGGGCTGTTCTTAACTGCTTGATAGAGCTACAGTAAATGAGGAAGCATGTCCCTTTCTTAGCAAGCATCCTCCTCTATAATATGTCTTTATTCACTCTCACTAGGAGTAGTCATTAGAAACATATGAGCCAGCTAGCTAATTACTGTCAAGAAAAAAAAACTTCATATTTGGCAGAGAATCTGCAATATTCAAGTGGAAGAACACTAATGCTTCTATTGAATCCTTCAGTTCATTTTAGCTACTTAGGGGAGTTTATATCAGGAGGACTACAATCTAGGGGTATGCTGAGGTTTCTTTTTGAAGAATAGCTCAGTGGAATGCAGGCTTGATTATAAAAAGCTGGGGCTTGAATAATATCAGCACATTTTTTATTTCTAAGGCAGTTGAATTCCCTTCCAAATTACTTACATCCCTCAATGAAAATTAGGCTCTTCCTAGGCCTGATACTTCATTAATGAGTAAAAAGGCTCTATGTATGTACAAAATATTAACAGCCCAAAAGGAGCTATTTTCACATGGACTCAAGACTCATCTATCCATTTGCTGTGGCAATGCTGGGAGAGCTCATACTGTGGGTGGGTCAAAGGAGGAAAAGGCTGAAAGATATTGACCATATTGAGTCAGGAAACAGAAAGCCCAATGTATTTCAATCCCATTTGCCGTCTTAAATTACAACTTTTACTGACAATGTCTCTATTTCAAAAAGACATTTCTCAATAAAATGTAATTCAGACATAATTTGCTTGCCAAAGGCCAAATTGCTATCTTGTACCTCCGCATTTGCATAGCAAATTTCCATCAGGACCTGAAGGCACTAAACATATATTTAACTTGAGAAAGATGACCAGAGGCTTCCTAAAGGTACAGAAAAGTGAGCTTTTTTGATACTATAGCAAAACTCAATAGATAGTAGTTTCCTTAAGATTAGCTGCAATGTGTAATTTAAAATTGTATTGATGAACTTTTTATAGTCCCATTAAAATCCATCAGTCTTATGCACTTCTAACGAATCTTTTACCCGTGTTGTCCATGTAATGCTATACACTGTCATTTGGAAAGTGTTTAGTTCGCTAGTTATGAAAATCTTCCAAATGTTGATACATTAATTTAACAATAACAAAAGGTTACATTTGTTGATATATAAAAATAATGCTACCATATAAAATTCATATTTGTTAATATAACATTAATCTCAGAAAAATCTTTAAATATTGGGAAGGTGTCAAACTCATGGTGATGGATGCGAGGTTTTTAAAATTCTAATTTTTGCTTGAAATCTTAGATTTTAACACTGATAAAAACACTGTGAGTTGTTTTTCCCAAAGTGACATTGTTCACTTCCTTTGTTCATTTTGGAGAAAATGTCTGCCAATACCCAAATTTGAACATCTATGGTTTGTCAGTTATTCCTTCAAATAAAAGTGCTGTTCCAAAAATAAAGTTCTAACTCAAACAATTTGCTTACATTCTTTTTTTAAGACAATATACTTTGATTGACAGCAGAAGTGCTTCATGAAGCGGACTTCCCATATCATTGCACAGAATATTTAAAAATTGCACTAACTGTGTGGTGGTGAAAAATACAATGATAACTAGTACAGTTTGGCGCCCCGCCTTGATTTGCATGAAAGCATTAGCAGCCGTACCCATCATTGCTTTTGTACCAGTAGTGGAAATGACTATACAGTTAAAAAGGTGAGTTGAGTCTTTTATTAGAAACGTGGTTTTTCATGCTGTAGACTCCTGGAAGTGGTCTCAGAGATTCAGAGATGCCCGGGGGTTAGTGGGTCACACTTTGAGAACCATTGGAACAGATTATAGTTCACATAAAACTGATCGAATCTAAAATGAGTTCTTTTTGAGACAGTAGCTCTGTAATTCTGTAGTATGTGGTAGCTGAGCAGATGGCCTACAAGGAGGAAGACTCTTGACTAAGGATCAAATGTTATGTGTTGAAATGCCATTTTCACTTGAAAAATTGTATTGTTCCTCCTGTATGTCATCACATGGTAGATGATACTAACCATCAGTGTGAGGAGAGGGGAGCTGCAGCAGGAGCTCAGGCAGATATAATTGGAAGGACCCAGGAAGTTTCCATGACAGACCTGACTTAGTTGATTCGGAGCCAGTGCCCAATCCCTACACCTGGCAGGCATTAGAAATGCCAGGAGCCACTGGGAGGAAAGAAGGGCCTGATATCTGGCATTTTAGGTGGCCTGAGGCAAGAGGGAGCTTGAGCAGAGGTTGTTGGCATCTGTGAGTTGGGTATTTCCAATGAGGACATTGTTATGCCAGAGGCCACTGAAGGCCCCTCCCTGTCTCTGTGGCTTAGTTGGCAGGACTTCTTTGTCAGCATCTTTCTCTTTCCCCCAGATCCCTTTCAGCACATACCTCCATGCCCCAGTCCCATACTGACCATGAGGTTACAAGAGAGGCACTAATTAGCAGCTCGTCCCTTTCCATCCCAAAATTGGACTCCCAGATCTCCAATAAACATCTCATAATTTGGCTCCAAGAATTCATGTTCAGAGTACAACCTTACAATTTTTATTTTTGGTGTGAATCACTTATTTTATATTTTTAACAACTCCTATTATTGAGAAGTGGCATCTCTCTTTCCATTGATTCTGATGAGATCTTTGTTGCTATTTTGGTAACAAGAAGCAACAGCTGGAGTAGGGGTCATCCAAAGTCTTTTGTGTTGTGTATAGAAAATACTTAAGGGACTCTGTGAAAAAGTTCTTCTGCATACCCTACATGATTTTATCTGTAATGTAATATTATTAACATTTGTAAGTAATTCCACTTTATAGATGAAGAAATTGAGGCACCCAAGGTTTAGGTGACGGCTTAAATCAGTGGACGAATGTAAAAGTTGAATACTCTCTGCCCAATGTGTTTTTTCCTAGGCCAGCGATTCTGGGGAATTTGAGGACCCAGGCTCATATCCTACCTTCCTATCTACCACCACCTCCCACTACAGCCCCCAAAAATAAAAATTAGTCTAATTTTTTCAGTCTTATTGCTGATAACATCTGGGATGTTAGTTAAGGAGTGATCGTGACAGTGAATGATGAATAAATTATCAGTCAGCAACTAGAAAGAAAATAAGTGAAAGTTTACCAGGAAAGCTTTTCCATGGTGCCTTTTAGTTACAGGAATATATTCTAAATATGCACTGTGTTCTTCTTATAAATATTGAGTATTAGTTGACTCATCCTATCCTACACAGCGGTCTGTAGATACCACCTTTAATAAATGCTTGGAAGAAGAGCTTTTAATTTCTTTCAATTTGATTGTTGAATCTATATGAGTATTATAGAAAGTGTTCTCTAATTTAATACTTATAGAAAAAAATTGCTATTTTGAATTGGTCTGTGACCTCAGTTGCCTTTTCCCTGTCTTTGTTCTGTAAGAAGAGTTTCTCTTGGCTCCTGATTTACAGTACTAAATATATTCTGACGGAACCATAGCCCAAGCCCCAATGTTCTTAAGTCCTAATTCAATTAAAGGTATAAATGATATTAAGAAGCTTCTTGTAGTGCAGAGAACATTTCTATTGGGTAAAATGTTTTATTGGAACACTGATATTTCTGCCATTGCTTACTGCCATCATTGTTACTGAACCCTCCATCTCTTGCCCAGGTGTTTACCTCATTATGTATATTTGAATTATTGACAACTGTTGAGCACCTCATCACAGCATTGTGATAATGAGGTCAAGATTTCAGATGTATGGCTGACATCTCATTGGTTTCACTCCACTAATCCCCAGCCCCAGCTTACCATCTTGCATTAAGCTTTCCACAGACTCACAAAGAGTCCTCAGCAAGCAGAGTTGACTTGATAAGAATCCAACACTGCTCTGCCAACTCCCAAAACACTATTGATAGAAAAATCAAAAGTATGATCTAAAGTGCATGTAATTCTTATTATGTCTTGAATTTGTACAGGGTGTTTTCACTAAAGAAATCAAAGTACTACTAAAGCTATCTTAAATTATCTTAACCAACATTTATTCAGTGCCTATAATGATCATGACATTGTGCTCACCACTGTGGGAGATATAAAAATGAATATGGCCCTGTCTCCACCTCATGGAATCCTAAAATAGAGGTGGGAAGATAATAATAATTATAATGTGTATGACATTGTTGAAGCTTATTATGTTGAAGATATTGTTACATTGTCTTATTTGCTCTCAAACAATTTGGATAGGTATTATTATCCCCATTTTAGTAACAAACAAGCTCAAGAAGAGTAAATAACTTACCAAAAGAGATTCATTTACCAACAGATATTTATGCTATGACTCAAATTCATGCCTTTGATTCTAAACATTTTAATACTTAACTGAATTTCTATAAAGTATAAAGACTTAAAATGGTAAAACAAAAAAGATAAAAATTAATATATTCAAAAGTTCTTACAGTTTCCCAGTCCTTTAATACTCCCATAGGGTGTCTGGCTGCTCCCTCTGAAGTGTGCACCCCTTTCCAGTCATTTTGAGAATCCATAAAGGGAGGCAGTTTCATATGAGCTTGCAAATCATTCTATGGGCCCTAGACCTCAGGAGGCACCTCGCTGAGACTTGATGGAACATAGAGTTAGAACCAGACAGTGAAAGAGCGGGAGTCCCACCCATTCTGACTGATAAGGTCCCTTAGTAGAAGCTCCAGGACTCTTAGCAAATTTCAGCAACCATTTTTTTTTCATTGTCTGTCTTTGATATTTAGAATAATAAGCACCTGGGACTGTGGGAGACACACAGTTTTGCCACCCAAGTACCCTTTGTTGCTAAGCTCAGAAGGAGGAAAGAGGCTAATACCACAAAAGAGCACCAAGACCAACCTGGCATGGACCAGCAGGATCCAGGAGAGGATGTGTGAGACTGAATTCTCAGAGTCTTGATCAAGGAGGCTGGGACACAGCAAATAGTGTGTTGACTTGGAATTGTTTTTCTGAGATATGCAATTTAATATTCTGGAGAGGACCCCAAGAGATCATGCAAACTGACTACTATCATGGCTCCCAAAAGTATGGAAAATGCACTGGGCATACTAAGTGTGAAGTGAACATTCCAGCACTTCCATGATAGATGATGGACAAAAGGATTAAGAGGCTCAGGGAAGTAGGAATGCTTGAATGGATATACTATTATATATATGACCAGAAGATAATTGTTCATAGCAAAGCCCAGAGGACACACCATTTTTCAAGCCATAAGGAACGTACTACCAAGAAGAATAAAATACTTGGTGGTGGTTCCCCTCTGTAGGCCAGGGCTGATGGCAGGAGATACCATCATAGAACTGGGCTTACTGATAGCAAAGGGAATAATAGGACTCCAAACCATAAAGTCCAGGTTGTAGCTTTTAACTGCCAGAAGCCAGAGGCTTACAATTAATACAGGAACCAGCAAGACTGAGTGAGAATCTAGAGTGCCTAGCTCAGAAAACAGCATCCAAAAGGGCAAAAATAATAGATAGCAAGAAGGGCACTACAGGAAAAAAAAATATGGCTGAGCTCACAGATGGCTGAGCGGCTAAGAGCACTCACCCGAGTAAAGAGGAACACTTCTTGCCCAGTTTCTGGACCTGAGTCAGTTTTCAGATCCAGAACCCACTCATTGAAGATGTGATGAGTCCCCACAAGTAAGGACCATGCTACATCATTAAGAAGAGAGCGCAATACCTGGTGAGCCTCTTGAAGTTCTAGAGACAGCATATCCCATATCTAGGGTTACTCTGCCAGCCCATAGACTGGGTGATAGAAAAGGCTACAAGACTTTTGCATGGTCCAGAAAATAAAAGGACTCTACAGCATATTCAGGCTATAGTATAAGTATCCCTGTCACTTGGGCCATATGATCTGGCAGTCACTATGGTGTTGAAAGTATCAGTGTCTCAGTCCATTTGTGCTGCTATAATAGAATAACACAGACTTGGTAATTCATAAAGAGCAGAAATTTATTTTCTCACAGTTCTGGTGGCTGGGAATCTAAGATCAAGATGCCAGCAGGTTCAGTTGTCTGGTGAGGGCTGCTGTCTCCTTCCAAGATGGCGCTTGTTGCCGCATCCACTGGAGGGGAGGAATACCATTTCCTCACATGGTAGAAGGGCAAGATAGCCAAACACCACATAAAGAAGTCTTTTTTATAAAGGCTGTAATCCCATTCATGAGGGAGCAGCCTACATAATCATCCCTTAAAGGCCCTACCTCTTAATACCATCACACAAGCCATTGAGCTTCAACACCTAAATTTTGGAAGGGCTATATTTAAACCATAGCAATCAGTAATGGGAAAAGATGCCATGCAGAATTTATGGCAAGTCTCAGCAGAAGAATTACACTACAGAGTACTACAGGTGTTAACCCCTCTGTCTCAGTGTCTGCTTCCAGACAACCCAACCTGTGATTGGGGTACATGGAATTCTTCCAATATTGCACATGACCAGAATGCAATACAGAAAGAAATTGGGTAAAAATACAAACTTGATAGGAAGCATACATTGGGTCTATCTCATGACGTTATTTTAAGAAGGGCAATTACCCTCACTAGCAGGCTACTCATTATCTCCCCGTGAAAAATGTTATGAAGTATACCATCAATATCCACTCCATGTACTTTTCATAGGAGGAAGCCACTGTTCTTTATCTTTCCAAAGTCATGTAAGACTCAACACTCAAGTACCAGTGCCAAAGTCTGATCTTTATATTCACTGATGAAGACCATCAAGGAACCATAGAATCATAGCATGTTGGACATGGGAAAGACTTTGCAGGTCTTTATTCTCACTGGTAGAGTTTGATGCACACAGTGGAGCCTTCAAATGCCTGATCATTGTTTTCCCGCCTTCCTCTGGGACTATGGCATGGGACCTAAGGAGAAGTCTGCCTTTCCCAGGAAGGTTTCCTCCCCAATAAAAAGATTCACAAGAAAGCAACCCCTCATCTTCTGTGATCTTTTTGATGTCACATTGTCTATTCTTGGTGCTAGAACTATGGTAGCCACCAGCAACCATAAAGAGAGACATCAGGAACATGATACAACACAGTAAGACAAAAGGGTCCGTGTCCTTTGTTACATCATTGAGCTGTTGAACTAATCCCTCAAACAACCCTGAGTCCAGAGTTTTTTATTTTTATATAACATCCCTTACTTTTAAAGACATTTTTATATGGGTATTCTGATTTGCAGCCAAAAGCTGCTATATTAGGGATTATCTAATCCAGTATCTGTGTTTCACAGATACAGAAACTAGGACTCTGAGTGAGTAAATAACTTGCTCTACAGTCTGATTAAGTATCAGAGCTACAACTCAAATGCTAGTGTCCTGATTCTTGCACTAAAGCACTTTCCACCAACCCTTATAGAACACTCTAGCTATAATCAAAAGACAATAATAAGACCAGAAAGAGGCCTGGCAGGCTCTGAGGAGAAGCCACTTCGGCACTCAGGGAGAAGAGGGCTCCTGCCAGTGAATACAGACCAACAGGACAGGATCCTAATCAATTGTGAGTGACTCTTCTGCCTTGTTCCTGACCTTGTGTCCCCAGAAAGCCAATTAAAAATAAGCATTGACCATGTCACTGTCCTAGATACACAAAAATAACATTACTGTACATGACCAAAAGTGAACCAGATTCTCTGAATTTTTTTCCAACTTCCAAAAATAGTTAGGACTCCCTGCCAAAGAGTGGGGCTTGAATTCCCATGAAAAAAAAAAAATCAGTTCACGGCATTTGCTCCAGTGTAGAAATAATTAAATACACACTGAAGAATGGAATTCTCAGTGCTCTCTCACCCCATCAGCCTGTTTTCTGAAAGTAAACAAAAAAAAATTTTCCAATAATGTGGCAACTGCAATGTAATGAAGAAAGCACTAGACTTGGAACCAGGAAAACTGGCTTCTAGTCTGTAAGAAACATTTATTATTCACTTTAGTAACCCAGCATCTGACCCTTTCTTTACTGGTTTGAAGAATCCCTCATCTTAAAATATAGAACCCATCTTTCATTGTATAAGCTTAAATGGTCAGATACTTATTTCTCCCAGCTTCCCTTGCAGCTAGAATTTGGGCACATGGCCTAAACTCCACTGCAATGGCTAATTGTGTGTCAACCTGACTGAATGACAGGTGCCCAGATACTTAGTCAAATGTTATTCTAGGTGTGTCTGCAAGGGCATTTCTGGATAAGATTAACATTCAAATCAGTAGACAGAGTAAAGCAGATTGCCCTCCCCAGGATGAGTGGGTCTCATCCAATCCATTGAAGGCCTGAATAGAACAAAAAGATGAGGTAAGACAGAATTCACTCTGCCTGACTTTTAACTGGGACATTAGTTTTGTCCTGTCTTCTGACTTAGACTGGAATTTATACTATAAACTCTCCTGGTTCTCAGGCCTTCAGCTTTGGACTGAAACTATACCATCAGCTCTCCTGGGTCTCCAGCTTACCCACTGCAGATCCTGGGACTTCTTGTCCTCCATAACCATGTGGGCCAATTCTTTACTTAATGTGCGTGTGTGTGTGCGTGTGTGTGCATACACATATACATATATAATTCCTACTGGCTCTGTTTCTCTGGAAAACCTTATTCTCAAAAGTACTATCCTCAGATTTTGAACAGAAAGCTAGTGCGGCAAAGAAAGATCCAGAGAGAGTGGGCTTTGCAAAGAGGGGAGGGGAAACAGAGTTGATTAGATACTCCTAGTTGAGGTTTGACCTGGAATCACAGGAAACAATCCTGCCGCTTTACAGAAAAGACAAGGGGTATGAGGCTTTTGTTTCCTCTCTCAGTGCTGAGGCACTGGGCATTACAGATCCACAAGTCAGTTTTGACCCTTGGCCAGACAGGAAGCCCCATGAGGAAAGAAGCTTCATTGGCCTGTTCATTACCATCTCCCCAGCACCTAGCTCAGTGCCTGAAGCCTAGCACCTGCTCATAGTATCTGTTGGATGAATGAAGTCTGCTGTATCTGCATACACATCAGCCATTTCTTGAAAATAGGATTGTTTTGAGATTTTTATGCTGGCCAAATGAAACCTCCCTCAGTATAGGAATATTAAAGAAACCTCAGGCTAGCAGAAGCATAATAATAACTGAAAATAATAATCATAAATCATGCTGCTATAAAGACACATGCACACGTATGTTTATTGCGGCACTATTCACAATAGCAAAGACTTGGAACCAACCCAAAAGTCCAACAGTGATAGACTGGATTAAGAAAATGTGGCACATATACACCATGGAATACTATGCAGCCATAAAAAATGATGAGTTCATGTCCTTTGTAGGGACATGGATGAAGCTGGAAACCACCATTCTCAGCAAACTATCGCAAGGACAAAACACAAAATACCACATGTTCTCACTCATAGGTGGGAATTGAACAACGAGAACACATGGACAAAGGAAGGGGAACATCACACACCAGGGACTGTTGTGGGGTGGGGGGAGGGGGGAGGGATAGCATTAGGAGATATACCTAATGCTAAGTGACGAGTTAATGGGTGCAGCACACCAACATGGCACATGTATACATATGTAACAAACCTGCACGTTATGCACATGTACCCTAAAACTTAAAGTATAATAATAATAAAAAAATAAAATAATAATCAAAGAGGTTTGGATTTGGGCTTAACTTTAGGCTTGACATTCATTGGAAGAAGTCACAATATTGAACATTTTCTAATGGTAAAGACTCTAGGGATTGATGCCTTGGCTGGGAAAGTGACATCCTCCAGCCATGTACATTCTCATACCTCATGCCAAGATGAACTGAGATCGAAAGTGACAAGACCTACCTGAACCACCTCTAACCAGATACTCTCAGCAGGGGCTCAACTCTCGTTCCAGTCTTGCTTGTTACATTTTGCTGTTGCCATTAAAGGGTGAAAGGATGATCCAGGGAGCAAGCAGATTCCCTTGTTACTATTTAGCTTATAACCAAATCTCTAACTCTTTAATTATTTTCTTGATGCATTTATTACAAGAGAGCTTTAGTTCAAAGGTAGCAGAGCTTGAAAGTTAGATTTGTACAAAAATTTAAAAAGCAGCTTGTTTTGCCAGAATTATCTATATTTCTTCAGACCAGCACGTGGCTGTGGTAGTAGAAAAGGCAGGGTCTAAATAGGCCCTCAACAGTCCTTTATTAGAACAGAAACTTCTCTAGGCTGATTCTTTGTGTCCTAATAGGCTTCAGTATATGACAGAAACAAGAGCTAACACCTGCAAATATTTATTATGTGCCAGTCACTGTCCTAAGCACTTGACCTGTATTAACTGAGAGAATCCTCACAAATCCCTATGAGGTATGTGCCATCATACCTATTTTACAGATGAGGAAAGGCAGATACAGAGAAGTAACTAACTTGCCCAAGTTCACACAGCTAGGAGGGGAGGAACGCAAATTTGAACCCAAGCACCTGGCTCCAGAGTCTGTGCTCTTAACTGTGGTCAACATGAACACTAGCTGACAAACCCCACGCTGCCTGGCATAGATTCCATGGTGTATGCTGGCAACAGAGGAACCAGAGCTAAGCACCAATGGGTAAAGAAGGAGCTGAGGAACAGAAAGCAAGTTTAAGGTATTTTTTAAAAACACACACACATACGCATGTGCATGTGTCTTTATAATAGAACGATTTATATTCCTTTGGGCATATACTCAGCAATGGGATTTCTGAGTCGAATGATATTTCTGTCTTCAGATCTCCAAGGAATTGCCACACTGTCTTCAACAATGGTTGAACTAATTTACACTCCCACCAGGAATGTATAGGGGTTCCTTTTTCTCCACAACCTCACCAGCATTTGTTATTTTTTTACTTTTTAATAATAGCCATTCTGACTGGTGTGAGATGGTATCTCATTGTGGTTTTGATTTGCATTTTTCTACATGCCTGTGTATGTTCATTGCATCACTATTCACAATAGTAAAGATATGGGATCAACCTAAATGCCCATCAGTACTAGACTAGATAATGTGGTACATTTACACCATGGATGTAAGAAAATGTGGTACATTTACACCATGGTACATTTACACAGGACATGGATGGAGCTGGAGACCATTATCCTTAGAAAACTAATGCAGGAACAGAAAACCGAATACTGCATGCTCTCACTTGTAAGTGGGAGCTAAATGATGAGAACACATGAACACATAGAGGGGAACAACACACACTAGGGCCCATTGGAGGGTGAAGGATGGGAAGAGGGAGAGGATCTAATGGGTACTAGGCTTAATACCTGGGTAATGAAATAATCTGCACAACAAACCCCCATGACACGTGATTACCTAAGTAACAAACCTTCACATGTACCCCAAACTTAAAAGTTTAAAACAAATCATCTTTATTATTTCTGACTATAAACATAATATGCTCATTGGAGAAAATATAGAAAATACTCAAAAAGTATAAAAAATCAAAATCAAAAATCTCACCTGAGTTTGTCTTTTACCCCTACCCACAGGTCTCATTCATTCATTTGCTCACCTCTTCTACCACTAATTCACTATCCATTTGCCAAGTTTCATGCATGGCTCTGTGGAACAAGTAATATTGTACAGTTCACATAAACTAACCCAGCTTGATTAGCTTAGAAGAAGTAATAAAGGATATGTAAGAATGTCTTATCTACAATTCAAGGCAAATTGTAATTAAAAGTAATACAAAAGAGGATGTTTAGGGCAGTGAAACAATTCTGTCTGATGCTGGAATTGTGGATGCATATCGTTATACATTTGTCCAGACCTATAGAATGTACAACACCAAAAGTGAACCGTAAGGTAAACTATGGATTTCGGTGATAATCATGTGTCACTGTAGTATGTTCATCAGTTGCAACAAATGTACTACCGGGTGCAGGATCCCGATGGTGGGGAAGGCTCTGCTTATGTGTGTATGCAGGCAGGATGCATATGGGAAATCTCTGTACTTTCTGCTCAATTTTGCTGTGATCCTAAGACCTTTCTAAAAGATAAAGTCTATTTAAACCAAAAAAAAATTCTCTTTTTTTAAGTAATAGAAAGTTAAAATAATGCTTTGTGAGTGTTTACTGTGGGCCACACAGAGTTCTAAAAAATTCTACATAATTAACTCATTCAATCCTTACAACAACAGAATGAGGTGAGACTATATTTAAGTCCCCCTTTTATAGATGAGTGAACCAACATGCAAAGAAGCTTACTAACTAACCAAAAGTCACTCAGAGAATGTGGTAAAGCCCGAATCCCAACCTGAACAGTGAGCTCAAAAACCTCACTCCTAATCTTGTCTCCTCAGCCTCTGTGGAGGTTTGGGACAACTAAGGATGGAGGGATCCCTCAGGTGAGGGAAGGTGGGGTGGGAAGTGGAATTTCCAGTGGGGAGGGGGTGGGGGAGCATCTGAGGTGGATGAAGAGTGAGCAGTAGTCCTCCTCTTTCCTGTTCCTGAAGCAATACAGAACCTTACAATAGCTTGCGTTGGAGTGTCTATGGGGGCTGAATGCTAGATTTCGGGTCACTGGGCCCTTCCCAGAAAGAACAGTACCGTCTGAAGCGTGCCCCTCACTGCTAAGTGCTGTAGATCCGTTGTGTCTTCAAGCCAGAGATGGAGATGTCTGTGTTCAGTTGGTCACCTCATCCCGCACCTCCCTCTTCCTTCCCCTCACAGCCCTATCTCAAATCACTTCCCAGCAATGACTTGCCCTTCTCCCTCCAGGGCTGTCCCTGCATTCCCCACACCCTCCCGGCTGGCACCTCTGCCCAGGCTGTGGTTTGGCCCCGGAGGTCTGGACTGGACAGGGACAGCCTGAGCTGAACCTCAAGGAACAGGAAAGTTCAGTGTTTGCCTGAGGCACAACGAGTCATTCAGCAGTCACTAACTCTCGCTCCTTAGCACTCCATCCCCCTGCAGAAACCTTCCCAGGGGACATGGGGACATTTAGCCCTATTGAAGAGACTAGCCTCCATTGGCCTACTTTCTTCCCTCACACTTCCTTCAAGGGGCTTTAGCAAGATTTATTTCTGACAGAAATGTCTTTCTGTAGACTTGTAAATATTCAGTCACTTCACAAGTTTGCTTAAAACTGTACCAAACTGTATTTTATTCCATTTTCAAAAATGATCTGTGGTAGCCTGACTTCAAAGTTGGCTGCCTTGGCTGGGCGCGGTGGCTCACGCCTGTAATCCCAGCACTTTGGGAGGCCGAGACGCGTGGATCACGAGGTCAGGAGATCAAGACCATTCCGGCTAGCACGGTGAAACCCCATCTCTACTAAAAATACAAAAAACTAGCCGGGCGTAAGTGGCGGGTGCCTGTAATCCCAGCTACTAGGGAGGCTGAGGCAGGAGAATGGCATAAACCCGGGAGGCGGAGCCTGCAGTGAGCCGAGATCGCGCCACTGCACTCCAGCCTGGGCAACAGAGCGAGACACCATCTCAAAAAACAAAAACAAAAACAAACAAACAAACAAACAAAAACAAAGATGGTTGCCATCAACTGCTGCCCTCTTGTAGACACATGCCACTCTTCCATGGAGAGGGGAGGCTGCTCCTGCACACCCTCGAAGCTCAGCTGGCCGGTGACTACTCTCAACAGAAGATACGGTGGAAGTGACATTGTGCCAGCTCCAGGCCCTGGTCTTTAAGAGGACTGACAGTTTCCACTTCTTGCCTCTTGGATCCCTGAGAGACACGGAAGAAATCCAGCCACTGTACTGGAAAGAGGCCACGTGGAGGAACACAGAGGGATCACGCATGTGCATGAAGAAGCCATGTTGAATGTCCAACCAGTAAAGCTTCCAGATGGCTCAGCCCCAGACTCCCAAACAAGAACTACTGAGCTCAGCTCATTCAACCCACAGAACCATGAAAAACAATAATATATTATTAAGTCACCATGTTTTGGATTTTTTTATGTAGCAATAAATAAATTATGATCATTCACTTTAACCCACTAATTCTAGGAATCTAGAAAATAATCCGAAATATAATCCAATATTCATGAATAAAGATATCTAATACATATCATTGTTGATCATATTAAAAAAAAGAGAAAAAACATAGGGCAAGGTTAAGTAAATTGTACATATGATCTATTGTGTAACATTTAAATAATGTAAATAATGCTAAGGCCAGGCGGTGGCTCACGCCTGTAATCCCAGCACTTTGGGAGGCCAAGGTGGGTGGATCACCTAAGGTCGGGAGTTTGAGACCAGCCTGACCAACATGGAGAAACCCCATCTCTACTAAAAATACAAAATTAGCCGGGCATGGTGGTGCAAGGCCTGTAATCCCAGCTACTCAGGAGGCTGAGGCAGGAGAATCGCTTGAACCTGGGAGGTGGAGGTTGCAGTGAGCCAAGATCATGCCATTGCACTCCAGCCTGGGCAACAAGAGCAAAACTCCATCTCAAATAATAATAATACTTAAGAAGAGTCTTTAATATCATAAAAATGCTTTCGACTTTTTAAAAAGAAAGAAAAGAAAATGAGTCACCAAATTATGAATTGTAGATGATCTCTACCACATAATATACATACAAGTAGAGATGATTGGAAGTGTGTTTGCTAATGTTGTCAGCATTTTTAACTGGTGGTAAGATTGTTATATTCTTCTTTATAGTTTTCTGGGCTTTTCTAAGTTTTCTAGAACAGGATTGTGTTTTTAGATTTCTTATCATAAAAGTAATACATGCCCATTATTTTAAAAATTCAGACAATTCAAAAGGGCAGAAAGGTAAAGTGATAGTCAACCCAAGGCTACCATTATAGAGATAACCACTGTCAACATTTGAATGTTAACATTTAGAATTTAACATTAATATAAATGTGCATTTTTTAATGTTAGGATACTATATTATTTTATATTCTGATTTTTGTACCTGTTTTATAATCAAAAGAAAATACATCTTAATACAGATAATTGTAACTTTTCTGAAAACATCTCATTGCCTTTTATCCCTCCTGTCATATAAAGTTTGCAGAGATGTGTGTATATGCACGAAAAATGCAACCACAGGAACATACACACCATACTTCAAAATGTATTACACAGTATAACAACTCTGCCTCTAAGCAGTAATTCATATATTAGGAAAGTTGATATTTAGCAAATTAGAGAAAAAGCTTTCTGGTACTCCCTTTCCTCTTATGATAGCTGGCCTGCCGGAAAGGAATCCTTGAACCTGAGCTCCCAGCCAGGGCCCGTGAGGCCTGGTAAGCATAATGGTAACAGGCAGGGCTCTGAGCCAGCCTGCCTGAGTTGGAATCCTCCTTAACTGGTTCTCTGACCTTGGGCAAATGACTGTAAGCTTCCATTTCCTTATCTAAAAAACAGGTAATTCTACTAACAACCTCAAAAGGATGTTGTACAGATCGACTTGGGCAGTCTATATGATGAGCTTAGCATATTCAGTTAATATCTAGGTGGTAACAATGTCATTATTCTTTCTTTCCGGAAAAGGCTGTCACATTTGATTTGGCATGAACCCCACCCAGACAACCAGCATTTAGTCTTTGCACATATTCTGCATACCTTGTATTAAAATACTTGAATTTAGGAAAAAGAAAAAAAGATCAGCAGCCACTATACAGTATATAGTACTGTACCATAGTATACCATAACATCATAATAAATAATGTTCTACAGTCTATTTATATCCCATGATAAGTATTAACAAAGTTTGGAAATGGAAATAAAAGATTAGCATTTAGGTTTGTACACATTTTGTCAGGCATTAGATATAATAGCAGCAAGAACAGGAGGACAAGGGAAGAAATGAAGTGCGGCTCTGATGTTTGCATACTTTCCATATGCCAAGCAGCACGCTCAGGGCAGCTGCAGAACTGAGTCCTCCCTGTAAGCACTATTACCCCTGTTTTACAAATGAAGAAACTGGGGCTTAAAGAAATTAAGTAACTTGCTTAAGGACACACAAATGGTCAAATAGACTGAACTAAGATTTGAAGCCAGTGTGTTTGATTCCAAACCTCTGAGCTCAACCCTAAGGATAATCTCCCTAGCAATTCCATAAAGTAGGTATTACCTTCAACATGACCCAAGTTAATACCTCAGGGGGTTTCAATGTTGGAATTCTCAGTTCATTCCCTTGTACCCCACATATAATTATTTCCCTGCTCAGAAGCTGATTTCATTGCTACTCGTTAAAATTACCTGGACAGGATTTTTTAATATACCAATCCTTTCCACAGAGATTCTAATGTACTAAGTCTAGTGGCCAAGGGCCCATTGGGTGTAACGAGCCAGGATGAAGCAGCACTGGCCTCCATGGTGCTGAGGCACCCACTGCTTCCAAGGACACTCAAGTAGTTTCCCCAGCCCTTTGCCTCCCCAGGAATTCTTAGTCCATCCACCAGCACCTACAGCTCTGGTCTTAGGTCTGCCCTCGTTCTCACCCTCGCTGACTCTGCTCCGTCACCAGTGACCTTAAGTCACTTTCCTGAATGGTCCACCCACCCTCCTCCCCGTCCCAAAGCTTCCTAGAAGGCTTTAGTGAAAGCATGTTCCATTCCTTTGTTTCAGTGAGCTTGGGAAACCACTCCTTCAGTGATTTAAACAATGGAAAGGAAAACAAAAAAGAAAACAAAGGGACTTCCAAAAATCAAACACTTATTGTTCCTAGGAACCTACCCTATCAGTGAATTTTAAGAATAAATGAAGGAAAACTTAGATACCCCTGCCCCCCAAATGCCTGGCAGACATTTGTGCTGGCTTTTGAAGAGTGTGTTCTGGAGAGAGGGTCATTCTGTATCTTGGAGGTCGGCTGGCCCTGAGGAGCTGAGGCTTTTGTTTTCTAAAAGTTACATTACACTTGGTCTGTGGAAGACTTGTATTATGTGGGTCTTTTTGCTCAGAGTTCAGTTCCTTAAAATCTCAAGCACTTTAACTGCTGGAAGGGAAAACCTCACTGATTTGTTCACTGGTAAAACCACATTAAAATGTAGCCCCCAACTGATTATCTAGGGTTTTTGCTTAAAATTATGTGCCAGTTATTTATATTGACTACTCCCTTGTGTGTTCTATATTCACATATGGAATACAATTCTGAAAATACTAACTTCTTTTGACCTATTTAAGTCTTCAACTTCCCATTTTGGTTGTTTATCGACACCTCAAATAGCTCAGAGGCATCAATCAACGCAAAACTTTTACTACTTTTAACTGATAAACCCAGAGAAAAGGGCTTTTATTTGGGATGAATTGACAGTACTCTCTTCCTATCTCTGACAGTTGAATGTCAATGTGGCCACAAGGAAAGCTTTAAATAGTTCAACCTTCAGCTCTGTCTCTGATGGGAACCAGGAATAAGAACGATGATCTTGTCTGAACAATCTGAAACTGATTCCAGACTCTACAGAACATTTTTGTAGTCTTACATTCCAGAAGAATCTAAGACTTTAAGCAGAATATAAGAACTGAAACCATGGTATTGCTGTTCAGGCTCCTCTTAAAAGGGCTTTGGCTCAATTCATCTGCACCTCATTATTAATTTACCTTTTGCTGGAGCAGAGACCGAGAGAGAAATGCACAAGGACCAAATCTCCTCAGAGAGGACCTCCTGAGCCAAATGGATGGGCCTTCACCTGCTGTTTATGAAAAAGCAGTCTCAGACTAATCCAGAATTATGAGCAAATTATTCCAGCAACACAAGACTGCTTTTTTCCTAAAGTGGCCCTAAAAAGAATACGTAGAAAAATATGGGTCAAACAGGACTTCAGAAAGTTACTAAATGCAGCAAAAGCACTAAAAATTAGATAACTAGTCACTTAGGGGTAACTTACTGACTTGAAAACAATGTGACTGAAAATTCTGAAATCCTCAAACTTTTTAGCTATTAAAAATCACCTATAACATTATGTTTGAATTGTAATTCATTAACATCTTCTGGAGAAGACAGAATAAGACAAATGTGATATGCTAAGATTTACAGATAAAATGGAATAAATTGGAATCAGAATAAGCAAACCAAGAGGTAGACCAAGTCATTGTATCATTTAAATATACTTGTTTAAAACTCCTCCATGGATATAGATATATCTATCTGCACACAATTTTTTTCTGGGTTAGTAATATGAATAATGATTATGTTTAGTTTTTATGTTGTGCTCAGTTAAGCTTATTAATCATAAGCAAGTAACTAACATAACAAGTGTTACCTAGTCAGGGAGGGTATAAACCATTTTAATTTTTTCTATATTCTTTTTTATATTAACAAACCTAATACATCACTTAAAAATTAAATATCACCCATTCCATTTTTCCAAAAATTAAGGAAGAGTTCAAAACCATCTTACTAAAGTCAGAGCTAGTAGAAAAATATTGTGCAAGACATTTTCTAGAAATCCACATTTTTTCCCATTAGCATTTTTATTTCACTATCGATTAATGATGAGATTTAAATGAGTTTTGTCTGTTTTTGTCCTAGTTGAAAAAAAAGTTTTGAAATTACAAAGAAAAATAAAAAGCACCTCAAGACCCACCAGAATAGGAAGTTTTCTCAATGCTAAAAAGTTGTCATATGATCATATTTTAGTTAGAACTGTGGTTAGGGGGCATCCAGGCACGGTGGTTCATGCCTGTAGTCCTAGCACTTTGGGAGGCGAGGCAGGAGAATCAGGTGAGGTCAGGAGTTCCAGAGCAGCCTGGCCAACATGGCAAAACCCCCATCCTACTAAAAATATAAAAATTAGCTGGGCATGATGGCACACACTTGTAATCTCAGCTACTTGGGAGGCTGAGGCAGGAGAGTCCCTTGAACCCGGGAGGCAGAGGTTGCAGTGAGCCAACTTTGCACCACTGCACTCCAGCCTGGGCAACAGAGCAAGGCTCTGTCTCAAAAACAAAACAAAACAAAAAACCCCATAATCCAGAACTGTGGTTAGGGGGATGGAAATCTACAGTTTCATAAACTACTGAAAATTTTGAGTATGGTATACTGTTCCTCATAGATATGGGTACTTTTGCATTTTTTTGTTCCTCACAAGGTATTACTGTTTCATTTTTTTCTATTGTCTAACCCCCAAGACCCTTGACTGAAGACCCAGCCAGCAGTCTGCTGGGTTTGAATTCACCATTAGCACCTGGGGTAACCTCAGTCCACAGAATGTAAGGAGACAAGTGAGGCAATGTTTGTGGAGTCCAGCGGCTGAACCCGCTCTGCTACAGAAGAAATGCCCCAATTGTCTTTCCTAAGCAAAAATTGCCACGACTCCCCATAAACAATCAGTTGTCCATTGACTGTTATAAATAGACTTTAATACACAACCAGCTGTCTGAGGGAGAGTTTATAACTGTTGACCAAAGACACAGTAGGGAAGGGAAATGAGAGATTTCCACATAGCAGGAGAATGACTTGTCTGCAGTCTGCAGTGAATGAGGTTGCACACAGATCTCCCATTTAAAATATGTCAGCATGCCTTGGACTCGAGTGAAAATTATGGGGACAGCACAACGGGCTTCATGTGGGAGTCTATTTCAACAGATACTGTATTCTTCTCTCATGGGCACCCTTGAATTCAGGATTGTGAAATAAGTGGCAGTTACCAGCAGATGTCCTGTAAAGTGCTGGTCACAGGAGATATTTTCGATGATACAGTGGCAAGATGCACTAGTTTAACTGTGATAAGAACTAATCCCTTACCACATTTCTTCTCCATTTCCTGTTGTTTCCCTTTATCTTTTCCAGGATGACTCTCCTTCTTGCACAACCTCGTTGACAACCACTCTCTATGAAAGAGTGTTCCCGAGCATCTTATTTTAACCAGAACCAGTCCCTGGGGCGAGGTGGTATCTCAAAAATCTGATCAGGTGTGACAGAGAACAGGGCTCTGGGCAGCCAGCCATGGCCACAGGCCTCTCTGTACTGCAGCAGATCCACCCACGGCTGCTCTGAGTTCTGACCAGCCAGCCAGAGACAACTAGATGTGGTGGAGGTTGAAGGTGGATGCAGGTATTGTCACAAAGCTCAATAAGACTAAACAAGGAAGGATAACATGCGTGAGAGACACAAATGTGGGAATAAAGACAGCAGCACAAAAGAAAGGCACAGGGGAGCAGGGATCCATCAGGAAAGATTTAGCAGAATGTTTCTTCACTCAGTAAAATAAATAGAGATGAAGAAAAGAAAAGGTCATATTTTGATAGAAAATAGTACGTTTAGTGGCCAGGCACAATGTCTCATGCCTATAATCCCAGCACTTTGGGAGGCTGAGGCAGGAGGATCACCTAGCCAACATGGTAAAACTGCATCTCTACTAAAAATACAAAAATTAGCCAGGCATGGTGACACATGCTTGTAATACCAGCTACTCAGGAAGCTGAGGCAGGAGAATCACTTGAACCCGGGAGGCAGAGGTTGCAGTGAGCCGAGATCACACCACTGCACTCCAGCCTGGGGAACAGAGTGAGACTCTCTCAAAAAAAAAAAAAGAAAGAAAGAAAAGGGAAAGAGTATGTTTAGTGCATTTTAAAAATGTATTTTTTCCAAAACTGTGTGAAATATGATTTGGGACACTGAAAAATTTCAAATGCATTGCTAGTTTGATTCCCACACCTTAAGTTTTAAAGCTATGATAAATTTTCATTTTTTTTTTTTTTTTTGAGATGGAGTCTCACTCTGTCACCCGGGCTGGAATGCAATGGCGCAATCTCGGCTCACTGCGACCTCCGCCTCCCGGGTTCAAGTGATTCTCCTGCCTCAGCCTCCCAAGTAGCTGGGATTACAGGTTCACACCACCACGCCCAGCTAATTTTTTGTATTTTTAGTAGAGATGGGGTTTCACTATGTTGGCCAGACTGATCTCGAACTCCTGACCTCGTGATCTGCCCTCCTCGGCCTCCCAAAGTGCTGGGATTACAGGCGTGAGCTACCGCACCCAGCCTAAATTTTCTTTTAAAAATTTACTTCCAAGATAAAAATAAGCCTATCATGGTTGCGTTTGAACTATCCAGAGTTAACACGCATCCTATGATCTCAGTTTACCTTTAAATTAACATAAGTGAGAAAATTCATTATTCCAGTTCAAATTAGAGAATGTCTTTTTTTTCCTTCCAGCCAAGAGACATGCAATTTAATGCCAGGGCCTAGTTTTAAGAATTAGAATTCTTCTATTTTAAAGATGGAAAAATTGTAAACTGAGTAGGTAATGTTTCTCTAGAGATGTATATAGAAGCATTTGAGATTTCTCCTACTAGGAATCTGTAGATGGCTACTTTTTACCTCAATAAACCACTGTTCCTCGGTTTCCTCTTTCATAAGACAGCACCTTCCTGATAGTAAGAGCATAGAAGAATGCCTTGCACCAGACACTCAATAGTGTAACCTATTACAAATTAATTCACTTTAAAGCTTCCCATTGCTTTTTCCTTCCAGGATAACTTTTATTGAAATATAAATACATGCAGACATGCACGTAAGTATACGGTTTGATGAATTTTCACAAACTGAACACACCCTTGAGGCCTCTGCCCAGATTAAGGGTCAGAACATCCCCCACACTTAAGAGCTCCTTTTATACTTGCACCCCACACCCTACCGTCAGCTAACAGTAATGTTAATCTAACAACATTTGCTTTGCCATTTGTAAAACATTTATTGTGGTAAAATATATCTAAAACTTAGAATCTTTTTTTTTTTTTAGGCGGAGTTGCTCTCTTGCCAGGCTGGAGTACCATGGCATGATCTTGGCTCACTGCGACCTCCGCCTCCTGGGTTCAAGTGATTCTCCTGCCTCAGTCTCCCAAGTAGCTGGGACTACAGGCGTGCACCACCACGCCCAGCTAATTTTTGTATTTTTAGTAGAGACGGGGTTTCACCATGTTGGCCAGGATGGTCTCCATCTCAACCTAGTGATCCACCCGCCTTGGCCTCTCTGAGTGCTGGGATTACAGGCAGGAGCCACCACGCCCAGCCCATCTTAACCATTTTTAAGTGTACAGTTCAGTAGCGTACTAAGTGCAATCCCATTGTTGTACAACCACCACCAGCATCCGTCTCCAAAACTCTTTTCATCTCACATAACTGAGACTCAATACCCACTCAGCAATATCTCCCTATTCCTCTCTCCCTCTAGCTCCTGGCAACCACCATTTTACTTTGTCTTTATGAATCTTACCACTCTGGATTCTTTAATATAAATGGAATTGAAGTGTTCGTCCTACTTTTGCCAATTTTTGTTCTCTACCTAAGTAGAATCATACAGCTATGTTTTACCCTGTATCTAGCTTCTTTCCCTCAACATGTCTGTGGGATTTATCAGTTCATTTAGAGTTCTACTTTGTTTCTCCTCGTTAAATAGTACTCTCCTATGTGAGTATGCCACAATGTATTCTACTGGTGATGGGCATTTGGGTAGTTTTCAATTTGGGGTTTTTACATGTAGTGCTGCTATATCTTTTGGTAAAATATGTGGCTAGAAATGAAATTGATAGAACATAGGGTATGCATGTATTCAGCTTTAGTAGATATTCCTGTTGCTTTTTATTAATACATTCAAGTCACCAAAGAGAAGTGATCTTTCATCTTACATGAAGGAAAGCAATTTACATATTTGAATTCACATGATGCTGTGGACTCTGCCCAGAAGAGTAAAACTGCCCACCCACTCAACTCCTCCCACCGCAAACCCCACATGCCAGCTCTATTGAGCTTTCTCTGCTTAGCTGAACAGCCGTCTCCTACTCTTTCCTCCCTAGGCCATTGTGGGTGCTGCTTCACTCAGCCTGCACCCTCTTTGTACCTGGTTTGATGGCTGTTTGTCTCTCAGACCTCAGCCCCTTTGAGAACTAGTACCAAAGCACAAAGTATGCTTCCTCAAAATGCATGTCATCACGAGTCCATTCCTGTTGGAATGTAAGTCTGAAGATGAGGCTCTGGCATTCTCCTCTTGCCCAGGTCTTGCCACTTACTACCTCTGTTTCTTTATCTTTTAGGAGTTGTCTGCACATGCAGATTAAACTTATTTTGAGCCTCCATTCTGGGTTCCCATTGACATAAAACATGATGCTTAGAATATACACAAATCCAAACCACTTAGATCGGTATCAGCAACCAGGTTCAATCCACTTTCCAATAGTTGTACATAACACCATTTTACTGCTCTAGATGATGTCAAGTCTAAGGACTCACTAGCATTTAATAACACCTAATTCAAACAGAACAAAAAACTGCCCAGTAGCACCTTCCAAAGACTAAGTAGAATGACAGAAAGCACTGAACTCTGAGTTGGTCTTCCATGTTGGACAAAAAACAATGCTCTGAATCTACATGGTTTCATTACAGAATTGGAAGAGTAACGTGGACTGATGCCATAAAAGTAATTCCAGTTAACAGTTCCATTTACACTAAAAACAGTAAACTAGATCACCAAGAAATAATCCAAGTAGAAATTGCCATGGCTTAAATGAAATAAAAGTGAGGTAACTCATTCAGATCTTTTTCTCCATTAAATGTAAAGTTATATCATGTTCATGGGTGGGAAGATATAGACATTCAGACATCTTCCATGAGAAAAACAACTTAGTGTATGGTACACATTCTTTCAGAATCCTAAGTATACATTAAAACTATAGGAATTAAGTTAATATGGACATGAAAATGAACAAAGATTAGTGGATTAGAATAGAATGTTAGAAAAAACTTATTAGGCTTAAGGAAATTTAACATGTGATTTAAAAAATAGTGCCCAAATGAAGGTGGATGAAAGTTCAAATAGTCAATAAAAGGTTAGAACAGCGGGCTATTAAAAAAAAAAAAAGACCTGTATCAGATAAGAATGTATTTGACTGCAAGTAACCAAAAAACCAAACGAACAGTGGCCTAATTAGAGATACAATTTCTCATAAATTAGAAGTCTCTGCTAGTATTGGCCCACCTGCTCAATGATATTCTAAGGTGAGTTGACAGTCTACAGCCCACAGGCCAATCATTACACTTTTGTACAACTCAAAAATGAAGAATGGTCTTTACCTATTTTAAATGGTTGGAAAAAAGAATATTTTGTGACAAGTTACATTAAGTTTAAATATTAGGGCCCGTGAATAAAGTTTTACTGGAATACAAAGATGCTCATTTACATTTCCTCAATGGCCATTTCTATGCTTCAACACCAGAGTTGAGTAGACAGAGGTTGTATGGCCTACAAAGCCCAAGATATTTACTATCTGTCCCTTTACAGAAAAAGCTTGCCAATCCCTGCCCTAAGGAACCCGTACTCTTTCCAGCTTTGCCATCTTTGTTACATTGCCCCCAGTAATGTAGTACATTATTACTGTAAACTAGGCCCTCAACTCCAAAGTAGAAGCCTTCTTGGAAACCCTGCAGACTCCCACTTACATTTGACTGGCCAGAGATTGGCACTGCCAGGCCTAGACACAAGTGGCCTGGGCGCCTCCAGCTCTCCCTACCCAGAAGTATTAATGTATAAATAAGACCATGAACACAAGAACTACAAGAGGCAGAGTGTGTATGATCTTTTTATGGGGATGACCAAATATGAAACCTAGAACCAATAAAGTCAGAGATGGACTTATCCATATAATACCCCCATGTAGAAAAGAAACTTAAATATATTTGTCACATTTTGTTATATTAAGAGTTTCTATAAGACAAAAAATGCTTGATAAGCTCAAAGAATTCAACTGGCTAATTTGATATGTTCAAATTTTCATTTTTAAAGATGCAACTTAACAATGAAATGTATCCCTTATCAAAAGGACTTGCCCTGTGTGAGGAAAATGGTCTCACAGTTGAGGGAAATGTAAACTGGCATAGTTTTTGGGGAGACCAAATTGCATCTGACATTTTCTTAGCAATTCTACCTAAATATAAGAATCTATATTCAAAGATGATCACAGCACTGTAATAATGGGTAACTTTAAAATGCCCTCTTTGAATGTCCATCAATAAGGGAATCAGTTAAATGGGTATTGAACTGTTTAAATACTATATACAAGCTAATTTCCATGGGGGAAAAAAAAGTGTTAGGATTTTGAAATGTCTCCACAACACCTTGTTAAGGAGCTATAGGGTCGTTTTAAGGCTATGTTCATATACAAAGAAAGCAGTCTGGCAGAGCACATGTCAAACCTGACAGTCACTACCTTTGTTTAGGATTGGGGCTGGAAAGTCAGCTTCTCATATTGCATACATTGCTATTAAAGTTAAAAGCACAAACCACTTTCATAAGTTTGTCAGAACTTCCATTGCAGAGATATAGAGAAAGGAATAAAAAAAGACAGTAGTTCATCCTTATTTCTTGAAATCCGCCACACAGCCAGGACGGAGCTTGGGAAAGTCTAGAGCCAGGGATGGCTCTCTCCCTCCTCTATGCTCAGCCCTCACCCTGACCATCATTCTACAGGGATACTCTGCAAGGTGCAGGCTAATGTGAACTATGAATGTCCACTGAGAAAGTCACATTTTAAAATTGTAAATTTAACTGATATACTCCTCCTCCCAATAGGACAGATAACATGTTACTAAGGTTCTGAGTGTCATCTAACTTTGTTTCTCTTCTGCCTCAAGAAATCTAACAAGTAGTTTTGGTATTAATATCTGCGTTGGAGTACTTCCTTATATCTTACTTTGGACGTAAGTTTTAGAACCTAAAACTAGGAGTCATTGAGTGAGTGCTATAATGACCGAATATTTGTTTCAAAGTGCATTGCGTTGCTTCTTTCCTGTGATCCTTGACGATAGGATTTGAAACCCAACATCTATCTACTCATTCTGATTCAGAGGCTCAAGGGCATTAAGTAATAGATATCCAACATAAGAGACCCACAACAATGGTCCTATAGTTTTATTAAAGATAGTGAAAAAGCTAATATCAAGTTCCTTAAATGATAGTGAGACAAACTTTCCATGAGGCCAGAGGCCCCCTCTGTCAGTCAAGCAACATCCTCTACTCTCAGGCTCCCATCTGACACCAGGTTGTGAAGGCCTTGGGGCCCTTTACCCATGACTAGCCCATGACAGAATGCTTTCTTCCACAGAGTCTTCACTCCCTCTAAAGAGGCCAGGAGTGTTAGGTGAGGAGGAATGTACATGCTGAGGTCAGTTCTGGACCAGCCCCAGGCCAATGGTACAGAGAAGGATGATAGCAGCTGAATGGCTCAGAAAGAGTCCAAAGCCAGCTTAACACTGGTAACAATTTTACCCCTACCCCAAGAGCTGACATGCGTCCAATTCCAGTTCCTCTTTCCCCACCTAAATGATCCCAGAGGTGGCACTAAGCCCAGCCCACTCACAATCTAGGACAGCGATAGTCAGACATCTCAATGGGCCCAGCTTCCCAGTAGTAGGAGTGACTGAGAACAGCACTAGGGGGCCCCTGCCACATCAAAGAGAAGCATCTATGAGGGGTTACTGCCATAATGCCAACCTTCTTGCTGTGCTTTGAGAAACAAACCAAATCCCACCTCCCTTCAAAGAGCTCTACTTGCTATGAAAAGTAATCCCACCCCCTACTAAAGTCCTGAGACTTAGGTGGCCCTGAGGCCAGTAGGAGGCTTTGGGGTATCTCAAGAGCAGCCACACTTCTCCACCAAGGAAGTGTTCACATAGTGCACACTCATCTTGTGTTCGTCATCCTGGACCATCAGGGAGAAGAGTCTGACCATGGTGGGACGGCAGGTCTGGAAGAGCCAGGGACAGGTAGGTACTGCCCTCTGCAGAAACAAATGGCAGAATGGTGAGTGCCTCATAGCCACAGCCTCATATCTAAGGGCATCAGTAGACTTGTCAGGGATACATGGGAAGGGAGAAGGAGGGCCTGGGGAGAAGCTGCTGGATCAGGGCTGTTTCAGAACAATCTTTAGGAAGCTGATGTTTCTTATGAATAAAGATAAGGGATAAGGTCACAGGGCGGGGAAGATGCTACACACTGCATCAGTGCTAGATTACATAATTACCAACTTCAATGGCTTCCTTGACTCAAAAGGAGCCAGGCCTAGAGAGTTGAGCACTTAGTGCTATCCCAATATGACCCCAGAAGAGAAAGAACGAGGCTCCATGTCTTACCTTATAGCACTCAAAGCTGGAATGACGGAGCTCACTGTTGAGGGCCGGGCAGGTCCCCTGACAGTAAGAGAAGCTGAGAGTCTTGGGTGCAACAATACACTCGCCCCAGGCAGCTCTGTGAAGGTTCACCTTGCGATCCTGCAGATGGCAGAGCTTCTCTGCTGGAAAGATATCCTGGCCATGGCCTATCTCCCGGCGATTCTGGCCCGGGATCCCCAGGATCAGCTGCTCCACATTAGAGATTAAGGGTTTCTGGACATAAGGCAGGTGAAACAGAGGTGGCTGTGTGTGGGACAAGGTCACGAACAGCAACACTACGTCTTGTTTCCTTTCGGTACTGGAACATTCATTCAGGCTGGCATCAGCGACATCAGTGGCTGGAATCTTTGTCTCTGCCAAGAGGGTGGGCACCACCTCCATCCAATACGTGAGTAAACAGTAGATATCCAATAATGACCCTCCCTCTGACTGGTAGGATGAAAAGATAATGGGGAAAGATCCCAGAAGGAATCTTTGGAGGCCCCTTCTATGGTCCTCGAACTCTAGAACAAGCTCAGTGGCATGGGGGACAATGGGCACCCAAGCCCATAACTTTATCAAGGAAACCCCCAAGAAGGAAACTGCCTCAAAACAGAGAAGCCAGTAGCTGTGTAGGAACTATGAGCCTGTAGGGAAAGAAGAGTGGAAGCTCCAGGAGGCCACTATCGTGGAAAGTCCCACCTCCCTTTCAGCTTCTTACTCCCCACTACCCAGCCGGGCAGGACAGGACAAAGACTTAGCAGTCTCAGCTTGTCAAAGTCAGTGCTTAGTCCACAGCAGCCAGGGATGGACTGAGGTTCCTCAACTCCCATCACCCTACCCCTGGAATTAAGTCAGAATGATTGCCCTAGTACTGAAAATCATTCCAGTCACCATGACCTAAGACAAGCCACTTGCCCTGTTTATCTCCCAAAACACTATAGTTGCCCAGCCCAGCAGCTGTGTACTTCACACTTTAGAGCATCCTTACACACAGAACTTTAGGGCATCAGCCATAAAGCTTAAAGACATCCTACATACCAAGCCTGCAGAGCTGAAACCAGGAAGCAGATTCCATTTCTGCTAGACCAGCTGAAGAATATTCTGTACCCAACTCCTTGCTCTACTCACAAGAGCCCTTAATATCTGTTGTCATTTACACCCCATTCCCTGACCAGCCCCACAAAATGCTGCCAGGCAGCTTCTGGATCACTCCTTCCCTGGCAAAGACCAGCGCTCCAGCTACTTACTTTTGAATATGAGGGTAAAACCATGTTGCCTGGCAGAAAAAAATCTCATTTATGTGGGAAGGCAGCATCGGGTTGGGACAGTCAAACGTCTCTACTGAGCTCAAACACATGCACCAAAGACCCAGAGCCAAGAGCCCAGGAATGAGCCAGGAGCTGCCACTTCTCCCACAGCCACCCTCCAACATACCTGCTCTCAGAAGCGGGGCTTCCCCTTCGCTGTCTTTAAATATCCACGTGCCCAGCTGTAGGCCCTATTCTAACCCCCCACAGCTTGTAGCTGATCACGCATTCAAGAGAAATTAAATTCAAGTGAGAGAAACTCTCACTCCCAGAACAACTTCAATACCAACTCCTGTTTACAGAATGGAGGTGCAAGAAGTGATAATACAGATTGTGTTTCTCAAATGCAACCTCGAAAACACAAGTACATAATTAGTGAATAGATGCACTTATGTGGAAGACACGCTCTGACAGACTGTGTTGGTCCAAATGCTGGAAACAAGGACAAGTATGCACAGTTTGCAAGTTACAAACACTCCATTTAACTCACCTTTGTGTTCTTAGACTTTAGCTAACACCAGAAATCACCTAGAGCATTTGTTAAGACATAGATTGCTAGGCCCCATTCCCAGAGTTTCTGATTCAGTAGGTCTTAAATGAGGTTCAAGAATTTACCTCTCTAGTAAGTTGCCAGGTGATGCTGATAATGCTGGTTCTGAGACCGCTTTGAAAATCACTCATCCACATTACTTATGCCATAACTAGTACATAGAAGATGCCCAATAAGTGTATTTTGATTCATTGATAATACACTATACTTAGTGTGTTTGTGGTTCTGAAATTTTTTTAAACAGAAACAAACAAACAAAAAAAACTCCTTCAGGTTAAAAGGATGAAATTCACTAAATCTGAAAATACCAGATTCTTATGTGGGAAGTACCCAACATAAGAAAAGTAGCATTTGGGATTCATGCTCCCAACATTCTTTTGTTTTCTTTTCAGAGAGTACAAATCAAGATCTTCAAAAAATAACATATACGAGAAGCCAATATAGTCTTCTTCATGTTTCCTAACACTTAACAAATTATTATGAGCATATTATATATAAATATAGTGTAGGAATAATCTGTCCATTAAACATACAGAGTAAGGCATCCTTCATTAACAAATTAACCTGCATTTCACAATATTTGCTTTTCTTAAAAGACCAAATCACATTGACACGTACAATAAAAGTTTAGTTTCTCCACTTTGAGAGGCTGAGGCGGGCAGATCACAAGGTCAGCAGTTCAAGAGCAGCCTGACCAACATGGCGAAACCCCGTCTCTACTAAAAACACAAAAATTAGCCAGGCGTGGTAGTGTGCACCTGTAATCCCTGCTACTCAGGAGGCTGAAACAGGGGAATCACTTGAGCCAGGGAGGCAGAGGTTGCAGTGAGCCAAGATTGCGCCACTGCACTCCAGCCTAGACAACAGAGTGAGACTCCATCTCAAAAAAAAAAAGTTTAGTTTCTCTAAACTTGAGGTTTATTTATTCTCATTAAGAAATTCAATGTCCCAAATTATGTAAATAAGTACACCATAAGTAATGGTAATCAGAACAGTCCATCTTTAGAAAGCTTGCTGTGTAAATTCTTTAGTTAATGTTAGTGAAACAAGCTTATGAGGTAGGTGTGATTATTCTTGTTTTGTGGATGGGGAAACTGAGGAAAGAGTAAGTAATGACCTGCCCACGGCAGGGCTGAGTCAGTTGTCCGTGCAGAATAGATTCTATGTTAAGACAATTCCTTTGGGTTTTTGTTCCTTAAATACGAAGAAATACAGAACAAAAGCAAAGGATAAAATAATTCAATTTAGGAAAACAAGCTTTGGTAAAAGGAAAAGGAATAGGAATAGGTTTTTTTTTTTAAGTTGAGAACAGAATTCTTTAAAAGCTAATAATTTGTGTGCCTAAGGTTCCCACTAATTATCCCTACCTCGTCTGTGTTATTTTTCTAATCAATGAGAGGTTGATGATAACTTTTTTTTGAGCTTATATTCTTTGCTTTTTAATGAGCAGGTTCTTATGGAACCCCAATTAAATATGTAGTGAGCTTATGGAATTTCTAGCAAATGTGGCTTTCCTTTTTGTTTAGATAAATTAATCTCCAAATTATCAGCAAGAGGAAAGGGGGCAGTTCCCATCTAATCCCCAGGCCTTCCCTAAACGGCTTCAAGTGTGAATGTGTTAAGTAAAATCCTTCATGAATTTGTAAATTGCTTTAAATAAAACCTCAATAATAATCTTGGATGAGAAGCTTGTTTTACTAATTTATAGCTAAGCAGCTGTTGTTTTGTTAGCATCTTCAGCTTCATTTACACAAGAAAATCTGAAAATGAATCATGCAGACAGGAGAGACCTGATTGCACTCTACAGTAAACGTTTTTGTATGCTCGTCTCATAGGATGTTGAAAAGTAAACACCAAAAAAGACCATTCATCAACCATCACACTGGAGAAAATGTTGGCCAATGATATGTTCAGCTTATATTTCAATAGATTTTATATTTCATGTGTCACTGCCAAGCTACAATTGAGTGTGTATGATGAAAATGCATGCTAGCAAAATATGAGCCAACTTCTCTGAGGCCCTGCAAAACCTATCAAGTGCCTCATCAGGGAAGAAGGAAGCATTGACTGCTCAAGTCATTGACTCTAGTATGCCTGTATCCTCACCATTCAGCTCTGTCAATTTAGATGTGGTAAGAATCAGAAGCAGATGAAAAGTATATAGTTGATAATATGCTCAGTGTCTTCTTAGACTTGGGATAATATACATAAAGGTGTCTCATAAACTATAAATTGCAAGTCCTTTCTGTGGGTAGGGTATCACATATTTATTTAATGCAATAATCTTTAAGTTTTTTGTTGAGTGCCCTAACAGTAAAAAAATAAAATAAAATAAACATTTTACCCCAATGTCTACATATGGGTTTATTCATTAATAAACTACATATGTATACTAATATACATATATATTAATGAGATGCACATATATATACATATAAGATACATAAAAATGGCGATTGAAAAAGGATATGAAAATTAAATAGGAGGGGCCGGGCGTGGTGGCTCACACCTGTAATCCCAGCACTTGGGAGGCAGAGGCAGGCAGATCACGAGGTCAGGAGATCGAGACCATCCTGGCTAACATGGTGAAACCCCATCTCTATTAAAAATACAAAAAATTAGCGGGGCATGGTGGTGGGCACCTGTAGTCCCAGCTACTTGGGAGGCTGAGGCAGGAGAATGGCGTGAATCCAGGAAGCTGAGCTTGCAGTGAGCCGAGATCCAGCCACTGCACTCCAGCCTGGGCAACAGAACGAGATTCCGTCACAAAAAAAAAAAAAAAAAAAAAGAAAAAGAAAAGGAAAACTAAGTAGGAATTCATTTTCTAGTATTTCTACTATTTTTTTCCTGCTCCCAGCAGATCATCTTAGGAGACTACTGCTTTAATGGATAAGTTCATTTTGAAAAGTAGGGGTGATAATTATAATTAACATTTTTTAAATTATGCTTTAAGTTCTAGGGTACATGTGCACAACCTGCAGGTTTGTTACATATGTATACATGTGCCATGTTGGTGTGCTGCACCCATTAACTCATCATTTACATTAGGTATATCTCCTAATGCTATCCCTTCCCCCTTCCCACACCCCTCGACAGGGGTGTGTGTGATGTTCCCCACCCTGTGTCCAAGTGTTCTCATTGTTCAATTCCCCCCTATGAGTGAGAACATGCAGTGTTTGGTTTTCTGTCCTTGCAATAGTTTGCTCAGAATGATGGTTTCCAGCTTCATCCATGTCCCTACAAAGGACATGAACTCATCCTTTTTAATGGCTGCATAGTATTCCATGGTGTATATGTGCCACCTTTTCTTAATCCAGTCTATCATTGATGGACATTTGGGTTGGTTCCAAGTCTTTGCTATTGTGAATAGTGCCTCAATAAACATACGTGTGAATGTGTCTTTATAGCAGCATGATTTATAATCCTTTGGGTATATGCCCAGTAATGGGATGGCTGGGTCAAATGGTATTGCTAATTCTAGATCCTTGAGGAATTGCCACACTTTCTTCCATAATGGTTGAACTCGTTTACAGTCCCACCAACAGTGTAAAAGTGTTCCTATTTCTCCACATCCTCTCCAGCCCCTGTTGTTTCCTGACTTTTTAATGATCGCCATTCTAAGTGGTGTGAGATGGTATCTCATTGTGGTTTCAATTTGCATTTCTCTGATGGCCAGTGATGATGAGCATTTTTTCATGTGTCTGTTGGCTGCATAAATGTCTTCTTTTGAGAAGTGTCTGTTCATATCCTTTGCTCACTTTTCGATGGTGTTGTTTGATTTTTTTCTTGTAAATTTGTTTAAGTTCTTTGTAGATTCTGGATATTAGCTCTTTGTCAGATGGGTAGATTGTAAAAATTTTCTCCCATTCCGTAGGTTGCCAGTTCACTCTGATGGTATTTTCTTTCGCTGTGCAGAAGCTCTTTAGTTTAATTAGATCCCATTTGTCAATTTTGGCTTTGTTGCTATTGCTTTTGGTGTTTTAGTCATGAAGTCCTTGCCCATGCCTATGGCCTGAATGGTATTGCCTAGGTTTTCCTCTAGGGTTTTTATGGTTTTAGGTCTAACATTTAAGTCTTTAATCCATCTTGAATTAAGTTTCGTATAAGGTGTAAGGAAGGGATCCAGTTTCAGCTTTCTACCTATGGCTAGCCAGTTTTCCCAGCACCATTCATTAAATAGGGAATCCTTTCCCCATTTCTTGTTTTTGTCAGGTTTGTCAAAGATCAGATGGTTGTAGATGTGTGGTATTATTTCAGAGGGCTCTATTCTGTTCCATTGGTCCATATCTCTGTTGTGGTACCAGTATCATGCTGTTTTGGTTACTATAGCCTTGTAGTATAGTTTGAAGTCAGGTAGCGTGATGCCTTCAGCTTTGTTCTTTTGGCTTAGGATTGACTTGGCAATGCGGGCTCTTTTTTGGTTCCATATGAAGTTTAAAGTAGTTTTTTCCAATTCTGTGAAGAAAGTCATTGGTAGCTTGATGGGGATGGCATTGAATCTACAAATTACCTTGGGCAGTATGGCCATTTTCACGATATCGATTCTTCCTATCCATGAGCATGGAATGTTCTTCCATTTGTTTGTGTCCTCTTTTATTTCTTTGAGCAGTGATTTGTCGTTCTCCTTGAAGAGGTCCTTCACATCCCTTGTAAGTTGGATTCCTAGGTATTTTGTTCTCTTTGAAGCAATTGTGAATGGGAGTTCACTCATGAGTTGGCTCTCTGTTTGTCTGTTATTGGTGTATAAGAATGCTTGTGATTTTTGCACATTGATTTTGTATCCTGAGACTTTGCTGAAGTTGCTTATCAGCTTAAGGAGATTTTGGGCTGAGACAATGGGGTTTTCTAAGTATACAATCATGTCATCTGCAAACAGGGACAATTTGACTTCCTCTTTTCCTAATTGAATACCTTTTATTTCTTTTTCTTGCCTGATTGCCCTGGCCAGAACTTCCAACACTATATTGAATAGGAGTGGTGAGAGAGGGCATCCCTGTCTTGTGCCAGTTTTCAAAGGGAATGCTTCCAGTTTTTGTCCATTCAGTATGATATTGGCTGTGGGTCTGTCATAAATAGCTCTTATTATTTTGAGATACGTCCCATCAATACCTAGTTTATTGAGAGTTTTTAACATGAAGGGCTGTTGAATTTTGTCAAAGGCCTTTTCTGCATCTATTGAGATAATCATGTGGTTTTTGTCTTTGGTTCTGTTTATATGATGAATTATGTTTACTGATTTGCGTATGTTGAACCAGCCTTGCATCCCAGGGATGAAGCCATCTTGATCATAGTGGATAAGCTTTTTGATGTGCTGCTGGATTCGGTTTGCCAGTATTTTATTGAGGATTTTTGCATTGTTGTTCATCAGGGATATTGGTCTAAAATTCTCTTTTTTTGTTGTGTCTCTGCCAGGCTTTGGTATCAGGATGATGTTGGCCTCATAAAATGAATTAGTGAGGATTCCCTCTTTTTCTATTGATTGGAATAGTTTCAGAAGGAATGGTACCAGCTCCTTTTTGTACCTCTGGTAGAATTGGGCTGTGAATCCGTCTGGTCCTGGACTTTTTTTGGTTGGTAGGCTATTAATTATTGCCTCAAATTCAGAGCCTCTTATTGGTCTATTCAGGGATTCAACTTCTTCCTGGTTTAGTCTTGGGAGGGTGTATGTGTCCAGGAATTTATCGATTTCTTCCAGATTTTCTAGTTTATTTGCTTAGAGGTGTTTATAGTATTCTCTGATGGTAGTATGTATTTCTGTGGGATCGGTGGTGATATCCCCTTCATCATTTTTTATTGCAGCTATTTGATTCTTCTCTCTTTTCTTCTTTATTAGTCTTGCTAGTGGTCTGTCAATTTTGTTGATCTTTTCAAAAAACCAGCTCCTGGATTCATTGATTTTTTGAAGGGCTTTTTGTGTCTCTATCTCCTTCAGTTCTTCTCTGATCTTAGTTATTTCTTGCCTTCTGCTAGCTTTTGAATGTGTTTGCTCTTGCTTCTCTAGTTCTTTCAATTGTGATGTTTGGGTGTCCATTTTAGATCTTTCCTGCTTTCTCTTGTGGGCATTTAGTGCTATAAATTTCCCTCTACACACCGCTTTAAATGTGTCCCAGAGATTCTGGTATGTTGTGTCTTTGTTCTCATTGGTTTCAAAGAACATCTTTATTTCTGCCTTCATTTCGTTATGTACCCAGTAGTCATTCAGGAGCAGATTGTTCAGTTTCCATGTAGTTGTGTAGTTTTGAGTAAGTTTCTTAATCCTGAGTTCTAGTTTGATTGCACTGTGGTCTGAGAGACAGTTTGTTATAATTTCTGTTCTTTTACATTTGCTGAGGAGTGCTTTACTTCCAACTATGTGGTCAATTTTGGAATAAGTGTGGTGTGGTGCTGAGAAGAATGTATATTCTGTTGATTTGGGGTGGAGAGTTCTGTAGATGTCTATTAGGTCCACTTGGTGCAGAGCTGAGTTCAATTCCTGGATGTCTTTGTTAACTTTCTGTCTCATGGGTCTGTCTAATGTTGACAGTGGGGTGTTAAAATCTCCCATTATTATTGTGTGGGAGTCTAAGTCTCTTTGTAGTTCTCTAAGGACTTGCTTTATGAATCTGGGTGCTCCTGTATTGGGTGCATATATATTTAGGATAGTTAGCTCTTCTTGTTAAGTTGATCCCTTTACCATTATGTAATGGCCTCCTCTGTCTCTTTTGATCTTTGTTGGTTTAAAGTCTGTTTTATCAGAGACTAGGATTGCTACCCCTGCTTTTTTTTTTTTTTTTTTTTTTTGGTTTTCCATTTGCTTGGTAGATCTTCCTCCATCCCTTTATTTTGAGTCTATGTGTGTCTCTGCACGTGAGATGGGTCTCCTGAATACAGCACACTGATGGGTCTTGACTCTTTATCCAATTTGCCAGTCTGTGTCTTTTAATTGGAGCATTTGGCCCATTTACATTTAAGGTTAATATTGTTATGTGTGAATTTGATCCTGTCATGATGTTAGCTGGTTGTTTTGCTCGTTAGTTTCTTCCTAGCATTGAAGGTCTTTACAATTTGGCATGTTTTTGCAGTGGCTGGTACTGGTTGTTCCTTTCCATGTTTAGTGCTTCCTTCAGGAGCTCTTGTAAGGCAGGCCTGGTGGTGACAAAATCTCTCAGCATTTGTTTGTCTGTAAAGGATTTTATTGCTCCTTCACTTATGAAGCTTAGTTTGGCTGGATATGAAATTCTGGGTTGAAAATTCTTTTCTTTAAGAATGTTGAATATTGGCCCCTACTCTCTTCTGGCTTGTAGAGTTTCTGCTGAGAGATCTGATGTTAGTCTGATGGGCTTCCCTTTTTGGGTAACCCAACCTTTCTTTCTGGCTGCCCTTAACATTTTTTCCTTCATTTCAACTTTGGTGAATCTGACAATTATGTGTCTTGGAGTTGCTCTTCTCGAGGAGTATCTTTGTGGCATTCTCTGTGTTTCCTGAATTTGAATGTTGGCCTGCCTCACTAGGTTGGGGAAGTTCTCTGCGATAATATCCTGAAGAGTGTTTTCCAACTTGTTTGCATTCTCCCCGTCACTTTCAGGTATGCCAATCAGACGTAGATTTGGTCTTTTCACATAGTCCCGTATTTCTTGGAGACTTTGTTCATTTCTTTTTACTCTTTTTTCTCTAAACTTCTCTTCTCACTTCATTTCATTCATTTGATCTTCAATCACTGATACCCTTTCTTCCACTTGATCAAATCAGCTACTGAAGCTTGTACATACGTCACGTAGTTCTTGTGCCGTGGTTTTCAGCTCCATCAGGTCCTTTAAGGACTTCTCTCCACTGTTTATTCTAGCTAGCCATTTGTCTAATCATTTTTCAAGGTTTTTAGCTTCTTTGTGATGGGTTTGAACCTCTTCCTTTAGCTCAGAGAAGTTTCTTATTACCGATCGTCTGAAGCCTTCTTCTCTTAACTCGTCAAAGTCATTCTCTGTCCATCTTTGTTCCGTTGCTGGTGAGGAGCTGTGTTCCTTTGGAGGAGAAGAGGCACTCTGATTTTTAGAATTTTCAGCTTTTCTGCTCTGGTTTCTCCCCATCTTTGTGGTTTTATCTACCTTTGGTCTTTGATGGTGGTGATGTACAGATGGGGTTTTGGTGTGGGTGTCCTTTCTATTTCTTAGTTTTCCTTTTAACAATCAGGACCCTCAGCTGCTGGTCTGTTGGAGTTTGCTGGAGGTCCACTCCAGACCCTGTTTGCCTGGGTATCACCAGCCGAGGTGGCCGAACAGCAAATATTGCAGAATGGCGAATGTTGCTGCCCGATCCTTCCTCTGGAAGCTTCATCTCAGAGGGGCACAGGCTGTATGAGGTGTCAGTCGGCCCCTACTGGGAGGCTTCTCCCAGTTAGGCTACTCAGGGGTCAGGGACCCACTTGAGGAGGCAGTCTGTCCTTTCTCAGATCTCAAACTCTGTGCTGGGAGAACCACTACTCTCTTCAAAGCTGTCGGACAAGGACGTTTAAGTCTGCAGAAGTTTCTGCTGCCTTTTGTTCAGCTATGCCCTGCCCCCAGAGGTGGAGTCTACAGAGGCAGGCAGGCATCCTTGTGCTGTGGTGGGCTCCACCCAGTTCAAGCTTCCCAGCCGCTTTATTTACCTACTCATGCCTCAGCAATGGTGGACGCCCCTCCCCTAGCCTCACTGCCACCTTGCAGTTCAATCTCAGACTGCTGTGCTAGCAGTGAGCGAGGCTCCGTGGGCGTGGGACCCTCCAAGTCATGCGCGGGATATAATCTCCTGGTGTGCCATTTGCTAAGGCCATTGGAAAAGCGCAGTATTAGGGTGGGAGTGTCCTGATTTTCCAGGTACCGTCTGTCACGGCTTCCCTTCACCAGGAAAGGGAATTCCCCAATCCCTTGCACTTCCTGGGTGAGGCAATGCCCTGCCCTGCTCCGTGGGCTGCACTGTCTGACAAACCCCAGTGAGATGAACCCGGTACCTCAGTTGGAAATGCAGAAATCACCAGTCTTCTGCGTCGCTCATGCTGGGAGCTGCAGACTGGAGCTGTTCCTATTTGGCCATCTTGGAACCTCCTCTATAATTAACATTTACATAGTGTATGTAAATACTGCTAAATATTACTAATTCCAGTTCTTTACATATATTAACTTGTTTTACCTTGGTATCAGCCTTATGCAACAGGTATAATTATTATCTCCACTTCACAGATGATGAAATTGAGGTACAGACTGATCACCTAACTTGTCCACGGCTACACAATTACCAAGTATCAGGGGTAGGATTTAAACCTAGGCAGTCTGGAGCTAGAATCTAGCTCATCTAAAACCTGAAGGCCTGGCAAGGTATTATCATGCTAATCAGTAAGTAATCAGGATGCCTATGCATTAGCTTCCATAACACCTGCATAATCGCATGTATCTTACTATATTGTAATTGTTGCTTTGAATACTTGCCTCCCCTGTTAAGCTGAAAACTGCTTTAGAACAAGGACTGAAGTAGTTTTGTATTTACATAACAGTATTGAGCACAGTGCCTGGTACCTAAAAAGTATGTGGTAGGCGCTTGTTGGATGGATAGTTGGATGAAAGAAAAAACAATTTTTAAAAATGGATGGATGGATAGATGGATTTATCCCAACTTACTAGATAGCCATTGGAATTTGAATGTCCTTGAAATAGGGATGAAAATCTCACCTAACAATAAAAATATTCACAGACTTTCTTCTTAATGAGCTAATTCTCTCTTGCTAACCAACATATAGAAAAAAAATTATCTCTTGATGTTATCCAAGCCTTTTCAGGGAGGAAATACTATCCCACTCATGAGCATTTCAAACCCTGCAGAAACCAAAAAAGGTGAAAAAGAAAGGAATGTTGTTTATGGAAATAATACGTCTTGTCAGGAATTTGTGTTTTATCTCATAAAAAGAACAAAACAAAAAGAGAATCTGCCTTATGCTCTGGCATCAACAGGAAACCTAGTTCATTACAAATGTAGCCTGGATACCTCCAGGGGAAGAAAAAGATGAGTGAATGAATGAATGGATAATAGACTTGCCTTTTCTGAAGTGGAATCCAGGTTTTAATCCAGTCTTAATCCACTGTATGTGGTAACAGTTGCATTAGTAATATGCTTTGTCACAACACAAACTACCCAGACTGTAAGACTGTTGGACGTTTATACTCAAACCAAGAGTCTATGTTTTATTCATTTTGAGTGGCACAAATCAGCGCTGAGATATGGGAACTAAACCTTGAAAAGTTTCCTCCTATATTTGAAGCTGGAAAAACTTCAAGGCACTTTGATTCAAATACACATTCTATTAAAATGTGTATCTTGCTTAAGCCCAGGAGGTGGAGGCTGCAGTGAGCAGAGATCATGCCACTGCACTCTAGCACTCCAGCCTGGGCAATAGAGCAAAACCTTGTCTCAAAAAAAAAAAAAGTGTATATATTTCATACCAATTGCTTCTGTACTTAGTGTAGCTTAAGATACAAAAGCCTCTGAATCAAAACAGTAACTGCAGAATTGCTTTTACAAGTCTAATGATGTACTCAATGTAATGTGATAGGTTTCATCTAAATAATGTATAATTTTATCTGTTTTCCATTGCTTTATATTCTGTCAAATGGAAAACAGTTCTATAGAAGTCAAATTCTGGACTTCCTTTGTTATAACTATATTTCAGCTGATTAGTGTTGTTCTTTGGGACTTTCTTTTAGCAATCAGATACAATTACCATTGTTCTATAACACTGACTACCAAACTTGTTATTTCACTCTGAGAGCTGTGCCTGTCTTGTCTTTATTTTTCTCTCTTCGGGATAATATCCACTGTAGTGTCCATAAATCTTTACTGAAGGGATTCACTATTAAACTACTTAGCAAAGTTAGTATTCTTTAAAGATATTGTTTGTTTTAATGAGTAGAGAGGAGGGCAGAGTTCTGCCACATTAAGTGTAGTTAAGAGGACCCTCAACACAGCATCGACATCACCTAAGAGCATCTTAGAAATGCAGAATCTCAGAACTTTCAGACTTTAATGTGCATTTGAACCAACTGCGGATGTTAAAAAGCAGATTCTGATTCAGGAGGTCTGGGGTGGGGCCCGAGATTCTGCAGTTTGATGAGCTCACAGGTGATGTCTACACAGCTAGTCCTCAAGCCACCTCCTGAGTAGCAAGACCTAGGGAAAGAGCCCATGATGATATCGCACTTACCACGTATCTGACTAAAACAAAGAGATTTAATAAGATAAGTAGTTGTTAAATAAAGATTTACTTAGCACATAGTCTATGACTAATCCTTTTATGATTGAGTTATTTGACTTTAGATAGACCATAAGACTTCCGTTTATTATCCTTTTCTATTTAATGAACATAGTACTTCAATTTGTTTTCCAATAATGTTTACATTCGACCTTTGTATTCATTTTATGCATTCTATTTGTCATGTTACCTAAGGCCAGACAACCGTCATTTGAAATAGTTATTTTTAAGAGATAGAACCAAATACGTAAAGATATAATTTTCAAGTAAAGAAAAAACTGGTGTTTTCTTAAAAAATTTAAATCTTGTTATGATTTAATACTAGTTACATGTTGTAGGAAACAAAACCAAGTAAAGAAATTACGGCAGTCTTCAATTATTTATTTATTTATTTATTTATTTATTTATTTATTTATTTTGAGACAGAGTCTGTCTTTGTCGCCCAGGCTGAAGTGCAGTGGTGCATCTCAGCTCACTGCAACCTCTGCCTCCCAGTTTCAAGTGATTCTCCTGCCTCAGCCTCCTGAATAGCTGGGACTACAAGTGTGTGCAACCACGCCTGGCTAATTTTTGTATTTTTAGTAGAGACGGGATTTCACCATGTTGTTCAGGCTCGTCTTGAACTCCTGACCTGGTGATTTGCCCTCCTCAGCCTCCCAAAGTTCTGGGATTACAGGTGTGCACCACCGTGCCCGGCCAGCAGTCTCCAATTCTAACTTGTTAGTACAAACCTTGGAAAATCACCTAATTGATTGCCTCACCAGGTTCCTCATCTATAAAATAGGCTTAAATTTAAGTTTCCTCAAGGCATTGATGTCAAGAGATATTAACAAAACATGTTGGTTCCTCTGGTTCTGAAAGTGTGGTCCTAGGACAAGCAGCATCAGCATCCCTGGGAATTTATTGGAGAAACAAATTTTCAGACCACACCCAAGCCCAAGACCTACTGAATCAAAAACTTGGGGTGGAGGCAAGAAATCTACATTTTTAACAAGTCCTCAGGTGATTCTGATATATGTTACAATGTTAGAACCACTGCAGTCTCTATAGAGCACAGTAACGATAACTCTCAATCAGTGGAGGAAGGGGTATACTATTCTAACTAGCAATCCATATGGAACAGTAAATTAGGCCGTATTAAATCAGGAACAATAAATTAGGGCTTACCTCACAATATTACACGTTTAAATCTATGCTGATTAAAAATATAAGTATAAATAGGGCCAGGCGCAGTGGCTCACGCCTGTAATCCCAGCACTTTGGGAGGCCAAGGCGGGCAGATCATTTGCGGTCAGGGGTTGGAGACCAGCGTGGCCAACATGGCGGAACCCCATCTCTACTAAAAATACAAAAATTAGCCAGGCGTGATGGCGGGCGCCTGTAATCCCAGCTACTCGGGAGGCTGAGGCACCAGAATCGTTTGAACCTGGGAAGCAAAAGTTGCAGTGAGCTGAGATTGTACCACTGCACTACAGCCTGAGTGACAAAGCAAGACTCTGTCTCAAAAAACAACAACAAAAAAAGATATATAAATATAAATAATAAACATAAAACATTTGACTGCACTAAAATTAAGTGTTTAGGCAACAAGAGACATCATACAAAAAATTAAAAGACAAATCACATACTAAGAGAACACACATGCAATGTAAAGTTCTCAAAATCTAGTATCCCTAGCATAAATTTCTTAAAATCCTACAAATCAACATGAAGACAACTATTTTTTAAAAACAGGCAAAGAGTAAGAACAGATAGTTCACATAAGAATGGTATGTGAAAAGATTGTTTCTCATCGGCAATCAGGGAAATGCAAATGAAAACAACATGAAACACTATTTGATACTTCAACGACTGGCAGAAAAATTAAAGTCTGATGGAGGAGTGTGTACAGAAATGAGCATCCCCAATGTCAATTGTAAAACTTGGCAATATCTAGTCAAATAAATTTTCATTCCCTACAAACTAGCAATTCTACTTCTAGGAACTGAGCTAGAGTCCCTGTGGGCATCATCATAGGAAAGCTATCTGAGGATCTTCCCCAGTAGCAACCTTTGTTTTAGGGAAAAACTGGAAATAACTCAAATCTTAATTGATATATCAATACATAAATTAAGTGCATTTACACAGTGAAACACTATAGAATCTTAAAACATATGAGATAGTACTACTTGCATCAACGTGATTAAATCTCAAAATCAATGTTTCAAGATTAATATATACAAATCATAAAGCAATATTTTGTATTGGGAGCATAATATAGTCAGAGCATAAAAGATGTGGACAAGAAGCATATACACCAACTTCAGGCTGGCAATTACCATTGGGTATCGGATAGATAATAGGAAAGGGAGGTCTTCATCCATATCTATTTTATTTATTCAAAAAAATTTTGAAGCAAGAGTGGCAAAATATTAGCACATATTAAAACTAGTTGGATAAATCAAATAAAATAAAAACTAGTTGGTATCAAACTCTCTACTACTGCCACAACTTTTTGTAATTTTATATAATTTTAAAATATTAAAAATAAAATATTGGCCAGGTACCATGGCTCACGCCTGTAATCCCACACTTTGTAAGGCTGAGGCGGGTGAATCACGAGGTCAAGAGATCAAGAGATCAAGACTATCCTGGCCAACATAGTGAAACACCATCTCTACTAAAATTACAAAACTTAGCTGGGCTTGGTGGTACACACCTGTAGTCCCAGCTACTCGGGAGGCTGAGGCAGGAGAATCACTTGAACTCGGGAGACGGAGGTTGCCTGAGCTGAGATTGTGCCACTGCACTCCAGCCTGGATGATAGAGCAAGACTCCATCTCAAAAAACAAAAAATGTTTCATTTATTTCTGTGTTCCTAAAATTTTGTTTCAAGTAGTCAACTAAATGTACATTTCCTTAAGCACATATGAGAAAAGCTTTTTTTTTTTCTTTTTTTTTGAGACGGAGACTCACTTTGTCACCCAGGCAGGAGTGCAATGGCACGATCTCGGCTCACTGCAACCTCCACCTCCTGGATTCAAGCGATTCTCATGCCTCAGCCTCCTGAGTAGCTGGCATTACAGGTGTGCACCACCACGCCTGGGTGATTTTTATATTTTTAGTAGAGACACAGTTTCACCATGTTGGCCAGGCCGGTCTCAAACTCCTGACTTCAAGTGATCCACCTACCTCGGCCTCCCAAAGTGCTGGGATTACAGGCGTGAGCCACTGCACCTGGCCAAGAAAAGCATTCTTTAAAAAGTAATTTAAAAAGTAGAAAACTTAATTTTTCTTAACTTTCGTTGTGATATGAAATATCTATAAAATTATGAAGAAAATGAAAACAAAAAAATGTACAAACAAAACCTTTTAGCTGATTATGGAGCAGGGTAAACACAAAAGAAGAGGATTTCCTGTATTTTTTGGTGGTGGGGTGTGAGGGGTGTAGAAATGGATTTAAAGGCTATAAAGGAACAAAAGAGGTCAGTAATTTATCCCCCAAAAATCCATGTAGGAGGCAGTTCTTGAATAAAGACAGAAGTGGTTGTTCAGCTTTCAGAAACATCTGGGCCCTAATTCCAATTGATTTCTTTCTGGTAGGAAAAGTTCTCCACATGTATACTTCTCATAGTTCCTTTCAGCCTCTAAAACATTATCTTAATTTTAGATAATACCTGCAAAAATTGGATTCAACTTGTGTATTGAGAGCTAAAGAATTTTCATGTGACTTTATACATATAGTGTGTGGCTTCTTGTAGCCAGACCCTTGGGAGGCCCTAAACATTGAAAAGATGATGGAGTCCTACCATCCCACCAGTGGTAATTCAACATTTTATTATGATGCAAAATTTCCATGCATGCTGAAATCAATAGAGTTTCTTCCAACATTTTTTGTGCAAAGTTCTGAACAAATCTGTCAAAGCTAACTTGTTTATTTTTAGGGTGGGGGTGCCCCTGCTTTGCTGGTGCCCTGAACATGTCATAATCTGTTGGGCATCTTGCACTGGCTCAGCTATCAATTAGGGAGCTAAAGGGCTCTTTAAAGCAATCCATAATTTTAAACCTACCAGGTGACTAGGAAAGACTACTAAAGGTTGCTAAGTTTTCTCACTGGTTTCAAGACTCAGATTCTAGTCTGAAGCAGCAAACATCCAAGTAATTGAGTAATACTACAGAGCTGAAGCCTACCACTGAAATGTTCATTCACACTCTTCCACTCTTTGTCACAAGACTAGAATGTAAGACATCAGTGGAATTTTGTTTTCTTTCTTTTTTGAGATGGAGTCTTGGTCTGTCCCCCAGGCTAGAATGCAGTGGCGCACTCTCAGCTCACTGCAACCTCTGCCTCCCAGTTTCAAGCGATTCTCCTGCCTCAGCCTCCCGAGTAGCTGGGACTACAGGTGTGTGACACCATGCCCAAATAATTTTTATATTTTTAGTAGAAATAGGGTTTCACCATGTTGACCAGGCTGGTCTTGAACTCCTGACCTCAGGTGATCCACCCGCCTCGGCCTCCCAAAGTACTGGGATTACAGGCATGAGCCACAGCAACTGGCCAACATCAGTGGAATTTCGAACTGTGACCTTCTGAATATGCTACATGAACCCTTTTTTAAAAGAGACCGTACAGCCTCAGGACTGTCTTTGTTATGTTTGATAAAATGCAGTTACTAAAAGAAAATTGCTGAAATACTTTTCCCAGCCAATGCTACAGATATCTTTGCAAATAAAGGTCATGTAAGAATATGAACATTTATGTTTCAGAAATAAATTTAGTTGTACCAGTGGGTATAGCTTTAAACCAATTAATTTTAAGTCTATGTAATCTTACCAAAGGGCTATTTTTATGAACTGGTTTTAGCAAACTTGTTGCAGGCAGAAACTGTCTTTCTATGATATTCTATGCAATACCTGCTATGGTTTGAATGTGTCTCCTCCAAAATTCAAGTGTTGCCAATGTAACAGAATTAAGACGTGGGGCCTTTACCATAATTTAAAAATAAAAAAATAGTATGTGGTGAAAAGGGAACACCTTTACACTGCTGGTGGGAATGTAAACTAGTACAACCACTACGGAAAACAGTGCAGAGATTCCTTAAAGAACTAAAAGTAGATCTGCCATTTGATCCAGCAATCCCACTACTGGTTATCTACCCAGAAGAAAAGAAGTCATTATACAAAAAAGATACTTGCACACGCATGTTTATAGCAGCACAATTTGCAATTGCAAAAATATGGAATCAGCCCAAATGCCCATTAGTCAATGAATGGATAAAGTCAACATATATGTGTATATACATATATAGTATATGTATACACACACCACATTTATGTGTGTATATATGTATACATATATACACATACCACATTTATGTGTGTATATATATGTGTGTGTGTATATATATATGTGTGTACACACACACACACACACACACACCATGGAATACTATTCAGCCATAAAAAGGAAAGAAATAATGGCATTCACAGCAACCTGGATGGAATTGAGACCATTTTTCTAAGTGAAGTAACTCAAGAATGGAAGACAAAACATCGTATGTTCTCACTTATAAGTGGGACCTAAGCTATGAATATGCAAAGGCCTAAGAGTGACACAATGGACTTTGGGTACTTAGTGGAGAAGGGTGGGAAGGGGGCACGGGATAAAAGACTACACATTGGGTACAGTGTACACTGCTGGGGTGATGGGTGTACCAAAATCTCAGAAATCACCACTAAAGAACTTATCCGTGTAACCAAACGCCACGTGTTCCCCAAAAACCTGTTTTAAAAAGGGGTGGGGCCTTTAAGAGGTGATAGATCCTCCCTCAAGAATGGGATTAAGGTGCTTATAAAAGAGGCTTCACACAGCATTCAGCCCTCTCTTGCCTTCTGCATAGAAGGATGCGGCAAAAAGGCCCCTACCAGATGCTGGCATCTTTATCTTGAACTTCCCAGTCTCCAGAACTGTGAGAAAATACATTCCTATTCTTTATAAATTACCTAGTTTTAGGTATGTTGTTGTAGCACCACAAATAGATTAATATAGAACCCAAGGAGGTGGCAAGATAAATATTTGGTTGTTACATTGCACATCATAACAAGTCACTTGTTTTCAAGTCAGGTAAAAACGTTCAAAAGTAAATGAGCTGGCCAGGCACAGTGGCTCTTGCCTGTAATCCCAGCACTTTGCGAGGCTGAGGCGGGCGGATCACCTCAGGTCAAGGGTTCGAGACCAGCCTGACCGACATGGAGAAACATGGTCTCTACTAAAAATACAAAATTAGCTAGGCGTGGTGGCGCATGCCTTTAATCCCAGCTACTCGGGAGGATGAGGCAGGAGAATCGCTTGAACCTGGGAGGTGGAGGTTGCGGTGAGCCAAGACTGTGCCATTGCACTCCAGCCTGGGCAAGAAGAGCAAAACTCCATCTCCAAAAAAAAAAAAAAAAAAATATGAGTTAAAATTATGTAATTCTAAAAGGTCAATACGCTGATTTTTTTAAAAACGAATCACATTATACTAAATGAAAAGTATTTGCTGAGGCCTTTTTTACAAAAGTATTTTGAGCCTCCAAGATGGTTTGATAAATCCATGAACTGTCAATCAATCAATTTATCAATCTGTGTTTTCAATCCCTGTTGCAGTAGTCCCCCCATATCCTTGAGGGATGCATTTCAAGACCCCCAGTAAATGCCTGAAACCATGGATAGTACCAAATAGTACCCTATGCAGTATATACTGCCTTTTCGTATACATACATACCTATGATAAAGTTTAACTTATAAATCAGGCACAGTAAGAGATTAACAACAATAACTAATAATAAAATAGAGCAATTATAGGAATATATCAGCGTTACTGCTCTTGAGCTTTGGGGCCATTATGAAGTAAAATAAAGGTGACTTGAACACAAGAAGCACTGTAATACTGAAACAGCAGATCTGATCAGTGAAACAGCTCCTAAATGACTAACAGGTGGGCCTCTACAGGTCAAACATCCCACATAAGATAGAGCAGGACAGCTTGAGATTTCATTGTGATACTCAGAATGGTATGCAAGTGAAAACCTGTGAATGGTTTCTGGTATTTTTCATTTAATATTTTTGGACTGCAGTTTACTGTGGATTAAAAAAACACACACACAGAAAGCAAAAGCGCAGATGAGAAGGAACTACCGTATATGAAAAGAATCATGACAGTTACCGAGGAGAATATATATATGTGTGTGTGTGTATATATATATATATATGTGTATATATATATATGTGTATATATATATATGTGTGTGTGTATATATATATGTGTGTATATATATATGTGTGTGTGTATATATATATGTGTGTGTATATATATATATATATATATATTTTTTTTTTTTTTTTGAGATGGAGTTTCACTCTTGTTGCCCAGGCTGGAGTGCCATGGCATGATCTCAGCTCACCGCAACTTCGGCCTCCCGGGTTCAAGCGATTCTCCTGCTTCAGCCTCCTGAGTAACTGGGATTATAGGCATGCGCCACCACGCCCAGCTAATTTTTTGTATTTTTAGTAGAGATGGGGTTTCTCCATGTTGGTCAGGCTGGTCTCGAACTCCCGACCTCAGGTGGTCCCCCCGCCTTGGCCTCCCAAAGTGCTGGGATTACAGGCGTGAGCCACCACACCCAGCTGAGTAGAATATTAAAAAGCATAAGGTATAGGTTTTGCCCTTAGTTTGTAATTTGGTCAGGAAGAAATGCTTAAGTACATTAAAACATAAATTGCAACATAGAAAAGCAACACAAAAGCGACAGAAGAAATGGATGACCAGTGGTCAAATCAGTAATATAAACACTAAGTAAACATAATGTGGCCGGGCACGGTGGTTCAGGACTATAATCCCAGCACTTTGGGAGGCTGAGGCAGGCAGATCTCTTGATCTCAGGAGTTTGAGACCAGGCCGGGCAACATGATGAAACCCTGTCTCTACAAAAAATACAAAAATTAGCTGGGCGTGGTGGCATGTGCCTATATTCCCAACTACTTGGGAGGTTGAGTGGGGAGGATCGCTTGAATCCAGGAGGTTGAGGTTGCAGTAAGCAGAGATTGTGCCTTCACACTCCAGCCTGGGTGACAGAGTAAGACCCTGTCTCAAAAACAAAAATAATGCTTTCAGAAGAGAAATCATTGCAGAGCAAAACTGTGTATGTGAAAGTTTCATTATTTAACCAAGAAACACTGAAAGAGGCAAACACAGCAGCCTCACAACAGTTTGGCAAGAGTGTTCCCTTGCTCCAATGTTATGGCCAAACTTGTAGGTCAAAACTATTGGGTATTTACACGTCTTTCAGATAGCGAATTAAGATCATGAATTGAAGAATGATTGGGGTAAACAAGCTACGCTTGAAAAACCAAAATGCAGAGAGCACCTTGCACACCTTCCTGAGAACAGGAGATGGGAGGAAGAAAAACAGAGATGAAAACTGAGAGCAGATTAAGGGGTACATCAGAGAATCAGTTTCTGGGGAACCTAAAATACCTATCATTTGAAATATTGACAATATGGTGACATTGAACTCAATGTTTTAAATTTATTTCCTCGCTTTTTAAATACAGGTGTCAAGAGCTGAGCTAATCATGCACCTCAGCTCACCACACAGTCCTCAGACGGTGGAAGAGCCCTTGTTTCTCTATGTATTCATTTACTTATTCCCTTTTATCCCCATGTGTCACTCACTGTTCCCCCTTTCCTCATGGACAGCCATTCTGCCGTGTTTAATATGTACGGTGACATTTCCATGTTCTTACAAAATGCATATTATTGTTTTGCCTGTATTTTTTGTAGCAGCTTCATGAAGATATCATTTACATACTACCTAATTCACTCATTTAAAGTGTACAGTTCAGGCCAGGCATGCTCACCTGTAATCCCAGCACTTTGGGAGGCCAAGGTATGAGGCTCACTTGAGCCCAGGAGTTTGAGACCACCCTGGGCAAAAGAGCAAGCTGCCATCTTTAAAAAAAAAAAAAAAAATTAGCCAGGTATGGTGGTGGGTGCCTGTAGTCCCAGATATTCAGGAGGCTAGGGAGGGAAGATCCTTTGACCCCAGGAGGTCAAGGTTGCCGTGAGCTATGATCGAGCCACTGCACTCTAGCCTGGGTGAGACCCAGACTCTAGACAGAGTGAGACCCTGTTTCCAAAATTAAATTAAGTTAAATTAAAAAGTATACAATTCAGTACAGTTTAATTAAATTAAATTAAAAAGTGGCCGGGCGCGGTGGCTCACGCCTGTAATCCCAGCACTTTGGGAGGCTGAGGTGGGTGGATCACGAGGTCAGGAGATCGAGACCATCCTGGCTAACACGGTGAAACCCCGTCTCTACTAAAAAACACAAAAAATTAGCCGGGCGTGGTAGCGGGCGCCTGTAGTCCCAGCTACGCGGGAGGCTGAGGCAGGAGAATGGCGTGAACCCGGGAGGCGGAGCTTGCAGTGAGCCGAGATCGCGCCACTGCACTCCAGCCTGGGCGACAGAGCAAGACTCCGTCTCAAAAAAAAAAAAAAAAAAAAAAATTAAAAAGTGTGTAATTCAGTATTCCCAGAATTGCACAACCATCACCACAATCAATTTTACAATATTTATATCATTGCAAAAAAAAACCCTTGTGTTCACTAAGGAGCCACTCCCCATTCCCCCCTCTGCCTAAACTCTGGCAACCACTAATCTGCTTTCTGGCTCTATGGATTTGCTTATTCTGGACATTTCATATCAGTGGAATCATATATCATGTGGTCTTTTCTGTCTGTCTCCTTTCACTTAGCAAGTTTTCAAGGTTAATCCATGTTATAGCATTTATTAGTACTTCATTCCTTTTTATGGCTGAATAATATTTTATTGTATATATTTATCATATTTTACTTTATCCATTCATCAGTTAATGGACATTTGAGTTGTTTTACCTTTGGACTATTATGAATAATGCTTCTATTAATATTCATATACGAGTTTTTGTGTAGGCATATGTTTTCAATTCTCATGGGTGTATACCTAGGAGTGGAATTTCTGGGCCATATGGTAACTCTATATTTAATAATTTGAGTAATCATCAAACTGTTTTCCAAAGGGGCTAGATGATTTACACCAGCAATTTCTTTACAATCTCACTGAGATGGACACTTACTATCTGTCCATTTTTTTCTAGCCATCATAGTGGGTATGGAATGGTATTGCATTGTGCTTTTGGTTTGTATTTGCCTGATAGGTAACAATGTCGGGCATCTTTTCACATGCTCATTTCCATTTGTACATCTTCTTTGGAAAAATGTCCATTTCAATCTTTTGCCCATTTATAAATTGAGTTTGTATCTTTTTATTATTGAGTTGTAAGAATTCTTCGTATATTCTAGATAGAAGTCTTTTATCAGGATTGTCTTTTCAATCTCCAAATAGTGTCCTTTGAAACACAAATTATTAAAATTTTGATGAAGTCTAATTTGTCTATTTTGTTGTTGTTGCTTGTGGCTTTAGTGTCAGATATAGGTTTATTTCTGGATTCCCAATTCTACTGATCTATATGTCTGTTTTTATGCCAGTACCACCCTGTCTTAATTACTGCTTTGAAAGATTGTAAGATTTGAAATCAGAAAGTGTGAGTCTTCTACATTTTTCTTCTTTTTCAAGATAGTTTGGGTGCATATATTTTGATTTATAACATATTTTATTTTTTAACCACATGTGTTTTTTACAGTTGATTTAAATCAAAGTCCCTGTAATAATTGTATTTAAAAACCGCCTTTTCTTCTTTGTAGAGATATTCTGGCCATTTTCTTTCCAGGATTGACATAGACCCAAAGGTCCCCTTGCTAGAGCTGGCTGAGGCAACACTCTTGAACAACCCTTTCTGCGATGGTGGCAGTTCTTCCTTCTTCCTCAAAGTCTGTTCTTAAACCAGGTCCCTTCTCTTGGCATTGTTTTTTTTACTTTTAATTTTTTAAAATCTTAGACATAGAATTTTGTTAAACCTCTTGAGAACTTCGGGACAATTGCTGTGTCTCTGATCATTCCATTTGAACTGCTCAAACTGAAAGTCAGTGAATGCCTTAATAATAGACTTTTTTGGAATATATTAAAATTATATGTATATATGGCCAGGCATGGTGGCTCATGACTGTAATCCCAGCACTTTGGGAGGCCAAGGTGGGCAGATCGCTTGAGGCCAGGAGTTTGAGACCAGGCTGGGCAACATGGCAAAACCCCACCTCTACTAAAAATACAAAAATTACCCAGTCATGGTGGTGCTCGTCTGTAATCCCAGTTGCTCAGGAGGCTGAGGGACGAGAATCGCTTGAACCCAGGAGACAGAGGTTGCCGTGAGCTGAGATCATGGCACTGCACTCCAGCCTGGGTGACAGAGAGAGACTCTGTCTCAAAAAAAAAAATTTATATATATATATAATGCACACAGAGACAAGAGCACAAATCATGATATTGCTATGTACATATATATTTACTTTATGCAAATAATATTGTGAGAGACATAAACATATATATGTGTGTATATGTGTTTTCCACATACAACTCCTTTCATAACTGGCAAAATGTAAATTTGATTTCGATCGCCCACAGAGTGTACATTTTAATTTCAAACAAACAGTCCCTTACCTGTTTTTTGGCACTAGGTTATCTCTATTGACTATTTTTGTGTCTTGTGGAGCACAGGTTCCCTGGTGCTACCACAAAGGCTATGCCACCAATCCTGAGACTAGTGGCCAGCTGTTGCCTGGTACCATTTGTGATTGTCAGCTAAAATTCTGAAAGCAAAGTAAAGTGTGGTGAGTGGATTTACCCGGAATGAGAGACTTTGTTGTTTTCTAAAATTTTAAACTATCCAATATATATCTCAAGAAATTATGTTTTTAAAAAATGGTAAAAATACTTTCCAAAAAACTGAAAAAAAGTGAGTAACATTTTGCTCACATAAAAATCATGGTGTTTGGAGAGGCTCCCTCTGCCTATTTTGAACAGAGTAACAGTGTCAATGCAAGTCACCTCTATCTTTGGTGAATGGGAGTGGCCAAGGCTCTTCAGGTAACAGTGACAGAAAACTGACATGACATGACAACACTCTAAACAAAAGACATGCTATTTATGCCCATAATAAATCACTTGCCTTATACCACTTATGAATGCCCTTCTAGTATTTTGAAAATAAATTGAGGTATTCAGTTTTTATTAGTATAACATTGATTTTTTTTTTTTTACACGCTCACTAGATGAGCATTGACCAAATATTTAGATAATACCTGTTGGGAAAGTGCTGAATTACTAGCCTGCCTGAGAATCCCACACATTTCAGTCCAAGATAACCTTCCTCAAATTTTCCATCTCCCATCAGAGGAGCTGCAAAAGGGTCTGAAGAAGTTTGGATAGGGAGCCAGTGTGAACACAAGCCGAGATTTTCAGAAGGTAGCCACCGAGGCATGTTGTGGAGAGCAGTTGTTCCAGGTTTATGGAAGGGCCAAGAAGAGCACATTCAAGGGGTTGTCTGATGGCAGGGCCATTGTGATTTGCAAAGCACCCCATAGGTTTCACCAATGGACAAAGAAGGACATTTACAGATACAGACCACCTGGGAATTCTGAGTGTACAAATGCACAGATGAAGTCACTAACTTACTTGACACTTTAGAACAGTGTAAAGTGCCAGTCATGAATATTGGAAAGGATATGTTATGATACAGGGGTAATCTTGATAAATACACATTCCCAAGAACAAAACTCCTGCTGTGTATAGAGGGTTTAGGAATAAACCCTGGCTTCTACGGAGTGAATTAATAACCACAGAGGAGCAGAACTGGATGAAGACATTTAGAAATTGAAAACAGCAATATCGCAGCTAACACTTTAGGGAAAAAAATTGTTTTGATGGATGAATAGTGGCCATAAACATGTAAACACTGATCCCTTATGCAACTCAAATTACAATTTAATTCTACTGGGAGGATGGGGGTAATATCTTGAGGAGGGAGGGAGGGAAGGAGGGAGGGAGGAAAGGGGACTAGATCCTCTTCTACTCTAGTGAGAAGACAACAGAGAATTACTGGAATGAAATAATAAGTGGTAACACTGTACATTAATAGATACGTAAAAATAAACATTAAAAATAAGCAGCCAAAGGAGAGCAGATGACAGCAGTCATCTCTTTGGTAGGGGTGTGAGGTGGGAATGTGGGAAGGGAAGCAGAAGACCACTACTTTTTATATCAAAACTTACAGAACCATTTGAGTTCTTAAACTACTTTTATTGATAAAACTTTTTAAAAGGAGAAGGAGGAAGAACAAGAGGGGAGGGGAGAGGAATTGAGACAACAAATGAGTAAACTATCTGAATAATCCAGGAACAACTAAACTTTGGTAAAAGGATGGAATGGGGAAAAATGGAATTGAAAGGAGTTTCTTAGGAAACACAGAAAAGATTTAGTGCTTGAATGTGGAGGAGAGATGCTGAGATGGTTGAAGTCTCAAGTCAGTTTATTGGGAGAATAGGATATATTTAGAGAAAAATAAACTAACATATCACACAAATTGACAATCTCATGCAATCAGCGCATCATATACTACATTGTTTTCTAATCGTGTAACTGTAGAATTTAGCACTTTATTTGTACAGGGCTATCATTTTCATGAACTACATCATAAACATGATCATTATGTAGCATCCATAATTGGCGAATAGCACAGCATACCACAATGGACAGTGCAGTTCAGAGAGAGAATGTGAACGGGATTAGAAAAGAGTCACTATGAATGAAAATGATTGGGAAATAATTCCAAAGGAAAGAGAATATGAGCAGGCAATAGGTCTGTTTAACAGTCCATTTATCAAATAATTTGCCAAATGACAAATTTGCTAAAATTTGTCAGAAAATTCATTTGTAGCAGTGTCACCCCAAGAGACATCCACATAGCCAGGAGCAGAAAGGGACACAGGTGTCTAAACTGTGAGATTGGTAGCCCAGATTGATAGACATTTGAGGAGTCTAACAAATCTCTAGCTACAGTGCTATAATAAAGCTTTAAGGAAACTAAAATGTGGGGAAAGTCTCCACTTAATGTGATAAATTGATGCCTCAGCAAATCAGTTTGTGGAATTGATTTTTGCTAAACTGGCTTGTGGCAAACTCACTGCCAATGAATTGATTTTTGCTATGTGGGCCTGCTTCAACATCTAGAACTGAAATGTGTAAACACTGATTCCATTCTGCAGCCCCCAACCCAATGATCTTGAATCCTTTTTTACTGCAACCTGCAGTAAGGAATACACTTTACACCATAACTATGCACACATGCACGCATGTACACACACACACACACACATGAAACAAAAGAATCACATTGTCCTTACTTCAGACAATGCACTCTGATACTTTCTATTGTATTTCTTTTCTTCTTTTCTTAAAAAAAATACTGGCTTAAACCTGCAGTTTAGAAAACCTTATAACAGCAAACCTGTTTAAACTTGATTATATAGTGGAAGGCCAATATTTCTATAGAACCAAACATATGTTTAACACTTTTGGAGAAAATAATGATTGCAATTCCAATTTCGTGTTCTGTGATACAATTCTCCACTGCAATGTGCTGCGCTGCTCTAAATTCTGCTGTGGGACTGTGGGGAGATCTTGCAGCTCCAGATCCCTGGTATGCCTGCCATGGCCCGACGGGTGGCTGGTTAAGGAGCTAGGAGGGACATACCTTGATCCTAAGATACCTCACTAATTGTCCTTTTCCTTTTCTACCAAATCTACCTGTTTCACTCTCCACTGCTAGAACTTGCTATCTGCCACCTTTAGGAGCTGCACTTTTCCTTATTGAACTAATAAACCAAACACCATCTTAAGCTTCTCACTTCCTCTCCTGTCCTGGAATCAAGTCACCAATCCTTCCTGGACACATACACTCTCCCAAGACTAAACCAGGAAGAAGTTGAATCTCTGAATAGACCAATAACAGGAGCTGAAATTGTGGCAATAATCAATAGCTTACCAACCAAAAAGAGTCCAGGACCAGATGGATTCACAGCCAAATTCTACCAGAGGTACAAGGAGGAACTGGTACCATTCCTTCTGAAACTATTCCAATCAATAGAAAAAGAGGGAATCCTCCCTAACTCATTTTATGAGGGCAGCATCATTCTGATACCAAAGCCAGGCAGAGACACAACAAAAAAAAGAGAATTTTAGACCAATATCCTTGATGAACATTGATGCAAAAATCCTCAATAAAATACTGGCAAAACGAATCCAGCAGCACATCAAAAAGCTTATCCACCATGATCAAGTGGGCTTCATCCCTGGGATGCAAGGCTGGTTCAATATACGCAAATCAATAAATGTAATCCAGCATATAAACAGAGCCAAAGACAAAAACCACACGATTATCTCAATAGATGCAGAAAAAGCCTTTGACAAAATTCAACAACCCTTCATGCTAAAAACTCTCAATAAATTAGGTATTGATGGGACGTATTTCAAAATAATAAGAGCTATCTATGACAAACCCACAGCCAATATCATACTGAATGGGCAAAAACTGGAAGCATTCCCTTTGAAAACTGGCACAAGACAGGGATGCTGTATTTGCATTATCCCTTTTTTTCCCCCTGGGACCCTGGAGGAAAAGACAGAATTGTACATGGATTCTGATGGTGGGTTTTCAAGTGCTGTAAAGTTGATTCATCATCATTTCAAGAAAAGCCAGACTTGGGATGTACTGACTTGGCTTTTGGGTCATCTGGCTAGAACCACTATTTTATGATGTAATTTCTAATTCAGTAACATGTTAAGTATCTGAGGGGAAAATGATTTAAAAAACATATGCCAAGTGCTATTGTATATCTCTGCATTTCACCATGCATTTAAACAAGTTAGATACTGATTGTACTTCAAGTGTAAAATGCTGAAGGCCTATTCTGTCCTTTTGAGTTCAATTAAATTTTTAATTACTCAGTGAAAGGAGACACATGGGGAAGAAGAGGTGACATTTCACCAAGGATTTTCCCAAAATTAAGAGTTGAAGAACAATGAGATTTTCATCTGCTACTGTTCACTAATGATGAAACAATGCTTTTTTATGAGCTCATTTTGTTCCCATATTTTTTCAGTTTTGACCATTTGTCCATCTCCGAAGGACTTGTATCAGCCCTACTGGAAACTAATAGGAAAGATTAGCATCAAAGACAAAGAATAAGTAAAATCCTTGCCTGTTTTCAGGTATTCACAATTTCTGGGATTATATCCTTTGCAGCTGGAGCTCTCCATATTGGAGTCAGCCCAAAATTTAATTTAGGGAGAAAGTTTGATTAACATTCCTTCAGTTACGAGGCCTTTATAAAGCAGTGTTTTCTTGGCACCTTTGTTAGATTTTTTTTTCCTTCCTTATCCATGCAAGTATTTTTAGAAGAAGGAGGAGGAAAGGATGGAGCCAAACTTTGAAACAGATTTACTAAGAAGGTGGATGTGAAGAACTTAGTTTGCAAAGCTGAGAAAATATAAAACTGAAAGTATTATATCAGTATTTGAGTACCCTGAATACACACTATACATGTTGAATAATTCTAGTGAAATAGGTAAAAATCTGTGTTGAAACTCCAGTGCCCCGTTAAAACATAATTCTAATGAGGAGAGATGGCAGTTGTGGTCCCTGTTTGAGTTATTCAGGATCATTCAGAGAAATTCACTTTTGCCACCAACTAACGTTCTAACCCTAGCAAACTGCTGGGAAATTTGATGCTACTCCTTGAAATAGGACTGGTCGAAGACTGTGGGTGATTACTACACTATCGCTATCCAAAAGACCTTCAACTGCATGGTACCTGATAGGCACTTGATAAATATTTATTGACTGATTAAGCAGTGCCTGATTATAGTACAAAGGATATATTTATTCCTGGAAGCAGCAGTGTGTAGTGACAAAATACTGAATTTAGAATTAGAAGCCTATCCTACCAATTTGCCAGCTAAGTGATTTGGGAAAATATTTTTAAAATCTAAGGTTCTATTTTCAAGTCTGTAAAATGAGAAGAATTATGTCTACCTTGAAGAAGAGTTGTGGGAGAATTAAATGGAGTGACAGTATGCAAAATGCCTGACACACAAGAGTTCTCAGCAAATGCTAGTTGAATTGAATTCTAGATTACTCATTCTCGGGAAGGAATTCATCTCTAATTTTAGTCTTTCCATCAATAAATTTGATACGTTTATTTTGTTTTCTGGATTATTGAGTAGTCCTCCTCCCTTCAAAAATAATCAACTCATTTTGGGCAAAGTACAGAAGAAGCAAGTAAGAATAAAAGGAATATTAAATATTGCAATGGCAATAAAAAGAATTAAAATCTTTGCGATATGAATAAGCTCACAGAGCAGCCCAGACTTTTTGGTGTACATTGTCAAGGAAGGCAGTGAATCCAATAATGTTAATAACTTCCCTATGTATATAAGGGCAACTGCAGACTTTCAGAGAGAACCCAACCCATTGTAATTTTATGCCATCCTCTTATTAAGAATGGCCTCTTGACAGTTACCTAAGCTCATATTATCATCCTTGATTAAATTAATATGAGAAGGATGACAAGTGCTGAGATACTTCCCTTCAAATAAGATGAAAACAGCATCCAAGGAATAAGGAAGAAATACAAGCGAAGAGGTCAAAAATCAGCTGAGTTAGCAGGGGCTACTCTAAACAGATGCTCAGCCTCTCAGGAGACTGACAGCTCCAGTATGCGATGGGCCAGGCAGTTTGGGAGCTGCCCCTTCCTTCTGCCAGACCAGATGATGATTAGCATCTGACACATGAATAGGAATAGCTGGGCCTGGGCCTGAAACTGCAGGGAGGGGCACTGGTCCCAGCCAACAAGCCTGCAAAGCAGTTGGAGAATAGAAAAATGCAAATGTCCTAGGTCTCCTCAGCCATTAATTCAGAATCTAAGTACTGGTATATAGTTAGCTGTTTCAGGAAGATAAAGAACTGCTTTTAGAAAAAGATAGCCATTTACAAATCAGCTTAGGATTGTTCTTATATTTCAGAAGCTTTTTATTTCCAATAACATTTCTATAGAATATCACCCCTGAACATGTTAATATTTGAACAAATTTTAAAAACCTAAATCTTCCTGGAATTAGGTTGTACTCATTTTGCCAATATCCTACTTCTAATGGAGGAGGTGAATCATTAAGACAAAATTTAGGGAACCTCTGAGATATCAAAATTGATTTAAAATAACATGAAAAATTGTATTTCCATGGTCTTACTTTGCCTAACCCAATGGTTTCTTCCCTTTAAACGAGTTGGCATCCCAATGTTTTCACATATACTAATGAGCTAACAACAATACTCATGGATTTTATACTAATCTATTTAGAAATAAAGAAGATAGCCTTGTGATTTTACCAGCATTTGAAGCACTCCTCAAAGAAAAATCATTCTTAGTTTATTTTGCCTCTCTCAGACTGGGATAGGATATGGCTTGCTCTGTAGCCCACGAAACAGAGTGAAGAGCTTCTGTCTCAGCTTCCACAGATTACCATGTTCTATTACAGTTGGCACAGCAGATTCTCTGCCCACTAAATCATCTGAAGCAACAGATGGATCCCACAATTGCCAATAAATATTTGTGAAGGGGGAGGCTTTCTGCAGAGATTTCCTGTGTTTTAGAGCTTTTGCTGCAATGATACTTTTAGTTTTTCATCTTAGAAATTATTTTTCTTTGTAATTTGAGATGGAAGTCAATGATGAGTATCGTCTTAGGATGTGCAGAGCAGTACTAAATTAAAACCAAAAACCAAGATTCTCTCATCTCATGTGTTGTTTTCAGTTTGTTTTTTGAGCTTAGCACCTCACATCTTCTTGGTCTACCTTTTACTTCTGCTCTGGCGGCAGCTCACTGTGGCCCCACAGCATCTCTCTCTAGCCCCACCCTGTTATGGCTCACTTCTGCCCCAGGTGAAGGTGCCAGTGGTAAGCCGATTGCCTTCTGCACAGGCACAAAGCTTGAAACGTGGAAGGGTAACACCTCCTGGCCCAGAGCTTGTCCACTGAAGACAGGAGCTGAAGGGTAAATGTTACCCTACCCTCTCCCATTTCTCCAGTGTATAATGTGAGGCACCTTCCACACAGCTCCCCAGATGGGCCCAGAGGGACTGAGCCCCAACCGTCCATGACGGTGGAAATCAACTGGATAAGGCCCCCCAGGCCTGGTTTTCACCTCCCTCACTCCTGTTTCCTCATCTCAGGATCTGCTTTCAAGGGACACAGATTAAACTCCTACCAATGGTGACTGTTTCTTTTGTCCTTAGCAAATACCAGACATTATCCACTTTTTAAAGTGTTTTCAGTCTGGCAGGAAATAAATGTCACCATTTTCATCTGCATGTGTGATTATTAGTAAGTGAAAGAGAAAACACTTTTAAAAATCACAAGTAAACCACAATAAAAAATCAGTAGTTTCTCCTAAGATAAAAACCAATACTTTGTTGCCTCTTCCCCCAACCCAGATGAAGGTATTACTTTCTGATTTTCACACGACAAATATGGTGCCAAGGAAACAACATACCAGAAGTCTTTTCCTACTACCTTATAGCTCTTGAAATGTTAAGACAGGACCAGGAAATGATGGGTATTATTTGAATTTGGGCCTTTGTCTATATGTGACGGACTTTCATAAACTGTTAGAGACGGACTAGATGTTAAATATCACCAAGTTGAGTATTCCGGCTTAGAAAAATGGAGACACTAAGACCCAGTGAAGAGAAGTAATGGAGAGACTTGCCACCTGTGACACAGACAAGGGTAGCCCTGGCCTGGAACTCCTGACTCTTTGGTGCTTTTCCTGCTAAGCCATGTTGTCCTTTCTTCAGAAATTGATCATTTGGCTTTCCCACAACATCCTCACTTGTGGTATCTTATAAGACCACATTTACTACTGAAATAAGAAATGTTATAATTTCACCATAAAGGCATCACAAAGAACGATTTTTTAAAGAAAAATATCCAGAGACATGATATCTTTGTAGGAAACATTATTATGGTGAGCTCCAGAGAGAGCTTTCTGAAGGGTCCCAAACTGCAATTTATTACTGGAATACTGGGATCCTAGTTCAAAGGTGACATAAAATATGAGGTCAGCATGAGTATCTAAAATACACAAGACAAAACTGAGAGTTGCTAACACAAAATCAAGACCAATAAATAGGCCAGGCACAGTGGCTCATTTCTGTAATCCCAGCACTTTGGGAGGCCGAGGCAGCAGATCACTTGAGATCAAGAGTTCAAGACCAGTTTGGCCAACATGGTGAAACCCCATCTCTGGGTGTGGTGGCGCATGCTTGTAATCCCAGCTACTTGGGGGGCTGAGGCATGAGAACAGCTTGAACCCAGGAAGCAGAGATTGCAGTGAGCCTTGCAAGATCCCACCACTGCATTCCAGCTTGGGTGACAGAGTGAGACTCCATCTCAAAAAAAAAAAAATCAATTAATAAAAAGTGTCAGAGATCTTAAATTTTTTAGAAGCCTATACCTACCAGCAGCATAAGGGAGCCTGGACATCTAGATCTCACAAGACTACCTTACAGAGTTAACTTCGTCTCTTTGGATATGTTAGAGATTTACCTTAAGTTTTCACATGTACAGTTTTTACTTATTATAATAAAACTATTTAAAATAATGAAAGTTAAAAGTTATTGAAGGTGATTCATATATTTAGGACAAGTGACTTTTAAATGCATAATTTAAACTCCTATTATGGTTAGTTAACCTATAATAACTCTGTTGAGTTTGTTTCAGCCATATATTATTTCAGCTAGAGAAGAGCTAATATTTGCAAGGAATCTACTAAATTCTATGCATTTTAGAGAATTTCAACTTTATTTATTGCTATCCCCTGTCCTACTTTGAGTTCCTCCAAAAGGGGACCTTCAGATGGGATTCCAATTCAAATAGTTGACTCAGGAGGTGAAGGAAACACTGCATGGGAGTGGGAAAGTGAGACAGAGAAGGCAGCCAGTAAAGGTGTTTTTCCAAACTGGCTACTACTGTGGGCAACTACAGCCTAACCCTGCTGGAAAATAAAATCCAGAAGCCTTTGTAGAACATACCCGAGTTGTCCTACCCAAAGGGCAAGAGAGGTAGTATGTTGGTCAGTTTTTAGCAGCCAGCTCTGGAAGAAGATGGGAGAGCTCTGATTTGTAACATTTGCCAGTTTCTGTAGTGTAAATGCTCCCACCATGGCCAATTTCAAGCACCAATGTGACATCGTTGAACTTAGAGTTTGGAAGAGGGATGCACTCTAGGCTCTCAAGTTGATGGAAGCCACCTCCAGCACACCATCTGCAACTTGCATCATTGGCTAAGGACTGCTTAGGATTACGAGCAGAGCCCACTTCTAGCCGGCCATATACTCAGCAAATTGAGTGTCGCAAGCCAGACAGATACAGGTGCTGCCGTGGAAATCTGGCTTATGTGCACCAAGGTAGTGGTAAGGTGAAAGGAAAAGGGCAAGGCCCCAACAGTGACTACTACATCCCCGTATTAATGATGACTAAAGTGTGTACGGCTTGCCAAAAGTCACACAATCATGGAGGAGCTGAGATTCAAACACAGGCCTGGCTGATAGCAAAGCCTTCTAGTCTGTGTCATGCTGTTCCTCCTATAGAAAGCTGTACATCTCACAATGCCTTAGTGAACAAATAAAACTGTATTGTGTTACTTAGGGTCAATTATTCTGCTCTAACAAGTAGATCTAAATAGGCAATGGCTTAAGACAAAGGAATTATATTTGTGGGTGGGAACTCGAATTATCTAGGGGACTGTCCTCCATCCAGTCATTCAGGGACCCTTTCACTCTGTTTCTCTGCCATCCTCTGGGCCATGATAGTCATCTGTATTCAGCTGTGCCATTTCTTGAAATCTATGGCTCACATGCTGTTGATGAGAACTAGTCACATGGCCATATGTAGCTGCAAGGCAGGCTGGAAAACTTAGCCACTGGCTAGGCAAGTGCTTCCCCACTACAGCTGCATGGCAATGGCTGGGGATAAGGACTTTGGTTGACAGCTAACCATCTCTATCACAGTTTCCCATAGAGTCTTTAGGATATTATTGTTTTCCATTTCTTTGTATAATGAATTTTAATATCTATAGTAATTCAAAGGTAAATTTTTATGTCTAGTTTATGAAGATTTTTCAAAAATAAAATTTGAAACAGCTTGCTACTTTGAGTTACAAAAATAATGCAGAGTGTAGTATCCCTTTCTCTATTCAAAGGGGTATGTACTGGTGAAGACCTTCATGGTAATATTTTCACTTGAGAAGCTTAAGGCATTAGAGAACGAAAGCTGTATTGAAGCAAGAACACTGAAAGAACTCATAAATAGGTTTCTCACTAAGAAAATAGCAGCTAACCATAGAAAAACAACAAAGATATTTTACATATATTATGTTATCATGATGGATACACATTGCAGCTTTGAGGTTAAAAGAATGGGCTGTGGGCCCAGAATATCTAAGTTCAAATCTCACCCCTACTGACTCTGAATAGTCTTGGTTAAGTTACTTAACCTCTCTGCTTCAGTTTCTTCACCTGGAAAATGGCGATGGCGACAGTGCCTACCTCACAGGGTTATTGTGTTGATTAAATAAGTTAATATACATGAGGCACTTATCACTGTAATGGCACATAGTAATGTTTAATATGTTTATATTTAATGATAATTTTAAACACCTTTTGTTCTCCAGAAACTTCCCAGGATCCTCTTCCCCAAACCTTTCAGGTTTGTTTTGTGTTGCAGGTGGTACACACACCTAGAGACATTTTGCTTTCCTTTTATGGGCTTCTATCCTAATATTCAATGCCTTTCAATTGTATGACCCCCAGCTCCACCCTGACCACAGTCTACTCCTCAAGGGTCCACCTCTTCCCTCACTCTACCAACAATCCCTTCCCCTCACAGAGGCCCCTGAAGTGCACTTTTAAGACCTGAGTTTACTACCCCTCATTTTCCTTAAACTTTCCTGAGTCTTCGTTGCAAAACTTTCTGCTTCTTTTCTGCCATTCTATTTTTCTGCCTTTTAGATTCCCAGTTTCCCTGATCCCCTATTCCCGCCAATTGCCCCCAGTAAGAGACTCAGAATATAAATAGAGATAAATTCTTATCTTTTTCTAAAATGAATGCACAATTGAATTCGCAGATGAGGTAGTTTTATTTCAAGGAAGGGGAACTCCCTGTTAGGGAGGGAGTGTTGTGATTAAAGGTCAAATCCTAAGAACTCTTAGACAGTTGGTGTTTCGTAACCATCTAAATCAACTCCTGTTCACTGAGCATCTACTGCATGCAAGGCACCGAGGTAGGGACCCTGTGGAGGTGAGATGATGAAAACGAAATGGTCTCTGCTCCAGGGTCTCATAGGAATTGGAAAATGTGCACACAGACACAAGTGGCTCCAATGCAAGGCAGGCTTTGTAAATATCCAGAGGAAAAGGGCATTGTCTTGTTTTCTCTGCTCCCAGCACCTCTTATGCCTCCCAGAAAAGGGCCTGCCCCTTAGCAGGTGCTTAGCAGTACCTCCCTCGGACCTGGGCAGGAGACTACCCCTGGCCCTGTGTTTTAGAGTACATGATGTGTCACAAATTTGGAAATAGAAATAGACTCAAGAACACACAGCTGCCCTGATCACTGGGATCTAGTGCACAGTGGTGGCTGGGCAAACATCTGCTCTGGCGATCAACACTAGTGAGCCCCAGGGAAGCGCAGCTTCACATGCCTTGCCCCAGGGCCTTCAAATGTCAAAAAGTTTTGTGGATGTTGATGCTGCCACTGATGTTGGAAACAACACCACTTTGAACACAGGGAGGACCTCACAGGTAGAAGTGTTCAGTAAGAGAAGAGAGAAATCCGCTAACTTGTCAAATATATGGGCACAATATATGGGCAATATTAACAACATTTGCACACGAACACTAAGGAATATTTTGCAGTATTAAGCATTATGTGTGACTTAGATTTGTATTTATATAGATTTGACAAAACATTTAAAGTATGTTGTCCATACATTAGCAACTATGTGGCTCTTGAATGCTAGAAGTTCAAATAGTTTTATTTTAATAAAATATTTGATAATCAAATTTTCAAAAGTTTTAGAAGTTCAGCTTTATTTAAATCATTTTTATTTAAAATTTTGATGTTTGTCAAATTTGTATTTTGAATTGATTTTTACCTTTTAATAATGATAGATCATTGGATTGTTTCAAGTGACTGAACACAAATTATGTGAAATATCTTAATATAACAACATAATTAGTAATTTTGTTGAAATTAAAGCTAGAAAATTAATTTCATAAAAAAATTGCAAATTACGTGTCTTTATTCCTCATCCAAACATTGTCAGCCCATTAATGGGCTGCAATTAAATACAACTGTCTTTGATATTTTGTCATATCAGTCATATGAAAGCCATAACTTTACATACAATATTCAATTTTGTCTTTATAAAAGTATACTTATCAAAGTGGGAACCTAGAACATATTTTACTTACTGTTGGCTTACATTTTAACTTTTAAATAATTAAAAATGTTGTAAGGGGCCTCTATCTGTATTCTCACCCCAACCCTGAAAACGTTAGGAAAGGGATTGGCCCAGGGGTAGTGTAGTGAGGGTTTTAGGAGTGAAGTGGATTTAAGGAAGTGTTTTCAGGAGAAGAGGAAAGAGAGCACGATATATTCCTAACTAGGGGCAACTGGTATTTGTGGCTGGAGCCCAGGCCTCAGGACAGGATGTACTATGGTGAGAACTGAACTGTCAATGGTGGAAAGTAAGGGAGATGATAGACTGAGAGTTCCATGAGGGTAAAAGGTCATATCTACTTTGATCTCTAGGGTATGTACAGTGTCTAGCACATAGGAGGTAATGCACTTGATATTTGTTGAATGAATCAAAGAATGTAGATTCCATACTCTATGCAATGTGGAACCATTAAAGGGTTTGAGGAGAGAGGACAGAATCAGAAATGTAGTTGAGAAAGGTAACTCCAACAATAGTGGCTAAAATGTATTTGAAAAGGTAGCTAGGAGAGGTGGAAAGACTAATTTTCTTAGTTATATGTTACTACAGTCATGCACCACTTAATGACTGGAATACATTTGATACATTCCAAGAAATGCATCATTAGGTGATTTTGTCATTGTGTGAACATCATAGAGTGTATGTACACAAATCTGGATAGTATAGCCTACTACACACATAAGCTATATGGTATAGCTTACTGCTCCTAGGCTACAAACCTATATAGCATGTGACTGTGCTGAATACTGTAGGCAGTGTAACACAATGGTAAGTATTTGGGTATCCAAATATATCTAAACATAGAAAATGTACAGTAAAAACATGGCATTATAATCTTCTGGGACCACCATCATATATGTGGTCCCTCATTATGCAGCACATGACTATAATTTATATCCATTGCATTTCTTATTTCCTGAACATACACATGTGGATTATTTTTCTTATATATTAATCCTGACCTAATCAAGCATTTAACAATCCATAAAACTCATTGGTGTTAGGTACTATAGTTCTAGGTCTGCACTGTCCAATACGTCAGCTACCTGTGACCTTTGAGCACTCAAAATGTGGCTAGTCTGAATTAAGATATTAGAAATGGTCAGTGTAAAACACACACCAGATTTCAAAGCGCCAGAAAAGAGAAACTATCTCATTCGTAATACGTTATACATTGATTGATTACTCGTGGAAATAATTTTTTGGATACGTTATGTAAAATAAAATGCATTATTGAAATTAATTTCACCTGGTTTTAAATGTATCTACTAGAAAATTTAATATTATATATGTGGCTTGCACTATATTTTGTTAGACAGCACTCTTCTAGTGCATGATAATTTTTGAAAATTTTTATTTATTTATTTATTTTTAGAGACAGGGTGTTGCTCTGTGGCCCAGGCTGGAGTGCAGTGGTGTGATTATGCACCTTGCAGTCTGGAACTCCGGGGCATAATCCACCGTCCCATCTCAGCTTCCTGAGTACCTGAGACTACAGGTGTGTGCCACCATGCCCAGCTAATTTTTTTTTTAATTTTTGTAGAGATGAGGGTCTCACTATGTCACCCAGGCTGGCCTCAAACTCCAGGCCTCAAGTAACCCTACTGTCTCGGCTTTCCAAAGTGCTGGGATTACAGGCGTGAGCCACTGTGCCCAACCCCATGCCAACTTTGTATACCTCTTTATAGCAGCTTTGGCCATAAAACAATGGAAATCAATTGCAAAGTGAAGGTGCAAATGTTGCAAAAGATGCAGAAGTGAACAGAGCCAATGAAAGTGGTCCTGAACTGCTCAGGTCACATGCAAAGCCTTGTGAATGCAGGATTCAGCAGAGTTGGACCAGGAAGTTGGTAAAAGGAAGAAAAAACTGACAAGGACACTAGTCTAAAAAAAGCAATTGAGTATTACAGGAGGATCTTGGGAAAATGTATGAACCCTTCAAATATTGTTTGCAAAAATGATAGCCCTCACTAAGCCACAAAGGTCAAATGGAAAAAGAGTATCTCAGCATGCATCAAAAAACAGCAACTACGATGGCCATTCAAAGAATTCAGAGAATCAGTGCAAGATTGTAAAGTGAGAAGAATTTTGCTTACTCTGAGGCAAATTAAATTTAATAAGTTGTAGTTGTGTTCTTAAATATAAAATCCCAAGTACTTTTCATTATTTATTACAAAAATTAATTTCTGATTTTAAGAACATGCAAATACATGCAAAATGTTTAGAAGGTTTATTAATAAGAGGGAATCATACGTATCTCTTAAGTATTTTACTTTAGCTTAAAACATATAAACAACAGTGTTTTGTTTTGGTTGGTTTGGGGTTTTTTTGGTCAATATTTGGCTGTAAGTCTTTAGTCTTTAAAATGTGGGTTCACCGTTTAGAGTTCCATGTATCTTTCACATCATCTACAATTTTCAGTTTTAGTTTTTTTAAAGTGACTACTGATAGATACCTGCAAAGTAAATTCTTCCCAATCTTTCATAATGGTCATACCCACAACTAATTTGACAGATTTTTTCAGTGCCTCGCCTCAAATACTTCCTATTAACATATGGTAAAGGAAGAACACCCTTTCAATTAAGCATGTCCTCTGATCATTTTTCTCTTAAAAAATCAGTGTGTCCATATGCAAATGCATAATGACAACCTGAATATTCACATAAGTGATTAAAATAAAAATGACTAGAAGCATCAAAAACTATTGGAAAGACTGGCACTTAGGTTTCCCCGTGGTGGTATGCGGTGGCTGGGAAGAAGTTAGAGAATTGTTAACTAGTTGATAAGTGTTGCACTGGGTACTGCCTCACTTTGATCCCCAGTTTCAATCACTTTTCTCTCAAAGCATTTCACTTCATTTTCACTGGAACAACTTTCTTTTCGCACACACATACTCATGTTTTTAAATTTAATAATCAATTGTGTAATATTTAATTAAATTTCACAAGGAACATTGTAATAGGTGGAATCAAGTTTGGGAACAAGCACAATGGATTCTCATGGGACCCATAACTCACCTAGTGGGAACAGAAGTATGCAGGTGCACACCAGCCGCTGGCCTGAGCATTTATTGTGCTGTATCATCCCTCTGCATGTTGTACACCACACAGTAATGGCTGGTATCTGTTACTGGATGAGTCAGCTAAATGGAGGCTGGTTAAGAGACCTTCTACTATAATGTCATTTACAGTGCCCTTGTAGGGAACCAATTATCCCACTGATGACAGGATTTTCTGACTTAGAACATCTGAAAACACCTGGGAAGTATGTTGTCTGGAAAGAACATGCAGAAACCAAATTCTAGCCCCAGCACTCCTGCAAGTATTCCATAATAAATATTTGTAAGCTTGAAAGAACACCAGCTTTTACCCTATTCTCAAGGTTATATTATTCTTTTATGTTTATCTGAGGTATAGATCTCACAAACAGCCATGAATATGTGAATACATTCACATACTGATGGATCTGGAATTCTACCAGTCAGCCTGATAAATACCCACTAATAAAAATATCTGTAGATTGGAATATTTTGTTTATTCATTTTTGTAGAAATGAAAAACAACAAACAATATCCTCAGAGAAGAAAAATTCCTGCATATGCACAGTAGGTGCTTACTAAATATATGATGAATGATGTACAGGCTGAAATATTTCTCCCAATGTATATTATGTCTGCTCATTCTAATATTTGTGATATTTATGTACAGTGAGGAAATGCCCAGTGTCAAAGTGGATCCTCAACGTGAATATGCTGCAGGAACTGAAGTGTGATGTAGGCAGTTTCCAGAAGCACTATGTGGAGGCAGTGATCTGTAATGCACTGGTATTAAGGTTATTGAAATGGTCATGAAATTGCCATGAAATTGCATGCGTGAAATCATTGCAAGGTTTACGTCCCAGTGAGGATGGAAATGAAGAGCTTGGAAACAGGAATTGGAGCTTTCAGTCTAGAAACAACCTTGGAAGAAATACAAGTCTCCTGAATGTTATTAAATAAATCATATTAAGAGAATTCAGAGCCTACAGTACTTGATATTTGACATCCACCTCTCTGCAGTAACATAGCAGGACTGAAGAGCACCAAAACCAGCTAGAGTCTTAATCACGCATTAGACTCAGAAACTTCTATTAACATATGGCAGAGGGAGAACACCCTTTTCAGTTAAGCATGTCCTTTGATTCTCTCTTTAAGAAATCAGTGTGTCCATATGCAGATGCATAATGACAACCTGAATATTTACGTAAACAAAGAAAAAAATGACTCAAAGCAACAAAAACTGTGGGAAAATACCAACACTTAGGTTTCTCCATGGTAATACGTGGTGGATGGAGGAAGTGAGAGAATTGTAGCTAGTTCATAGTGCTGCGCTGGGTAGCCCTCTCCCTTTGATCCCCAGTTTCAACCACTGTACAAACAGTCAAAAATCAGTTTTGCTGGAATCTCCTTTTTACTCTGCTACTCTGGCTAAAGTCTTCCACTTACTTTTCTCACTTACAGGTACCTGAATATGTGCGTGCAAATGTAAAAGTCTTTAGATCAAAATAGGAACAAGGAAAGTTTATCCGTTTCAGTTTAGGATTTGGTGGGTGTGGCAACCCAGGAAGACCTGAGAAATAACCACTGTTTGGTTTGAATGATACATTTGACTGCCATTAAAATAGCATATAATTATAGCCTAAATGTAGACTTAATTTTTAACAGATTTATCTGAACTTTCAAAATTTGTACCGTTGGGTGTAACGATCTAAAACTATCTTATGGGAGATGTTACAGCAGTTTTCAAATCATTGAGCTAATATGAAATCTGGACTTTTTAAAACCCCTCTGATCTAACCTGGTTACGCAGTTAACATTGTATCTGGGAAAGGGGCTTTCATTTTACCTAGTCTCCAGAAGTCAATGGAATTATTCTGTAAATAGTTCAGGCTTTTGTCTAAATATGTGAAGACTGACAAGACTATCTCCGTGAGAATCCGCACCCCCCCACCCCAACCTCCCCCCTCCTTAATCATGTTTCACAAAGTAAATCTATAGACGTTCCTCCTGGGTTTTGGGAGATTCCCCATCCTAAACAAACCAGCTGGAGGAAAGGAAAGGAAGGAAGAAATAAACGCAACACAGAAGTTCTCCTCAGTTGACAAAAGGTCAAAAATCATTAACGTGTAAATGTTGCTTTTTCCATCCCAAAGCACCTTCTCACGTAGAGTCCAGGGACTAGGAGGACTCACAACGCAGCGATGGGCAGCCAGGCCCTGCAGGAGTGGGGACAGAGGGAACCCGGCCGGTGGCCCGACCCTGCAGGGAAGAAGGACGTGCGGCGAGAAGCATCGGATTCGGGGAGGGCCGGGACCTGGCCGAGGGTGACATTACCGAGCACTTCCTGGCACAGCGCTGGTCCCCTCCCCAAACGCGCTATATGTGGTTCTGTACGGGACTGCCTTTCCCAAAGACAGCCAAGGAAAAACTAAAGATCGACGGGGACACCCGCCTCCCTTCCTCGCCCCAACGGTTTCTCAGAGGCTGTGGGGACTTGGTGAGGGTAGGGGGTAGTTGTCCCAAATCAGCAGCTTCAGGATGTAAGGTATTACAGAAAACTTTGAAGTTTTGTTATCTGTAGCACAGGGACAGGGGTGGGACAATAGAGAAGGAATGTTTTCTTTTCAAAAGAAAACACAAACAAAACTTTATTTTTCTGGTCCGCGGCAGCCTGTCTGCTGAACGTTGACTTGCTTTCGCTTTGCAGCAGGCGACGGTCCCGGGCGCCACCTGCGCGTCGGTGGGAGGCTGGTCCACGCCCGGGTCCCCCGACGCCCACTGCAAAGGGCAGTGGGAATGACAGACTGTAAACCCTCTCGCCTGCGTCCCCTTCAAGCACCAGAAACCCAAGTTGGAACTAATTCTTTCTTTCGGAAGGTGCAACTCCCCTCCCGCGAGCTCCGCGGTGCCGGGCCGAGATTGCCGAGAGGAAGCGGCGCAGCGCTGCCGCCAAGGCTCCTCCTGTCGCCGGTGCGGCCGGGACTACCTGGCGGCGCGGCGCGTGCAGCGCGCAGAGTCCCGGGAGCCCACGCCTCCGCCTCCGCCCCCGCCCCCTCCGCCTCCCAGTCCACCTCGCCCGCCCGCCCTCTCGCCCGGCGGAGAGCACAGCCCACTCCCTCCCACCTGCGGCCGCCGGGCCGCCCTCCACCCACACCTCTGCCGCAGGCCGGACCCAGTGCGCCCGCCCGTCGGTCAGTCCAGGCCAGGCGCCCGGCGGGCCGCGCTCACGCAGTTGGCGCAGGAGGCCTTACGCTGGCGGCGCAGTGCCCGCCCCCTGCGCTCTCCCCGCCCCCTCCCTCCCTCGCAGGGGCCGAGCGAATGTAGCCCGCGAGAGAAAATGGCGGCGGCGGCGGGGAATCGCGCCTCGTCGTCGGGATTCCCGGGCGCCAGGGCTACGAGCCCTGAGGCAGGCGGCGGCGGAGGAGCCCTCAAGGCGAGCAGCGCGCCCGCGGCTGCCGCGGGACTGCTGCGGGAGGCGGGCAGCGGGGGCCGCGAGCGGGCGGACTGGCGGCGGCGGCAGCTGCGCAAAGTGCGGAGTGTGGAGCTGGACCAGCTGCCTGAGCAGCCGCTCTTCCTTGCCGCCTCACCGCCGGCCTCCTCGACTTCCCCGTCGCCGGAGCCCGCGGACGCAGCGGGGAGTGGGACCGGCTTCCAGCCTGTGGCGGTGCCGCCGCCCCACGGAGCCGCGAGCCGCGGCGGCGCCCACCTTACCGAGTCGGTGGCGGCGCCGGACAGCGGCGCCTCGAGTCCCGCAGCGGCCGAGCCCGGGGAGAAGCGGGCGCCCGCCGCCGAGCCGTCTCCTGCAGCGGCCCCCGCCGGGTGAGCAGCACGGCCGGGGTCGCGGCGGGGACTTGGAGAGCGGGCAGAGGGCAATGAATGAACCCCGGGCACCATGCACGGCGTCCCGGGGTTCAGCGCAGCGAGGCTACGCGCCGCTCGCCGGGACCTACGCCCCTGAGCACCCCCCGACCCCTTCGGAGTCGGGCGGCGCCCCGGACCCAGCCTGGGGGACCGGACGGGGACGTGCGGAAGAGTTTGTTATTGTTTGCAGACATGTGACAGGCGTGCGAGCCTCTCTGCGGGGAACCGTTGCGAAAAGGTGTAGGGGGCCACGGCTGGCTTTGTGGGACTCCTGGAATCGGGGCTCTCCGAGGAGCCCGGGGGCGGGGCACGGCCCTGCGGCGGCGCCCCCGGACGGGTGTCCCCGGGGCAAAGGCACTGGGGGGCGAGGCCCGAGCCTGAGGCGGGCGGTGGTCGGAAGAGGGGCGGGGTGGGTGAGAAGCCCGAGGTCGGGTGGGAGACTGAGAGGACCGAAGAGAAAGTAGCAGGTCCCAGCGGCCGTGACAGGCAGAGCCCCTCGGCCCGCCCGGGACTCGAGTCCCTAGGCAGATACCGCGGGCTGGGCCCGGACGCAGGCGGCGCGCCCCCAGCGCCGGCCGCAGGGCTCCAGGAGGACGGCTCGGTAACGCCTGTCAAAGCCGTGCGGCGGGAGGCTGCACACTCGCGGAGGCTTGCAGTCTTTTAGGAAGTGCGGTTTGTCTAATTGCAGCCCCCAAGGGGCTTTGAGTGTTCCTGGGAATGCGAACTGCACTGCTAAGTCACTTGAGTGACTTCTGTTTGGAGTTTGAATTTGGCCTTTGAAGTTTGCATTTGGCGGAGTGGTGTAAGAGCCAGGACCGGATGTGTCAGCCATTCAGTTTCAAAGCAGTGGTGACTGCTCCCCGCAGCCCCTCCGGCTTGGCCCGGGGACTGCGGCGCGGGTGCAGTGCTTCCTGCTCGGTGCCCTGGCGCGGGCCGCCCGCTGAATTCCAGGGGCCGCAGTGCGGTGGGCTTCGGCTCAGATGCGTCTTCTGGTGCATATGAAGTACAGTATGTGTAAGGTAATTTAGACCAGCGGTTTATTGGCCTCGCCCATTTTTGGCTACTGGAAATTTTTATGTTAAAGGAAATTCTTTTAAGTGTGACAGCTACATCCTTGTTTGTTTGTTTTTTAAAAACCTGATTAACGTATGCAAAGTACAAAGTCTTGATGGGTATTTTGAGTTGCTGGAAATGTTTTTGTGATAGTCCCTCGTGGCCCTGTAGAATTCCCTGACCTTTATTATGAGAAGAAAGCGTGTCATTTTGTGAGACGAATTTGACAGTAGGAGTCCTTGGTTTGGATTCATTATCTAAAGTGATCTGGCATTTTTTGTGCATTTGATTATTTGCTTAAAATCACGATCCATTTAGTATTTGGAAGTCCCCTTCCTCTCCCCAAGAACTAAAAAATATGCTTCGCACTGTACCATGGCACTACTGAGACCAAAGGAGATTTGTGACTGATACAGTTTTGTGTGCACTTGTACATGTAATTTATTCTTACAAGAGTTATGTACCTCTATAGTTTTCCCATTTCTGTGCAGATTGTATTAAAACTTAACTGGAATAATTCTTTGAAGGCAACTTCTACTTTAAATGAATTCCAGATAAAAATTTTTAACCCCAAATTTAAGAAATTGTATCTATTGAGACCTAACTTTTTGGATACAATAAATAATTTAGCAAACGTCAGCATTCTAGTACTCTTAATGAGCTGTGAATATAGTAGAAGAGCATCCACTGTAAAAATAATGTACTGAAATTGTTTAATGTTGTCTCTTGACACAAAATAAGAGGACTAAGGTGGAGGCAGATAGAATTTAGGGACTAAGTAATCCATGCTTAGTATTTGCGTTTTGTAACCGAGGTTTTTTCCCCTTTGCTTAAGGTGTAGATTATAATTGCACAGTATAAGAAAATAATGGGCTTGTAAGGATAATCTTTTTTAAAGAAATTATTTTTACGAGTCAGAATGCTGTTGGTTTATCCCAAATGTCATACGTAAAGATTTCATTTATAGTAAAATGTTGATTCCCTAACCTTATGAAATATAGTGAATTTTTTTTTCTTAACAATTGGGTTGAAATTCATTTGAATCTGTTCGTATAAAACTTTGTGGGGAAAGGGCTTGTATCTTATTTGAGTGTGTATATTTTGTATTGCATGTTGGTTATGCTACACTATTACTTACCATTTAAAGTTTTAGGAAAAAAAACCCTTAATTATAGCCAACTCAATAAAATATCAATTGAACTTTATGTTTTACTTTTTTTTGACAGTTAAGTTACATTCATACTTCCAAGAGGAAAATCTAAGATTTTGAAATATTTGAGAGTTCTGTGATCTTTTTTTTAATTTTAGAATTTCCTTCTGATCTTTGAATGTAGAAAATATACTTTGAATTAGAATTTATATAAATAAATAATACTCGTATTTAAATAGAAGATTTTAAGTTTGTCCCTCTTTTTCAGGGTGATAGCTGAAATCAGTGAAAGTGCCTGTAAGTGGCGCCCAAGGGTTTGGAATTTTTCCTTATATTACAGAATTTAGGGGCTTTTTCTTCCTATTTACTGTCTTTGAAGAAAAATTACAGTGTTACTCTCCATTGAACAGCCTATTGTGAGTTTGGTAGATATAATTACCCCATCCTATTTTTGTAACTTAAAAAACCAAACTATCAATTTGCTGGCCCCGTGAAAGAACAAGATATGCTGTACTTGTTAATGTTAGTTTTTGTTTAAAACTAAAGGTATTTCACAGGCTGCTTTTATATCCTCATATAGCCCTCAGATTTCACTTCCTTTTTAAAGCTATTAGGCTAAAAATATGATTTAGTGACCTTTTACTAAAGAGGAGGTATAAGAGCATTATTACCTAAAAATTACTCTTAAAATATTAAGTGGGTGACTTTATAAAAATAAAGGTAGTCACATAAGTTAGTCTTCCGTGAATTTGTAAGTTTTTAGTTAAGAATGGTGTCAGTTTCATTTTAAATCAGATAAGAAAATTAATGCATTCTTCAAAGATGAACCTTAATATAATTCTGGAAGAGAAATATAAGAGCTAGAATTGTTGCCAACTTTTATTTTCTTTTCATATCTGATTTTGGCAAGAGTGACTGGTTAACCAACATTCCTTAATATACGATTTCCAATGCACTAAAACTCCATTTTGTTAGATACGAAAAACAGGAAGTAGCCCTGTTCATTGATATTCATTTACAACTTCCATAGCACCTCGAGCATAATATGTTGCATATTTTAGAAATGGCCACTGACTTGTCAACTTGCAGATTTCAAAATGTGGGAAGAAAGGAGTGTTTTTTTGCTTTCAACAAGAGCAAAAAAAAAACCAGCTACAGCTTGCCTAGGCTGAGTCGGCTAATCAGTCCTTGACACTGGCTGTGTGCATCCCAAAGGAAGAAATGAGGGGGTGGCAAGGTAGTTAATGGGGAATGGATTACCATGAGGAAAAATATGGGGCATTCAGAAATGCTCTCAGGTAGAAAGCACCTCTTTTGCATTTTGTACTCCAGTCATCTTCTTGGGTTGAGGGCTGTCTGTTACACAGAAGGCGATGGGAAAATGTGTCATGGAAAAGTAGTAGTCTCTAGAGGCTGCTTAGGAACTGCGTGTATATTACACCTCTAATCTTGGAATTCTTTGCTTCTATCAAATATATCAAGTATAGACTTGGTTGTTTTCCTTAGTCCTTGCCTCTTTCTATATCCTAAGTTAAAAGCTAAAGCAACTTAAACATGTAAATGGTAGACTATTAATGTGAGGAAATGTGTAAGATTAGGAGTAACCCAAAGTTGTCTTTAAGAAATTATTTAAGAACATGTTTAATCATGAAAGAAATAATCAGGGCCGGAATTAGTAAATGGTTCATTGCAAAGCATGAGATTAGTCAGATACTCTTTTCAGTTTGCAAAAATATATTAGGATTTTATCTGTGGCTTAAAACATACTCATTGAGCATATAGATATGCCTAGATACCTTTTACATAATCAACTCTTTTGCCTTCTGTGTGTGTGTATGATATCTATTATATGTATTATATATATGTTTATATATAATCTCATTTGATCATCACTGCAGCCCCCTAAGATAGTGTAATTTCTGTTTTCTGTAGGTGCAAACTCATCTGAGATGGTAAAACCTCATGATTACACAACTAGAAGACAGCTAGGATTCAATCCCAAGTCAGACTGACTCCACAGTCCATTTCTTTCCACTACTCTGCTTCTTCCATTTTCTTTTTTCAAATTAATAATCAAATTAATTGATTATTTTTAAGGAGAAATTTGTTTTGCAGGCATTCTAATAGACCATGAGCTAGGTCTCTACCCTGTGCTAAGTTTGCCTGTTAATGTATATAATAGGTATGTTTCTGTAACCTGGCCTTGTATATGTAATACAAGTAAACTGTATTTGGATCACCCTATCATGTCAGCCAAAGAGGGTTAGTCATTAGTGTTGAATGTTTCTTAGATTTATTGATTTGTGCTGTATTAAATCATAAGTGAAAGGAGATAAGCTGAAATTAATATGGTTCATTCATGGTAATCACACAGGAAGAGAAACTTTTACTATTGCTAGACCCTACCCCTTTGTTATTGTTTTAGATTTCATCCATTCAACATTTATGAACTTCTGCAAGGTGGTGGTCTTGAGTGGTGGAGAAAAAGATCATGAGTGCACAAGCTGTTTCTGTCGGTAGGTTGTAGTATGAACATGTTTCACAATACCGTGTTAAGTGCTATAAGAGAGATGGGGATACAGAGGGGATACAACATATTAGTTTCAAACTATTTCTGCCTATTTTCTGATAAGAATATATACAACACTGCATGTTCAGGCATGTTTTTTTTTCTTCCAAGGGAAAATTAAAAAGGAGATACGGGGAGCAAGAAATTCAACATCTGCTACTGCTAGTTCTGAAATTCTGTCTTTATTATTAGTAACAGCAACTCTACTAGTTACGAAAACAACATGGAGAAATATAAAATATTCTTTAGGGCATAAGATGATCAAGAAGATAGCCTTGTCTTTATTTACTCTATGGCATGTCATTGGTGATTGAGTTATGTTTGGTATGGAAGGGAGTTCTGTATTGTTAGTGATTGAGTCCTTTGGAATACCAGGCTGGTTTGATGCAGATGTTAATTTGATCGAGATGTGGAGATGTTGTAGCATACTAAGGGGAATTGTTAAAACTCACCAAGTGTATAATTCTGCAAGTACACATCTGTCACCTGGGAATTACTAAGCCACCAGACCTCTTGAAGCCTGGAGAAAGTGCTTGGAGCCACATGGGACAGCCTACACAGTACTGTAGTTAGTACGTTAACTAAGTTCATCACTTGTAAGCATAATGATGGATAGACATGGAGTGAGAACAGGGTCAGTACTGGGGTGTAGGTGGAAGCTTTGCTCTTGACAGATGTTATCATTACTTTTCTTTTTTTATTTTTAAATTAGAAATGGGTTCTCACTATGTTGCCCAGGCTGGAATCGAACTCCTGGGCTCAGGTGATCTTTCCACATAGCTGGAACTATGGGTGCAAGCCACTGTGTCTGGCTTTACTTTTCTTCATTGCCTAAACAATAATTTAAGTTATATGTTAACACATAATCTTCAAACTGGTCTTATGGTATTCTGAATACTAAACATCAGTTGTTAACAGACCAGGAACTTTATCTGATTCTTTGCACCATCTCCCAGCATCTAGACTAGTGTCTGGCACCCATGAATATTAGGTACCCAGAAATGTTAACATGAATTAATTTTCCAAAAGTGGTTAAATTAGTATATCTGAAGATTAACTTACTGTAGTGAGATTTTAATCATGATCTAGCTTAAGACGAGTTTTGAAGGCAAGAACTGTCTTTTTTTAGGAGTTTTTGTATATCGTTTGGTATTTATTTATTTATTTTTGAGACGGAGTCTTGCTCTGTTGCCCAGGCTGGAGTGCAGTGGCGCAATCTTTGCTCACTGCAGCCTCTGCCTCCTAGGTTCAAGCAATTCTCCTGCCTAGCCTCCCGAGTAGCTTGCTGGGATTACAGGCATGCCCCACTATGCCCAGTTAATTTTTGTATTTTTTTGTAGAGACAGGGTTTCACCATGTTGGCCAGGCTGGTCTTGAACTCCTGACCTCAAGTGATCCACCCACCTTGGCCTCCCAAAGTGCTGGGATTACAGAAATGAGCCACTGCGGCCAGACCATTGCTTGATGTTTAATAGCAGTAGTTGGCATTTAGCAAGCAGTCATTGATAATATTGACCAATTTTATGTAATGTGAGCCTTCTAATAATTAGTGTAGTTACAAAATAATTGGAGCCATGCTCAAACTGTCAAATATTGAGAAAACTGAATTCCTGGTATTTGAAAGTGTCTAATTATTTGCGTTAATTGGTAAGCCCCTCCTGATTTTCTACTTAACCATGACACTTCTTCCGTGGCGCCCATCTTCATTCTCTTGAACATTGATACTGGAAGATTCCCAGGGTGGTCCTAGGCCTTCTCTCATTCTGTCTTGTCGATCCCCACCCCAGTCTTATTAATGCCCTTAGATCAGTTATGGACCATTTACAAATGATTGCAGAGTTTATTGTCCTAACCATGATCTCTCCTAAAGTCCAGACCTACACCTGGCTACATGACTTCTGCGCAGTCAGATGTCTAAAACCAAATTAAAGATCTTCCCTAAACCTTCTCCTAACATGTTCCCTGCTCATTAAATGGCAGAACCAGAACCCAGGAGTCACCCTTGACACCTCCTCCTCTCACCTCGTCAGATTCAGACCATCCTTAGGTGCTGGCAGTTTGACCTGTTATCACACCCCTAGCCAGGTGCCCATTGTCTCTCATTTCCACTAACTTAGTGGCCTCCTTGCCTGATCCCTGTGTCCTTTCTCCTTTGCTGTCCGTTCCAATCTGTATTAGGTGGCCAGAGTGATCATTTCCAAATGTAAATCTGATCATAACTTCCTCCCTCCAGAAAAGTAAATGTAATTTAATTTTAAGATGTTCAGATGGCTTCCATTTGGATAAAGACCAGGAAATCTTTAACATGCCTGACCGAGTCCCTGCCCGGTTGGGCCCCTGTCTGCTTCTCCAGGCCCATCTCAGCTCACACTTGCCCTTGTTCCGTGGCAGGGTTGCGTGCTTTCATTTCCTCAGACTCACTCACTGCCTTCTTCTATAGGGCCCTCACATGCTCCCTCTGCCAGGAACACTGTTTTTCCATAAAGTCAGCTCCTCGTTGTTAAAATCTTAACTCATTGACACTTCCTCAGGGAAGCTTTCCCTCATCCACCCAGACTGGCTTTGTAGCAGGGTGTCCCTACTGTCAGTGTTGTGCTTTTACATTTGTTACCTCATTTGATGAATGACTGCCTTCCCCCTAGCACCTAGCAGGATGCCTGGCATAGGGTAGACACTGCATAAATATTTATTGAATAAATGAATGAGAGGGATAATGGCATGGCATGTTCAAATTAGTGGATCCACTGTTTTTCCTGTTTAGTCAGACGTAGTTTAGGACATAGCTGAAAAGGTGTTAAATGGCAAAAGTCTAGACTATGGTGTTTCAACACTGTAGATTTGTGATAGACTCATTCAGAGGTACCTGGACTTGTAGACGTGCCTGGTGGCTCGAGTGAAATAGGACAGCTTAATGTAGTAGAGAGCAAATAGCTATACTGCATGACAACTTTATAGGTAAGAAGAGTCTGCTATGTGTATATAATTATTCTGTACTTAATAGGGAGTTAAGAGTGCGTGTGTGTATATATATGCATTTATATATTCACACATACATCTGTGAATAAATATACACATAAAGGTGTCATGCATTAATATAATTATTCTTATTTTTAAAGTTCTCAGAATGTCATCTAAACTTAAGATATCATTTTTAGAATTCTTATCTGATAACCCTACTTCATCCAAAATTCATTAATTTGATCATAATTCAACTTGGGATAAATAAAAGTTCACATTTCCATTGAAGAAAATATTTGTTAGGCAAGTACTCCATGAGATTGCAGAAGCCAAGAACCCATGTAACAAAACATTTCAAAGTTTACTGTTGGTAAGTAAACCCAGCAGCCTCTCTTATCTAGAACATGGGTTAGCACTAAGAAGTAAGAAAAAATACTCTAAGCAGCCAAAGGACCTGTAACAAAATATGTGCTTTGAAGCACTTTGATTTTACACTTAGTAGAGTTCCCAGGGCATTTGCTCAGGATTGATACTTATTTCAGATGTTGTTCATGCAGTGTTGTTCATGTGGTGTTCCTAACATGCAGCAATTAGAAGCAGCCAGTTAGAAGGGGTGGCGGTGTGAGTCCTGCAAGAGGCAGGTTCCCCAAAGGCAGCAGTGTTGGCACACCTGACAGTGAGAGGAGAGAGGGAGAATAGGACTCAAAACATTGCAGTCGGGGGCCACCTAGCATTGGTACAATTAGTTCCATCTAGGGCAGCCTCTGCCATTTAAAAATATACTCAGTGAAGTGAAGTTGGAAAGCTTGTAATATAGATTAAGGAAAATTACTATCCAAGATAGTTATAGAAAGTGTCTTGATCTTTGAAGTGGTAAACCTCTAACTGTTCTGTAAGATGTATTTCTGTAGCCTTGATGATACTGAATAAATATGTACTTTAGAATTACATAAAAATGGATGCTGCTTACCGAATGTCTTATCTATTATCTGTGTGGAGAAATCTTTTTTGTTATTGTTGACCTGAGTCATTTTATACCTTGCAGTTTCTTTAAAATGCATAATAATCACCACTACCACTAATATACTGATCTTTTCCGGTTTTTTAAAAAAAATTTTTATTTTTTTTTTTGAGACGGAGTCTTAAAGATATTTTTCTTGCTCCAAGGGTCTAGATTCTTCTTTTTTTGTTGTTGTTGAGATGGAGTTTCGCTCTTGTTGCCCAGGCTGGAGTGCAATGGCACAATCTTGGTTCACCACAACCTCCGCCTCCCAGGTTCAGGCAATTCTCCTGCCTCAGCCTCTTGAGTAGCTGGGATTACAGGCGCCTGCCACCACTTCCAACTTTTTAAATTTTTGTATTTTTAGTAGAGACAGGGTTTCACCATGTTGGCCAGGCTGGTCTTGAACTCCTGACCTCAGGTAATCCACCCGCCTCAGCTTCCCAAAGTGCTGAGATTACAGGTGTGAGCCACCATGCCCGGCCAGGTCTAGATTCTTAAATAACCAAATTTCAAGTTTTGTACAAAGATTGAAGGAAAGCTAGTCTTTAACCAGGAAGAAAAGGATTTGTTAAGAGATTATCAGCCGTATCTTTGCTGACTCATTGATACTGTGGTGCCTAAGACATCTTGGCTTTTGTGACAGAATCCTGCATACAACTTTCTCCAGGATAGTTCCTCCAGGAGGGACCCCTCTGCCAGGCACTGTGGCAGTCACATGTCCAGGCTGCATCTCTGCCCTGCTCAGCCTCTTCATCCTTGCATTCAGATCTCCATGTGGTTTAGGGTGCCCATCAGGGTAAACACTGCCATTGTCTCTTTAATTGCTGTGCTCTTACTCTTCTGGCTTTCACACCTTCAGCTTCCAATCAGTCACCAGTTCTTGTTATTGCCACTCTCCTAGTAGCCTGAGAATCCATCCAACTTCCTCCACTGCCATGACTGCTAACCCAGGGTCAGGCCACTGTCAACCCACTGTCAACCTTTTCTTCACCCTCAGAATGAAGTCCAGACTCCATAATGCAGTTCAGAAACCCTTAGGACTCAGGCTTCTGCTCACTTTCAGCAGCCCCTCAGAATGGTCTGCTCCCGTCATTTCAGCATCGTGCTCAGTTTTAGTCCCTCAACTGACCGTTCTTCTTTTTTTTTTTTAAAGAAAACAATTTTTATTTAAAAATTTATTTTATAAGAAGTATTGGCATGAATACATAGATAAGGCATTTGAAATGGCTTCTCTGGTTGGACTGTTGACCAGCTGAATTCCAGCTCTGTCCTGCAGCTGATCACCCTTCTTTCTCGGCGTGCCCAATGCTCTTACCTCTATCTAGAATACTCTTTCCAGCTCCGTGGTGAGGTTTTGTTTGTTTTGTTTTTATTCTCTTTGCAATAAAGAATTATTGGTATTCCACTAAAAAATAAATGTGGCTTTGTAGAAATCAGTGCTGTACTGTGAATTCTGCCGAGCTCTGGTTTAACAAGTTCCTCGATATCTGAGTTAGATTTGCTACTTTTAAGCCTTTTTAGTTTTTTTCTCTATCATTGTACATGTAGTCAGGTCTTTCTGAACGACAGTGTTCACAAAGAGATGTTTGTAAAGCACACATTATTGTAAAGTGAATCAGATTTTCTTATTTTGTGTTAAAAGCTCAGAGATGTGGTCTCAGGGAAAAAATGTTGCTGCCAACCTACATATTACTGTCCTTGAGAATAATCCGAGACCTTCACAGGTCAGACAACAGATGTGCTCAGATACTTCAAGCAGAGAGCTTGATGACGATGTAAGCATCACAAGATTTATGTCAGCTGCTGGACCTCCACAGACAGGGTCCCAGCAAGCTGACAGGTTGTAGGTGAGCAAGCACGTTAGATGTGCAGGTCACTCACATCCCTTTTTGTGGGATCAATGGATGTTCTTTCCTGAGAAATGAAAGGGCAGATGAGTAAGCATGCTAGAGCATGTGTCTTCAGTCCTGCTGTCACTCCTGAGGAGATGTCCATGCCTTCAAGAAACACTCAGAGCTGCCAGCCAGGCACCAAGGTGCTGGGGACACAGCAGGAGGGAAGTCTCCATCACTTGCCTGTGGAGGAGCTTACCTGATGACAGACAGTGCAGGCCCCCGTCCACTGTGAGTCGGGGAGGCATCAGGAGGCTTTTTTGGGAAATGTGAGGTGGAGCACCAAGCCAAGTCCCGATAAACGTGGAGGAATGAACCAGGTGAAAGGAACTTGCAAGGAGGTTTTGTGGCCTAGGGGTGGGTGGAGAACACACAGGCCCAGAAATCAGCAGTCTTAGGATGGCATGGAGGACTGCAAGTGTAGTTCAGGTAACTCGGCCAGAGTGGAGGCAGGGTCCAGGGACCAAGCTGGGACACGATTTCTGGCTCTGGCCAGAGAGAGAGCCACGCAGAGCTCTCTGCCTCGTATTGCCCCCACTGGCCAATCCTTGAATCTCAGCGCTTAGGACAAAATAAAAAAGCCTTTGTAATTTGACAGGTAACCACAGAGTGTTAGGAAGTGGGTCAGGAGGCCCCAAGAAGGATTTACATCAGAGCTGGGACAAGACAGTCTGGGGTCACAAATCTGGGAGCTGTGGCTTTTGTACTTCAGTAGCTCCATGTAGTTTCAGAGGTTCACAGATTGGGAAGTGTTCTCATGGCAAAATGAATTCCATCCACTGTGGTCCTGAATGTGGTTTTGGAACTACATGTTTCCATTTCAGAGACCATGCACTGTAGTGATTAAGAACCTGGGCCTTGCTGGGTGCCGTGGCTCACGCCCGTAATCCCAGTACTTTGGGAGGCTGAGGCGGGTGGATCACCTGAAGTCAGGAGTTCGAGACCAGCCAGGCCAACATGGTGAAACCCCGTCTCTACTAAAAATACAAAAATTAGCCGGGCTTGGTGGTGTGTGCCTGTAATCCCAGCTTCTTGGGAGGCTGAGGCAGGAGAATCACTTGAAACTGGAAGGCAGAGGTTGCAGTGAGCTGAGATCGCGCCACTGCTCTCCAGCCTGGGTGACATGACGAAAACTCCATCTCAAAAAAAAAAAAGAACCTGGGCCCTAGGAATTAGACCTGTTAGCTACTTGGACCCCAGGGAAGTCACTTCTCTGAACCTTGAATTTCTTGTCTCTAAAATGGGGTCGTTGGTGGTATAATGAAGCACCATTCTTGATCCAGAAAAGTATTCAGTTAATACTAACTGTAGATAATACTCTTGCAAGTAACTGTCTATGCTCACTACTTAAACCTTTAACCTTTTAGAATGAGGTTAAGAGCCTCCCCCAAGGTTGCTGTGCTACTTATCACTAGGTTAGCAAAGGCGGTTTGTGTAGATAATACATCATCTTGATAACAATACATTTTCCCCTGTTATTTTGAAATGATTTACTAGAAAAATAGAAAATGGCAACTTTCAAAATTCTGTGATATGGGATAAAGCATCTCCTCAGGGTTCTTATCTCTGTGACCTAATGCAGGTTTCTTGGTCTTCTTTTCTCATCTGTGAAAAGAAAAGGTTGGTTTACATAATCTCTCAGTTCCATTCAAGCTCTAGCAACTCTCCAAAAATTTAACTTGGAAATTACTTCTTGTGGCTAAATTTAGCTGTAATTATTGAAACAACAATTAGTTTTTTGAACTTAGAAACTCTTGGAATTTTAAACCTGGGTAACAACTATAAAGAGAAATGCAAATGAAAAGCAACAAAAGCTTAGAAAAAAGAAATCATGTTTGTCAAGCAACATTAAGTGATGAGAAAATCTGTTTTTTAAAAAGCGTAATAACTGCTAGGAGAATATTATTTTGCAAATTGGAGAAAATAAATTAGGTCAAAGTCATTAGCATGTTTGTGTTTAGCAAATACTACCTTAGGGGGCAGTTTTTAAAGTAACTTTAATTTTTTGACAACTTTGCTATTAAAAGCTATCTTTTTCTTCTTAATGTTAATTGTATAAAGAAGGGACATTTTTGGATATAACCTCTAAAAAAGCTTCTTCTTTGACTTCTTCTTGTGTTTATTTATAAAGACCTTTTTGTAAATAAACATGTATGCATCTTTTTTTTTTAAGTTAAAAATGCATCGCTTGGTAACAATCATATTGCTTCCTAATTGTGAAAATTTACATTTAATTATATTTTGGGGGTTTTTTCATGTAATTTGGATAGAGTTGACAGCTACTAGAAAATGCAACTGCATTTCACTATTCTATTATTTTGGGCTCAAGTTCTAAAAAATTATGACTTTCAAATAGACTTGGAATAAGACTGTTTAACTGATTTAATCATTGTAATTGCACCAACTTGAATCGTATTCACAGAAACCACCTTGCCTATTGCTGTTTTTCTTCTTTTTTTTTTTTTCCTCTTTTTTCTGAGACAGGGTCTCACTCCTTCACCCAGGCTGAAGTGCAGTGACATGATCATGACTCACTGCAGCGTCAACCTTAGCGGGCTCAGTGTATCCTTTCACTTCAGCCTCCTGCGTAGCTGGGACCACAGGTGCATGCCACTGTGCCCGGCAAATTTTTTTTTTTTTTTTTTTGTAGTGACAGAGTTTCGCCATGTTGCCTAAGCCGGTCTCCAACTCCTGGGCTCAAGCAGTCCACCCGCCTTGGCCTCCCAGAATGCCAGGCTTACAGGTGTGAGCCACCATGCCGAGCCCGCATTGCTGTTTTTTATACACTGAACTGAAACTGTTCATAATTCATTGCAGAGCACACGGACATTCAGCAGTAATTATTTTTTGTCTTGGATTCCTGGTAGTAAAGAATGCTTGATCCTTCCTGCTTCTGCCCCAACCCATGCTAGTTCTTACTGTTGTGATCAGTTATTAGATATTTATTTGGGGCACTTACTCTGTGCTGCTAGCACGTGATTTCCAGATAAGGCTGTGATCAGGAATAGAGCAAAGTCTTGAATCTTGGTCACCTCAGCACCATTCTCTAGGTAGTTGTGACTGATGGTGATAACTGGCTGTAGGTTTTGTTACCAGTAAATAAGGCAGCTAAGCTGTCATCTGCACAATGCAAACTGAAATCATCCTGCAGTTTTTTAAGTGGATAGTAGGACATTCCCTCCATTGCAAGATGATTTGCTAGGAGAGTTTTAAATAGTGCTGAAGACACACGAGAACAAAGCCTTCCCTTTTTGAGCTCAGGTCCAAAAAAGCAGTTTTGGCATTAAAGAGAAAAGGTTTATGCTCAAGAACTTCTTGCTTTTTCTTCTCCCTCTTACTTCTTGGACTAAGTGTTGGTGATAAGATACAAAACCGTTGGTGTCTGAAGTACCTCTGAATCCAGCAGCCTTCTAAAGAAATGTTATCAGAATTATATTGTGTAATATAATGCTTTCTTCTTGTTGAGGATGCCCCAGAATACCGATAGATGTCACAGATTTTGCAGATTATAATTGTGAATTTAAAATTTAAAATGTCATATATTTTAATTACTAAAAACAAATTAGTAGACATTTCTTATCTGAGTAGAAGATACTGTTGGCCATAACCTAATCCAAAATGAAATTTTTTTTCCCCAAGTTCCGTCTCTGTTTCTTGTTTTACTTTCCCTCTCTCTTTCTTAAACACATACATATACTACCTACCCCACCCCCATGCATATACAGGTCTTTCTAAATTACTGCCTTTTCACTCCACATGACCAAGTTGTTTTGGGACTTGGTGTTCCAGGTTCAGTAAGCCTCTTACACTGGGTTCTGTGCTATAGAAAAGTTGCTATAGTGCTGGTACACACACATTTTCCTGTAAATTTCTCAGTTCTTTATTTAAAAATAAATATTTTATAAATCATTTATTGAGCATTGATAGGGTTTGTGTGTGTAATCAGATGCTGTCCTTCTGCTTTATACTTTGGATTACCTGTACTGTACTTTTTACACCTAGTCTGACTTCCTGTCCTTATACTATTGGGTTACTTCTGCCCCAGCTGTATCATTTTGTGTGTATTTAGAGCACATGAGCTAAATCTTATATTGGTTAAAGAGTTTAAAAATCTGTCACAAAATTTTGCCCAAAGACAGAAAATTTTATGTTGTCATTTACTGTTTTTTTTTTAAATACCTAGTCTAGGATTGATTTTTTTTTTTTGTAATGCACTATGAGAGATTGCCTACATTAAAAGCATTGGTAACAGCACGTAAATGTTTTGTAAGAAGTTTCTGCGTAAGGAATATAATATATTTAAAATGTTAATTCATTCCCATATGCTTAAGTAGTCATGTGTGTCAGATCTTTTCAAGTACAGTGTTCTTGCATTAAAATAGCCTAGAAATTTTATTTCTGCATTCCAGTTCTGTCTTCTATAACTTTTTTTTAACCCGTGAAAATGGGATAAAATGTTGGGTTTTTTTTTTTTTTTTTTAGGATCATGTGTGTGAATTTGAGGTTCAGAGACTGCAGTCACTGCAGAGACCTGAAAGCCATTACTGTCTGTCCTCTGTGATTATATGTGTCCCCTGTGATTCCCACCTGCAGGATTAGGAATGGGAGGGAGAGCAGGGGGTAGAAAAGGGAAGGTGGCAGAATCCATCGCAAACCAGTGAACTCCAAAACCTAATCAGGCTTCTTTCTAGGCAGATTCTATGAGAGACGAAGACAGACCACAAAAAACCTAGCCCTAATTTTTTTTTAACCCATGATTTCTAATGTTTATCTATTTGTTCATTTTGTAATTCGAGTTTAATCAGACCAACTATCAGGCAGGCATTTAGTTTGCACTTTCAAAAATTGAAACTTACACATTTATTAAATGATATCCAGAATCATTTCCTTTTTCTTTTAGAACATTAAACATTAATCCTTTTGAGTATTCTCATGTATTTCAAGGTACTTATGATTGCTTATGTAGGACTAATGCAAAAATTAAATGAATTCCATGAGAATTCTTTTTTGACCTCACAAGAGTTAAGGAGACCTACTTTATGTGAAAGTGAGATTTTTATAGATAATACTTTGAAAACCTAAATTACTCTGATACTAAACAGTTTACTGTGTCTGTTAAAGTAAAAAACCTAATTGAATTGCAGTTGAAATTCAAGAGTCTAGACATTCCTTGTGGGCATATTTGATTTCCTCTTTCCCCTTTTAGCTGTTGGAGAGGGAATTGCCAGGTGTCTTTAGTGGAAAGATATTTAACCTGCTGTCTGACTGCTTATTGTGGTAGATGAAGTGTTAGCACTGGCTCAGGCTTGTGAGACCGTTCCCCATTACTGTCCTAACACTTTGGCAGGATTTTGAGTAAAGTTACTTTATTTAACCTCTTTTGAGTTTGACCTCATCTATGAATTAGAAATAATGATACCCTTCATACTTAGAGAATTTGGGAAGAGCAAATGAGATGATGAATATAAAAACCTACCCTTTCAGAAGGGTAAAAATAAAATACTAGGATTTATGGTCATAGCATTTTAGAATTCGGAAGGACAACCTCCTGACTCTAAGCAGTAAAAGTGGCAAGCAAAGGGGGTTCAGCCATTGTTGAGAGATTTCCTACTTCAGTACAGTGCTGGGTCTGGGATCCAGCCTCAATCATCCTAGTTCACTGTCACTCTCCTACTGTACTTATCTGAAATGGCAATAATAGTTAACTTCCTCTGTGCTTGGTACACTGGATGCCTTATATAAATTGTCTCATTTAAGTCTTACATCATCCTTGTGAATTTTGATTCCCATTTTACATATGAGAAATCAGAGACTGTGAGAGGTGAGGTATCCTGGCAAGGTGGTAGCACAGCTAGTGGGTGGCAAAGCCTGAAACTGAACCTTAGCAGTTTGACTTCAAGCCTGCGTTCTTAACCTTTATGATTATCTTTGCATATTTTTTTTAAATCAAGAGGTAAGTTTGTTTAATCAGAGCACAAATTTTATTATCTTGGAAAAATTATTCATTTCTTTGTCTTAGCTTTTATTCATTCTTCACATAGTGTATTATGAAGTCAAAATCATATGTAGTGATGACTTTTTAAATTAAATTATCTATTTAGGTCTTCCAAAAATACAGAAAACATTAGTGAAGCATTTTAAGTTTTTGTTTTGTTTTGTTTTTGTTTTGAGACGGAGTCTCGCTCTGTCACCAGGCTGGAGTGCAGTGGGGCTATCTCAGCTCACTGAAACCTCCACCTCCTGGGTTCAAGTGATTCTCCTGCCTCAGCCTCCCTAGTAGCTGGGATTACAGGCATGCATCACCGCACCCAGATAATTTTTGTGTTTTTAGTAGAGATGGGGTTTCACCATGTTGGCTAGGATGGTCTTGATCTCCTGACCTTGTGATCCGCCTGCCTCAGCCTCCCAAAGTGCTGGGATTACAGGCGTGAGCCACCATGCTCTGCCATGATTTTTTTGTTTTTATATGAAGTTCTTCTAAAATAAAGCAAGTTATAAACACAAATACATTTAAATTTCAGTGTTTTTACAAGGCCAGGGAAGAGACGCGGCTTCAGGGAAAAATATGGTTGAACTTTGTTAATACATACATTTTTTTGCCAGCAAAATTGGAGATATGCTTGGTGTGCACATACATTAAAAGCAGTAATTGTTAACACTTTTGGAGTACTTCACAGAGTGCCTGCCCAGACTGTCTGACATGCTTCTCATTTGGTGCCTACGCAGCCTTGCACAGTAGTAAGGGGAGAGTGAACACTCATGACCTCCTGCTGTCTATGCACACACTCCCTCCCCCACAGTGCCTCAGCTCACACCTGAGTATCTCTCTGCATGCTCCCAGGGAGCTTCCTGCAGTACCTTAGGCATTCTGAAACGTGTGTCTTTACAACAAGACACACTTGTTAAAGCTGTTTACAAATGAGCCTTGGCGGGGGCGGGGAAAGCTGGTTTTCATTTCCAGTTATTTTAAATTTAGGCTTATTTCACACTTCAGCATTCTTTTAATTAATGTGTTTTAATTAAAAGAATTAATTATTCTTGGTTGGTAATGCCCTTTAATTTGAGTAAAGATGATATCTAAGGCCAGCATCTAGTATTAAGTTATGCCTAGATGGACTTCTGTTCATTTATTCTGTTACTGGTGGTTGTTCTTTACTAGTGAAATAAGTTAACGAATGCCTGCCTGTCACATGTGGGGCCTTTATTTTGTGTTCAGCAGGCACCTTCTTTGATAATTATAAGAGCTTAGTGACTGAGAGAATTCAGTAATCTTCCTGACCCCTATGCCTTCCCAACAAAGGAGATTATCTTTTAGTTTATAGAAAGGTCACTCAGGTAAAACTGAAATCTCCTTCAAGGCAAGATAAATATCTTTATCCTTAACTGTGTCTCTGACATGCCATTATTTTTTCTTCAGTAGTAGTTTGCTGGCCCATAAGTCTTTTATGTGAACTGCTTATGGTTGGAAACTTAAACACTGTCACTTTAGCTCAGCACTTGTTTATTGACATACTTTCCTATGTGTATGTACTGTGCTAGGAACTGAGTGAGCCCTAGGTAAATGCTGGAGCCAGGGGAGATAAAAAGAGAGTTTAATTCTTGTGTTCTCTAGCTAGTTATTGATTACTTGTAGCTAATTTCATAAGAAACTCTTGGAGGAAACTGAAGAGTAGTTGTAGGTTCTACCTGGATGTGACAGGATTCTATGTGTATGCCTGGATATGAGGACAGCTTGTTGAATACTGCCTGTTAATTTGCTTTTGGGTGGATCATGAGGTCAGGAGTTCGAGACCAGCCTGGCCAACATGGTAAAACCCCGTCTGTACTGTACAAAAAATTAGCTGGGCATGGTGGCAGGTGCCTGTAATCCCAGCTACTCGGGAAGCTGAGGCAGGATAATCACTTGAACCCGAGAGGCGGATGTTGCAGTGAGCTGAGATGATGCCACTGCACTCCAGCCTGGGCAACAGAGCAAGACTCCATCTCAAAACAAAGAAAGAAAAAAGATGAGAGAAATATTGTTGTGCTTTAAGAAAGCCTTTTAAATTAAAATGTGAGTTGACACCCCAGCCAGAATAAGGGTGATGGTGTCAGGCTCCTGAAAATGATTTTGTTGTGTATATTTTACTTATATACAGCTTTTAAGAGAATAACTTGTATAAAATAAGATACTTAATTTTAGATATTATTATAATAAGTCTTAACAAGTAATAAGATATAAAATTAAGTATCTTATTTTATACAAGTTAATTACTTATTAGTGGTAATTCCACCTGCAGGCTTGAAGTTTCATGGCCTCCAGTGTTTCTCTCCAATGGAACCTTTGCTCCGTTGAACCTTGGATGGCTTAGAATCTGGCACAGATGCTAAGGGTTGAGAAGTGAATGATAGTTCTGTTGGCAATCTTAATTCCTTGATGGGCAGGCCCAGGATCACATCCATACCTTAGAAAGGGTAGCAGGGAAATACTAGCTCAGCTTCCTCCCTGAAGAATGCCAGTATTTCCTGGAAAAGAGCTGAAGAGGATCCTATGGAGGAGCCTGAGACCACTGCAGGTTAGGAGACAGGAAGGCAGGGAAGAGGAGACAGGAAGGCAGGGAAGAGGAGACAAGGAGGCAGGGAAGAGTTGACAGGAAGGCAGGGAAGAGGAGACAGGAAGGCAGGGAAGAGGAGACAAGGAGGCAGGGAAGAGTTGACAGGAAGGCAGGGAAGAGGAGACAGGAAGGCAGGGAAGAGGAGACAGGAAGGTAGGAAGAGGACTTTTTCCAAGGAGCCAGTGGTCCGCAGTAGGGATGCTGCTGGTTGAGGGCTACAGAGGACGTGGGTTAATGGAGTGATGGGAGTGGGACGTACTTTACTGAGGGATGAAGGAGAGGTGCGGAATCTTAGGCTACTCTGGAGAAACCTGGAGAAGGAGGGAGATGGGAGAGAAATAGAAGCTAGAATGTTTGCAAAGATGAAGCATTTTGGGGTTTGGTGGTTTTTTGTTTTAAGATAAAAAGGGGGGGAATTTTACAAGCTGAAGAGATGGCACAGAGAGGAAAAAGTTTTATTTGTGGTTAAAGTAGTGAGCATGCTTTTCTGAAATGTCATTTCTCAAGGAGATGGCGGCTTGGAGGGGGTCAATTGATGGTTAATAGGAAGCCAGTCTAATGAAAAGCTAGCTATACCTTTGAAATAGGAAATTTGTAGTTAGAAATGTTTGTGTTCTCTTTGTTTAAATTGTAGCTTGTGGTATAACAAAACATTCACTCATCAAATTTTGTAAAGAATTGGCTGTATGCAGATACTAGGAAGATGGCAGTAATGAAACAGACACAAATCCCTGCTCTCAGAGAGATAATATTCTAACAAAAACGTGTTTGTAAGTGTGCGCAGAACCCATTTCATGATTTCTGCTTGGTTTGTGGACTCGACTGAGGTTGATGTGAGCAGTTCCTGTAAAGGACCATCCCTATCCCAGGTTGTTCAGAGAATTGTTTTCCGTCCAAGCCCTCTGAGTGGCTCTTGTGTTTGTCTACCCTCTTCCTAATTGTCGCTTTTAAATACCTCATAGAAATACTCTCTCTCCATATTTCAACTTGGTCAGCATGTGTACCTGACTACAGCCAGTCAAATTTTGGTGCTGGTGACATGGGTGTGGCAGTGCACGTGGGAAGGTAATTCAGGAATTACCTTTTTTTTGGTAATAATGTCAGAGTGTTAAAGTGATTAGTTTTTAGAGAGTTAATTTCGGACCTATTTAGAAATACCCATATAGATATTACTTATTCTCTTGCATACTGATAGGCTTTCTTGGATGGGGAAAGTGGTAGAGATGTGATTAACGCTTTGGGCATTTGTGCGGTTTATCTTGTCTCTGCTTCGGGTCGGGAGTGACTTGTTACTGTTTACATGAGGCTAGTTGTGTGGCACTCCCTAAACAGTTTATTGAAGTTTTGTCTTGTGTATGTGACTGTCATATTATGATGGCAGAGTTGTTGAGAACAGCTGCTTCAGCCTATTGTCAAACATTTTGGCCCTATCCATCCAGCATACTTCTTTTAGGGGACTGAAGGAAAGGGACCCAGGAGTGTCTGTGCAGACTGTCATCCTAGTAATGCTTACTTGGAACAGTGAACACAATCGATTCAAGTCTCAAGTCTTTTGATTTACCTTAATCCATTTGAATTTTGTATTTTAGCCACCTTTGTATCTTTGACATAAAACCATCACAGGGTACTCCTCTCAGAAATCTTGGAATAAAATTGACACTCTAGAAAACAGATGCTCCATTTTTTATGCTTATGCTGTGGTTTTAAATGTATCCTGCCAGCAGTATCCCCCCACCTTAAGCTAGGAGAATCTAGGTGTGAGAAATTTGGATTCGGAATTCCAGCACTGCCCCCCAGACATGCCCATTCACTGACCCCCTGAGCTAGTTCCCTTTCTTCCTCTTGGGTTGCTTCCCTAATAGGATGCACTTCATGGCTTTTGCATCTCCCCTCCCAGCCACAAGATCTTTGAATCTCTGAGGGTTTTCTTCAAGGCATTTTATTCCTACTTACCACAGGAAAAATTAACAGCCATTAACAAAATTATAGACATGGGTAAGTTCCTAAGTTAGGTTTTCACTGAAATATATATGAGTCTAGACTCATGGTTCTTAGCTTCTTTACTGACCATCTCTTAGTCTTTTCCTGGGGTTGAAAGCTGTCATTTTTCCCAAGAGTGGTGTGGGAGCTCTTCCCTCTTTCTGCAGTGCCCCAGGACTAACAGTGGATACTTGGCATACACAAAGGCCTCAGTGAAGCTTATTTACATCTTGGAGATCTTTCTGGCGTAGAAGTTCATATTGGAAAGGCATTGCTTCCTCACAGCTTCCTATGTACAAATACTGGGCATTTGGGAGTCTGGATGAAAGATGAGTAAGACAAAGGCTTTGTTCTCAAGTAAAAGTCCAAGGGGAAAAGATTAATCCATTATTTTATTAAGTACATATTTATTGACTACCACCCTTGTGCCAGGCTTTCTGCTGGGGCAGGAGACATAAGCTTGAGACCCATTTCCGTCCTCACGGATCTCAAAGTCAAGAGTGGGAAACAGATAAGAGGCCATTATAGCAGTGCTCTTTGCTGAGTGAGGACTGAGGAAGATTTCTTCACACTGAGTTTTAGGGGACGTGGCCAGTGGGGGAGGCTGAAGGCAGCACCTGGGATGGTTTCTCCAAGGGGACCCTAGAGCTTCAGTTAATGAGGTGAACCCTACAGAGTACTGACACCAGGAAATATGCCTAAGGAAAACTAGATAAACTAGGGTTTTATTTTTATTTTTTGCTTCTTCTGTATGCTAGGCAAACTCACATTTTATTAGCTGTCAGTCTGTTTTCATTTTTCAGTTTAAAAGTTTTCAGGTTGATAACTTTGGTCCGGTATCAGTCAGAGTGATGATGAATTGAGTCAAAGCTGTTGTTTTAAAAAGAATATTCATATGCATGCCTATGAAAAAGAGCTGTCTTGTTTTAAAATGGAGTAATACAATTTGTGTTACAAGTACAGTTCTTTGCCCCATTTCCATTCAAATTGTCATTTATATCTGAAATCATTAAAATTAGAAAACAGTTATGATGAATGTCTTTTGAAGCATATAGCAGGAAAAGTCATAAGTCAAAACCTGCCAGTTTAAAGTAAATGCAATTATTTGGTTCTATGAAATTGTAGCTTTTGCTATAGTGAAAAGAAATTGGCATATTTATGAACAACTCCAGGATCTCATTGAAATGAGGAAGACATTATTTAGGAAGACAGTAATGATTCAGACTATATTTAGGACAGGATGTTAGAGTTAATGTGCCTTCTCTTTCAAGTGATTAGTGGGCAGATGACATCTTTGGTATTAATGATTGCCTGAGTTAACATTTTTAAGGAAAGAGTGCCACCTACTGAATGAAGAGCTTTTGTTTTCTTCCATTCAATTCGAAGAATCTTGTTTCACTTTGAATCCTTAGTGGGTGGCATTTGCTGGGCAGTGATCCCGTCTTCCAGTGGATTGACTAGGGTAGCTAGGATTCTTAGAGGGAGTTTATGCCCCCAAAACCAGGTGTAGAAACAAAACCTAAGCATAAACATGATTCAGCACTTGGCAAGTCTCAAAACCTTACCATCATGTTAATGTACTCACTGGCCCAGAAGGTTTTTTGTTTTGTTTTGTTTTGAGCTAGGAGCAAATGGCTGGGAGGAAATGAACTATTCCAAAAAATAATTGAAGGGGATTGAAGAGCATATGACATTGGTCGAGATCTTCTGGGGAGACTTCGTTTTCCTAGGGAATAATATTAGTGCAGAGATTGCTTGATCACAACTTGGCCATAGGTCAGTGGAGGGATTCCTGAGGTCAAGTTGCGAATCCAAAGGCCTACTTCAGAGTAATCCATATGGTGCTCTTTTTGTAGTTCCTAACAATAGTATCTCATTAGTGAAAGGTTGAGTACATGAACAGCAGCAAACACACCAGTATCCGAATTAAAGGACATCATTTGAGAATTTCGCATAGTCATTATTTTTAGTATATTGGGACATTTTTGATGTTGTGGCTTAATTGACTACTAGGCATCAGCCATCTCCAGCTTTTTCCACTTGTCGATTGGATTATGCAAGTCATGAGTGGTATTTAAAAGAGGTGGACTGTATGCTAAATTGATTTATCCTTGCTTATGTGTACAGATTAATGGTATAATCCATGAGGGGTGATAGATTAAGATCCTGAAGTGAAAAAATACATATATAGTGTCAGGTATATTAACCAATGGTTAGTTGCCTTTTATTTTTCCAGTGTAAAGTATAGCAGATCCTTCAATAATGTCATTTAGTTGAACATTTTGGACAATTTTGCTAAAAAGTTGATGAGGATAAAAATCTCTTCTGGCAGAGGCTACTGTCTGTATGGAGTTTGCATACTCCCCCCATCTCTGGGTGGATTTTCTCTCAGTACTCTGGTTTCCCCCTGACACCCCAAAGATGTGCACGTTAGGTTCATTGTCATGTCTGCAAGGACCCAGACTGAGAGAATGTGGGTGTTTGTTAATGCACCCTGCAACGGGATGACATCCTACCCAGGGCTAGTTCAAGTCTGGCACCCTGAATTGTTGGGACAGGCTCTGGCCACCTGTGACCCTGAACTGGAATAAGTGGGTAAATAATCATCTTATTAATGTTTCTTAAATGTATGTTACAGCTCACATTTTTTCAGTGTTTAGTGTTAGAAGTGTTTGGGGTCTCTAGAAGTTTGGTGATGTTTTTGTGACCAGAAATATGCCATAGAAACTTTCCCACTTGTTTACATCAATTGGCCTATGGTAAAGTTGGTTTTAAAGTCAAAGTTTCTCTTATTGTGTAACTTGCCATTGACATCTACTCATGTTACTTAAATAAGCGTTTTGTTTGTTTGTTTGTTTTTTGTTTTTTTGAGATGGAGCCTTGCTCTGTCACCCAGGCCGGAGTACAGTGCCCTGATCTCGGCTCACTGCAACCTCCGCCTCCCAAGTTCAAACGATTCTCCTGCCTCAGCCTCCCAGTTAGCCGGGATTACAGGCACATGCCACCACACCTGGCTAATTTTTGTATTTTTAGTAGAGGCAGGGTTTCACCATGTTGGCCAGGCTGGTCTTGAACTCCAGACTTGAGGTGTTCTACCCGCCTCGGCCTCCTAAAGTGCTGGGATTACAGGCATGAGCCACTGCGTCCAGCCAAATAATGAGTATTAATTGGCTGAATAGCAAGTATTCTCTGAAAACATTATTTAATAATACAAAACTTGTAAATATTTTAGCAATAACTGTGTTTTCAGATTTGCACTCAGAAAACTAGTATGACTTTTAATATTGTATCCCAGCTTTTCTCCTTTTAAAAAACAGAAAACCCTAACTTCTGTAACTTGACTGAGATTAAGCGTATCTGATACCATTATTCCAGATTATGAGAAAAGTCAGCTGTGTGGCTACAGAGAGCTCTGGCCTGAAGTAGTTATTAATAGAATTCACATTGGGACGTAAAAACAACTGGAACTGAAACTTGGTCTGAGAGCCGCCATGTTTCATGTCTCATTTCAGGCTACTACTTTGCATCTTTTTGACTTACAGCACTTAAATATGCAAATGCAAAATTGTTAAGGTTTTTTTTTTTTTTTTTTAAAGATGGAGTCTTGTTCTGTCTGTCACCCAGGCTGGAGTGCAGTGGCACGTTCTCAGCTCACTGTAACCTCCGCTTCCCGAGTTCAAGCGATTCTCCTGCCTCAGCCTCCTGAGTAGCTGGGATTACAGGCATGCACCACCACGCCCAGCTAATTTGTGTGTGTGTTTAGTAGAGATGGGGTTTTGCCATATTGGCTGGGCAAGGTGTTTCACACCTGTAATCCCAGCCCTTTGGGAGGCCAAGGCAGGCAGATCATCTGAGGTCAAAATTGTTAAGCCTTTTAAGGAAGAGAAATGTATGGCTTATTGATTTAAAAAAAAAAAAAACTAGACAGGTTAATATTTTTCATGTAAAACGATCTTAAAATCTTTGTGCTCTCTACTTTCTCGAATGTTCTGCTTGACAGTTGTCTGAACTTTCTGAGAGCTTTGATAGAGTCTTATACATAATACGTGCCTCTCTTAGTAATAAAGTTTGAATTGCTATGATAGTGAATATTGGAGGAGTCTAAAAGTTCGTAACAGTATGTCACCCATACTGATATACTGCCTGAGTTAGTACAAGGGGTCTGCAGATCCACTTAGCTACCACGTAGATGGTGATGATACCTTAAGAAAGGATTTTCACATTCAAAAACATGGAGAGCCACTGGATTATAGAATGACAAAGAATATTTTACTCAAAAAAATTTTGGGAAGTACTCTCCAGATTTAACGATTAAAAGGAATTTGTGGTCCTATTGAGCTTTCTATCTTCTGATGGTGTCTATCTGCCTGACAGGAATAATATTGATGTGGCAGTGGCGATAAATGAATTGTATGTTCACACTGAATGACCCTAAGCTATCATCTTGTAGTCTGATGTGATTTCATAGGTTCTTAAGTTCCAAAAAGGTTGTGAATTTCTTAAGAGCATGTCATGGCTAATGGCACAGTCAGGACTTGATTATGAATTTCCAGACCCCTGAATCCTGTCATTTTCCTTTAGTTCCGTGAAGCTTCCCACAGTGTGGAGTAGTAGTTCAGTGGTGCATGTTTATTTTTAAGGAAATATTTCAAGCATACAGAAAGATACAGATGGAATACATTAGATAATAGTATAATAAACAGCCAGAAAACCTTCACCTGTATTTAATAAATGTTAATATTTTATTGTACTTGCTGCAGTGCAGTTGGATGTGTATTTTTTAAAGGAACTAATATTAAACAGTTGAAGCCTCCTTTGTCTTCTGGCTAGAGCTTCTTCTCTCCCTCAATACCAGCAGAAGCAGCCTTGTACAGCAGTCTTCATATTCTAGATGTTGCTAGTCAACATTGTTACCTTCTGAAACCAGAAAAAAAGTTTTATTTTGCTACTGTCATCTGTTTTTCAAATAACTTGTTAAAAGAAGTTATAATAACAGCATAGTGGAGGAGGACAGGACTTTAAAGTCGTAGAGAGCTGGTTTTGAAACTCAGAATTGTCACTGACTATGGAGAGTTAATCAAACTACTTAATCTTTCTGCAGGTTTCTTCATCTGCCCAATGAAGATGAGGACTCTTACCTTGTAGCTTTGGTGAGATGTAAAGCCACTGTATGGACAATACCTAGAGTAGTACTTAGAACAGAGGAGGCACTGCAGAGGCTAGCTTTAATAGTAGTAGTAGTGATAGTAGTAATTCAGTTTATTGTGGGCTACCATGCACTTGGTGCCATTGCAAGTACTTCATCCATGTTCATTTAAAAAGTGAGGTAAGAATTAACTATATGTAAAAGACTTAGAACAAGGTGTGGCGGGTAGTAGGTGGGTCATAAGTATTAGCTATTATTATTATCCCCATTTATAGGAGAATAATGGGAGGAACTCTAAGAAGTTAACTTTCTTCTAAGTACTTTACATATATATTAATTTATTTAATCCTGGTCGCTACTTTATATGGTAGATACTATTATCCCCATTTTATAGTGAGGAAATTGAGGCACAAAGAAGCACTTCTACCAAGATTGCACAGGTAGTGTCAGAGCTTATATCTTAACCCAGGCAGTCTCGCTCCAGAACTCATGCCCCTGATCGCTGTGCCATACTTCTTCTGTATGTGGTATGGCTTCTTACCTTATCTATCCAGTCCTAGGAACATATCTTTCAGGTGGTATGATCTCTATTGACTAAGAAGTCCTTCCTGGTTTTGTTGTAGATGCAACACGTTTCCTCATGTGACCCCAGCCTGTTAAAATGGGGTCATTTTGATAGAAGCTACCTGGATTTGATTCGTTTGGGTGGCTGTTGCTCCATAAGTACCTTTAACAGTCTCTTCACCCCCCACCCACCAGTTCTTCCTGAAGTCCCCAGTGTGGGTCTTACATGTGCTGAATTTGGCCAGTGACCCAGTAGCCGTCTCTGGTCAGCACTGCTTTCTGGCCATTGCCATCACCTCCTTCAGCCACATTGGCCTCGCCCCCTCGGACCTGCTTCACCCACCAGTCCTGCCAGTAACACCACCATCAGTGCTGAAGATGCACAATGTTCCCACTGTGCAGAGTTCCAGGGTCTTTACAATGAAATGAGAACCATTCCCCAGGCCCATTTATTTTATTTTGTATTCTGGGACTTACTTGTAACCATATAGAGACCTTTAGAGAAAATAAATTACCAAGGTTTTTTGGTTTGGTTTGGTTTGGTTTCTCATGGCTTTTTTGCTTTCACCCCAGACCTAAGAGCTTGGCAGAGAATGAGTGGACTGGACCAGGGGCAAATCTTTGTGACAGACTCTGGCCTCTGCTAGTGGTTGGATTGGGCCAGGCTTGAATTTCTGATGCCCCCTTCTCTTAGGGTGGGTTCATACAACGAGACTACCCATCTCGCTGGCTGTCTAAATAATCTTTTCTCCCCATATTCATTTTGAATTATTGGAGCCTTAATTGCACTACAGACATGCTAAATTTTGTGATAGCTTAAGTAGTATTAAGACATTAAGATTCCTGGTGTTAGTTTTTTCTCTGCAATTTTCTTAGAAATATTGACTTACTGGAGCCAGAGGGTCTGTAGAGATGAGCCAGTACAGGTTTCTTAGAGTATGTTCCAAGGAACACTGCGCTATCAAAGATGCTCTGCATAAAAGGACTTCCATGGCAAGTGAATGTGAGGAATGCTACATACCTTCTTTTTCCCCTTGGAGATTAATGACACATGTAGGTCTTATTAGAGGCTCTGTGCTGTCCTGTGATAAATAAAGCCAACTAACTTGTTTTTATCAAGTGTTCCCTGATTTGCAGAATCATTAGATGTTTAGTATTATAGGATTGTTTTTTTTGGTTTTTTTTTTTTTTTTTTTTTTTTGAGACAGAGTCTCGCTCTGTCGCCCAGGCTGGAGGGATCTCAGCTCACTGCAAGCTCCGCCTCCTGGGTTCATGCCATTCTCCAGCCTCAGCCTCCCGAGTAGCTGGGACTACAGGTGCCCGCCACCATGCCCGGCTATTTTTTTGTATTTTTAGTAGAGACGGGGTTTCACCGTGTTAGCCAGGATGGTCTCGATCTCCTGACCTCGTGATCCGCCCGCCTTGGCCTCCCAAAGTGCTGGGATTACAGGTGTGAGCCACCGTGCCCGGCCTAGGATATTATTTTGCCAAAGCTATGTCTTCTGTTTGGAACATCTTTTGGCCTTCACCAACTCTCTCTTCCAGTTCTGTTCTTTAAAATTATTCAGGCATCACCTCCTCTGTGGATCTTTTCAGGACTCTCCTAGATAAAATTAAGGATGGAGATCACTCCACCTTCGCAACTGTTTATGGGATGTTAAATACTTTTATTACAGCAGAGTTGACATTGTGTTTTCTTGCTTCTGTGAGACAGAATGATTGGAGGAACACAGACCCTGTTTTATTTATCTTTCGTTTTTTAATTTTTCTTCTTTGCTGCCTGGCCAGTGCTTATCTGTGGTAGGTGTGCCAGCATTCATTGAACGGAGTGGTTTGCTAGCATTCAAAGCATAAAGAAGAAAAGCTGCATTTGTCAGGAAGTCATTCTTCCTCATTCTGAGCATCCCAGTTAACATGCCTTTTTACCAGGTGGAAGGAAATAGTATAGTACTAGCTGTTCTGTAGAATTTTGAAAGAAATCCTTCTCCTAGCAAAGACTGTAAGAGGGCTTTGTATGCTAATTCGGGGTTATCCCCTCTTCTCCTTTAATCTCAGAGCATTAAAAACAGTTAAGGGCTTTTTTAAAATAGAAGGTATTCACTCAAAATATTACATATCTATAACTTCTTAAAATACAGAAGCTTTAAATTTTGTTAGTGGGGTAAGAATTATAGTAAGTTGTATTATGCCATAACCTACATATACTAACAGACCACTTTCGTAAGTATGTACTAGCCCTGTTGAGTTGACCACTTAGAAGTATACTCAAACTGCACTGCCACATTTCCCCAAAGGTAACAAGTAAACATAGGAGAAAACATACACTGCAGCCTTCATGTAACACTGACTTGGGATCTTTTTAATGAACACCCAAATGGTGAAGGAACAGAGGTTTTCATTTCACTGTGCCATGCATTCTGTACCAGTGCCCCCAGATAAGGGCAGGATGCATGGCCTTGCTGAGAACACCCCTCCCCCCACAGTAGTAGTGTAGGAAGTTCCAACCTACTTCTCTAGTGTAACGTCTCTCTAGGTTTATGCATCAGTTGTCTTGTAGACATTCCCAGCCCTAGATTTGTCAAGTAGCAAGGGGGGATTCTTAAAAGGAAAAACACGTTTAGCCAAAAACTGTTTTGTTTTGTTTTTAAAAACATCCTTCTTACTTACTGATCTGTGTTCAACAATTAGGGAAGAGGATACTCACAATGTTTCATTTTTCCCCAAAGGTTTCTAAAGGTTTTTCCTCAAGTACCAAGGACACAACAAAGGAAAGAATAAACAGTGGAATTTTTAGCGCAGAATGTCAAAAGAATACAAGGTTTTATGGGTTTTTGTTGGAAAGGAACAAGTGGGAAATGGGACCATATTAATTTTAAACTCCCTCTGTTGGGTGCTCAGAACATAGTTTACCTTAAGCCTGATGGATGTTCTGAGTTTCTCCCCGCAGGGAGATAGGTGAAAGAGTCCTAGTATTTAGAAGTACTGTTACAAAGCTGATTACTCTGATGAGTGATATAAGTGTTTTAAAGCAATATTTAGTCTAAGTAGTAAATATTCCTAAGACAGACAGTAACTTTACAATTCATTTGTTTTGTTGTCTTAAATGGCAGAACAATGTTGTTTTTCTGTCACTAACGTTTTTATATGTTTTCTAAGATGATGAATCATACAGAATCACCAAACTCATATTTCTGTTCAGGTCTGACCATTTTTACAATTTTCATTTGCCTATGTAAATATTACCCACATATTATAGTTCATAATTTGTGATATGTCAGCAGATTTCATTGAACTTGAGTCTTAGGTCACAATAGAACTAACAACATATTGGCTTCATTCTAGTCCAATTTGTTTTCTTTTATGCCTACACACCAAGGGTGTTCGCTTGAAAACAAGTCTTCCTTCACCTCCTGCTTTTTCTCCTCACCTGCTCTTTAAAAAATAATTGTACCTGACTCAAATTGATAGTCTTCTAGGATTTTCATTCGCTAACTCAAATTGCTAGTCTTCTAGAGTTTTCATTTGCTACCAAGTTAACTTGCTTACTAACTTGATTTGTCTTATCTCTTTTAGATTTATTTAAAATCCCTACCAATTTTAAGAGTCACTGCATATTCTTGATTACTTCTGCATGGCTATATCTCCATGTCCCCCTCTCCGAATTCTGATGTGTATTTGACTTGTTTGGATTATATTTCCTCCTGGCAAGTTTTGACTTCGTTGCAGTTTGACGTTTTCTTGACCTGTCAGTGCTCATGATTGTTTCCGTGGCTTAACAAAGTGTACATATTTAGTTTCATTATTGTATAAATTTGTTGATTTTTCTGTTCATCTATTAACACATTTAGAAGAAAGAACTTTTCTTTTTCCAAATTTGAACAGAACATCTCAATTCTATTAGTGATGTGCTTAGTAATGTGTATTGGATTGATTTATTGTGGTACATTAATAACTTGAATGTGGTAGTTTTTAATGGAATCTGCCAGCTACATTTCTGAGAGACATGAGTGTGCCAAAGAAACACCATAACCAAGCTTTTACACTACTGCCTTATTTTCTTTCTGGAACTAGGCAGGTGTAAAGAGATGATTTAGAAAACCTTTTTGCATTTTATCTTTTTCTTAGTGTTTATCTGGGTTTCAGCTGCAAGGAATATAGCCCCTTTCGTTTGATGATGTTTATCCATATTTAAACATGGCCACCTGAAAGTTTAGCCTTAGTGTTTTATCTTAAATATGTCAGTGACTTTGGAGACTGTTGAAGTACATCCATAATGTTTGTATGTTAGTTTAAAAGTAAAAAAGACTTGGTCGGGCGTGGTGGCTCATGCCTGTAATCCCAGTACTTCGGGAGGCCGAAGTGGGTGGATCACTTGAGGTCAGGAGTTTGAGACCAGCCTGGCCAACATGGTGAAACCCCATCTCTACTAAAAATACAAAAATTAGCTGGGCGTTGTGTTGGGCGTCTGTAATCCCAGCTACTAGGGAGGCGAGGCTGCAGAATTGCTTGAACCTGGGAGGTGGAGGCTGCAGTGAGCTGAGATCCTGCCACTGTACTCCAGCCTGGGTGACAGAGTAACACTGGATCTCAACAAAAAAAGTAACACTTTTCCTGCAAGGCAGTTTTCTCAAATTCATATTTGAATATTCTTATGACTATTTGTGGTCAAGAAAGATGCCTTTTAATCATAAAATAATCTTGAATAGAGTTTTTAAAAAATGTACTTCATGCAAGAAGACAAATGAGAATCTTTTCCTTCACTTAATAATGTATTCTCTGCTCATAATAATGCCCTGGTCTACAGTTGTCAGTATTTTATGCAGACGTTATTTTATATGTTCCAGTGGTGTCTGAAATTTATAGCACACTGAGTTTGAGTTACCAGTAATAATTTACTTAGAAATCCCTTCAAGTTTATTCAGTATTCAATAGAGGATCAGTTGCTTTAAATATATTCATACATTTTGAGCATGTAAGAACATTTAGTATAGGAGAACTGTACAGTTAATATACATTTTTCTTTTTGATTCACTTTTCTTCTCTAAAGGGAGATTTGGGCATGTACTTTATAGACTGAGTCAAAGGTAATTGACTGCAAAAAAAAAATTGATACAGAGTTGCCACTTTTAAGAATGATTTGATACTGACTAGTAGCTCTCTGTCTTTTGTAAATTCCCTCTTATTATAGTTAGTTGCCTGATGATTGTTACAAATTTACTAATTTGGAAGTAATAAAAACTTTCGAATATTCTTCCTTTTCTCATTGAAGTTCTTTACCTTTTCTCTTTGAAGTTACTTACATATCCCTAGAGGCACTAGTTTATGGTAGAAGTTGTTAAGGGCTATGTTTGTCCATCATGAATGATGGTGTAACATCTGCATGGTGTTACTTCTTAGATCTTTGTTGATTAGAAGTGATAATCAGCTACTCTGACTCTGAATCAGGGAGTGTTTATCAAGCCCATGACATCTGTTGTTCTGGGTGCTTTGTTCCTAGCTGCAGGACAAGGAAAAGGCCCTGCCCTCAAAGAATTTACCCTTTCCTTGTCTAGTTCAGCCAGTGATTGTGTGTTTACAGTATGATTATCTATTAATACATTGTCTTATTTTAATTTTGGTTAATTTTATATATATTTTATGTTTCTATACTGTGTTCTGGTTTTCAAAATCCTGTAATTGTGCTGGAGAATACTTTTAATTTTAAAACTCAAATGGAGTGGTGTTTTGATGGAAACTAATCCATGATTTAGGGTAAATGGAGTTATTGTGCATGACCATGTGGAATATGTTATCAATATGAGTCAATCAGAATCACTAAGGTGGTATTAAACTGCTTATATGTCTTGTTTATAATTAGTTGTGTTATTGTCTTTGTTACTTGACTTCCATATTACTTAACTGTTGATGTGGTTAATCAGAACATGAGCTTTTTGAGGGTGAATTCTATGCCCATATCTCTCAAAGGCCTAAATAGGAATGTTTGCACACAATACTTAAAATAGTTTTTCCACTAATAAAGATTTCTGATACAGATTCAACATACTATAAAACTGATTTCAACCGGGTGCAGTGGCTCATGCCTGTAATTCTAGCACTTTGGGAGGCCAGGGCGGGCAGAGTGCTTTGAGCTCAGGAGTTCAAGGCCAGCCCGGACAACATGGAGAAACCCCATCTGTACAAAAAGTACAAAAAAATGAGTCAGGTATGGTGGCTTGTGCCTGTGGTCCCAGCTACTCGGGAGGCTGACGCTGGAGGATTGCTTGAATTGGGAAGTGGAGGTTGCAGTGAGCCAAGATTGCGCCACTGCACTCCAGCCTGGGCGTCAGAGCCAAACCCTCTCTGTCTTTAAAAAAAAAAAAAAAAAGAATCAATCCTTTGTTGTGCTAAAGAGAGGATATTTACCCTATGGGGGGATAAAAGTAGTAGTGCCTGTTTCTTGTTATAAATAAATAGCAGTTGTGCCGTCTTTAGTCCTCAGGGTCAAACTTTACTGAATAAAATCTGGAATAAAATCTTGTGGGAACTAATTTTCAGAATGTGAGCCATTTTTATACATTGTTACTTCTTATGTAAACCTACCTATGTTATAAATGTTGTATCATATAAAGATGGAAGATTCGCCCTTCCAATGGTTTATTTAATCTTCCTTGCTTAGAAGGAATAGGCCAACAGTTGGCAAAGACAGTATGTCTCTGGAGAAACTATCTTACTGGAAAATAGAATTGTCCTAGTATTGAGATAAAGATGGTTTGGTTTTGGTTTTGGTTTTGTTTGCAGATGCCTCAGATCTAGGTCAACAGATTAAAAGTACTTGTAAATATTCATTTTCCTTTTGTTCTTGGAAGACACAGACTGTGAAATCACTCTCATCTGAGTGTAAGTCATAGTGTTTTTTACATATAGACTTTATCACCTTGAACATGTAACTGAACCTCCCATATCCTTTGTCTCATCTGTAAAATGGAGTAGTAAGAGCCGCGTCTCAAGAGAATTGACTGAGTAACCCATGTGACTGTTAGCCCTATCCTTGGGAAGGAATTGTCAGCCTTTCTGTTTCATTATGCTCTCCCTATCCTCAGTTTAAGTCATTCCTGCTCTTGTCCTTTACCTGGAACCTTACACTTTAAGTGTCCCACAATGGACTAGGATTGTTTTGGAAGGTCGTTCCTCCCTTGCTGTCCTCTTCCTCAGTAATATGGCTTATGAGTTTGGTAGTGTGTGAATTTCTTCTGCTAGGAAGGCTTCACAGGTGGACCTTAATTAGTTAGCTCTGAATTGTGCCTATCCCAAATAATGTATTTTCTAGGGTTCCTTGAAGTTCCTTGGACACCAAGAGAATCAAGATACGGAAATCTTAATTTATACCTAAGGTTAAATCTCATTAATTTCCAGAAAGGTTTTCTACGATCGTTATAGTCTTAGTTGCCTCTATTGCAGTGAAATGCTCTAATAATGAAGAGAATTAATATGCTTCTTTAATTATTATAATTAATCAAATCGTCACTGTTGTAAAAACTTACAAAACTTGTTTGGATTATTATCAAATAGGTATCAGCACAGGTGCTGACTTCTTGTAAAAACAAACTTAGACTGGGCAGTGAACACTCATAGCAGCAGAGAGTACAGCTCTTGAATCAAACCTGTGGGGGTTTGAATCTGGCCCTGCCACTCACTTACAAACTGTGTTACCCTGGGCATAACCCAGCCTCCCCAAGCCTCCGATGGAAAAGACCTCACAGGGTTGCTGGAAGGGTGCAGTAAATTCATACATGTAAAGCACCTAATCCATTGTCTGGCATGTAATATAATTTTTCTGTGATGACACTCTGGCAGTTATTTCTCCATATCGCTGGTTGTTGACAAACATAATATTTCCTTCCTAAGGATGAGCCATTTAATAAATAACTTAAAAATTACAGTAGACTGGTAGGATTCTTTTTGTTTGTTTATTTTTTTGGACATGGAGTTTTGCTCTTGTTGCCCAGGCTGGAGTGCAATGGCGCAATCTCAGCTCACCGCAACCTCAGCCTCCTGGGTTCAAGTGATTCTCCTGCCTCAACTTCCCTACTAGCTGGGATTACAGGCATGCGCCACTATGCCCGGCTAATTTTGTATTTTTAGTAGAGATGGGGTTTCTCCATGTTGGTCAGGCTGGTCTCGAACTCCCAACCTCAGTTGATCTGCCTGCCTCGGCCTCTCAAAGTGCTGGGATTACAGGCATGAGCCACCGTGCCCGGCCAGGATTCTATTTTTGAGTGTTTATGAAATGTCCCCTGTGTGCCAGGCATTGTGCAGAACTAGTGTTTTAGTCAGACTATTTGAGGTTGCAGGGAACAGAGATGGGTTAAAATTTATTTCATTCCAAATTAAAGAATCCACCAAGAAGTTTCCTCCATTGCAGCATGTACACTTGGCCCGTGGAGAACTAGTCATTCATTATCCAGGGGTGGTATAAAAGTGGCTGTCATCATCTAACAGCTTATCAGGGGACCCGTGTACAACTTGTTAGGTTGACTTTTGTTGCTTCTGCATCCCTGTCTTTCTTCTAATTTCTCTCTCTTCTCCCTTATTTCTGTCTCAGTGTTTCTACTTATTACCTTGCTCTGTTTCCGTGTTAAGTGCCACTCTTCCTGCAGTAACACTATTTGTGTGTTTTACTTTCAAACTCTCAGGGAGAGAGCTGACTCAGGCGTACAATACCGTTCAGTACAGAAGGTCATTGGACCAAGGAACATTCCTGGACCAGGCAGCTGTGGAAGCTGGGATGGATTCAGATGTATAAAGCACCTTAAGCATTAGCCACCACCCTTAGGACTGGGCAGACCCTTCGCTTCCCAGAAAGGGGCAGTATGTCAGGTCACTGGGCAGTGTGATAGAACAATGAATAAGAGGGAACTTGTCCTGGAAGAGCTCACAATGTGGAGAGGGAAGCAGATACTTAAACATATACTTAATTTTATGATATATTGTAGTTAATATTTACCATGCAGCGGGAGAGCAGCTAACTGCCGTAGAATGGTGGTAGGAAATTCTTCATTGAAGCCATATTGAGATGGCAAAGGGTATTCCTGGCAGGGAAAAAAAAAAAAAAGTCATCTGCAGAGACGGGAGTAAAATATCATGGTATATTTATGAAGTTTTTTTGTGCTATGAGAAGAGGGCCATAGTTGGTATTTAAGGGGCTCCAGGAAGAAGGTCTAATTTATGGTACTGATGAAGATGATTAGACATAGAACCAGGAGAAAAAGACCTCATAGAAGAGTAGAGGAGAGACCTACAAGAGAGTTAGCACAATCAACAGTGGCTGACACCACATTATAAGGGGAGGACTGACTACAGTTTCCCTGAGAAGGGACCCTTGAAGCATCTTGGTTTTTAACAGGTGAGTTTTGTAGGTCTAGGAAGAGTCTAGCACTAGAAACCTAACCTCAGGGAGTAAGCGTTCTTGAAGTTCTGTGTCAGGTCACAAATTCATTCTTAGGAATGTCTAGAAACCAAAACCAAGAAACCTCATGTTTCCTAAATAAACAGGAAATGAAGATAAAGCTTGATCTGTAATAGTGCTTAAGTTTCTCTTATTTTTCTGACCACAATTTTATTTATTTTTAAGTCTTCAAGGTAGTTTCTCAAAACACATTGTTTAGCTGAAATCTGTTATTTTTTTAAGGTCAAAAGTGTATACACTATTATTTAAAATAGGTATGTTTCTGGGTAATGTTTGGCAAAAATAACTCCCCGAAACATTCACGTTTAACCAACATGAGTTGGAGATGGCTCTCATCTCCCAGTGACTTCACAGCTATCTGTTTAGATTAGCTTTGGTTAAAAAAAGATTTTTTTCCTGCTATGGCTGTGATATCTTAATTGGATGATAAATCACTGCTATATACATACATACATACACACACACACTCATCTAGTAAAAATGAAAACCCTATATATGCCTGGCTTATGGAAGATTATATGTTAGGATTATAACAAAAACAATACAAGTATGTAAAAAAATTTTTCACAGTTTGGTTCTGTTTCAGAGAGAAATTAAACAGAGTAGATGTGATTTATTCGTGGCAAATACAATAGGATTTACTATATATTTCATTGATTCAAAGATCCCAGTGGTTGTAAGTTGTACCATTATTTTATATACTATGAAGGAAATAACACCTGCCAGTTAAATTATAATAACTTTTGATTGCAAGAGGCATTCATATTTCAGATATTAAAATGTGAAAAAATACACATTTTAAAATTAATGACATGTAATTATTACAAAGAGACTAGGAAAAACACTTTGGTTTATATTTGCAGATTAATTTAGGAACAGTGAAAATTGTTCTGAACAACATCTAAATTGCAAATTTAGTCTTAATTAAATACAGAATTATAAAAAAAGTTAATAAGAATAGTCATTAAAATTTAAAACTGGGAAGGCTGTAGGACTGCCAGAGTTAATAAGTGATCATTCACTTAATATATGTTCATACTTATTATGAGCCAGACATGCTTAGATGTTAGGTGTATAGATGGCGATAACACGTGGTCCCCTCACTCATGGAGCTTACAGTTCATAAGAGAGGAACAGTTTGCAAACTGCATTAACCATGTTAAAGGAAAAATACAAGTGCTGTGAAAGAATGGAACTGGGAGTTCTTAATTGAAATTGGGAAAGTCTCTGAGGAGTTGAGGAAAATCTAGAGAGTGGGTAGAAATTAGGTAAAAAGTAGACAGAGAAGGAAGCAGCCTGTCCAGAAGCCCTGAGTAGGAAAGATCTTGGGGTTATTGAGGCAGTGAAGAAGGGGGGTTGCAGGTCTGATGACAGGAATTGAGGTGAGACCACGAGGTGCAGGGCCACTTAGGTTGGGCTAAACATTTTGGATTTTAGTCTAAGCCCGGGGGGAACCACTAGAGCATTTTAATGGAGGAAGTAACCCTGGCTGCACTGTGAAATCTGGGTAAGATTCAAAGTTAAAGAAGCCTCGTTAGGAGCCTGTTGCTAGTTCAGAGCAGGTTTAAGAGCAGCTTGACCTGGATGGGCGTGTGAATGGAAGACATATTTTTTAGAAGATTATTTGACAATATTATCAAAAGTCTTCATTTGTGTACATTTTTAACCCAGCATTTCCATTTCTAGGTGTTTATTCTAAAGAAATAATTTAGGCCAAATGTGGTGTAATCCCAGCACTTTGGGAGGCCGAGGTGGGTGGATCACCTGAGGTCAGGAGTTCGAGACCAGCCTGACCAACATGGTGAAACCTCATCTCTACTAAAAACACAAAATTAGCCAGGCGTGGTGGCACATGCCTGTAATACTAGCTACTTGGAAGGCTGAGGCAGGAGAATCACTTGAACCTGGGAGGCGGAGGTTGCCAGTGAGCCTATTGCACCATTGCACTCCAGTCTGGGCAACAAGAGCTAAACTCCATCTCAAAAAAAAAAAAAAAAAAGAAAGAAAAAAGAAAAAAATAATCTCATAGTCCTTAAACATAAATAAGGTAAAACGAAATTTAAAAAAGAATCTCAGATGTGTGTAAAAGTTCAGCTACTAGAATGCTCATCCCTATTATTTATGATAAAAGAAATTGGTCTAAAAGATGACAGTATTTTCAAACAAGTGGAAAGGAAAGAGACACATTAGACTTTAAGGAGGCCATGCCATCCAGAAAGATTTGTTTAGACAAGGAACATCCTTTGTGTGTTTGACTCAGGGCCAGGAACAGAAACTGAAAATCCATAGCAGAGAAGAGATACTCCTGAAACAGATTTGGGGGAAGAGAGATAGCTAGGACCAGAGGAAAGACTATCAAGCACCTTGGTCTAGGAGTGCAGGAGTTTCTGGTATAAAAATGCACTGCAGTTCCACTGTGAGGCTTATTTTTTGGAACTAGCCTGGGAACCAAACCACCTCTTGCAACATTGTTACTGGAGGGGGAAAGCGCTTTTAATACTAAAGACTTGGAAGTGAATTTTTATTATGCAGTCACCACATAAATTCAGTTGCCTACAAAGCTGAGCCTCCTGGAATACCAACTGAGCAGGATGGACTTTTTTGGAAGACACTTTATCCCCTGTGTTCTTCACCCCTACCTCTCTTTCTCTGCCTTCCTCTCCCTCCTCCTTTTTCTCCTCCTCCTTTCTTCTCTGCCTTCTTCCCTTCTCTCCATCCCCCCTTCCTCTTTCCTTCTTTCTCCTCCCTCCCTCTCTTACTTTCTTCTACACATCCCCTAATATTTATATTTTATAATCAGCATAAAAAGCAGCCAAGCACATATAAGTAAATTAGATAATCCTCCTTTTTTCATACTTTTTGAAAGTCTCATATTGCTTCTATATAACAGTATTTGTGTGTGTATGTGTGTGTAAGGAAATATTTTACGCTGTGGTCTTAATGCCTATTTGCAAGTTTCAAACCAAATGTTATGTATTCTTTGTATTTCTAAAAATGTCTAGGCCAGTTGCTGATACAAAGATGTTTAATATGTTGCCTTCTACTTTCCTCACAGTCTTGATGCTTCAGTGAAACGGGTTAACCGTTTCCTTTCTAGTGAATATTTTTTTTTAAGTAGTTTCTTCTTCCTTTGGCTGATTCTCTGAAGATCGTACTTCATAGTTGTGATTAGCTGGAAAATTCCTAGAGGAGTTTGAATTTGTCTTTGTAGTAAACTTGAGGTTCTTGTTTTTGGTATTTCCTTGAGTATTTCCTTTTCCTATCAGTGTAGAAAAACTGTTCTCTAGCTTTAAAGACTTTTCAAAATAGTTACTGAAATTAGCTTAGTATTTTTAAAGTTGTTACTAATCCCAAGGTGCAGTTGCTTTAACTGCATCCTTATAAATCAGGTTTTCAAATCTATGCATATCGTGTATGCATGTATGCTCATGTGGATATGGGTATATTTTAAAATTAGTGATTTTCGTGAGCTTGATGCTTTGCCTGTTAGGCTTTGTAGAGTTAATTCTCAAACGTTCTTAGTTTAGAGATTGTTTTATTCTGGTAAATCCACACCATTTTATGGAGTAAAGATCAAATGTTTGTACTGGATAATTTTTATTCTTTATAGAGTACCCCAAGTGCTTTGTTATGAAGTCACTGTTCTATGAAAATAAAAATTTAATCATGTAGGCTATGAAAAATTGTTTTGGGGTCATAGATGATGTAGTTAAGTTTCACTTCACTTATTAAATATTTATTGAGCTTATTTCAGATAAATCAGCATATCCACCAGATTCTATCTGTATTGACTTAATTTATTGGAAATCCTGGGATAAAAGTGTAGTAATACACCCTTCTAAATATTTGTTATTTGGGTGGTAGAATTAAAAACAATGCAGTCTTAGTGAATATATTTGTTAATATAGTGCTTAATGTCTTGGGATTCATTTTGTTAACTACAGTGGAACATAGGTCTGCATGATATATGTCAGTAGTATATAATTCAGAATCTTTTCAAGCTTTAAGTCATTTGGGGTTTTTAGCAGTTATCTTTTTTATTACATGTCCGTTGGAAGTATAAAATAGAACCATCCATTCTGTTTGTTCTTGGAAATTATTTTTCATATATACATTTCTCATTTTATTTGTTTCTGCCTGCATTTTAGTCGTGAGATGGAGAATAAAGAAACTCTCAAAGGGTTGCACAAGATGGATGATCGTCCAGAGGAACGAATGATCAGGGAGAAACTGAAGGCAACCTGTATGCCAGCCTGGAAGCACGAATGGTTGGAAAGGAGAAATAGGCGAGGGCCTGTGGTAAGTGGCTATGGGTTACCAGTTATAAGGAAGAAAGCATAGGAGGAAATGGAAAAGTAAGCATAAATAGATCCTCTTGTAAGCTTTTCTTCTTCATTTTAAATGTAGTAGTTTTCTTTACTTGATATTGTGGTCATTTGGAAGAAACCATAATTAAAACTGTGCTCATTAAACAACTTAAACTATTCTGGGAACTTAACTGTTGTGTTTGGTGGAGGGGTAAATGCTTAAACCAAGACTGCCCTCTCATGTCAGTATCTAAAATCCTTTCATTGGAGTTTTATACTGTACTTGTAAATTTTAAAAAGAATTTTTCCAGTTTATTTTAGATGTTTTATCTCTAAGACAGGATCCAAGGATCTTAATTTCAGAAATCTTCTAGGAAAGAAAACATTTAATTGCAGTAATTCATAAGTGTAATGATTGGGTTTTCACATGCATGCATAAGATGTGCGTTTCTCCAACTTTGTTACAGTGTCAGCATGTTATCCTCATTTGACATGAAAAAATGTTTAATAGACCTATGGGGATTAAGATAAATTAAAAATGTGTGGGGTTTGATGAAAGAAAATCTAGAGTCCTAGATTTTAAAAAGCAGGGATACTCTGTCCTTTGCTATAGGTATAAGAATATATATTCTTATAAGAATACCATCATGAAATGTGTGTCTTCATTCTTACAAAGGAAGAAGTATTACAGTATCCTAGCACTAATCTCTCTCAGCAAGTTTTTATTTTGTTCTTTTAAAACAGATATGGCAACTTAAAATTCATCTAAGCTTTGACAAGGGTCTAAATACACCCCTGCCAAGTGATTGTCTGCCCTACATTCATCCCATATGCCTATTTAAGTTTACATTTAAATTAATTAGATGTAAATAAAAGTAAAAATTTAGTTCCTCAGTCTCACCAACTACATTTCAAATGCTCAGTAACCACATGTGGCCAATGGCTACCTTTTAGGCAGTGCAGTTTTAGCACATTTTCACTGCCTCAGAAAGCTCTCTTAGATGTGTAGTACTGACTCGTGTCTGACTTAAATAACTCAATAATCCCTGTGGCTTTCGATATCCTCATCACTGAGCTGCAGTCTGTCAGGAATATTTTACCCACTGGTTCTCATTCTAACCGATGGAATTATACAGAATAAATCTAATTGTTCCTTTCCATACCAGCACTTGGTAAGTTATTATGGGCCCGTGAGTCCTTGTCTTTACAGCTAAGTTTCTACATTTCTTCCATTTATTACTCACGTGAGGTGGTATGGTGGGAACCCCTCACCATTTTAGCTATTCGTGCCAGAAGGTGAATATGAAGAAATTAAGGATTTATCTTAGAGAAGAGAAAGTGCTATTGAAACATCTTGTAGAATGTTGGCAGTTAAAAGGGCATATTACTACTCAATCAATATAAAGAACTTTTGAACAAGCAGAGCCATCTGAAGTTTGAATGTGCTGCTTTCTGAGCTCCTTTAGATGGAGGTGTTCAAACAGCCTAAATCTTTTGAGAATACCGTAGGGCATAAATCACAACTTTTTAAAAATGAGCCAGCTATTTGTTCTTTATTATACATGAACTAAGAATATCCAGTTCTCTAAAACAAAATTTTGGTTTTTATACTGTTCACTTTCTAGCAAGTACCAAAGTACCTTGTCTGTATATAAGACATGAGTGAAGAGGGAGGAGATGTGTGGAATAAGATGCATAACACATAGTCCTTAAGCTTAATTATGCCACCCTACATTTTATGATTTACGGATTTCGTATTATCCTTAGGAAGTTTACTGTTTACTTGGGAGGTCTGATTTTGTTTGTTTTTATACTTTAAGTAAGTTGTGTCAAATCATTCTTGAAACATAAAGGGTAAATATCTCCAAATGGGAAAATTAGACTTATACATAATAAATAGAGTAATACATGAAATATCACAAAGCAACTTGTGACTAGGTGCCAAATGTGTGGGATGGGCAGAAGAGCAATAGGGACTTAGGAAAGAGAAGGAATGTCTTGCTGGTAGACTTCAGGGAAGTTTCATAAAAGGAAGAATTTTAACTCAGCGTAGAAAGATGGGTAAATTTTCCTCATGTGAAGGTGTACTGCCTGGGGTGCTGCAGGCTGGAGATGAGTATTAAAATAGGAGGAGAGTGAGTGAAAGCACAGGAGGAGGAAGGGTCAGGCAAGTTTGGTGAACACAGCAACTGGCTATAGAACAGGAGCAGTGGGAGAAAGTCCAGAAAGGTCTGCTGAGCTTCAGTTGTACAAAGCTGTGGAGTTTGGCCTTTGGTCATGGCTAGATTAGGTCTGAAAGCCTTAATTAAAAAAAAAAAAAAAAAAAGGCAGGTCTTGTAAACTGCATTTCTGCTTGAGAAATTGATCTTTAAACTTCTAGTCTCTTTTGGTTTTCTGAGATACACATCTAACCTATTATTGTAATATAACATTGTAAAGAAACACACACACAAAGCAGGGAAAATGATTGCATAGTGATCAAACTATTTGAAATTATGCCCAGTGTTGTTTCAAGGTCCTACATTTTGTAAAAACAAATAAAAACGTACCTAGATCTTTGATCTAGTAGTTGAATAAGTTGACTGTAGAAGTTATGAGTGCTTATTTTTCACATTTGTTTAATCACCTTTGATTGTTGCTTTTGAGTGTTAAATGAGTTAGGGTATATAATAACAAATAATACCATTTCTACAGTTTTGTATGCATTACAAAATTGTAAGGGAGGAGGTTGCGTTTTAACTAGTGTTAAATCCTAAATGACTGAAATTTGTGCAGGTAAAAATAATCTTTTACATTAATAGCTTAAAGTAATAATAAAAGTTGATATATTGTCTGGTATACTGGTATAATATTTCATAACAAAAACTCATTAAGTGTATTTCCTAGTCTATGATATTTACATTTACTTACCTTTTATATTTTTAAGTAATCAAAATATTGGAATACTTTGATTCAGGTGGTAAAACCAATCCCAGTTAAAGGAGATGGATCTGAAATGAATCACTTAGCAGCTGAGTCTCCAGGAGAGGTCCAGGCAAGTGCGGCTTCACCAGCTTCCAAAGGCCGACGCAGTCCTTCTCCTGGCAACTCCCCATCAGGTCGCACAGTGAAATCAGAATCTCCAGGAGTAAGGAGAAAAAGAGTTTCCCCAGTGCCTGTAAGTTAATGTTACAACAAATATGTTAGTTTTTATAATTTTTAGCTTCATTTATAACAAAGAAAAGACTGGCCAGCCATCTGTTAGAACATCAGTTTTCAAAATATGATCTGCAGACCCCTGAGGATGGGGGGGGTGGTTCCTGAGACCCTTTCTGGGGTCTATTAGGTCAAAACTAATTTTGTGATAAAACTGGGATGTTGTTTGCCTCTTTCCCTGCATTGATATTTGCAGTGGTGGGTAAAGCTACTGGTGCCTTTTCCCAATTTAAGGCTACAACTGTAGAAACTATATTCATTATTGCTATGTATCAGCCATTAAAGAAAAAAATGCCAGTTACACTTGATAATGCCTTTGACAAGGAAATATAAATTAATTTTATTAAATCTTGACTCTTAGTAAATACGTGCCTTTGTAATATTGTGTGTGATGAAATGGGATGCATGCATAAAGCACTTCTACATACCAAAATCCAGTAGTTTCTAAAGGAGAAGTATTTGTGCGGTTGTTAGAGTTGCAAGCTGAACTAGTTATTTCTTTCATGGAACATGAAATGAGTGACCAACAAACTATGATTATTTAGATTTGGGTATTTGGAAGACATTTTTCTTAAGGTGAATTAAATGAGACTGTCACTTCAAGGAAAGCAACTTAAGGCTGGGAGCGGTGGCTCACATCTATAATCCCACCACTTTGGGAGGGCGAAGTGGGCGGATCACCTGAGGTCAGGAGTTCGAGACCAGCTTGGCCAACATGGTGAAACCTCATCTCTACTAAAAATACAGAAATTAGCCAGGCATGGTGGCAGATGCCTGTAATCCCAGCTACTCGGGGGGCTGAGGCAGGAGAATCGCTTGAACCCAGGAGGCAGAGGTTGCAGTGAGCCTAGATTACACCATTGCACTCCAGCCTGGGCGACAACAGCGAAACTCCATCTCAAAAAAAAAAGAAAAAAAGAAAAGCAACTTAAGTATTTTTTCACTAGTGTTAAAAGTTGAGATGTCGAAACAAAAATTAGAATTTTAGAAAGCTACTATCCACCACTATGAGCTTGACAGCCTCCCAGTGCTTAGACTTTTCTGATAAGATTGGTGATAACAAATGTGATTATTTTCATGCTGTATAATGAAATATGTGAACATTTGGAAGATCTGCGTAACTTAAGGAACCAATATTTTCCACGTGATCAGTGTATGATAATAACAAAATTATTCATAGGTAAAAGATACATTCAAAGTGTAAAATACACCATTTGGATTTTTAATGTGCCAGTAGGAAAAGTTTGTTGATGTGGTTTCAGATTCCACATTACAACTGCCTTTAAGAAACCATTTTTTGAGCTTTGGTATAGTACCAAAGAATATTCATCATTATTTGAACAGGCAGTGGCTCACACCTATAATCCTAGCACTTTGGGAGGCCAAGGTGGGCGGATCACTGGAGGTCAGGAGTTCAAGATCAGCCTGGCCAACGTGGTGAAACCCCGTCTCTACTAAAAATACAAAAATTAGCCAGGCGTGGTGGCAGGCACCTGTAATCCCAGCTACTTTGGAGGCTGAGGCAGAGAGAATGGCTTGAACCCGGGAGGCAGAGGTTGCAGTGAGCCGAGATCACGCCACTGCTCTCCAGCCTGGGCGACAGAGTGAGACTCCTAAAAAAAAAAAAAAAAAAAAAAGGGGCTATTAAAATACTCCTTCCTTTTACATCTACGTATCTGCATGAGGCCAAACTTTCTTTCATATACTTTAATCAAAACATCATATCACAGCAGATTGAATGCAGAAGCAGCTATGAGAATCTTAGCTGTCTTGTATATTAAGCTAAACATCAAAGAAATTTGCAAAAAGATAGGTGGTAAATTCATGTGAGAGAGAGACTTCTAGTAGTGGAAATGCATGTTAAGACTCACTTTCTAACTTTGAAGAACAAATGATTGAATGGAAAAATGGTTGAGATAGTGACCACAAGAGGAGTTTGGGTTTTTTTTTAAGATCTGGAGTTATTAAGGTACATAAATTCGTTAAAAAGTACATTTAAAGCAAAAACATTTTACAGTAAAACCTGATGCCCAACAGTAGTTGTTGGCTCTATGTTAAAATACCTTTAAATTAACTATTAATTTTTGTTAACTTAAAACAATAATCAGTTACTAGCTCACGAATCTGCAGATTGGGCAGGGCTCAGCAGGGGTGGCTTATCTCTGTTCCTTGTGACATTCTCTGAAGATGAAAGGTCCAAGACTGCTTCTTCACTCACATGCCTATTGCTTCAGCTGGGATACTGGAACACTTGGGGGGCTGTTGGCATCTCTTCCTCCTAGCACGAAGACTGGGTTGCAAAGAGTATTGTTTCGAGAGGCAAGTCTCAACATGCAGGCTCTTCTCAAGCCTCCACTTCATTGTGTTTGCTAATGCCTTATTGTCCAAAGCTAGTTGCATGCCCAAACCCAGAATTGATGTGATAGGGAACTACACAAGAATGTAAATACTGGGAGGTATGGTTCATGGGGGCCATCAAAATGAAAGTTTACAACAAGTATAAACAGAACTGTCTTCCTTCCCCACACCCCACCCCCAAAACCCACTTTGGGCATATATGCTAGACAAAGTTACCCCTCATTCTTTTTAACAGTTACATAGCCTTTCATTAGCTGGATAAATCATGGTTTATTTAATGAATGATATACTAATGAACATTTATAATCTTTTTAACCTTTTGTTACTGAAAACAGTGCTTCAAAAGTATTTTTATACGTATGTCATCTTGTACATCTGTGAGCATGTATCTGTGAACATATCCATAGGCTGGATACCTAGCAGGTCAAAATGACGTGTGCATGCATAATTGGCTTTTTTTGTTTGTTTTTACTTTTTAGTAACTGCTTTTTTAAAAATAATGGCTTTATTGATGTGTAATTCATCTACTGTACAATTCACCTGTTTAGATTGTACAATTCAGTGTTTTATAGTATATTCACAGGGTTGTGTAGCCATTATTACGGTCGGTTTTTAAACATCTTTATTACCCCAATAAGATATCCTAGACCTATTAGCAGTATTAAAGCAAAATAGGTAGTAGGTAGCCTGGGGTTGTTTCTACACCTGGAAATGAAACCAACCTTTAGCCAATCACAAACAGCCAGCCAGCCTATTTGTTATATAACTAGGGACTTTGCATAATGCCATGCCCAAGTAAGGCAAACACCTAGCTGTAGCCAATCAGCTGATTCCTTTGCTTTGCTTTGCTTTGTGTTCAGCCTGTAAAAGCTGGCTGTTCAAGGTGCTAGATCAGAGATCTCTGAACTTGCGGTTTTGAGTACCACTTGGTTCATGAATCATTCTTTGCTCAAATAAACTCTGTTAAATTTATTTTGTCTAAAGTTTTCCATTTAACAACAGTCTCTCCCAACCCTAGGCAACCACTAATCTATTTTCTCTATATATATAATTTGCCTATTCTGGACATTTCATATAAATGGGATCACTTAATAGGTGATCTTTTATGACTGGCTTCTTTCACTTAGTATCATATTTTCAAGGTTCATCCATGCTATAGCATGTGTTAGTACTCCATTTTTAATTGCAGAGCAATATTGTATGGATATACCACATTTTGTTTATCTATTAGTTGATGGACATTTGAGCTGCTCCTGTTTGGTGGCTATTATGAATAATGCTACTGTGAACATTTGTGTACAAGTTTTCAGGTGGACATATATTCTCATTTCTCTTGAGTTTATACCTAGGAATGGAATTGCTGGGTAATACGTTTAACATTTTGAGGAACTGCTATACTGTTTTCCAAACCAGCTGCACATTTTACATTCTGCCAGCACTATATGAGAATTCTAATTGCTTTGTGGTCTTGCCAACATTTATTACCCTTAACTATTTAATTAGGGATCCAAAAAACTGGAATTTCCACTGGACATTGATGGAAAGACCAAGTTCTAGGAAAGTTAGTATAGTGAGAGTGTTATATATTATCCTCACCCTAGGAGCGTTTTTGTCAGCTTCCACTAATTTGTTTTTATTGAGGAAGAGTCTGCAGAGTGTATGTTGGGAGGCATTCCATGGCAGCGTTTGTAAATTTCCTGTTAAAGAAGATTAATAAAGCCTTCAATAGATCCCAGGAAGTTGGATTTTTAGTTTTTACTACTAGACACAGCATTCTGCCTGCTTATGATATATACTTTCTATGCTTTTTGTTTTGGTTTATATTAGATGTTTCAAAGAACTCAAATGTTAATAGAATAATTTATAAAATTACCACATGGTTGTCTCTCTCAGCCAGATATTTATCAACATTTATGGGGATGACTGAGATTTTAAAAGTTCACCTGAGATGAGTATGTCAGACAAAATCATTTAGCCTTTGTTCCATAATATTTTAAATCTGACATTTTTTCAGACTATAATCTGCCACATGACTGTCTTGTATGATCTTCTTTGGATAATAGTTTCTTTTTTTTTTTTTTTTTGAGATGGAGCCTCGCTCTGTTGCCCAGGCTGGAGTGCAGTGGCACAATCTCGGCTTACTGCAACCTCCATCCCAGGTTCAAGTGATTCTCCTGCCTCAGCCTCAGAGTAGCTGGGATTACAGGCATGTGCCATCACACCCAGCTGATTTTTTGTATTTTTAGTAGAGATGGGTTTCACCATGTTAACCCGGATGGTCTGGATCTCCTGACCTCATGATCCGCCCTCCTCGGCCTCCCAAAGTGCTGGGATTACAGGCGTGAGCCACCATGCCTGACCGGATAATAGTTTCTTAATTAAGAAATGAGAAACGTACCTAATAAAAAAAAATGTTGTGAAGTTTCAGAGTGGCAGAATCACACCACCCCGAAGAGCCCCTTCACCAGATGGCTTCTCACCATATAGCCCTGAGGAAACAAACCGCCGTGTTAACAAAGTGATGCGGGCCAGACTGTACTTACTGCAGCAGATAGGGCCTAACTCTTTCCTGATTGGAGGAGACAGCCCAGACAATAAATACCGGGTGTTTATTGGGCCTCAGGTAGGATTCGTCACCATTTTATACTTTATTAGTAGTAGTATATGGTACTACCTCAAATTTATATACTATAATGTTCTTAAATTTAGATCAATTAATTCCCTATAGTAAACAAAGTTAAACTTAAAATGTATTTTAGGCTAATATTTTTCTTTAATGTATTTATGAGGTTTTACTATCTTAATATACCATAGAATAGAAATTTGATCTATTTAATAAATTCAGTGAAAATGAAAGATTAAATCATGGAAATAGCTGTAGATTTTTCTTATATACAAAGATAATGAAGAATATGAATTAATAGAAACTTTAGTATAAAAAGTTGGAAATATTGTAAAAGTGATAAATTTAGAAGTTCTTGTGAACCACAGATGTATTAACCTATAGGTTTTCTTTTTAACTCTTTAGAACTGCAGCTGTGCACGTGGAACATTCTGTATTCATCTGCTATTTGTGATGCTCCGGGTGTTTCAACTAGAACCTTCAGACCCAATGTTATGGAGAAAAACTTTAAAGAATTTTGAGGTAGTTTTTAATAAATGCTTAGAGTAAAATTGTTAGCATATTCTTAGGATATATTCTTAAAATTTATCCTTCACTAAATTTAGGCAGTGACCATTTTAAAGGTGTGAAGGTATGTAAGAATTAGTTGATGCTTATAAATAGTTCTCATGAGATATTTACTAAACTTTTTCTTCTAGCTTGAAAAAAACAAACACTGACCTGCTGTAAGAATGTTGTCCTTAGTAAAAACTATAATGTGTTCTTATTTTTGAAGCTCTTAAATCAACTTTATGAAAAACATGCAAATTAAAGATAAATAATTCAGCCTCTAGAACTCTTCATATGTATAATTATGGCACAAATATCATTGTTACTGTCTTTTTCCAATGTTAGGTTGAGAGTTTGTTCCAGAAATATCACAGTAGGCGTAGCTCAAGGATCAAAGCTCCATCTCGTAACACCATCCAGAAGTTTGTTTCACGCATGTCAAATTCTCATACATTGTCATCATCTAGTACTTCTACGTCTAGTTCAGAAAACAGGTTAGTACTTTTTAAGGATTTCAAACATTAATCCAGTGTTACTTTTAATTTTAGGGGTAATTTTTTATATCTACTTGTTAAGTTGCTCTAAAATGATTTAATTATTGAATCTTGGCTTTCAAGTTAAAATCAAGGGTGAAGATACTAAAAGTTCGCTGGGCATGGTGGCTCGTGCCTGTAATCCCAGCACCTTGGGAGACTAAGGCAGAAGGATTGCTTGAGCCCAGGAGTTCAAGACCAGCCTGGGCAACATAGGGATACCCCAACTCTACAGAAGTAAAATAATTAGCTGGGAGTGGTGATACCTGTAGTCCCAGTTACTCGAGAGGCCAAGGCAGGAGGATCGCTTGAACCCAGGAGTTCAAGTCTCCAGTGACCTATGATCGCACCACTGCCTAGGTGACAGAACAAGACCCTGTCTCTTAAAAAATATGTGGGTGTGTGTATGTATGTATGTCTGTATGTATGTATGTATGTTAAAGGTCATGTGAGTGTGTGTGTGTATATAGACGTTTTGTGCTAAAAACTACAGCATTCATGTGAATCTTCTTTCTGTTCTGTATATTGCTTTATTGGTTTTAGTGTAAAAATTAGATTTTTAAAAATTAATCCACAAAGGAGTGCTGCTTCTCTTACCAGGGCACCTTCTATGTTATTCCCGAAGTGCCCAGTTTGAGAAGCATTGTTCTGAGTGGTTAAATCCTGTCTTCATCCTATTAATCTGTTAAGTATTGTAACTACCTCAAAATTCATGAAGAATGAAAAAGTGACAGGGTCGTAACAAGGGTGCAGTGAAGAGAAGAGAGGTTTTCTTCATCTGTGGAAAAAGTAAATGTTTGAAGAATTTTCTTAATTTTGATTAAATGAAATAATTTTAGAATCCTAGAGTTTTACGAGTTTTTAGACATTGAAGATTTTCTAGTTGGCATGTCTCAGTGACACAGCGATAAGTGAAGCCAAGAGGTTATGCAGCTCATTTGAGGAAAGGTATAGCCAGAACCTGGGTATCTTTGTTTTACCCCTCATCTCTTCTAAATAAAATGAAAAAAATGAGCTTTATTTCTCCAGCCTCCTGAACTCCTAGCCCCAAGCATTCCTCCCACCTCAGCGTCCCAAAGTGCTGGGATTACAAGTGTGAACCACCACACCCAGCTCCTTTTTCCTTTTGAGTGACATTTCTGTAACTTTTTACTGTGGAGAAAAATAACAGATGCTTAAAACCAAGTAGTCAAAATAGAAAGTTTCTCTCTGAGGTTAAATATATATATTTGGATTTGCATATCCATGGGGGGAATCACAAAAGTTATCTTGGTTACTGAGATTGTACTGTACATACATAGATAGATTTTTGTTTCGTATAACCACTATTTTTATATCTAAGATCAATAAAAAGAAAATACAGAGGAAATTTATCTGGAGGTCTGATTACATACAATTTTAAATGTTATGCCCAAAACAATAATAAAAGAATTAGGATAAACAAATTTAAAATTCAATTGAAAATGAAGGGCATAAAGAGAATATCCACCAAAAAAGAATTTTAAGGGGCTAAGAAACACAAAAACTGTTCAGTCAACCTAATAACCGAAGAAATGTTCATTTTTTAAAAAAAGATACCAGTTTTTATTTACCGAAATAATGAAGACTTTTTAAATGATGTAATTCAGTTATTGTAAGCATGTGCTTGATCGTATGTAAAGCCGTATAGCCTTTTGAAGAAAAAAGGAATATGGCTTTTAAAAACATTTATATTCATTGATCCAGTAAATGTTCTTCTTAAGTAAAAGTTTAATCTGAGAAATGCAAAAGCCTCACATATATCATATATGACTGTTTCTCATAGTATTATGGTGAAAAAGTAGAAACAGTTTAAATATCCAACAGCAATTGAATGATTAAATTAGCATATGCCCATGTTACAAATGTCATGTAGGCATTAAAATTATGCTTTTGGAGAACGTTGAATGGCCTGGGAAAATGTCGATAAGTAAAACCAAATCTAGGTTATAATAATATATTATGCATGAACCCAGTTTTATATAGAAAAGGTATTACAAGTATGTAAAAATCGGAAGGAATAAAAACTTCACTGGTTATTAATAGGAGGTGCTATTATGGGTAACTTTTTTTAAACTTTAAATATTTTGTGGTCCATTTGGTCTCTTTTAAAACTACTCAGCTCTGCCCTTATATCCTGAAAATAGCCAAAGACGATATATAAATGAACGGGATGGCTATGTTCAGTAAAACTGTATTTACACAAGTAGTCCACAGGCTGATTTGTTTTCCTTATAAGTTCATTACTCCCTGCTCTATACTTGTAATTTTGCTTCAGAAAAAACTATGCTAAAAAAAATCTGAAACGTCAAAAAAAAATGAGTACAAAGATGTTTGTAATGGTTTCTTTCTTTCTTTTCTCTTTTTTTAGACGGAGTCTCTCTCTGTCACCCAGGCTGGAGTGCAGTGGCGTGATCTTGGCTCACTGCAAGCTCTGCCTCCCGGGTTCATGCCATTCTCCTGCCTCAGCCTCCCGAGTAGCTGGGATTACAGGCGCCTGCCACCATGCCCAGCTAATTTTTTGTATTTTTAGTAGTGACAGGGTTTCACCATGTTAACCAGGATAGTCTCGATCTCCTGACCTCATGATCTGCCCGTCTCAGCCTCCCAAAGTGCTGGGATTACAGGCGTGAGCCACCGCGCCCGGCCGTAATGGTTTCTTAAAATGTAAAAATATGGAAACAGCTTATATGTCCAACATTAATGGATACTTAAAACAGGATCTATCTAGTCAGTGGAAAATTATGATGGCATTAAAAATTATGTGGTGGAAGCAACCCAGGTGTCCATCAATAAATGAATGGATAAAATGTGGTATATACACATAGTGGAATATTACTCAGCTTTACAAAGGAAGGAAGTGTGCTACAACATGGATGAACCTTTAGGACATTATTCTAAGCAAAATAAGCCAGTCACAAAAAGACAAATATTGTATAATTGCACTTACATGAGATACTTAGTCAAAACCATAGAGACAGAAAGTAGAATGAGCCTAGGTGGGAGGATATGTTGACCAGCCTGGGCAACATAGTGTGACCCTGTCTGTACCAAAAAAAAAAAAGAGAAAAGAAAGAAAAGAAAAATTAGCCAGGCATGGGTGGCATGCCCCTGTGGTCCCAGCTACTCAGGAGGCTGAGGCAGGAGGATCTCTTGAGCCCAGAAGTTCAAGGCTGCAGTGAGCTATACTTGTGCCGCTGTACTACAGTCTGGGTGACAGAGCAAGAACCTGTCTCAAAAAAATGTAGAATGGTGGTTGCCAGAGGCTGGAGGAAGGAGATCATGGAAAATGGTGTTTAATGGGTATAGGGTTTCAGTTTTACAAGATGAAAAGGATACTGGAGACACATAGTGGTGATGGTTGCACAGCGTGAAGGCATTTAATACCACTCACGTGTACACTTAAAAATGGTTAAGATGGTAAATTTTATGTTTTGCATATGTTGCCACAACAAAAAAAAGAATTATGTATATGAAGAGTTTAAGTGCAATTTTATAATAAAAATTTTTAAAATATGAAATAGTGCATATATATACATAAATGATCTGAACAATGCTTACAAAATATGTACTTGGAAAAAAGATGGGCAGGAAATACCCCGGAATGGTATTCTTTTTGTTGTCAGAGAAGTATTTAATAAGTTGCACTTATAATTTGACTAAATTGTGAAACTTTATTTTCCTCTATGAATAAGCTTAATTTTGGTATAATTATTTGAAGGGTTAGTTGACCTTGGATTATTTTTGCCATGAATATTTTTATTATAGGTAGTTGTATACATCATTTCTGTAATGCTGCTGTTAATTCTTTGTTACTAATGCATGCATAGTCTTGACAGTTTTTCCCCATCCTAAGTAGCTCCATAATTAGGAAAAGAGATGGGCAGGTACATCAGGAGGGACAGACTAGTAAGTGTGCCTTCATCACAGGAATCACGCATTATGACTTTGCTGACTTGTTTGACTAGCTTTTTGGAAAGCTTTTTGTGCATTTGGGGAACTGGTTATTTTGCTGGTAGTTACTCAGATCTGTTTTTCAGGGAAAAGTAGTTACTGTTTTTGCCATTACTTCTAATGGCAAAATTAGAATTAAAAAAATTAGAAGTAATGGCAAAAACCGCAATTACTTTTGCACCAACCTAATAGTTTAAGATAGTAGAAGTGCAATATTGGGCCTAGCTTAGCAGACTCTGAAATTTATAGATGTTGTAAGTTTATGGCATATTCTTCTCAGATAAAAGTGTAATGATAGATCTGCCACAAACTGATTTTATGATTTGAGGCAACTTATTTAACATCCCAGAGCCTTGTCTTTATATTATAATGAAAATACGGCTATTGATTTTAAAAGCCATCCCTCACATCATGAAGGTTTAAATAAAAACATTTATGAAATAGAAAACTAAAGCCCTCTTTAGCCTGGCTGCACACAAAATAACTACTGTTAACTATTTCATACAACTTTTAAAAATTACATAAATCAAGGAATGAAACTCTTCTTTGCACACTTCGTACTTCAGCAAACACATGCACGCACGTTCCCCCATCCATGTTTCTCTCAACTTTCTTACTGTTTTTAAACAAATACAAAGTCATGCCATATGTTCTGGTGTGCAGTTTTCTTTTACTTTTACTTTATATATCAAGAATATTTTTCCACATCATCACCAAATTACATACTTTTTTCTTTTCATGGCTGTATAAGATTATGTTGGTACACCATAATTTATTTAGCCATTGCCTTAATTAATGTACATTAAGTACATCTCCACTTTTTGGTTTACATACTTAAAATATGTAGCGATAACATCCTAGAAAATAGGATTTTTAGGTCATGAATATATACCATGTAGTATTTTAAGAAATACTAACAAAATTTCCTTCCAGAGATTTTAGTTTTTACTCCTACCAGCAGTCTATATGAGAACCTGGTTTTCTGTGCCATTATCAGGGCCAGATGTTACCAATCTATTATTTTTTATTCCAATTGCCTTTTTATTTCCTTTGTCCATTGTACTATTTATTAGTATTTTTCTAACTGATTTTTAAAAGTACTTTGTATGTTAGAAATACTCAAGTATATGCAATATAATTAACCATTATGTTGCGATTTTGCCATAAATGGAATCATCCTATACATGGTAGTTTTATTTTGACCTCATTTATGGATTTCTCTGTTCCTTTTTAAAGGCTTCAAGGTGTCTGGGTTTGCCATAATTTGTTTAGCCTCTTTTTGGCATTCATTTGGTTGTTTTGATTTCTTTTCGTTATTCTAAATAATATTGCAGTGGACATTTTCATACATATATCTCTATATATTTATCTTTTTATTTTCTTACGATACATTCCTAGAAGTCTAGGTGAAAGATTGTGTACACTTAAAATGTGATGTGTTCCTAGATTCATTTCTGGGAAAGTTGGATCAGTTCATACTGCCACCAGAAATTTCTGAAATAGGCATTTAAATTTAGGATGTGGAATCTTTGAGCTCTAAGGTCCGCCAGTACTTAAAATCTTGAAACTGGTACCATGTAGTGTATTTTTATACATAGTCAAACCTGTTGGTCTATTCAAAAGGTACAGTAGCAGAATTTGGGGGATACAAATGTTTCTTTCTAAGATTGCAGTCTGTGTATTGAATTGTTTTCATAGCAAAGAAGGTTAACTCACACCTACAATCTATAAATACTCGTGTGTTAATCTGATTTTAAATTACTGTATATTAATAGTGTAAATATGTATCTCTTAGTTATATAAGATGCTCTTAAGAATTTCTAATGTATTTATATTCTAAGCAAGCAGAAAGTGTTTTTAGCATATCCGTTCTACTTTATATTCTTTTATGCTTAATACTTTTTCTTCCCCTTTTCTATAGCATAAAGGATGAAGAGGAACAGATGTGTCCTATTTGCTTGTTGGGCATGCTTGATGAAGAAAGTCTTACAGTGTGTGAAGACGGCTGCAGGAACAAGCTGCACCACCACTGCATGTCAATTTGTATGTGGCTCTTTTTCTCCCTATGCTTACTCAACACAGTTGCTCTCTGAGCTAACTATGTTATTTAAGAGTGTAACATGGCTTGAGGGGAAATTGGTGAGAGAATAAAAAAAGTATATCTAAGTCCTAAGTCCTATGTGAAAAGTTTTCAACAAATGGGAATGTAGGATCTTTAGGAGATGACCTGTGTGAGCAAAGAAATGCAATAAAGTGTGTGTGACATATGTGATAATGGAAGAAGTGCACAGAATTAGAAACAATTTCAATCTGGAAGGTATACATGAAGGGAAGGAGGTGGAAGAAGACCTGGGCAGGCATTACAGAAAGGCTAGCATCAAAGTAAGGTTTGGAAGGACTTTACCTGGTAGTCAAACAGGGCAGAATGTTTTGAAAAATAGTAAGCAGAGTACATGTTATCAGAATGAATAAAATAGCATTTGCAAATCAAAATCATTTAACCTGCTGTGTTTACTTGCTTTCAGATAAACATTTAATTAGATTATTTTTGAGGTTCCTTCTATATAAATTCTATAATTATAAACAGTTATGAAATAAAAATAATGTTAAACATTTACATTTTTGTAAGATTTTGTTTCTGTAATTTTTCAGGGGCAGAAGAGTGTAGAAGAAATAGAGAACCTTTAATATGTCCCCTTTGTAGATCTAAGTGGAGATCTCATGATTTCTACAGGTAATAATTTTGAAATGATACGGATATGTTTAATTTTTAAAAATTTCTCAGTGTGGTTTGTCTTAATTTTTTTAAAGCAAGTTTTGTTATTTTTCATTTTAGCCACGAGTTGTCAAGTCCTGTGGATTCCCCTTCTTCCCTCAGAGCTGCACAGCAGCAAACCGTACAGCAGCAGCCTTTGGCTGGATCACGAAGGAATCAAGAGAGCAATTTTAACCTTACTCATTATGGAACTCAGCAAATCCCTCCTGCTTACAAAGATTTAGCTGAGCCATGGATTCAGGTAAGTAGTTCTTTGTTTTTCATTTCTCAAAGAAATATTTATAGATCAATTAATGTATTTGTCTCCTTCCCTCAGTTGTTCATAATTTAAAAAAACACTTTTACTTGCCTCCATCATGACCTTCATTCCACTGGAAATTTTAATGTTACTTTTGGTATTAATACTATACTGCTTATTGTACAGCTTCAACTTCAAAACTTCTTGTGGTTTCACTTCACATATCTAGAAACATCTCTTCCTGAACTAACGGACATACGGGGTTATTCAAGGATAGAAGGATAGAAACCAGAACCCTTCAATGCTAACTTTTCCCAATGTTTAATCCCCGTGCCTGCCAAGAATTTTTATCATGTTTCTTATTTGCTGCCATTTAAAATTAATTTCTCTTTTCATATCCTAATGGCATACAATGGGTGCTTAATAATTGCAGAGGAGATGAATAAGAAAAAAATATGTGATGGTTACCTTGAGTTCATCATTTTTATTTGTAAGAACAGTTTCCCATCCCTTTACCATCTCTTCTGATTGAATGTTTTTTCATCCTCAGTAAGTAGGGCTTTTTTGTCAGTTGGTTTGTAATGATTTTCTTGGTTGTTGAATGCTCAGTCTATTATTTTTTAAATGTAGGATCTAAAACCAGACGGGTCTCCAGTAGACAATAATAAAGTAAAATAATTATTTTCAATAATCTGTTAAATTCTGTTGAATTAAATTTGTGAACAGGTGCATTAACACATTGAGCTTATATATCATTAGGATTTGTTACATTTTTCTTTTGTGACCATTACAGTCCTGCAGCTTTGGAATTCTCTTAGCATATTAGCAACCCATTTATGAATCTAATAAAATCTGCAAAAATATTAAACACATTCTTGTACCTAGTTCATTAATGAAATTTAATGAACTATTAATGAACATAGGCCCTCACCTGCCCTTTCATGACCCATCAAAGAACTCTCAAGTTGATTCTGAGCTGTTAGAGTTCATTCTTTCAAGCATATGGTCTAGTTTGTTTTGCCTAAGCTTTAGGTCAGACTAGGCTCTACATTCCTAGCTTTTTATTAAGCATGTTAGGTAAGACAGTTAAAACATAGGTAGTGGTACACTACTTAACAGTACCAGAAGCTCACTATATTCTAGTTGGTTCATTCTCCCATAATATCCCTTTATAACAAAACATATGTAAATAAGTATGTTATGATCTGTTTTTCAAAAGTTGTGTTTATTCATCTTTAATATTTAGGCATTTTTCACATAATGAATTATCTTAGGTATTAAGCTTACTTTTAGCTAATTGGCCCATAATGTCAAGACCATTCACCCTTTCCTCACTGTAGGGACTCTGGCTTTTGGGGCATGGTATTGACGACGATAACAGCATATACTATAATTCTACGTCTACATTTATCCTTTGCTTACTCGAACACAAGCATTTTTTCTTCAGTTGTTTGATTTGTCCACTCCATTCGTTTTACAGTCCTACCTGTTTTGTCTAGTTTTTTAAACCTTTTTATACAGACAAAAACCAATTAAATGTGTTTTGCTTATTGCTCTTGTCTGTAAGAGAAATACTCTATATCTCTTGAAACCTTCTCCTGGTGCTTTTTTTGATTTGTTTTTTGTTTGTTTGTTTGTTTTCTTAATCTTGCTCCAGTTTTTCTCTTTAAACTACCTTAATATGAATACAGAGTTGAGGTTTTCACAGTTTTTTGGCGTTTTGGTAAGCATGTGGGACAGTAGAGGCATAGAATGTATGTATAGCCATCTAGTGACTTAATGGAGCTTATTATTAATTTTACCTGAGCTAATAAATATTAATGACTTTGGATAATTATCAGTTAAACTTGAGTATAAAATTCTTCCTTATGATGCTTAAGTGGCTGGATATATTTGAAGTTGTGAAGGATGGTAAAGATTTCAGAAATGTCCAGTTTTTACGTAGTAATCAAAAATGATGCTAAACTCAAAATGCTCTGGGTCCATAAGCTTTTCTTTACATTGAATTCATCGTGTGTGTTTGATACAGGTGTTTGGAATGGAACTCGTTGGCTGCTTATTTTCTAGAAACTGGAATGTGAGAGAGATGGCCCTCAGGCGTCTTTCCCATGATGTCAGTGGGGCCCTGCTGTTGGCAAATGGGGAGAGCACTGGAAATTCTGGGGGCAGCAGTGGAAGCAGCCCGAGTGGGGGAGCCACCAGTGGGTCTTCCCAGACCAGTATCTCAGGAGATGTGGTGGAGGCATGCTGCAGCGTTCTGTCAATGGTCTGTGCTGACCCTGTCTACAAAGTGTACGTTGCTGCTTTAGTAAGTAGCTTTATTCCATAATCATATCATTATGGGTTTGGGGTTTTTTGATGGTTCGTAGATAGTGTTTTTAAGATACAATAAAGCTACTTTACCTAATTTTGGAAAATCCAAATTTTATTTTTATTCCATAATTCCAGGAAATTACAGCTTTTGTTTTGTTTATTTGAATTTTACTGATTTTTATGATGTCCAAGGTTTCTTATATAACTGTTTTACTTTTTAGTTTCATTGTTTTAAAGGCTTTGCAGGGGTATCCAAGGGAGAGAATATAGTCATGGTTTCTTAGTTTCTGTTTGGGCCAGTAAAGCTCCTTCCTCATCCTCCTTTTCCACTTACCACTAGAGACAGACTAAAAACCATGGCTTCAGGCTGCTAAAGCCTAAAACAAAACAAAACAAAACAGAACAACAACAAATAGGGTGAGCTAGACAAGCTTGCTAATTTTTAAAGATTTTTTTAATGTCTTGCTGTTCATATCTGTACATTTTTCTGAGCAGATACCTTATACATGACCAAATTAAAAATGCTTTTTGGGATGGCAGAGTCATCAACGTTATTCTGATTTTTTAAAAAATTTATCAGATATTAAGGAAGATATGTTTTTAATAAACATTTTGATTGATTTTTAATAAACATTGTCATGTGGAGATTCAAAAGCCTTTTCAAAGAAAAGGGTTCCATGACATAGATCATTGAGTTGTTTTCCAGTTTAACCTGTTAAAAGTTCTTTCATGGGTGGAATAGAGTGACAAGGAGGTAATTTAGGAGACTAACTGGACTTTCTCCATTCTGCGTATATGTCTCTTTAGGGCTTCTCAGCCTCAGTACTATTAACATTTGTTAGATAATTATTTGTTGGAGGGTGGGGGGAGGGCCAGGGATGTTGTCATGTGTGTACTGTGGCAGCATCTCTGGCCTCTACCCATTAGATACCAGGAGCAAACCCACCCCCACCCGATCATGCCCCCAGTTATGACAACCAAGAATGTCTCCAGGCATTGCCAAATGTCTCCAGTGGTCAAAACTGCCCCCAATTCAGAATCACTACTTTAATTCTTATCTAGTCTGTTCTTAAAATTCATGAGCAGTCTGTAGGCTTCCTCCCTCAGTCTTTTTCTAATGCATCCTCTACCGATTGGGCCTAATGAATCTTCTTGACAGGTAATACAGCATGACAGTTACGAACATGGGTTTGGAGTCACAATTGAGTGATCTCATAATTTATCATTCCAACCACAATGCTTGCATAATGTGCTGGTTAAAGTTGGACTAGCCTAGGCAATCTGAACACATGATCAAGATCATAGAGACAGACCTGGATTCAAATTCTGGTTCTCCCTTTTACTAGCACGATGGCTTTATGAAGGTTACTTAACCTCTCTTAAATAAACTTCAGTTTTCTCACCCATAAAATAATGAAAATACCTTTTAGGTTTGAAATTAGATTATGTAGAAACTTTCAACCATATGCCTGGCACATTGTAAGAACATTTAATATTATATAATAGTTATCATTATTTCTTAAACACAACTTGGATTATCCCCCAAATCATTTAGAAACCTTTAGAGGTTTCTGTTTCTTTGACATTCCTAAAGCATATTCTGTGGAAGTTTGGCAGGGTTGTGAAAAGTTCCCTGAAGAAAGAATCCCGTATTCAGTTAAGATTGGTGAACACTGGATTACACAAGGATAACTAGGTCTGTTGACTGAAAGGCTTCTAGGATCCTTCAGTAAGCTAATGTACATTGTGAACCTAAAGGATCAAAGGATAGAATGCATTGTTTCCCAGAGTTATTTTGCTACACCTTGTTTTTTCATGTAGCATCTGGAGGGACCAGCATACTATAGAATAAAGACCAATTGGCCCAATATTTTGCCTCTTACTTAGTATTTTCCAACACAAACCTTCAGGCATACTTGACTAAATAAAATCCTCTTTTTGCTAGTTCCTTTTCTGCAAAGCCTTTGCTGTGTTACTCTTTTTGTACACACCGTAACTGCCTTACTGTTGTGGTTGTTTCTTCTTAAGTTCAGACTGTTTCCCAACTAGCTTATGAGATCCTAGAGCACAAAGATTGTATAAAGGATACCAGGCTCCATGGAGGCAGAAATGGCTCCTGCTGTTAAGGCTCACCCTTTCCCTTTCTCTTATCTCCCCTTCCTCTGTCTCTTCCTTTTTTTCCTCTCCCTCCCTCTGCATATATAATTTTTTTTTTTTTTTTTGCTGAATCGTTTGAGAGTTTTTTGCAGCATCATGACACTTAAATATGTGTCTCTTAAAACCAAATACATAATTCCATTTATTCTTCCATATACAGTCAGCACATTAACATTAATCACAATACTGTTTTGTACTATAAAGTTCATACTCAAATCTCTTCAGTTGCCCAACAGTGCCCTTCATAGCTAAACTGCAGACTTTATTCAGATTTCACCAGTTTTTCTGCTGTTGTCTTTTTTCTGTTCCAGGATCCAATCCAGGATCCCACAGTGCATTTAGTCACCATGTCCCCTTAATGTCTTCTCATCCATGACAGTTCCTCAGCCTTTCCTGGTTTTTAATGACCTTGACAGATACTTTCAAAGTTTACTGGCCAGTTATTTTGTAGAATATCCCTCAATTTGGGTTTATCTGATGTTTTCTCATGATTAGATGGAAGTTACGTATTTTTCACAAGAACGCCACAGAGGTGACAGGCCTTTCTTAGTGCATCATATCAGTGGGTACATATGCCCATGGCTTTTATTATTGGTGATGCTGTCAGTTAAGGTAATGTCTACCAAGTTTCCCTGCTGTAAAGTTAATATTCCTAAATATCTTGTGAGAGTTACTTTGAGATTATGCAAATACCCTATTTCACCTCAAAATTTTGTCCACTGATTTTAAAAGCATTTGTGGATCTTGCCTATAGCAGTTATTACTACACCATTAAAAATGGTGCTCTCTTGGGCACAGGGAGGGGAGCATCACACACTGGAGTCTGTCGGGGGTCGGGAGGTAGAGGAGGGATAGCATTACAAGAAATACCTAATGTAGATGACGGGTCGATGGATGCAGCAAACCACCATGGCATGTGTGTACCTATGTAACAAACCTGCACGTTCTGCACATGTACCCCACAACTAAAGTATAATTTAAAAAATGGTGTTCTAGTGGTGATTTTCTATTTTCCTCATTCCTTCTACATTAATTAATTGGAATTATTCTATAAAGAAGAGCTTCTCTGTTTATATACCTATTCAATTTTTAATTTGTATTGGTGTAGGCTCCTGGGTATTCATTTTGTTCTGTGGGTTGCAACCCAGTACTACCATCATTTGTTTTGTTGCTCTAATTATTCCAGCCTTGACCATTGGGAGCTCTTTCAGGTTGGCGCCTGTTCTCATTTTCTTTTTTAAAATAATTTTTTTTAACTTTTCATCTTGAAATGAATTCAGACTTTTAAAAATTGCAGAGAAAAGAGTTCAGAAAATTCCTTCCTGCCCCATTCATTTATTTTGTTAGTTAGTTGTATTATTACAGAAGCATGGAATTCTTATTTTATTCTATGGGTTATAATCCATTCCTGTCTACTTATTTTGTTGCTCAAATTGTCTCAAATTAGGCCATTATCTCTGATGCTTTTTAAGTGTACATAAACTGACCTTCAGATTTTTTTCCTTAGAAAACATTGAGAGCCATGCTGGTATATACTCCTTGCCACAGTTTAGCGGAAAGAATCAAACTTCAGAGACTTCTCCAGCCAGTTGTAGACACCATCCTAGTCAAATGTGCAGATGCCAATAGGTAAGGCTTTATTGATGAATCACTTCAAACCCTCTTGTCTTAAAAGTGCCTCGCAGCAAGCCTCACACCTAGTGTGAATATCTGATACATTTTATTAAATGAGTCTTTGAACATTGTCTTTTAATGTGAGATTTAAAATGAAAATGCAGCATAAAGCTCTTAAGGACTGGCGGAAAGAACTACTGGCAAGTAAAAGCCAGGCAAACAAACTGCATGGATCTCCACATTATTGTATTGTGATTTACTCTCTTTAGTAACATTCATAATCTGAAGACCAGTCGATAAGAACAGTAGTTGACATTTATATCTATAAGTTATAATCTCATATTAGAGTATGGGTTACACAGAATAGGAACCAGTAAGATCATTACACCTGCATATGCCTTATTATCAGGATAAAAAATTAACAAATCCATCTCATTTTCAGTGTAGTGGAATTTTACTCTACTTATGACAGTTTTGTCAAAAAATTTTTAGATTTTTTATATTCCTGCAATATCCTTAAAAATTGACAGGGAACAAGAATAACCCTAACTGGAAAGAAAAATATGAAGTAGAGAATTGAGGTACAATGACAGTAAAGATGAGTACAAGCCATGCTTTTTTCAGACCAATGGTTCTCTTTTATTTTCCCCTTCCATAAAATAGGAGGAAAAGATCAATTTTCATTTAATAATCACAGCTACTGTGAACAGTTATTTGGTAGTTCCTATTTCTTTCTATCCCAGCAGATCTTGGTTAGCAAGAAGTGTTGAATCTCCCTTCTGTTGCCTCTTCCATTTCACCCATTTAGAGTTCTCTCAGTACAACCTTTCTCTTCCTCTGCAAGTCATAATGACTTAGTTTGCACAGGATCTCAAAAATTAGGTACCTACCTTTAACGAATTTCTCATATCATGAAGTCTGTCTTTTGCCTCTATTGTTTTCTCTATAGATTGAAAATATTGGATGTTTCCTTGTTGCTTAGAGAAAACATTGTATATCTGTAAAATATTGCAAATTAACAAGTAATTTGCAAAATGCATAGGAAAAATGTCATTTTTAAATATTAGAATAGGTATATTTCTGAGAATTCAGTGTTCTCATGGTATTTGTTATGCTGCTCACTTTTTGAAACTCCAAACTTAGGTTGTTTACCTGGTCACCTGAATGACTGAACATAAGAAATACTGTAGAGAGATTTTATAATATTCAGACCTCATTTTGGCTATGTAAGGAAATGGAGGGTTTTTGGATAGGAAGGTTTTGTTTTTAATTCAAGAGCTTCTTAGTGAAAGTTCAGAAATCAAAATATCAAGGTCCTTGTTTTTTCTTTTAACAAAATATAAGACTTTTATCTGATTTGGTATTTAAATCAGTACTTGCAAAGAGCCATTGTTGAAAATTCTGTGCTTAACATAGGGGATATGTTAAATTTACGAAATTAGACCTAATAAATGAATATTACTACTTATGGTGACATTGTTAATATGATTTTAGTGGTGGAAAAGTAAACACTCCTGAAAACATTATTTCTCCACTTTTTCACAAGGCATTACATTACTCCTCTAATATTGTATAGTGTTTTAGCCAAGATCCAGGATTGATGTTGCTTTTCCTTTGTTTTTAGCCGCACAAGTCAGCTGTCCATATCAACACTGTTGGAACTGTGCAAAGGCCAAGCAGGAGAGTTGGCAGTTGGCAGAGAAATACTAAAAGCTGGTAATAACTTTTCACTTAAAAGGAATATAGCATATTTTATCATGTTCCTGAGCAGCCTTGTCTAATCTCATAATCTCTCATGAGGCAGTTTACAGGATTTTGAAGTAATTTTATAAATTGATTCACTGTGTTACAGTTAGAAATGTGAATTACTCTGAGAGAGAAATTCTTTAAAATAGTTCAGAATATTTTTGTTGGCCTTACACCATTTAATCATGTCTTGTTTTAGATTTTAATATCACTATTTTTTAATCATTTATTTTTACTTTCCTTTTTGTAGGATCCATTGGTATTGGTGGTGTTGATTATGTCTTAAATTGTATTCTTGGAAACCAAACTGAATCAAACAATTGGCAAGAACTTCTTGGCCGCCTTTGTCTTATAGATAGACTGTTGTTGGAATTTCCTGCTGAATTTTATCCTCATATTGTCAGTACTGATGTTTCACAAGCTGAGCCTGTTGAAATCAGGTAATTTTTCTTCTGAAAATGTATTACTTGTATCTTCCTACCCTCCCTACACCCTCCTCAAGAATGACACATTTTAGATTTTTGAAAGACTCAGAGCATGAATAGGTTGCTGATACCTTAATATTTGATTGACATATGAAAACCCAAAGTCTGGGCTCTTTAATTAAAAATTCATAGATACTTTATGCTGAAATGGTTTTTGAAGTATACATGCTGTAAATTACTACCATTTTTTAAGTTTCCATGTATTTTTCAGTAATTGGAACTTATATGGTAATGAATGTTTTTTTCTTTCAGGTATAAGAAGCTGCTGTCCCTCTTAACCTTTGCTTTGCAGTCCATTGATAATTCCCACTCAATGGTTGGCAAACTTTCCAGAAGGATCTACTTGAGTTCTGCAAGAATGGTTACTACAGTACCCCATGTGTTTTCAAAACTGTTAGAAATGCTGAGTGTTTCCAGTTCCACTCACTTCACCAGGATGCGTCGCCGTTTGATGGCTATTGCAGATGAGGTGGAAATTGCCGAAGCCATCCAGTTGGGCGTAGAAGACACTTTGGATGGTCAACAGGACAGCTTCTTGCAGGCATCTGTTCCCAACAACTATCTGGAAACCACAGAGAACAGTTCCCCTGAGTGCACAGTCCATTTAGAGAAAACTGGAAAAGGATTATGTGCTACAAAATTGAGTGCCAGTTCAGAGGACATTTCTGAGAGACTGGCCAGCATTTCAGTAGGACCTTCTAGTTCAACAACAACAACAACAACAACAACAGAGCAACCAAAGCCAATGGTTCAAACAAAAGGCAGACCCCACAGTCAGTGTTTGAACTCCTCTCCTTTATCTCATCATTCCCAATTAATGTTTCCAGCCTTGTCAACCCCTTCTTCTTCTACCCCATCTGTACCAGCTGGCACTGCAACAGATGTCTCTAAGCATAGACTTCAGGGATTCATTCCCTGCAGAATACCTTCTGCATCTCCTCAAACACAGCGCAAGTTTTCTCTACAATTCCACAGAAACTGTCCTGAAAACAAAGACTCAGATAAACTTTCCCCAGTCTTTACTCAGTCAAGACCCTTGCCCTCCAGTAACATACACAGGCCAAAGCCATCTAGACCTACCCCAGGTAATACAAGTAAACAGGGAGATCCCTCAAAAAATAGCATGACACTTGATCTGAACAGTAGTTCCAAATGTGATGACAGCTTTGGCTGTAGCAGCAATAGTAGTAATGCTGTTATACCCAGTGACGAGACAGTGTTCACCCCAGTAGAGGAGAAATGCAGATTAGATGTCAATACAGAGCTCAACTCCAGTATTGAGGACCTTCTTGAAGCATCTATGCCTTCAAGTGATACAACAGTAACTTTTAAGTCAGAAGTTGCTGTCCTGTCTCCTGAAAAGGCTGAAAATGATGATACCTACAAAGATGATGTGAATCATAATCAAAAGTGCAAAGAGAAGATGGAAGCTGAAGAAGAAGAAGCTTTAGCAATTGCCATGGCAATGTCAGCGTCTCAGGATGCCCTCCCCATAGTTCCTCAGCTGCAGGTTGAAAATGGAGAAGATATCATCATTATTCAACAGGATGTAAGTATAGATTCTTTAAGAGGTTAGAAAACTTCCTTGGGGCTGGGCACAGTGACTCATACCTGGAATTCCAGCACTTGGGGAGGCTGAGGCCGAAGGATTGCTTGAGCACAGGAGTTCGAAACTAGCCTGGTCAACAAAGCAAGACCCTGTCTCTACAAAAAATTTTAAAAATTAGCCAGGCATGATAGTGTACACCTGGGGTCCCAGCTACTCAGGAAGCTGAGGTGGGGAGGGTCACTTGAACCTGGGAGTTTGAGGCTACAGTGAGCTGTGATTACACCATTGTACTCTAGCCTGAATGACAGAGCAAGACACTGTCTCACAGAGAGCTTCCTTGGACCATACTAAAATAAACCTAATTCAGAAATGCTGCTTCTAACATTCAGAAGCAGAGTTTTCCACATAAAATTATTACTTATACAACAATAATGTTTGTACTGTTTAAACAGCAATAATTCTTGCCTATGGGCATTTCCGGTTAATTGTATAATGGTGATTACTTTTGCATTTGCTGTCGGTCACAAATACCTTCCATTCAGAGGTCACATTTATAGGTGGTTTGGGAAGCCAGACTGAATAAGAATAATATCTTGCAGACTAATTTCACAAAATCTTACTCCTTTAACAGTAAAAAGATTGCTTTCGTTTAATATGTAGACACCAGAGACTCTACCAGGACATACCAAAGCAAAACAACCGTATAGAGAAGACACTGAATGGCTGAAAGGTCAACAGATAGGCCTTGGAGCATTTTCTTCTTGTTATCAGGCTCAAGATGTGGGAACTGGAACTTTAATGGCTGTTAAACAGGTAAATATCTAGTGAGCATATAAATGAAATGACTCAAATCACAAAATGAAGCATGTTCAGTAAAAAGAATAAAGGATATGTCCACGTGTGTGTACTTTAGTTCTTTAAACTTTGAGAAACTTAGTTTCAAAGTAGATGTTTCTAAAGCACCAGAAACATCATGAATTCTGTTATTGTTAAAAGTTGAGGCCACGCGTGGTGGCTCACACCTGTAATCCCAGCACTTTGGGAGGCCAAGGTGGTTGGATCATTTGAGGCCAGGAGTTCAAGACCAGCCTGGCCAGCATGGTGAAACCCTACCTCTACTAAAAATACAAAAATCGGCCGGGCAGGGTGGTAGGCACCTGTAGTCCCAGCTACTCAGGAGGCTGAGACAGAAGAATTGCTTGAACTCAGGAGGTAGAGGTTGCAGTGAGCCGAGATCGCACCACTGTACTCCAGCCTGAGCAACAGAGCAAGACTGTCTCAAAAAAAAATAAATAAAAGTTGAAGTATGATTATTGTAAGACTACAATATCAAGATGGGCCTTACAAAGGTTTTTTTGGTTTTGCTTTTTGTAGGTAGTAGAGGTGGTTTTCAGGTACTTCTTTCAACAGTGTACTTGTGCGGTGCCATCTTGGGGTTTCAGTGGTTTACTTTTTATTATAACGAGCATACTTAATCAGGATAGGAAAATTATTAAACTTTCATTTTTAAATCATGTTGATTCTTCTCCCATATTTGGGCTTTTCTCATCTTTACTCTGAGACTATTGGAATATTGACTATATCCCAATATTTTTGTCATTTTTCTGATGTTTACTGCTGCTTAAGCTAGATTCTTAGTGTTTAAAAGAGTTTGACTTGGGTTTGTTTAAAGTACATTGCATCCATAAGCATAAATGCCATCTGTTGCTAATAAAGTGCTAGTTTGCATTTGTTCATTTTAGATCAGATTGCTAGTGAAAATATGCAAAACTTTGTGAACGTGTTTATTTGAAACAGGTGACTTATGTCAGAAACACATCTTCTGAGCAAGAAGAAGTAGTAGAAGCACTAAGAGAAGAGATAAGAATGATGAGCCATCTGAATCATCCAAACATCATTAGGATGTTGGGAGCCACGTGTGAGAAGAGCAATTACAATCTCTTCATTGAATGGATGGCAGGTATGTTAATGTTTTAAATTACAAAATAGTAGTACGTGGATTTAACTTTCTGCAATTTAGGAAAAACCAGTTTAATTAAAATTTATTTCTATCAAATAGTTTGGGTTTCTAAAAACAAATCACCCCAATATATTAGTATGAACCACAAATACTTCGTTTTGTATTTCATTTACTATAAATGAAATATTGACTACCTCTACCTTTTAAATTTTTCCAGTGTGTTTTTAAATGATTGTGTAGCATTGTTGTTTTTAATACTTGATATGTATAAGATATGTATATTTCCAGGTAGCCATGATAAATTGGACAGATGAGGAAGTGTTTTAACATAACAATATACAAACAAAATTAACATATAACTTGAAAACTTACTACAAGTAAACTAGCACTGAAGCATAAAGTTGAACCTTGTCATCTGCTGAAATAAATGAAGACTGAGTTTTATTTTGTATTATACAATGTATACAATAAAATTAATGACCTGATGTGATGAACAGATTGTTTGGTTTAACTTCTTAGATTTGTGTGTGTATTTAAGAGTGCATTTCTCTTTACCAGTCAGTTCTTAAGTATGTTATCTGTTGGTTGGTCTTAATAAAGATTTACACTACAGTAGATAGGTTGACTACTATAAACACTTTTAAAAGCGGCTAAATTTGAGACATGTTCCAGGTCAGAGCTAGTAAATGGTAGAATATGACGCCTAACTCTGGGTTTTCTGTTCCTCCTCCCATTCTTTCCACCTTTTACTACATAATATGTTAACATTGTTTACTTTAGTCATTAATAAAGTTGTTTTGTGTATTTTGAGAAGACAGAGAATTGAATTGTACATTTCAGAAATAGTTTAATCCGAAATTGTTAACTTTTACAGCTTTCTGAAATCTTGACTCTCCAATAAACTGGTTTCCCTGTGGGTTCTGTGAAAATGTCTCCTAATTAGTAGGTTTTTGAGATGATACAGGAATATGTTAGTTTTGAAATGTTTTTCTTCTGTTTCAGATGTGAATGTGAGTTCATGCAGTGAAAACTTTAGAAACCAAAGTGTAATAAATACTTTTAATTCTGTCTTAAGTTTATGATAATTATTTCTATTGTCTTATAGGGGGATCGGTGGCTCATTTGCTGAGTAAATATGGAGCCTTCAAAGAATCAGTAGTTATTAACTACACTGAACAGTTACTCCGTGGCCTTTCGTATCTCCATGAAAACCAAATCATTCACAGAGATGTCAAAGGTGAGAATTCTTCTAATTATTATCTAGTGACAATAAAAAAATTAATTTTAAAATTTGGGGCCAGGCACAGTGGCTCACACCTGTAATCCCAGTACTTTGGGAGGTGAAGGCAGGTGGATCACTTGAGGTCAGGAGCTCGAGACCAGCCAGGCCAACATGGTGAAACCCTGTCTCTACTAAAAATACAAAAATTAACAGGGTAAGGTGGCGCATGCCTGTAATCCTGGCTATTTGGGAGGCTGAGACAGGAGAATTGCTTGAACCCGGAAGGCAGAGGTTGAAGTGAGCTGAGATCACACCACTGCACTCTAGCCTGGGTGACAGAGTGAGACTCTGTCTCAAAGAAGAACAAAAAAATGGACCTTTGTTGATAGTTTCTAACAGTGGGATTTTTTTCTCTGAGTAATTCAGAATATTAGAACTGAAATGAGCCTTAGGGATCATTTAATCTGCCTTCCTCGTTTAATAGAAAAGTACATTGAATACAAGAGAGGCTGTGCCTTTTCTACAGTTTTATTGCTAGTTAATGGCAGAAAGTATACAACACAGGTCTCCAGATTCCCTGTCTTGGCCTCATGATACGCTGACTCCCAGAAAGTTCCTTTTCCTGGTTTTATTTTGAATAATTGGGATATTGGGATATCATCAACTTCTTTTAAGAAAAATTCCTTCAAATCCTTTGTAGGTCCCATTATTTTCCTTATCCTTTTCTTTTTTTTGGAGACAGGTTCTCTGTCACTCAGGCTGGAGTGTAGTGTTGCAAACTTGGCACACTGTAACTCATTTCCTGGGCTCAAGTGATCCTCCCACCTCAGCCTCCCAAGTAGCTAGGACAACAGGTGTGCACCACCATGCCTGGCTAATTTTTTATATTTTTTGTAGAGATGGGGTTTTGCCATGTTGCCCCCAGGCTGGTCTTGAACTCCTGGGCTCAAGCGACCCGCTTGCCTCAGCCTCCCACAGTGCTGAGATTACAGGCGTCAGCCACCGTACCTGGCCTCAGTTTATTTTTCTCAAGAGCAAATTTGGTTTTCTGTCATTAGTCTTTTTAGCTAGTATTTGACATAATGTGTTGAAGTAATTTTATAACTTTTTAAATTAAGCTCTAATTATGAATTTAGCGTACGCTAGAGAGAGCTGTGTGCCTTTAGCAAGAATGAAGTGAAAGGAAAAGAGAATAACTGTTTGCACCTCTGACATGTAGTTCACTTCTTTCTTTTGTCATTGTCCTAGTTCATTAGTATTGTACTGGGCTTTTATCTGTCCTTATTTTTGTTTTTAACATACAAGGTCATTTGCTGTGTTTGTTGACAGGTGCCAATTTGCTAATTGACAGCACTGGTCAGAGACTAAGAATTGCAGATTTTGGAGCTGCAGCCAGGTTGGCATCAAAAGGAACTGGTGCAGGAGAGTTTCAGGGACAATTACTGGGGACAATTGCATTTATGGCACCTGAGGTGAGAAGCATCTTTGAGTGTGATGACAGAAAATATTTTGGAATTCTGTGTAACAGCATTATACTAAATTATCTTGCAGTGGTATCCAGTATGTACTTACCAACTAGAAGTCCGTGGCCCTTAAAATACGGTTTTAATAATATCTTTCAGACCCTTATTCTCGACCTTTCTTTGCCTTGGCAATATTCAAAAAACAGGTTTTAATAGATTTACTTAACGGCTGTTACTAATAAAGAATTCTGGGGTAATTTATAGCAGTTGTTTTGTAATAAACTCAAAGTGCACATAAGAAATTTTTAAAAATATTCTCTCTCTATTCTAAAAGGAGATGAGCATACAGAGGCAGCTCCTGTCTGTAGTGGAAGGAGTTTAAGCATTGTTCTTCTGACTCAGCTTCTTCTGTCGTGTTCATAATTCTTCATGTTCATATGTAGTAATGATCTGTTGTCCTCTTGCCACATAGTTTGCTAAGAGCAAAATTCTGTGATGGGACTCTGCTTCAGAATCTCACAATTCTCCAAAATATTTTTGTGCTACCTGGAAAATTAAGCTCATTAATGAAATAAATTAGATATTAGGTAGTCCACAGAATTCCTGTTTGTACCAGTTTTCTCCCTAAAGTAAGGAAGTAGAATCTATAACTACAAAATGGCCTTCTCTTTTTCAAATGAGTCCTATTTCCAAATTAACTCTGATTTATTTTAGGTACTAAGAGGTCAACAGTATGGAAGGAGCTGTGATGTATGGAGTGTTGGCTGTGCTATTATAGAAATGGCTTGTGCAAAACCACCATGGAATGCAGAAAAACACTCCAATCATCTTGCTTTGATATTTAAGGTAATTGTGAGATAAAAATTACTTCTTTGTGCTAAAAGGAGTACAGCAGAATTTGGCAGGAGGCAAATTTTGATGGGTTCTCCCTAACAATCTAGCATGAAGGTAAATAAATAGTCTGTATATTTATTCAGAGAGGATTTGATATACAAGTTTTTTACTTTAAGATGGTGCAAAAGCAATACAAATTTGGTAAAAACCATACTTTGAATTTTGATTTTTGTCTGAGCTAGCAATATGTGCTATGATACACTGGTGATGCTAGGCAGTGGCAGCGAGTCACAGCTCCCAGTCAGCCACACAATCACGAGAGTGAACAACCAATACTCTATAGTGGACTGTGTTGTCAGATGATTTTGCGGAACAGTAGGCTAATGTAGGTATTATAAGCACATTCAAGGTAGGCCAGACTAAGCTATAATGTTTGGCAGGTTAGGTGTATTAACTGCATTTTCAACTTAAAAAAATATCATCAACTTAAAAGGGGTTTATCACGACATAACCTCAGCGTAAGTTGAAGAGCATCTGTGTATGTGTGTATTTCCAGGAGTTGATATTGTCAATGGTGTTGTCAATGTTAGTGACATACATAGTCACTTCTTGTTATTTGAGGTAGTTATGCTCTGTTAAGTTGCTACAAATATTGAATTAGCAAATACTAAAACACTGCTTCTAGAAGAAATATGTAGTGTGTTTATATGTATATGTATGTGTGTATATATATCCATCCATCACTTTAAAAACGTGAAATTCATGCATTTTACATAATTCAAAAATCTTAAAATCTAATTTACCATTTTCTTTTGTTCGTTTGTTTTTTGTTTTTGTTTTTGAGACAGAGTCTCGCTGCAGTGCCCAGGCTGGAGTGCAGTGGCACGATCTCAGCTCACTATAGCCTCCGCTTCCCAGGTTCAGGCAGTTCTCCTGCCTCAGCCTCCCAGGTAGCTGAGACTACAGGCACGCGCCACCATGCCCAGCTAATTTTTGTATTTTTAGTAGAGATGGAGTTTCACCATATTGGCCAGGCTGGTCTCGAACTCCTGACCTCAAGCCCACCTCAGCCTCCCAAAGTACTGGGATTACAGGCGTGAGCCACCACTCCTGGCCTAATTTACTATTTTGTATATTTTAAAAATTCACACCCAAGTCAGTTCAGTCCTGTCTGCCTTTCCTACTTTTTTATAACTCACAAATCCATTCTCTCCTTTTCCACCATAGAATAAGTAATGGTTGATATTCTTAGCTTTTCAGTAGATGTGATGGTTGAAATCATGGGCTTTGGAGTCACACTGACCTAGTTTTAAACCCTGGCTCTACCCCTTAATGGCCATGTAATCATAGGAAAATTATTTTTTGTGTCTACCCTCCATTTTCTCACATGTAAAATTGGTGCAAGAACCCCATGAAGCATGTACTTCGTGGGATTACTATGAAGATAAACAAAATTATACCTAGGCCTTAGTCAAGCACTCAGCCCACACAGTCAGCTCCACCTGCCATAACCTCCTCCAGTGCTCCCCACACTTATTATATAACCTCCTCAGTCACCTCTCTGACAATACCTGTTTTGTATTATCACCTCATTTCCTCTATTCTTTCAGACGTCCCATGTCCGTTCTCTACGTGGTTCAAATTCTTATTCTCTTTAAGGCCCCCATTTTGTGCTTCTCCTGCTTGGGCACCCCCTTTTTACTCATTCCAGATTCTCATAGCATTTTAGTACATACTTGTTTCTGACACTTTGTTTCTTGTTTGCTAGTTATGTTCCTATCTTGCTGCCTCTTTCAAACTAATTCTCCTTGAGGTCCATTCATGTCTGATTCATTTTCTTCTTCCCAGAGTCTTATACAGAAGTTGCTCAATAAATACTCATGGCTAGGATCAATTTGAAAGTTTGATGTTATTTTAAGAGTTTTGATGAGACCCTGGAAACAATTGTAAATAATTTTCAAATTGGCACAGTTCATATTTTAACAGATTTCATTGCATTCTCCTTCCTAGGTAGAGTTTAAAGAGAATTGTACTGTAACATTTTCAGTTTCCTTAATTTGGAGTAAATACTTTGAGGTTTTTGGAAGCACCCCAAAGCTTTCTCAAACACTTCCATACCCTGTTTATGGTAGTATAAATTGCCATAGCACGTTTTTTTAGAGAGTGATTTGGCAATATCTGCCAGAATTTTTAATGCACTTATTCTTTGACTCAGCTATGCCCATTGTTAGGAATTTACTCAAGATTACCTCTAGAAGTACCAAGTGCCAAGTTCAGGATTATTCACTCTACTCAAGAAAGTAATTAAATTATCCACACTATACAGAAATTAAACGAGTATGAAGCTGTTGGTGTTGATTTACAAAGTGCTACAAGATACATTAATAAGTGAAAAGAGCAAGGTATATAAAGTGATCCTGGCCAAGCACAGTGGCTCATGCCTGTAATCCCAGCACTTTGGGAGGCTGAGGCAAGAACAAAACTTGAACCCAGGAGTTGGAGAGCAGCCTGGGCATAGCGAGACCCCATCTCTACCAAAAAAAAAAAAAAATTAGCTGGGCATAGTGAGACGCACCTGTGCTCCAGGGTACTCAGGAGGTTGAGGTGGGAGGATCGCTTGAGCCCAGGAGGTCAAAGCTGCAGTGAGCCATGTTCATATCACTGCACTTCAGCCTGGGTGACAGTGAGAGCGAGACCCTGTCTCTAAATTAAGTTTTCTCTTTTGTAGACATTTTAGAAAATCTTAAGTCTGTGAATATATTGGCCTTTTTTCCTCCACAAAACACACACAGACACACACACACCCCCCCCCCCCACACACACACACACAAATCATCAGTAAGTTACATTTGGGGAAAAGAAGGAAGAGGGACTTTTTTTGTTTTGTATTTTTCCTTTTTGTGGTGTGTAAGATGTGTATATATCAGCTGAGTATATCATGATACAGGATCACAGACCTTAGAGGATTTTTCTTTATATTACTTTGCATTTTTTAACCCAAAGCATTTATGAAATTACTGGGGTAGGGAAAAGAGAGTTTTCTTGTGATTAGGAGTGGATAGGTGAGTTTAAAGTATTCAGACTTGATATTAGCCCTTTGTCAGATGAGTAGATTGCAAAAATTTTCTCCCATTCTGTAGGTTGCCTGTTCACTCTGATGGTAGTTTCTTTTGCTCTGCAGAAGCGCTTTAGTTTAATTAGATCCCATTTGTCAATTTTGGCTTTTGTTGCCATTGCTTTTGGTGTTTTAGACATGAAGTCCTTGCCCATGCCTATGTCCTGAATGGTATTGCCTAGGTTTTCTTCTAGGGTTTTTATGGTTTTAGGTCTAACATTTAAGTCTTTAATCCATCTTGAATTTTTTTATAAGGTGTAAGGAAGGGATCCAGTTTCAGCTTTCTACATATGGCTAGCCAGTTTTCCCAGAACCATTTCTTAAATAGGGAATCATTTCCCCATTTCTTGTTTTTGTCAGGTTTGTCAAAGATCAGATGGTTGTAGATGTGTGGGATTATTTCTGAGGGCCCTATTCTGTTCCATTGGTCTATATCTCTGTTTTGGCACCAGTACCATGCTGTTTTGGTTACTGTAGCCTTGTAGTATAGTTTGAAGTCAGGTAGCATGATGCCTCCAGCTTTGTTCTTTTGGCTTAGGATTGACTTGGCAATGTGGGCTCTTTTTTGGTTCCATATGAACTTAAGTAGTTTTTTCCAATTCTGTGAAGAAAGTCATTGGTAGCTTGATGGGGACGGCATTGAATCTATGAATTACCTTGGGCAGTATGGCCATTTTCACGATATCGATTCTTCCTATCCATGAGCATGGAATGTTCTTCCATTTGTTTGTGTCCTCTTTTATTTCATTGAGCACTGGTTTGTAGTTCTTGAAGAGGTCCTTCACATCCCTTGTAAGTTGGATTCCTAGGTATTTTATTCTCTTTGAAGCAATTGTGAATGGGAGTTCACTCATGATTTGGCTGTTTGTCTGTTATTGGTGTATAAGAATGCTTGTGATTTTTGCACATTGATTTTGTATCCTGAGACTTTGCTGAAGTTGCTTATCAGCTTAATGAAACTGAAGAATGCTAAAGACAAGAAGGAACCAAAGAGAAAAGACAAATTACAAGAAAAAAAATTGATAACAATTATATGGATAACAGAATACAGCAGCAACAAGAGAATTCAAAAGACAAATTGTACCTTCTAGTGATTGAAATAAAATAACAGTTAACCTAGGATTTCATAGCTAGCTAAATGATCATCAAAAAATAAGAATGAAATAGAGATATTTTCAGACACATGAGAATTGTGGAAGTTTACCTTCAGCAGACACTCACTGAAAAAAATTATTTTTAGGAATGCATTTCAAGAAGAAGAAAATTGATACCACAAATAGGGAGATATGCAAGAAAGACACTATCTCTGCCTGGAGTCAGCTCTGATTCATAATGGGTGCTCAAAAATTGTTAGAAAACTAATACTTTTTTTTATATATGACTTGAAATTAAAATATGGTTATTGCAGCACAAATTTTAGAATGTAAAGAGTGTATCACAATTTAAAAATAATTATCAGATTTTGAATTTTTTTAGAAAAACTACAAATAAGACCAAATAAAATTTCTTTTTTTTTAAAAAAAAAGTATTCAGACTTACAATTTGTTTATAAAAAAGTTATTCTTCATAGTGTATTTGATACTAAGAATCAGAATTTGTCCAACACGGAAGGAAAAAAACAATGCAGTTGTGTTTTCTATGTATTAAATTGACTCTTCAGTTTTAGTCTTTCTTAATCTAAATAGCTCTGTATGCTGAAGAAATAGAAAACGTGCAGTAAGAACAAACCATCTCGGAGATTGAATATGAGGACAGCAGAATTCATTTGAGTGAATACTTTATCTACCTGAACATTTTGATGTACTTAGCCTTGTTGATGTAAATAATAAGGAATAGGATATATTTGATCAAATCCTAAAATCCTAAAATTTGAAAGATTGTTAGAGAAAACCTCCCATCCAGTGGATGAATTTTTTCATAGACTTTTTGATAGCAGAAAATCCTCCCACTTCTGCTTCAGTTCCTCTCTGTTCAGGATGTAAATGTAAGGGTTATGAGGTCTATGCACATGTGTTTCTGTATCAGAAGTTACAGTTGTGCAAAGCTTCAACACTGGCTTTTTCTCCACAGATTGCTAGTGCAACTACTGCTCCATCGATCCCTTCACATTTGTCTCCTGGTTTACGAGATGTGGCTCTTCGTTGTTTAGAACTTCAACCTCAGGACAGACCTCCATCAAGAGAGCTACTGAAGCATCCAGTCTTTCGTACTACATGGTAGCCAATTATGCAGATCAACTACAGTAGAAACAGGATGCTCAACAAGAGAAAAAAAACTTGTGGGGAACCACATTGATATTCTACTGGCCATGATGCCACTGAACAGCTATGAACGAGGCCAGTGGGGAACCCTTACCTAAGTATGTGATTGACAAATCATGATCTGTACCTAAGCTCAGTATGCAAAAGCCCAAACTAGTGCAGAAACTGTAAACTGTGCCTTTCAAAGAACTGGCCCTAGGTGAACAGGAAAACAATGAAGTTTGCATGACTAAATTGCAGAAGCATAATTTTATTTTTTTGGAGCACTTTTTCAGCAATATTAGCGGCTGAGGGGCTCAGGATCTATTTTAATATTTCAATTATTCTTCCATTTCATATAGTGATCACAAGCAGGGGGTTCTGCAATTCCGTTCAAATTTTTTGTCACTGGCTATAAAATCAGTATCTGCCTCTTTTAGGTCAGAGTATGCTATGAGTAGCAATACATACATATATTTTTAAAAGTTGATACTTCTTTATGACCCACAGTTGACCTTTATTTTCTTAAATACCAGGGCAGTTGTGGCTCATTGTGCATTTTACTGTTGGCCCATTCATTTCGTTTTTGGAAATTATGGTTTTGTATTTTCATGTTTATTTACATTCATTTTTGTTTATTCAGGGAAAGCTGATCTTTTTTTCAAACCAGAAAAAAAAAATGAACTAGATATGAAGTAGAGTTCATTAAATATCTTGCTATTGTCAGAGTTTTTAAAATATAGACTTAATTTTGTTTTTTTAAATTGGAATACAATAAAGTACTACCTACATTTGAGTCAGTCACCACTCTTATTGTGCAGGTTAAGTACAAGTTAACTAAAAATAAACTGTCCTCTCTGGTGCAACTCACAACCAAGATCAAGATTACCTTAAAATTTATTTGAATTTTTTAGATGTTTTGGTTGTCAAACTGTAGGAAACTTCACAACATTTAAGTCTTACTCTGTATGTAACAATCCATCATTCACCTTCACTACTGGTAGTAACATAGAGCTGCCATTTTCCTTTTACCATGCATCATCTCTTTACAGTAGGCCTGGCAGATCATTTTTTAAAAAGATTATTCAACTACCAATCAGTAATGTTTTTAAACAGTACATTTGCTTTGAACTTGGAAAATGTGTTCAGAAAGAAAAATGGAATTGAATTTCATTTATACACTAATTCCTTGGATTTTGCACAGTTACCTAACGGTTTTAGTCTGGAGTTAAATTCAGATGCATGGAATCCTGAAGGAAAATGGTAGCTTTTTAATCTTTTTGTGTGTGTGTGAGTCTTTTAAATCAAGTACTGATTAACTATTAAGTACAACTTTGAGATTTTAGTTTTAACTCTTCAGAAGCCAGTGTGAAATAGAATTGGTTATTCTCAAAGACTCAGGATAAACTAAATAAGCTATATATAGAGTACATTTAAAATGTACAACACAAATTGGAAATAAAATAAGTTACAAGATAAGTTTACAGGGATATATTGCTTACAATTTTTAAAAGGCAGTTTGTTTTTTATGTGAATATGTTTCTTAGTGAAATTTTACATTCCTTTGTTTTGGAAGATTGGCGATATTTGAAGAGTTAAAAATAGTACAGAAATGTGAAGTTTGGTATCTCTAAATGTGTTGTACTTGACTTTCTTTTTTATTTTGTTTTTTTTTTTTTTTGACTACTTAGAATTTTCACAATTCTAATAAGATTGTTTCCAAGTCTCTCATGTGCAAGCTTTAAAGGATGCACTCTTGCCATTTTATGTACTGGAAGATCATTGGTCAGATGAATACTGTGTCTGACAAAAATGTAAACTGTATAAACTGAGGAACCTCAGCTAATCAGTATTACTTTGTAGATCACCATGCCCACCACATTTCAAACTCAAACTATCTGTAGATTTCAAAATCCATTGTGTTTGAGTTTGTTTGCAGTTCCCTCAGCTTGCTGGTAATTGTGGTGTTTTGTTTTTTGTTTTGTTTTCAATGCAAATGTGATGTAATATTCTTATTTTCTTTGGATCAAAGCTGGACTGGAAATTGTATCGTGTAATTATTTTTGTGTTCTTAATGTTATTTGGTACTCAAGTTGTAAATAACGTCTACTACTGTTTATTCCAGTTTCTACTACCTCAGGTGTCCTATAGATTTTTCTTCTACCAAAGTTCACTTTCACAATGAAATTATATTTGCTGTGTGACTATGATTCCTAAGATTTCCAGGGCTTAAGGGCTAACTTCTATTAGCACCTTACTGTGTAAGCAAATGTTACAAAAAAAAAAAAAAAAAATCTCTGGGTTAAGAAAATTTGGCTTAAATGTATCCTTTGTTATTTTAAATATATTGAGATATTTTAATTAAAATTTTTACCCCATTGAACCGATTTTATAGTATTTGTACCTATTTTGGTGTTTTTGTCTTTATAGTAAATAAAAGTTTTTGAACAAATGTTGTTACTTTTATTTATTTTGAAATAATTTCATACTTATATAAAAGTTGCAAGAATACCACAGAGAACTTCTGTATACCCTTCACCCAAAGACCCCAGTCAGGTTTCACCAGCTGCCCATTTATGTCCTTTATAGCAAGAGGATCCAAACCAGGATCACATGTTGCTCTCAGTTGTCATGTTTCTTCAGTCTCATTGAATCCAGGGCCATTCCTTAGTTCTTCCTTGACCTTAATGGCCTTAATTTTTTAAAGATTTCAGATTATTGTTTTATAGAAGCTCTTCAAATTGAGTTTGTCTGGTGCTGCTTCTTGATTAGATTCAGAGTATGCACTTTTGGCAGGAACATCACAGAGGTGATGCTGTGCTCCTCTCGGTGTGTCATGTCAGGAGGCATAGAGGTCGTTTGCCCCATCACTGGTGATAACTGATAGTAACACTGTATAGTTAGTCTTTCCTTTTATAATTAAAATCCACCTTTATAATTGGAAGTATTCTTTGGGGGTGATATTAGAGACTACATAAATATGATGTTTCTTGCCCAGTTTTAACTCTGCTCTTAGCTTTTTTGCCTGAATATATTACTCTGATGGTTGCCAAATGGTGATGTAGTTCCTTCACTTTTTCTTTGCAACATTTTGCTGCAAAGAAGAGCTTTCCCTTCTCCCATTTATTTATCATGTATCATCATATATTTGCTCAACTTGTTGCGGATTTGCCCAGTGGGAATGTCTGAGAGCTAGCTTCTCTATCCTTGGCAAGCCACCATTATTCTTTGAACACTTCCATACTTTCAGCCCCATCTTACGCAATGTCTCCTTTGGCCCTGGAATCAGCCATTTTCCCAAAGAGCCCTGATTCCTTTGATAGAGAATGGTATGTTTAAAACCAACATCTGGGTGCTAGATAGGCTCAATTCTACTGGATGTCACCACTCCTTGGCTGTCTTGGTAGAGCTAGAATGTATTTATGAATATGCACAGTTCGGTGCACACTTGCAAAGTACGCATACATATACCTACCTACATACATAAAAACCATGAGCTCACACCAACCTTCCAACTGCAATCCAACACCAACAGGGTTCATTCAAGCTTTCCCTTTTTCCAAATTTGTAACTTTCTTCTCAGGCAGTGAGAATCATGACTGATTATTCCCAACATATTGACTTACTTGCTTAATTCTTCCTCATGTCCCTCCCCCATGTAACCGATCTCCATGCAAAATGGTTAATGTTGCTGAGTTCAGAAGCCATTTTGTTTCTCTACATTGGTTTCAAGTTTCTGTATAATTTGATTTGTTGTTTTTTTTGTTTTTTTTTTTTTTTTTTTTTTTGAGACAGTCTCACTCTGTTGTCCACGTTGAAGTGCAGTGGCACAATCTCAGCTCACTAAAGGCTCTGCCTCCCAGGTTCAAAGGATGCTCCTGCCTCAGCCTCCCGAGTAGCTGGGATTACAGGTGGACACCACCATGCCTGTCTAATTCTTGTATTTTTAGTAGAGACAAGGTTTCACCATGTTGGCCAGGCTGGTCTCGAATTCCTGACCTCAGGTGAACCACCTGCCTCGGCCTCCCAAAGTATAATTTGATTTTAAATGTAAGTCTTTTAAATAGGTTTTGGGTATTTTTTGCAAAAGGGTACATTTCTGTCACTTAAAAATATTAAGTTGGAGAAAAGTTTTTTTTCCAGATGAAGTAATAGAACCAATTCTATTGCTCCTTAATTCTATTTAAATGATATTAATAATTTTATAAAATGGGTGACAGTCTTCATGTCAGAATCCAGAAAAATGTTGGGGTATTGTGCTCATAGAAATGCCAATGATTGCATTTATGAGCTGATGTAAGTCATTTGTTATAAAACAATGCATGAAATAACTACAGTGAGGGAAAACTGACTAATGGAAACTTATACAAATTGCTGTCTTTCTATGTCATGACGTGGTTTGGCCGTTTTAAATTATACTATAAGCATAAATGCCAGGTTGAGCTGTGATTAAAAAGGAAAGGACGGGCCTCTTAAAGTAGGTAACGACGGATGCAGTGACTACAGGACCTGAGATACAACCTGGGTTAAATCTGGTTCTGCCACTTACCTGCTACGTGACCCCCATTTTGACTTTCTGAACCTCCATTTCTGCATCTATAAAATGAAAGTGACAGTGTCGTGAGAAGTGAGAGCCTATATAAATGGCCTAGAATAGTATCTGGCATGTAGTGAATGCACAAGATGTGTTTTTATGAATGAATGACCCAAAGGTCACAGACTCAAACCACCCATGGGACTAGATCCCCAGCAAGGCTTGTGGCGGACCTAAGAGTTTGCGTCAAGTTCATGTACAAGGGAGGTCATAGTTACCATGTCAGAATGAAAGCCCAGTATTGTCAAATCCTCTAAATTTTCAAGAGAAGCTGGAAATCTGGATTTTAGGTGCAATTCCCTGATGTTTAAACATTAAAAACTAATTTAAATCCTTATTAAGAACTATAAAAATTATTTGGGCTAGACTACTGTCCTGTGGCTGACTACCTTTTGACCTCTGATCTGTGCCCAGGCTTAGAAAACAAAAAAGGTAGAAAATTAGACGAGAATCTCAGCTTTGGGAAATTGGATCTAAGACTTTTGTCTTTTTTTTTTTTTTTTTTTTTTTTTTTTTTTGAGACAGAATCTCACTCTGTGACCAGGCTGGAGTGCAGTGGTGTGATCTCGGCTCACTGCAACCTCCAACTCCCTGATTTAAGTGATTTTCCTGCCTCGGCCTCCCAAGTAGTGGGATTACAGGCACGTGCCACCACATCCAGCTAATTTTTTTGTATTTTTAGTAGAGACGGGGTTTCACCATGTTGGCCAGGATGGTCTCGATCTCCTGACGTCGTGATCTGCCCGCCTCAGCCTCCCAAAGTGCTGGGGTTATAGGCATGAGCCACCATTCCCGGCCAAGACTTTTGTCTTCCAAGATGTGAGATGAACAAAAGTGGAGATGCTGATTATAGATGCTAGACAGCTTACCTCTGAAGAGAAAATTAATGTCTTAACTACACACACTAATGTGAAATGCTTACCACTACAGCTCAAGTATCATGTTACAAAATATTAATATGCATATGTAGCATTCAAATATGTTGTCGATGTTAGAGTTAACTTTGTAGGTCTTATTTTGCAATAGATAACTGTCTGCACAGTCCGTTACCAAAAGAACTCCATCGATGACTGAAGCCAGTCTCATTAGTTGGTATGCAACCTGACATCTCTATACCCCATGCCTCATGGCCCTAGGTTGTAACTTATTACATCTGTAGAGGTAAAACCAGCCTAAGCTGATGTGGCAAGGGATAAATCCTTCATGCCCCAAAATTCTTTTTCCCACAATGCTGAGATTCCTGTTAGAGTTTATTTTTGAGATAACTAAGTGATAGCTTCCCTTAAGGTCAATTTACTTAATAAGATTTCTCAACATCTATGTAGACATACTGAGAGGATGAGGGTTGTAACTAGGGTGAAATGGAGAGAAAGGATAGGAGGAGAAATAAAAAGATGGGGAGATATTGAAAAATCTTTGGCAGAGAGTGGCATGACGATATTTGTGCGTTAGAAAGAGCACCCTTGCAGTACCTTGAAGAAAGAATTACATGGGCCAGTACAAAAGGCAGAGAGAAAGTCAGAAGGCAATTGCAGTATCCAGAACCTAGGTGAAGGTAGCATCATGGGAATGAGGAGGAAGAGACAAATCTGAGCGATATTAAACAGCAGAATTGAAAGATTGTAGAAATGATCTTGGGGGAAGGGTATGCGGAGGATGGAGAATGACATCGAGGATGCGTCTGCTATCCAGGCTTGGTCACCTGTGTGAACGCTGGTGCCATTACTGATACAAGGAAATCACAGGGGGAGTAGGTTGGAGGACAAGATGTGCTTTGGCCATGTTAAAATATTCGAGTTGCCTGGAGGATATCCAAGTAGAAGTTTCCAGTAATACTGTATATGCACATGAGTACCTCCAGAGATACTTTGGTTGCAAATAATAAATGTGCAAGCTATTGACATATAAATGGTCACTGAAGCGATTGATATATCATTTAGGGTTGTACTCAGCTGCACGTAAAAGTGACTGGACTACATAGCCTACAAATGAGAGAAGGTAAGCAGGTCAGGGCTGGTGTATTAGGCCTAGGGTGTCATCAATGTTGCCATGCTTTATCTTCCCGCTCCACTCTTCTCAGCATGAGGCTTTCACCCTCAGGCTCCAACTCTGATCTCCAATCTACAATCAGGGAAAGAAAAAGGAGAATAAAAAGGTAGTGCCTGTGTCAGGAAGACAGAAACTTTCCTTAAAATGCTTACGAGATTTTCACTCACATTTCATTTGACTAGAACTCCCTAGCTATAAGGAAGTCTGAGAAGAATGGACATCAAGCAGGCAACTCTACAGCATCTACCACAATGAGTCACAAGGGAAACGGGGGAGAATACTCAGGAGAATATGTTCAGTGAGGAAAAACCAAGACCAGAACCCCGATGAAGACCAAGATTTAAGGCATAGACAAGAAGCAGAATAGATAAAGGAGACAAGAGCTCATCTTCAGAAACTAGAAACGCACAGGGTCAGGGAAATCAAGAGAGGAGAATGTTTTAAAGAAAGGTCAGTAATTTCAAAAGCCACAGACGTCAGGTAAGATAAGAACTTAAGTCTCACAAGGTGAATGGCAAGGACCATTCCAGTGAAGCCGACTAGAAGGAAACATGATCATAGCTGGGCAAGCATGGTCATGGAGATGATGTGCATAGCCTACTTTGTCCAGAAGTCTGTCTAGGAGCAAAAGTGAAGGGAACAACGTGGAAGAATTATTTGGGCAATTATGCAACCTCCAGAAGAGGGCAGCAGAGTAAAACTTTTAATTTGCACTGCCTGCCAGATATCTGAAAATCAAAGGTTATCTCACCCCTTCCTCAGGAATAGAGCAGAAATCTCAGTGTTCCCCCTTAGAATACTGAAAAAAACTCAAAACTATCACTAAGAGTTGCATTTTTCCATTCTAAAACCTAGATTCTATGCTTATCTATTGCATAACAGGGTATTCCTAGTCCCTCTACCCGCTCCTAACAGTCTACAACAAAAGGAGAGGCTGTAGCAAGATACTTGATGCCCTTTCCTGGTCTCTTGTTCTCAGAACCACTCTACTCTCAGCTGGCTGGGTCATCCATCCATTCATCCATCCATCCATCCATCCAACCATCCATCCATCCATCCATCCATCCATCCATCCATCCATCCATCCATCTGTCCATCCATCCATCCATATCCATCCATGCATCTATCCATCCATGCATCCTGCCAACTACTGTTCCTCTGAGCTTTTCAAACTCTATTTCCAGCTAGTACTCTGCTACTAGAACATTCAATGACTATCTACTGCTGACTACCTCAAATGTCCATGTTTTTTAATGGTCTGACCTTATTCTGCCTAAATCTTTATTTCCTACTATCCGTAATACAAAATTTCTGTTCTACTCCTTTCGTTACATTCCTGCTCTCTGAATCCATTGTGTTCCACCCCACCTCTGCACCTTCCCTCACACCAGTGGTTTTCAAACTTTTTGTTCTCAGAGCAGTCAAGAAGTGCTGCCACAGAACCTTCCAGTCGATTCCCAAGACTGCCAAAACTAGCTGGTGTACTACATACCTATATGGAGCATGCTGCACAGTATAGTCCTAATAGATTTGTATATTTATTACATTTTTTTACAGTCGATGGCAGTAAAGTGGCCAAAGGAAAAGGTGCCTTTTGCTAATTCATACAAAGACTAGCAGAGATCATTTTCTCCTCCTTTTTATGCAATATTTTAGGTCCTGCAGCACAAAATTATTTTAAAATACTTTGTCTAATATCATCAATATGTAACATACTACTATAATTCATAGAACTGGTATTAACTACAACATTCAATGAAGTGTCACATACTTTCCTTCTCAAAATTTTGAATCACAATATGTGGTTCTAACACTCAATTTCCCAAATATTTTTGTCTTCAGACCCCATTACACTTTTAAAAATTATCAGAAGCCCCCAAGGACCTTTTGTTCATGTGGTTAATAGCTGCTATTTACTGTATCAATATTAAAACTGATAAATACATAAAAATGCATTAATTCACTAGAAATAACTATTAAAACTTATTACATGTTAAATCAGATAACATATCTTTATGAAAATAGCTATATTTCACCCCCCAAAAAATAGGAAGAGTGGCATGTTTTATATTTTTTTCAAATCTATATAATTTTTTTTTTTTTTGAGAGGGAGTCTCACTCTGTCACCCAGACGAGAGTGCAGTGGCGCCATCTCAGCTCACTGCAACCTCTGCCTCCCGGGTTCAAGCAATTCTCGTGCCTCAGCCTCCCGAGTAGCTGGGATTACAGGCACCCACCATCATGCCCAGCTAATTTTTATATTTTTAATAGAGACAGGTTTTCACCATGTTGGCCAGGCTGGTGTCAAACTCCTGACCTCAAGGGATTCGCCCGCCTTGGCCTCCCAAAGTGCTGGGATTACAGGCGTGAGCCACTGTGCCTGGCCAAATCTATGTAATTTCTAACTTAATACAAGGCAGTTGGATCCTCATATCTGCTTGTGCATTCAATCTGTTGTTTTATCACACATCATGTAACCTCTGGAAACTCCACTGTACCCTCAAGAAAGAATGAGAGTAAAGACAAATACAACTTAGTATGATTAAGAAAATAATTTTGACCTCATAGAGCCCAGAAAAAATCCTAGGGACCCCCAGGGTCCCCAGGCCACATTTGAGAATTGCTGGCTTCTGTTAATCCCTTCCACTTCTCTTCTACTTATTTCTCCTTGAAGCACTCCCCAACTCCAGTAGCTCACACTGAAATTCTATGGTAATTAATATTTAATTTTTAGAAATTATATGTTTTCCCAAGTAGACTGTAATCTTTTAAAGTTGTACCTAGGCATACAGTTTTCAATGAATAAATATTTGCCAGTTATGTTACCCACATTAGACTACATAGCTATTCAAATAGCCTACAGAATATCCACTATCTCTAACTATTATCTCTCTTCCAGCACAGAATTGTGAAATCAAAGTTGTGCCTGCTACTTCCTCTGTCCCCCTGACACCCAATAAACACACACACACACACACCACATTTTCCTTCTCTGTGTTGGGTCATTCCCATCAACACACAAATATGCTACGAGATCTTTTATCTTACTGAATTATTCTCTGCCTTTGGCTCCATTTCTCTTCTTCTCTTTCCATAAAATTTACTGAAAGAGACACACACACTTGTTTCCCATTCCTCACCTCACATTTGCTTCTCAACGCACTCAAACACACTCAAACCTATCACCAAAACTGCTTTTGACCAAGTTATGAGGGTTCTGCATTTATTGACAGGTGACTTCATGGTCACTGCTCAATCTATGTTCTTTGCCATCCCCCTTTTCTTCCTAGGTGATCTCATCCAGGGCTCTGGCTAAAGACTCTATCACCAGCTATGGCTTCGGAGCTCCAGATGTGACAATATTCAACTAGATACTTGACATTTCTTGGAGGCATTTCAAAACTTCACCTTCCCATATCGAATCCATTGGCAAGTCCTGTGAGTTCCTCCAAAATAGAATCCTAATCCATCCACCCTCTCCATCTCCACAGTTACCATTCTAGTCTAAGCTACCATCATCTCTGCCTAAACTACTGTATTCACCTCCTAATTGGCCTTACCGGTGTGGTGATTGCCCACCTTTTCACCACATAATATCCAAAGTGATCTTTTTAAAACATGAATCAGATCCTATTACCCTCCTGCTTAAAACCCTCCAGTGGCTTCCCATTACACTAAGAATCCCAACTCCTCACCAGGACCTACAGGACTTGGCATCTTCTCTTTCTCCCTGACTTCATCTTTCACTTTTTCTTACTTACCCTGTTCCATAACCTTATTTTCCCTGCTTGAACATGTGAAGCTCCTCCCCACCCATGCTTGTCCATTTGCATTGCAATAAGGAACACCTGAGACTGAATAATTTATAAAGAAAAGAGGTTTATTTTGCCTCACAGTTCTGCCAACTGTATGAGAAGTGTGGCGCTGGAGCATCTGCTCCTGGTAAGCCCTCAGGAAGCTTCCAATCATAGCCGAAGGCAAAGGGGGAGCTGGTGTATCACATACAGAGAGAGGGAGCAAGGGAGAGAGGAGATGCCAGGCTCTTTTCAACAACCAGCTCTCGCATGAACTCACACAGCAAGAACTCACTCATTGAGGTGAGGACAGCACCAGGCCATAGGTGAGGGATCTGCCCTCATGACCCAAACACCTCCCACTAGGCACATCTCCAACACTGGAGGTCACATTTTAACATGAGATTTGGAGGGATAAAAACATCCAAACCATATCACTACCTCAGTGCCTTTGCATTTCCCATTGGGAGAATCTCCCCGTGGATATTTTCAAGTTCGTTGCCTTCTTATTCAGGTCTCAGCCATTCATGTCATCACCCTATCGAAAATTGATACCCCTAATCCCACACCATGTGACCCACATAAAGAGAGTGGGGTCCCAGCAGGAAACAGATGACACACACAAATTAAGACATTTGAAAATAATTGTGTAACAGCATGGACAGAATGAAGGGAAACCACAAGGATAGTACACAGAACTGTGGAGTTGGCAATAATAGAGTGCTGTTACCATCCATAGGCTTGAATGAAACCCGGAAACACATAAGACTACATGGAGAGGACCTTAGGTTGGAATACAGCCAGTACACAGAGACCAGCACCTCACTCTCCTCTCTTCTTGCAGTTTCCTGCCAGTGCTCTCCACTGGTTGAATCCACTTGGAAGCAGGAAGATGAGGGACCTTGTTGATGTGCAAGCCAGTCAATCCCCCAGGGTGTGGACAGTGGATCTGGACAGGCTACATAAGATATCCAGCCCACTCTCTTCTCATTATCCTGCCTTGTTTTCTTTATTGCATTTATCACTGTCTGACATTATTTATGTGTTTACTTAGTATCTGTCTCCTGCACTAGAGCTCGGGACATAATAGAAGTTCAATAAATTATTTAAAAATCAAGTTAATCTCATTTTGAACTCTGGAAGTTACAATCTGTCCAGGCATACATGCCTTATTTATAATATTTAGGACACTGATGTTAAAGATGATTTTACCAGCCAGGTGCAGTGCCTCACGTCTGTAATCTCAGCACTTTGGGAGGCCAAGGCAGGAGGACCGATTGAGCTCAGGAGTTCAAGACAAGCCTGGGCAACATAGTGAGACCCCATCTCTACAAAATTAAAAATTAAAAAATTAGCCAGGCATGGTGGTGCATGCCTGTAATCCCAGCTACTTGGGGAGAATAAGGAGGGAGGATTGCTTGAACCCAAGAGTTTGGAGGCTGCAGTGAGCTATACCCTGTCTCAAAAAAGAACATTTTTCCTACACAGTAGTTTTGTGATTTATAGCATAAATGGGTTTTAAATGGAAAACACAGCACATACATTCTTATATTCAATTGGGTAGAGTATTTGGGGAAACTGGAAACAACAGGAAGTGGGAAAAAGAGTCAGAAGAAGAGGGTAATTTTGGATAGCAGCATATCTCCATGCCCATCGTGGCCAATCTTTTGCTTGCTATCTATGATATATTATAAAACTGTCTGTCAAATTGTCATTCTTCATTCATCTGTATTTAAAAGTTATGTAAATCAATAAAGACAGATGATTTAAAAGACACTATGAACCAATGACCTACTTAATATTTATAGAACCCTAAACCCAACAACTACAGAATATACACTCCTTTCAACTGAACACGGTATATTCACCAAGATAGAGTGCATGCTGGGACACAAAACAAGTCAATAAATTTAAAAGAATTGAAATCATTCATGTTTTCTGACACAACAGAATTAAACTAAACACCAGTTACAATAAGATATCTAGAAATCCCAAATATTTGGAAATTAAAAACACATTTCTAAATATTTCATGGATTAAAAACATAAATAACAAAGAAATTTTAAAAATATTTTGTACTGAATGATAATGAAAATACAACATATCAAAATTCCTGAGATTTGGCTACAGTAATGTTTGGAAGGATAGTTATAACTTTAGATGCTTCTATAGAAATGAAGGAAAGACCAAAATCAGTGACCTAATATTCTATTCTAAGAAACTAGAAAAAGAAGAGAAAAATAAACTACTTTATGTTTAAGTAGAAAACATAAAATAATAAAGATAAGAATATGACTGGTCACGGTGACTTATGCCTGTAATTCCAATTATTTGGAAGGCATAGGCAGTTGGGTCACTTGGGGACCAGTTCAGGCAACACAGTGAGACCCCATCACTAAAAATAAAAAAAGAGAGAAAAAAGATAAGAACAGAGGTCAACAAAATAAAAAATAAGCAGGGAAAAGTAATAAAGCCAAAAGCTGTTTCTTTGAAAAGATTGACAAACCCTCAATTACAATGATGAAGAAGAGAACACAAATCACCAAAATCAGGAACAAAAATGGGCTATTACAACAGATCATACAGACATTAAAAGGTTAGTAAGACAGTATTTATAAACAACTTTATACCAAGATATTTGGCAACTTAGACAAAATGAACAAATTCCATAAAAATATAACTTACCAAACAACACAAGATGAAACGGACATTATGAATAGCCCTATATCTTTAAAATAAGTTGAATTTATTATCAAAGAAAATTACAAGCCCAGATGTTTTCACAGGCAAATTCTATCTAAAAAATTTTAAAACATACTTCAAAATAAATGTGGGATGACAATAGCATATATTAAAACCTACAGGATCTGACCAAAGAGGTACTCATAACTGAGTAGTTATGTCAGAAATCCAAGGACGGTCAACATTTGACAATGTGTCATCATTCACTACATGAATAAATGAATAGAAACTATATGGTCATCTCAATAAGCAGAGAAAAGCATTTGATATTTATCATTCATTTAAAATTTAAAACAATAAAAATTTTTGGAAAGTCAAAAATAGAACTTTAAAAAACTTCATAAAGTATACATACCTACTAGAAAACTACAGTAAATATTAAACTTGAAGGCAAAACCTCAAAAATAGAAGAATGCAGTAGACTTAAACCAATATGGGTAGATCTTCAAGATGTATTTTTGAGGAAATCAAATAAGTTGTGGATCCTTATAATATTTTAACAATACTCACACAAAATACTATGTATTTTCTATAAAAACATACGCGGGTATGTAAATACATAAAAATAAAACTGGCAGAAAACACACCCGTCTGATAACTTCTGAGAAGCGCCAAGTACCAGGATTGGTGGAAGTACAAGGTACGGTGTTTGGTTAAGGGTGACTTGAGCTTTAGCTACCATGTTTCTATTTGTATAACTTTAGATGCTTCCATTAGAAAAGAAGAAAAGATTAAAATTAGTGACCTAATAACCTACTTTAAGAAACTAGAAAAAGAAGGTTTTCATTAATTACTTAGCTAACCAAAATTTAATTTTAATACCATAAATATAAAAAAACTGTAAAAATATACAAAAACTGATTTTTTTCTTTTTTTAGACAAGTACATTACCATAGGTAAAGATTAAACTAGTTCTTTTGGGTTCTTTGTTAAGTTTGGAGACTATAAAGAAACTTTCTTGTATGCCACTTATTAATACATCCTGGAACTGAATTGACTCCATTTAGCAAGTCAGGTAAATCTAGATTATGCCAAATTATCAAACAAACACAGAGTCTGAGAGAAAGCCTCTAGAGTTTGCTAACATTCTATATGATATGAACGAAATAGAGACATTGGTAGATACTCTTTCTCTTTATTTCTTTCAGAATAGAACAAATTAGTCCCGCAGCTACTGGCGATTGGCTGAATTTTTTTTTTTTTTGAGACGGGATCTCACTCTGTCACCCAGGCTGGAGTGCAGTGGCGGATCTCGGCTCCCTGCAACCTCCGTCTCTCAGGTTCAAGCGATTCTTCTGCCTCAGCCTCCTGAGTAGCTGGGACTACAGGCACGTGCCACCAACGCTCGGCTAATTTTTGTATTTGTTCTTTTTTAGTAAAGACGGGGTTTCGCCATGTTGGCCAGATTGGTCCCGAACTCCTGACCTCAGGGGATCCACCCGCCTCGGCCTCCCAAAGTGCTGGGATTACAGGCGTGAGCCACTGCGCCCGGCCTTGGCTGAGTTTTTATTAGATCTGAGCCGTTCAATTTCAATAGTTTAGGATCCAACCTCACTCTCAGGCAAAGAATAGAGGAAATGATACCAACGTATTTATCTGTCAATAAACACTTGGTGATTTGAATATGGTTAAGGGATTCCTGTAGTTTGCCCCCCTTAAAACTGAACTTTGTCCAAACCTGTTCTAAATATGTGTGTGCGTGTGCATGCATCTGGGTGTTGGGGAGGAGCGGTCGTAAAGTTCCTTTTAAATTTCACCTATGGGGGACTACTTCCCACCTCATCCTATGAAGTCAACATTAGCCTAAATACCAAAGCCAGATTAAGACACTACAAGAAAACTACGAAACAATATCTCTCACGAACACAGATGCAGAACTTCTAGACAAAACGTTTCCAAATTGAAGCGAAGACCATATTAAAAGGACAAAAGCACCTCAGTGGTTGCTTGGGGACTGGGGGAGGGGCTGGATTACTATCTTGGCTGTGGTGTCGAAAACCTATCAAATTGTTCACTTTAAATATGTGCAGTTTATTGTATCCCAACCATTCCTCAACAAAGCTGTTTTTCAGAAACATTTGTCCATGTAGTTTTGCCTTTGAATGGTTGGGTCAATGAAGAGAAAAACGAGTGAAAACAGGGAATCATGACACTTTGTTTTTTTACGTGTAAATATTCGCAAAACGCCCAAACTGGTAACTTTGGGAACACGGGTTCACGCAGAAGAAGGGCTGCTGTCTGGGGAGGACTGAAACTCGGGTTCCCGAAGTCGGGCTGCTCTGGGGCCACGGAGAGAAGGGGAGAGAACGTCGAGGAAGAGGCAGAGCTCAAGTGGACGGAGGATGGAACACAGAGCGCGGCCGGGACAAAGGGGCAGGCCAGACAGCCGTGACAGAGAAACTAGGCGGTCCGCTCCTGGGACGCGGTCTCGGGGGCGGGTTCGCCCCTGAGGCCCGGTGACCCTTCGCCCGCAACCAGGGCTAGCGCTTGTGTGCGCCCACGGAAGCACCCGAGCGACCGGAGAAAGAAAAAGTGGTCAAGGGGACCTCCTTCCAGCTCTACGCGCCTCTCATTCAGAGAGGTGAGGTCAGGAAAGGGGAAGGACGAAGCCCCAGAGCAACAGAAGTCAGGCGGTGCCAGGAACACTGAGAGCGGAGCCAGGGGAAGGCGGCCGAGCGCGGCCCCCTCTCCTCCCGGGCCGGGGCGGGCCCGAGGCCTCGATCCGCCTTCCCCGCGCCGTCCTGGTCACGGCCCCGCGGGGCAGCCATGCCTGGCCGTCTGCTGCGGGGCCTGTGGCAGCGATGGCGCCGTTACAAGTACCGCTTCGTTCCCTGGATCGCACTGAACCTAAGCCACAACCCGAGGTGAGAGGGCGGGACGGCAGAACGAGGGGCACCTGCCTTCGGTTCCCAGACGCCACCACGGCGGCGGGACGCAAAGCGGAGAGCCTGAGGCTGACTGCCGGCCTGAGATGGGCGGGCCCGGGTGGGCAGGGACTGAGGTGGGCGGGCCGGGTGGGCGGGGACTGAGGCCTCGGAGGGGTTTAAGGAACGCGGGCCAGAGGCGGGCGGGGCCGAGGTTGGTGGAGTCCGAGGCCCGCTGGAAGCCTGAAGTGGGCGGTGGCTTCAGGTGGGCGGGGCCTATGGCCTCTTTCCCAGTGTCCGCTGCGCTGCCGGGCCCGCGAGGCCGAGCTCGCCAGCCGGATGTGTCGCCTGTTCTTCCCTGTTGCGTTCGGCACTGACTGGGGAGCTTGTATCTGGGCAAAAATGGAAACTTTTTAAAAAGACTGCCCTTACCGCGTGAGAGTGCGTGGCTTTTTCTCCACCAGGGGTTAATTAGGTGCTTGAACTTCCTCAGAAAAGCCAAGCCAGGGTTTATTTTCATAGTTCATACAAGTACTTCACGTGGTTAAAGAAGCCCATCCCGGCTGTGAGAATAGCGTGCAGTAGCTCGCGCGTTAAGAACGGGCAGAACGCCACTCAAAAGCACGTCGGGATGGTGGGTTTCGGATTGGGGTGAGTCCCGCCGGCGTTATTAAGGGCGCACCAGTGATCAGCTCAACACCGTGCTCACCAAAGAGGCCGACCGGGCCTCCCTGAAGTCAGTGTCCGACAAATAGGGAAACAAAGCGGTTTCCGGAAGGTTGCATGCTAGGGAAACAGGAGATCAGTTGTATCATGACTCGGAACCGTGAGGCGGGAATTACAACCTTTTTGTTCAAGTAAAAATAATGCAGTTAGTACAAAAAGATAATGATTATGGAAATAAGAGGTGCAGTCATTGAAGACGTTAGTCGTCCTGGAGGGAGTGTCACAAAGTATACGATGTTGAATTTGTCTTTGAAACTACAAGGCCATTTTTAAAAAGCCATTGAATGTGAGGTCATTCATTCTCATTGTGATGACATTCAGCTTGGCTGTTGGGTGTAGTACGGGAAAGAGCTGAACTTCGTTTCTGCCTCTGGCTCTCCCACTTACTGGCTTTGGGACCTTGAACAAGTTCCCTAACAATTTTGCTTTCCTTGTCTGCAAAAATGGAATAATGTAAGGACCCCACAGCATGTGGTATAGAATGGGCCTTTCATAAGTACTGACTACTTGGGTGGGAAGTGTTGGGAGTTAGCTAACTAGAACTCCCTCAAACAATTCTTTTCTGAACTTAGTTTCCAGCCCTCCACACACATGAGAATAAGCTTATAGTTCCTTAAGGCCAGGAACCCAGAAGTTATGCAGGTAAGTTTGGCTTTTATCAGTTGAAGGGTAGTGAATAGAAACTTTTCCCATTTTCAGGACCCTCCGATATGTTCCAGAGGAATCCAAAGACAAAGTTATCTCAGATGAAGATGTCCTAGGAACATTACTGAAAGTTTTCCAGGCTCTATTCTTAAATGATTTCAATAAACAATCAGAAATCTTGTCTATGCTTCCAGAATCTGTTAAATCAAAATATCAAGACCTACTGGCAGTTGAACATCAAGGGGTGAAACTGCTTGAAAACAGACATCAACAGCAAAGTACCTTTAAACCAGAAGAAATTCTTTACAAGACTTTGGGTTTCAGTGTTGCCCAAGCAACTAGCTCATTGATTTCTGCTGGAAAAGGTGTCTTCGTTACTAAAGGATTGGTACCAAAAGGCGCAGTCGTATCTATGTATCCTGGTAACAGCACGATTAATATTATACTTTGCCAAGCTTCTTACGTATTGATAAACATAAGTTCAGTAACATACCCAGCCTTGCAATCCTTAGAGTAAGGGATTAAATTGGAAACTCGAGTTTCCATAGATTTTTGCAATTCTAATTCGGAAATTAACTGTTTGTAAATTGTTTTGTGTTAGAAAGTATCCTGGAGTATTTGTTGGGATAAATGCACTTTTTCTTTCAAGGAAAGCTTTCCTGTCAACGTTTAAATTTAGAACATAGTATGACCCACTTTGACAAATTACTTAAAAAGCACTAGAGAAACATGTCAGTTTGGTTTAATTGATAGCTAAGGATAAAAATGGTATGGATAGGCTCACGCCGGTAATCCCAGCACTTTGGGAGGCCGAGGCGGGCAGATCGCGAGGGGTTTGAGACCAGTCTGGCCAACATAGTGAAACCCTGTCTCTACTGAAAATACAAGAAATTAGCCAGGTGTGGTGGTGTGCACCTGTAATCCCAGCTATTCAGGAGGTTGAGGCAGGAGAATGGCGTGAACCCGGGAGGCGGAGGTTGCAGTGAGCCGAGATTGTGCCATTGCGCTCCAGCCTGGGTGACAGTGCTAGGCTCCATCTCAAAAAAAAGAAAAAAAAAAAGCGTACGGATCAAAACATAAAAGACAACATTTAAACCCATAAGTCACCGAATGAAGACCTTCCTGCCCTTTCTACACTTGGAAAGTAAGGCAATTTCTTGGCACAAGATCATTAACTAGAATGCTAAATAGACTACGTTATGTGTTAAACTAACATTATATTATTTGGTATAGTGGAAAGTGTGTGTGTGAATATTTGAGTCAGATAGACCCAGGTTTTTAAAAATTCATTCTCCTGTTTTCTAATTTTACATCCCCAAACAAGGGAGTTTCAGTTTCCTGCTGTACGAGTAATCTAATTTTGTAAAGACTAAATAGAATAAATAAATTAATACTAAAAGAAGTTTAATAAATAGATTAACATGCCTGGAACATAGGAAGCACTCGGTAAATATTTTCTCATTTCGTCTTTTGCCAGTGAAAGGAGAAACAGCCTTAATGTCAGACTCATCTATTCCCATATGTGTCTACATTATTTAATTATTAGCAAAATAAATTTCTTCAAACTCTTTAGATGTTAAATCACATTCTACTTAAATATATATGTGTGTGTGTATATATATACACATATACATATAAATGTGTATATGTATATATATGACTTTGTAAAACTGAGCCTAAAATGTGATGTTCATATTATCATTAACCAAGATAGCCATATTCTGTTTTGCTGTGTGGATGAGTTGGTTCTGTGCTCCATCTGCTATTGGGCGTTCACGCTTTAAGAGGGAGAAAGTAACTAAAGAGAATGTGATTATATTCCAAAGAAGGGTTCTTATCGCAGTGTTTATGATTTTTCATGTTGTTATCATATTTCTTTGTCTTGTTGTGTAATAGGTACAGTATATCAGAAGTATGAGCCGATCTTTTTCCAGTCCATTGGAAATCCGTTTATTTTTAGATGCCTGGATGGGGTACTCATTGATGGGAATGACAAAGGGATATCAAAAGTTGTGTACAGGTAAGTGATGCCCATGTTCAAATTTAATTATAGGAGACAGAACCGCACTTACCACAATGATTATGACTAATAGCATTTGTACTTTATTTATTTTTTATATAAAGAGATGGGGTCTTGCTATGTTGTCCAGGCTGGTTTTGAACTCCTGGCCTCAAGCGACCCTCCCATCTCGGCCTTCCAAAGTGCTGGGATTACAGGCTTGAGCCACCACACCCAGCTCAGCATTTATGCTTCATTTTATTATTTTTTTTACTTTTTTTTTTTTTTGAGACAGAGTCTTGCTCTGTCGCCCAGGCTGGAGTGCAACAGTGCGGTCTCTGCTCACTGCAACCTCTGCCTCCCGGGTTCAAGTGATTTTCCTGCCTCAGCCTCCCAAGTAGCTGGGATTACAGGTGTGCACCACCAGGCCCAGATAATTTTTGTATTTTTAGTAGAGTTGGGGTTTCACCATGTTGGCCAGGCTGGTCTCGAACTCTAGACCTCAAGTGATCTGCCTGCCTCAGCCTCCCAAAGTATTGGGATTACAGGCGTGAGCCACTGCGCCTGGCCAGCATTTATACTTTGAATAAAATTCTGTTTAGATAGCTGCTGTGTAACAACTCAGTTGCCCTACTGATTATACTAAAGTCTTTTTTTTTTTTTTTTAAGAAAAAATGCACTGGTGTAATTCTAGGGTTTTGTATTTTAGGATTCTATTTTAAGATACAGATCCATTAGCTAATGCTTTCACTTGTTTCAGATCTTGCAATGGGAGGGATCGACTCGGCCCTTTAAAAATGAGTGATAGTACATGGCTAACGTCAGAAATTCATAACCCTCTGGCTGTGGGACAGTATGTCAACAATTGTTCCAATGGTAAGAAGGCATCATGGGGCTGTGAGATGAGATATATCAATGGCTAATTCTACTCCTTTGTCATATGACTGAGTGCCAAGGGCAGTTGAGTATAACATATAATAAGCTAGTCAAGTCCTTAAGCAACTCTCACTTTTGGGGGATGATATTAGAGAGAATTAGGGGAAATCTTGATATACATTATTTAGAATTGTTTAATTTACTATTTTTCTTCTGATTTTGCAGTGAATATAGGCAATTGATAACTCCCCTTTGATCATTATTATTTTAGCATTTTAAAAATAGAAATTATTATGTCAGTGCTTCAATATAGCCTTATAGATTAATGGCTAGACTAGTATCTGCTTTCTGTTGCTAAGTTTGTGAGTCCCTATCTATATCTTCTTTAGGAGTTGACTTTCCCATAGGTAAAAGTTTGATTGTTTGAATACATTTAACATGGGCTTTGGCGTTAGTGAGAAACGAAGTCCAAGCCTGACTCTTTTATTAGTATTTAACCTTTAACATTTCTGAGCCTCTATTTCCTGATATATAAAAAGTAAACAATAAAACATACATATATGTTTATTATGTATGTTGGTAGATATTATCTAAACATATGTTATTATATATGTTGTTTATGCAAAAAGTAATAAAACATGTTTTATATATGTCTTTTTGAATATTTTATTTTATATATTTATGATTTACCATATATATCTGCAAATATATATACGTAAATAAACTCTGACAGTACCTGGAACATAGTAGTAATTATTTTGATCATGTTTTGATAATTTAGAAAAACAGACATTGAGTGTCATAATTCAATTCTGTTTTCCATGACCTTGTATAATGGCTCTTTTTCTAAAAATGATGTGCTTGTTCCTAGACAGAGCAGCTAATGTCTGTTATCAGGAATTTGATGTGCCTGCAGTTTTCCCTATAGAACTGAAGCAGTATCTTCCAAACATTGCCTACAGCTATGACAAACAAAGGTTCGTTTGCTAAAAGAGCATTTCATATCTTCTGCTTATGCTGTACTTAAAAAAATATAGAAGAAAAAGCTATGTAGAATTTGGGGTAAAATTTTTTTTTTAGTGAAAAATTATAACTCAGATTTTTATGTTCACACCTTAACGTGTTAATGTAGGCTTATTTGAAATTTAAAATTTTCCTTTAAACTAGCTCATTCTGTTTATTTTTACCCATTTTTATTCTATGGCAATACTTCATAAGTATCCACCTTAAAGTTTTTTCAAATAATTCTGTTGTTTTTCCTACCTACAAAATCTTCAAATATATCTTTACTTTAATCATTTATAATATCATGTTCTCTACCTTATAAGAAAGCATCCAATTGAAGAAAGAGGCCAAATTACACTATGATTCCTTTGCCAATTTCACTATTAGGTTCTTAATAATGAAACTAAATAAAAAAGGACTGTATTCAGAAGACACATATTTTAACATAGCATTTATTTCCTGTTCATTCAGTGGAAAGTCTACTGAGAATATTCAAATAACAATTTTAAAATATAGGTAATTCTGGAGAGCTAAGAGTTCTTTCTTAACAGTGCTGTAGGAAGATACAATCTTTGTATTATTTTGTTGAGTTGCTAGCAAACTTTATTTTATATAGGACCTATTAAATTGTCCTTCTAAGATGAATGACATTTAAAACATGAACTATTATTTATACTTAAAACTTGAGGCCAGACACGGTACCTCAAGCCTGTAATCTCAGCACTTTGGGAGGCCAAGGTGGGTGGATTGCTTGAGCACAGGAATTCGAAACCAGCCCAGACAACATGACAAAACCCCTTCTCTACAAAAAATACAAAAATTAGCTGGGTGTGGTGGTGTGTACCTGTAGTCCCAGCTACTTGGGAAGCTGAGGTGGGAGGATCCTTGACTTGGGAGGTGTATGTTGCATTGAGCTGAGATGGCACCACTGCACTGCAGCCTGGGTGACAGAGCCAGATCCTGTCCCAAAACAGGAAAAAAACAAAAACCAAAAACTTGATAACTTTTGCTTCTCTGCATGTGTATGTTTGTGTGTTTAACTATTAGCTTTTCTTAGCCATATACTCCGGGGCATGATGTTATTAGAACTTTGAATGTATATATGTAACAATATCTAGGCTGGGTGCGGTGGCTCATGCCTGTAATCCCAGCACTTTGGGAGGCCGAGGCGGGCGGATCACAAGGTCAGGAGTTTGAGAACAGCCTGACCAACATGGTGAAACCTCATCTCTACTAAAAATACAAAAATTAGTCAGGCGTGGTGGCACGCACCTGTAATCCCAGCTACTCAGGAGGCTGAGGCAGGAGAATCGCTTGAACCCGGGAGGCAGAGGTTGCAGTGAGCCAAGGTCACACCACTGCACACCAGCCTGGGTGACAGAGTGAGATTCCATCTCAAAAAAAACAAACAATATTTTATGATGTCCAGAAAAAAGCATTTTTTTAAAACTCCAACTAATTTTAAGTAATGTTTTCATTTTTCAGGATATAAGATACAAATGAATGCAAGAAAAACTATAATGTCATTTTAAAATCCTTTTTGTGATACTAGTTTTGGGGGCCTAAACTTAGAAACAATGTTTTCAGAAGAAGTAGTCAGTTGTATAAACATTGATTTGTGATTTTTTAAATGATATAGATATACTCTTTAGAATACCTGCATCAGGAATAAGAACTATTTCCTCATGGAAATCAAATGCATAAACTAAAATGGAAGGAACCTGAGTAAAGTTACCTCTATAAAAGCCATCTTGGTTATATTAAAAATATGAGCTTATATTTGTTAATGCTCTACCTTTTGTATATCTTTTTGTTTTCAGCCCACTTCGATGTGTTGTTCTTGTCGCACTTAGGGACATCAATCAAGGAGAAGAGCTTTTTTCAAACTACTACACAATTGTCAGCTAACTCTGTGAATCAGAAATTATTAGGTTTTCTACTCAGCTATTAATTCTAAGTGTTTTTTGTTAATCACTTCTCTGAGTTCTACCTGTAAAACAAATATTTTGAGACTTAATTGGAATAGGAATTTCTTATGTTTTTGTTGATATTATATTTATGTTCCAATTTCATGATAAAAGCTACTTGCTTCATTACAATTTCAAATTTGTAATGCAATTCCAAGTTTAATTGGTTTTCACCTAAATACACAATAGCTTATTAAATTAAAACCTACTCTTTGAACTTATAATTTCAATTTTTCTTTTGTTTATTTTGTAAGCTCTGTGGTGGTTTATAAAATTGTAGCCAGGCATCAGCAGTTCTTGTAGTACTGCTGATGTGTACAAACTTCTGTAAAAACTTTATTTTTACAGAATTGAGTAAAAAATACCTATTGTGTTGCCATGAGTAAATTGGTGTGTCTATGTATAATGTAAAGATTGCTCTAGCTGGCTGAGGGGAAAATGTGAGGTCATTATTACTATTTTCTTTACTCTTTGAACATTTTCACACCAAAGAAAAGGTGGAAAAAAAGTGCAAGATAGTGTTGGTGGGAGGAACACTTATTCCCCGTGTCTCATGTCTTCATGTGGAGGGCTTCCACTGGTTAATGTTCCTAGCCTCTCTCTCCACCCACTGGAGGGAGATTGACTCCCTGATTATGTTTGGAGAATAACTAGGCACCCATGTCCTATATACCCTTCTAGTTCCTTCCCTGTGGACTCTGGCTGCCAGCAGAAAGAATGTGTCCTGGCAGTTCTCTGCCTTGTGCAGAGAATAGCCTGTAGCCAGCCCAGCCAGTGACAGAGTGAGTCCAGAGGTGTAATATATTGGCAGGCCAACCTGGCTGCAGCCCTGAAGCTACCTTCCCGTTTTATTAGCAATAGTTACTTTGACCTCCATCGACCTGACTCCAGCTCTCTCAGTTCCAAACTTGGATAGGAAGGAGGGTGTTCTTTACTGGATCCCTCAAAAATTCATGGAACCTATATGACCAGATTCTGATTACCTTCACTTCCTTACCACCAGCTTTACTCACCTAGTTTATTGCAATTTCAGTAGCCTCTCAATTGCCTTCCTTGTTTCCACTCCTGTCCCCCTTACAGAACATATCACCAAGTGTGATTCTTTTAAATGAAAGTCAGGTATTGACATACGTCTGCTCAAAACCCTCTCCCTATCATGGAGTAAATGCTGAAGTCCTTCACATGCATAACCTGCTCATGACCTCAAGAGCTCCTCTCCTTTCTCCCCTTGCTCACTCCATCCCAACCCACACCTGCCTCCTGGCCACTCCCCAAACCTGCCAGGCACATTCCCAACCAAGGACTTTTGCACTTAGTTCTCTCTGCCTGTAAACATCTTCCCCCAGACAGCCACATAGCTTGTTCTCTCCCTTCCTGTCACCTCAGTGAGGAGCGTTGCCTCATCACCCCACTGAAATTTACAATCCCTCACTGCTCCCAACCCTGACATATTCCTCATTCTCTTTAGCACTTACCACCAGCAAGCTCAAAAAGCGTACCATAGATGGAAATTATGGCCAAAATGACTTCTAGTAACAGATGTACTAGATTATCCTGCTTCCACAGGCTTTTCCGTCTCCTAAAGCCTGAAAATACTCTGAGCTCTCACATGGCACATTGTTGCATTCTTGCTGTATTCGGAATATGTGTGCTTGTCCCTGCTCTGAAGGCACTTCTGTGCATGTGTCCACCACAGAGCCCTATGTGCTAAGGTCCTTTCGTGTCTGACAAGGAAGGGATGTGGTTTTAGTCAAGTAACCAAAGCAGAGGAGTCAAGATTTTTGCTTTCCTTTTATCCCCTTCTTGGCCTTGTACAAACTTTGGATATTATGGGCAAGCTGATCACTGCATCTTAAAAATGGAACTACATAAAGCTCTGGTCAGAGGAAATGAAATATGGGGACAAACTTGTGAAATAATGGCAAGATAGGAGCTTTAGCTTAAAAAGATGTTTAGGAAAGATAGATATGACTACGGTCAAACTATGAATCGTATGGATAAGGAAGACTAGTTGACCATAAATGTAGTCTGTCAAATAATAATAATATTTGACCAAATTTCAGATCTGTCTGTCTTCATAAAAGACAGTTACCTAGAACAGCGTTTGAAACATAATAAATGTTTCCTGAATTAAACTAAAAGTATAATCCTTACTTTGGGACTTCTTTTTTTTTTTTTTTTTGAGATGGAGTCTCAGTCTGTTGTCCAGGCTGGAGTGCAATGGCAGGATCTCAGCTCACTGCAACCACCACCCCCAGGGTTCAAGCAATTTTCCTGCCTCAGCCTCCTGAGTAGCTGGGGTTACAGGCATGCGCCACCTCGCTCGGCTGATTTTTGTATTTTTAGTAGAGACGGGGTTTCACTATGTTGGTCAGGCTGGTCTTGAACTCCTGACCTCATGATCTGCCCGCCTCGGCCTCTCAAAGTGTTGGGATTACAGGGGGACTTTTATTATAGATGGAAATTATAGAGGATTTAAGGAAAATATTTAATCTACCAACTTCACTATCTATCATATATCTTATTTACTGCATCTAAAACCAATTTAACAGTGGTATAATATCTATCTATTTGCTGTAGCTTAAGATTCATTAAATAAAATATCTGTATTTTTGGCAAATATTCACACAAACCAAGAAAAAAAGATTCCCAGATTTTTATTTCTGGAACTGTACACCAGGTATTAAAGTACAACAAATACAAAATAATGCTCAAAAAAATCAGTGTTTATGTACAAATATTAAAATCAATGCAATAGCAACTTCCTCTTGAACATCTGATACTGAAACTTGTTCTGATTGTCACTAATTTATCTCATACTCACAGGGTACTTATTTCAAACTGGGACAATTGGAATCACTGGTCATCTAAGAGGAATATTAATATCTACCATATTTAACAATAAAACTAATAGTTTCCTCCATTTAGTGAAAAAATTAGGAACTTTTTAAAAAACATAGTAACGTCAATATTTTATAAATTATTTCAATTTCCATTTGTAGACAATGTGCTTTGAAACTCTGGGCAAACAATCTCCTTGGTGGTCAGGTTTATTTGTTAGTTTACATTCAAAGTTGAAATATTCACTAGAGACTTTGGTTAAATTAAATAGTATCACTATGCTCTATTAGATCTGATGTTCTCAAATATTTATGAGCCTCAACATTTTAAAAATTAAAAAGGAAATGATTGCACAATTCTTTGATCTAATTGTACAAATTTTAGTATTTTTTAAACAGTATTCTACATCCTTCAAGTAAATTCAGCAGCTGACCATGACAAGAGGAAAACTAAACATTTAAAAAGCTAGCATGAAAAAGATGAAGTACAACTAACAAATGTATTGCTATAATCACAGCACCAGTTACACTTCTAAATGAATCCACTGTCCTTTTCAAATTCCCTGTACATAAAAGATATATCAGCCAACACTGCAACTGCTCACCATGAATTTTTGGTTTGTTCATAAGAAAATAATGGGGCAAAGGAAAAAAAAACAAAAAGAATTTATCACAGTTTGTTATAAGAATTGTGCTTAACACTTGATAATAAAGGCATTATTGTTTCTTCACATGATTGCAAATCCGGTTGTTTTCTTGCTTCCAAATGCAATTCTTTTAATAAACAGTAACAAATTCTCTGTTAAGATGTTTAAACTGAGAGAAAAAAAAAACCCAGTAAATCCAGCTTTTAAAAGAAAATTCAATAAATAGCTATTTTACATGGATAAAGTCATAGTGGTACAATTTATGAATGTCACATCAAGCATGCACAAAAATGGTATTATACATGGCAGAAGTAGTCAGAAAATATTGAATTAGATCTAAAAAGATATGAAGAATTTACACTTATATACAAAAATCTTGCAAATTATTGCCTCATTTTAACAAGGAATTAAAAGTAAACATTACCAGCTAGTTAGCACTCTCTAAGAGGCTAAAATCAGATTGACATTTAAAAATCTATTAAACTAGCTGGAATTTATTTTTCTCTCATACCATTTTCTGGATTTTGGTCAAAAATCTTTATTTAAATAACTAAAGTGTCCATTCAACTTGCTGATAATCAAAACTTTAGATAAGAAACACTGTTTCCATCTTATATCAAGACCCCAGCAATGCATAGATAAACTGAATATATTACTGCATCAGCTACTGAGAATGGGCATGTTCATTTAAGTGCAACTGGTATTAGCATTCAGTCATCTTTGTGTAAATTATTTATACAGACCAGCCACTGTAAACCCAGAGTGAAAATTAAGGTTATAACAATGGAAGATTATGGCCAGTATCTTACTAAATTATAGAAAGTGTACTGATTTTTAATAAAAGAAATAAGGTTCAAAGTTTAGCACAACAACACAGCAATAAGAAGCTGACAACTTGGATAAAAATACAAGAAAGTAACACAGAGCCCAGGCTACCCATTATTTACTGTGTGCATACAGGAATGCTATACTTCAGATGTATAAATTAGAGACTGATTTTAAGTTATTAATTTAACTACTTTTTGTCCACTGTGCTAAACTAAATTTTATACTAATGTGCTACTGCGTAAACACTTCAAAGCAATCTTCATTAAAATGCTGCAAAGAAAAACAAGAATACACATCATCCAAAACTAAGGATGTCATTGCAGTTCACAGTTTGTATAATAAATACCCTCCCTTTCAATCACTACTAAGATCACTACATCCTATCTACTCATCAGCACAACCTTGAAGCAACTTATACTTACAAATATTAGCAATGCAGCCAAACATTTGTTTTTTGCAAAGCAACTAGTAAAAATCAAGAATTTTAATTAAGACGGTGCAAACAACATAATTCTCTATTTTAACAGTACTACAAAAGCAAAGATTACATCCTAATACTGTATTACATATTGTTTGATTCACCTTATAACTTAAAAATGCATGTTTATAGCACAAAAATGGCCAAAGTTTAGGACAATGGCTTCTCATTCACAATATTTGGAATAAAAATAAAACTGAGTTTGAGATACATCTGAACATCTATCAATTTTTAAAACTTAAAAGTGGTAATGTACCATTCTATTTCAGATAGGAACTCACATTATTCTTGCCAACTGTTCAAGCTTAACAAAAAAGCTTAAATATACTTCAAGGTTCTACTGCATTAGGTATAAAATCTAGAAGTCCCTCTAAATATTAACACTTTGAACTGCAGTGCTACAAACAACTTAAAAGATGTCCCAAAATGTAAACCATTGAGTGGCAACATCCTAGGCTTTGTAGACTGTGCCTCTGCAAGTCGACTGCCTCAGGATAAACTAAATTATCAATGACTGGTATGATTTTTAAGATTACAATCTTGACAATGGTGGACAAAACCCCATCTGAGTACCACATCTTCAAATGCCAAAACTGTAGCCAATAAATGAAGTTACACAGAAATCTCCTGGCAGTAACATGACCAATTCTGTGTAAGGTAGCCCTGGTCTAGAATTTTGAAACAGGATCCAAGCAAGCGTCTTCATTATTTGCACACAGTTCCTTGTGCTGGCTTCCATAAAGATGGACTTGCTGTTTTGTAAACTGAAGTGCTCTAGTTGAATAACATGAGAGAAGTTTCCATTTTTAAAAAATCCTTGCATGTTTGTGCAGTTTAAAGAAACCTACCCCTGCTTTTATTAAGAAAATAAAACCAAAAAAATGCTACATTGAGCAGGGATCGGGATCGGTACCTGTAAACATTGTTATTCCACTGCATCCATTACGGCAAAAGGAATTTACACAAAAACAGGCCACACCATTCAGTTCAGAACATCTGTGCTGGTTTTGAGCTGGTGGCCTCTGTCTACAGGTTTTAAAATTGGGAGTGAGGGCAGTGGGGAACACAAAAGAATAGAAAAAGAAGGGAGTGGGGAAGAGGTATTGGGAGATGAGGAAGAGAGAAGCAGAGCTTAAAGCTGCACCACAGAGTTCAATCTTAGTTCCCAACTCTGCTGATCATAGTTCATTTCCACATTTATGGATTGAAAAATGAAAATACTCTTGATAAATCAAGATATAGTTCTATACATACTGACATCACTGATGTCATAGTGAGAAAGGTTCAAACTTCCAGTGAAAGACTATGCAAACCTGATAGCTCCCCTCAAGTTTACTGGTGCTGCACACGCAGTTCCGGGATCCTCACTCAGGTCACTCAGAGTGTAGGGCCGCGTGCTGATGCAGAGCATGGGCACTGATGAAACCATTGGTCTCGTTGGCAGAGAGACTGCCAAAGTCAGCCACAGAAACAGCCATTTTGGCACTGGTGATGTGATGTGTGTGATTTTCAAAGTCCACACCCAGGTTATTTACAGAAACTTCATTCATAAAGGATTCAGGGACGGCAATGCCCATTTTCAATCTTTTTGCTGGTCTCTCTGACTCTTCACTGCACATGTTCATAGGGTTTAGCTCCGAGTGATAAAATCCAGTCTCAAATAAATTAAAACAATCACTTTCCCCATTGCTGGGCAGGGTGAGTAACTCTTCTGTTACAACAGGCACATGATTAACTTGTCCACGGGGTGTGTTGCCCAGTGGAGGAAAGCTATCATCCAAACAATTCACATCTGTGGGGTCGCAGACGGTTGCTACACTGTTGGTCAAAGCTAAAAAGGAATGGAAAATTGTTTAAGTAAGTGGTCCTATGACATCAAACAGAGGACACAATTTTGCAACAAACTGTACTAAATGCAGAAAGGTCTTCATTTTACCTGTCAAGTCACTGGCAGTGAAGGAGTTGAGAATGTTTAGCTGTTGATCAGGAATAGGCTCAGGCCGGTTAGAAGTTAAGGCTGAAGCATTTACCGTCCCACCCAAAGCTTCTGTTTCATCTACTAAACGATCCATATAGTCCCTGAAAAACACACCCCAGTAATTTTATGACTATATATTACAGTTAAAAGTAAGTCTTTGAAGGCAAGGCCACAGTACTTACGTAACTCCAGGGTGATGGTTATATCTTTTTTTCCCAAATCTTGTCTGTTGAGCAAAGTAATCATAACGTTCAGATTTCTTCCACATATAGTAGAATGCTACACACTCAGCAACTGTCCTAGTTCTCACCTAATGAAAAAGTTGAATTTTTAAAAAACCAACAAACTCAACCATTTTTTTAAGCAACTTTTCTTTTCCACAACACTACAACTTCAATCCATGGGTCTTATTTTCCCATTATATAGTTCTGAACACTTTTAATAAATTATAAAGTTCTGAACACTTTGATTAGTGGAATGCCTTTACATTTAATAATGAGGCCATTTTCGAAAGCCCAAGGTTTTTTTTTTAAAAAAATCAGAATGTATTAGTTTATAAAACAAGTGTGTATCCAGAAATTATCTTACACCTTCACTGAAAATCTTAAACACTAGCATTCTTTACTTTTCTTTACTGAGCTCTGTGATTTTGACTACAGTGAGGGTTCTTAACTTTGGATTAACTAACCCCTGAGGGGTCCATAAATGGATTTCATTGAGATCTATTAATTCACAAAATTATATTTAGGTATATTTTTCTGGAGAGAAGGAATGCAGCCTCATCAGATTTGAGTTCCACTTTCCAAAAGAGATTAAGAACCCTTGGCAAATGGACCAACGGTCTACAGCATCTGGAATTTAAGATGACTTGCTAGCTAAAGGCAGGGCTTTCTCCCTCCAGTATGTTTGGTTTTTAGATCCAACAGATTTTGGAAACAACAACAATAAAATTTGAGCCTCACCACCTTGGCTCCACACCCAAACCAGGGTTCCTCTAACCACATACAGCCACAGATATGAATTCAGATGTATGAACAAAATTCTTCATCCTTATCCAATAAATGCTTTCTCCCTTGCTTAATCAGTACCCGATAAAGAAGTTTCAGTATCTCTAACCTGACTCCTGAGTAAGTTGTGATATAAGATTACTAATATGGGAATAAGCTTTTTAAACCAAGAAATACAGTATACCTTTCAATAAACATCATTAACTATAAGTCTTCGCAGAGAATGCAGGCTTCGTGGGGCTACAGACCTTTTCTGTCTTATTCACTGTTGTATCTCTAGTGCCTAAAACAATGTCTGGTAAGTGAAGTGGAAGGACATAACTGTTTACGGAATGAATGGATAGAGTAAATTTCATAAGTCATTACAAAACTGATGGTTTTTTTTACTTAAAAGGACAATCCAGACTTCTTTAAAAATGTCTTAAATTATACGCTTTATCTCATCTTTGAGAAACATTAGATTTTCAAACATACAGAAAGTGTGAAATTTTCAACATCAATACTGGAAGGTCTAGCTAATGCAGTAAGACAAGAAAAAGAAATAAAAAGTATACAGATTGGGAAGGAAGAAATAAAACTGTCTCTGTTTACAGGTGACATGACTGTCTACGTAGAAAACTCCAAAGAATCAACAAAAAATCGCCTGTAACTAATAAGCACTTACAGCAAAGTTTCAGGAGACAAGGTTAATACACAAAAGTCAACTGCTTTCCTATATAACAGCAATGACGATTGAAATTTGAAATTTAAAACACAAGACCATTTACATTAGCACCCCAAAATTAAAATACTTGGGTATAAATATAACAAAATATATGCAAAATCTGTATGAGAAAAACTACCAAACTCTGATTAAAGAAATCAAAGAAGAACTTAACGAAGAAATATTCTATGTTCATGGATAAGAAGACACTTCATTGTTAAGACGTCAGTTCTTCCTAGCTTGATCTACCGATTTAGCACAAACCCAATCAAAATCCCAGCAAGTTATTTTGTGGGTATCAACAAACTAATTTTATATGGAAAGGCAAAATACCCAGAATAGCCAACATAGTATTACGAAAAGATAAAATCAAAGTACTGACAGTCCCCAACTTCAAGATTTACTATAAAGCTATAGTAATCAAGACAGTATGGTATTGGGGGGGTGGGGAAAGACAAATAGATTAAAGGAACAGAAGAGAGAGCCCAGAAATACACCCCACGGGTACAGTCAACTGATCTTTAACCAAAGAACAAAGGCAATTCCATGGAGGAAGAATGTCTTTTCCACAAATGATGCTAGTACAACTGGACATCCACATAAAAAAAAAGAGAAATGAATCTAGACATAGACCTTACTCCTTTCAAAAATTAACTCAAAATGGATTATAGACCTAAATGTAAATGCAAAACTATAAAGCTCTTAGAAGACAACAGTAGAAAATCTAGGTGACCTTAGGTTTGGCAATGATTTTTTTAAATAAAATGCTAAAAGTGTGAACAATCAGATGAAATTCTAAGTTGGACATAATTAAAATTAAAAACTTTTACTCTGCAAACACACTGGCAAGGGAATAAAAAGACAAGCCTCAAAATGGAAGAAAATATTTGCAAAACATGTATCTAATAAAGGACTAGAATCCAAAATATACAAATAACTCCTTAAACTCAACAAGAATACAAACCACCCAATTAAAATCTGGGCAAAAAATCTGAATGAACACCTGAAAAAAAAACACACAAATGGCAAATAAGCATAAGAAAAGATGGTCAACATCATCCTCATGAGGGAATTACAAATTAAAACAAAAAAGAGATGGCATTAAAAACTATTACAGTGGTGAAATCCAAAACACTGACACCACGAAATGCTGGTGAAGATGTAGAGCAATAGAACTCATTCATTACTGCTGGAAATACTAAATGGAAGACAGTTTGGCAGTTTCATGCAAAATAAACACATTTTCACCATTCTATCCTGTAATCCTTACTCCTTCGTATTTGGACAAATGAATTGAAAACCTACATCCACATAAAAACCTGCACATGAATATTTATAGCTTTAATGATAATTGCCAAAACTTGGAAGCAACCAAGGTATCCTCTAACAGGTAAGTGAATAAATACACTGGTACATCCATATAATGGAATACTATTCAGTGATAAAAAAAAGAATGAGCTATCAAGCCTCAAAACAAACACAAACAAACAAAAAACCCCATGGTGAAAACTTAAATGCATATTGCTAAGTCAAAGAAGCCAATCTGAAAAGGCTGCATACTGTATAATTCCAACTATATGACATTCTGAAATGGCAACAGTACAGACAATAAAAAGATCAATGGCTGCTAGAAGTTGTTAGGGAGGAGGGGGAAGGGACAGAGGGAAGAATAAAACATGAGATTTTCAGGTCAGTGAAGCTACTCTGTATGATACTGTACTGGTGGATATGTATCATTATATATTTGCCAAAATCAATGGAATGTACAACATGAAGAGCGAACCTTAATGTAAACTATGGACTTTAATTAATAATAATGTATCAATATTGGCTCATTAATTTTAACAAATGTACCACACTATTAATAATAAAAGATATAATAATAACTATAGGAGTGGAAGGGACATAAGGCAACTCAATACTTTCTGGTTAACTTTGCTGTAAACCTGAAACTGCTCTAAAAACTAAAGTCCATTAGCTTTTATAAAAGCATAAAATACTGAGCTACCCACCAAAATGCTTCAGAACCCTGCCTTCCTTTAGGATGAAAAGAGGAAATAAACAGAGCATATTTTAATGAGAATTATTCCAAACTATTCTAATGAACATACATATGTATTTTGAATAGACTTTAGTTTTTAAGAGTAGTTTGAGGTTCACAGCAGAACTGAGCAGAAAGTAGAGAGTTCCTATATATCCTGAAGTTCTACTTTCAACATCCTACATTGGAGTAGTGTATCTGTTAAAAAAATCAATGTACCTACACTGACACATCAACACGCAAAGACCATGGTTTACATTAGGGTTTACTCTTGATGATGTACATTCTATGGGTTTTGACAAATGTGTAATTACATGTCTCTATCATTACAGTATCATCATACAGGGTAGTTTCATTGCCCTGAAAATGGTCTGTGCTCTGCCTATTCACTTCTCCCTCCTGCCTCGGCCCTGGCACCAGTGATCTTTTTATTGTTTCCATAGTTTTGCTTTTTTCAGAATATCATATATTTGGAAAGCTACAGTATAGAGTCTTTTCAGATTGGCTTCCTTCACTTAATAATATGCATTTAGGATTTCACATGTCTCCTTGCGGCTTGTTAGCTCAATTTTTTTAGTGCTGAATAATAGTCCAGTTCTGGAGGTGCCACACTTTGTTTATCCTTTCACCTCAAAGGACATACAGGTTCCTTCCAAGTTTTAGCAATTATGATGAAAGCTGCTATAAACACTTTTGTGTGGACATAAGTTTTCAACGCATTTGGGTAAATGCCAAGGAACAGGATTATTTAATTATACGGTAAGAGTATGGTTGGTATTATAAGAAACTTCCAAGCTATCTTCCAACGTGGCCATACCACTTTGCATTCCTACAGGCAATGAATAAGAGTTCCTGTTGCTTCCCATCCTTACCAGCATTTGGTGGTGTTAGAATATGTTTCTAGTTGTTTTAGTAACAATGTTTCTTCCTTCAGCAACAGCTACTCTCACTGCTGAAGAGAAATTATTTTGAGGCCACAAACCTCTGAATGGCTTGATAAGAAAGGAAAGTCAAGGAGAAATGAGAGTGAGACTTCCTAAAAAATACAGTGAGTCCACTTTCTGTGTCAACTGTTTATGTGAAAAGATATGTGAATATACTATCAGCCATTCCATAAGCAGGCTGTGGCATCTCTGAGCAAATTAGTCATGTTAGAATGATATCTGAAATGCTATAAGGGAACATTAGTAAGTTGTTCTTTTTTCCTACTTAAGTGACTTATAAATTAGTTGCTTACATTCACTGTAACTAGTAATTTATCTGTACTAATCTGCCTAATTTACCTTATTCTTCTGTATAAGATGAAAATCTTTTCCAAAAAGCATGAGTGCATGTTCAAAGCTTCGGCATTCTTCTTCCGTCCATGCAGTCATTCCTTCTAAGAAAAATTTTAAAATAAAATTTATGGGCCCCCAAATTTTCTTATGTGAATCACTGATTTTCAGTATGTTTTCCCTGTAAAAGGTCACAAACTCTCTCTCTCTCTCACACACACACACTCTCTCTCTCACACACACACACACTCTCTCTCTCTCTCTCTCTCTGTATGCAGGAGATTTCAGTTAGAATTACCAAAAGCATGCATACTACAGTTCAAGTCTAGAATACAAAAATATAAACACTGCTTTTTTTCCACTACATTATGGGATGAGAATTTAAGTTTTCTATAACATGCCTGTTTTTCTGATTAAAAAAAATTTTTTTAAACAATGAGCGTATTTTTCAATTAGAAAAAAAAACTCTACCTCCTTTATTGGGGGAAAGAAGCTCTGTTTTGGTCTTACTTCAAAACCACAAGTTCTAGCCAGGTGCGGTGGCTCATGCCTGTAATCCCAGCACTTTGGGAGGCCAGCGCAGGAGGATCACTTGAGCCCAGGAGTTTGAAATCAGCATGGGCAACATGGAAAAACCCTGTCTTTACAAAAAAACAAACTAGCCAGGCGTGGTGGCGGGCACCTATAGTTCCGGCTACTTGGGAAGCTGAGGTGGGAGGATCACCTGAGCCCACGAGATCAAGGCTATACTAAGCTGTGATCATGCCACTGCCCTCCAGCCTGGGAGACAGAGTGAGACCCTGTCTCAAAAAAGACAAAAAACAAAACCACAAGTTCTTTAATTAGAGACCATAAGTAAAGCATAATCAACACATATTTATTTGAAATTGGTGTGTGGAGTGCTATACTCTGGAAATATAAAGGAAATAAGAAACAGTCCATGCTCTCAAAATAATAAATCCCATTCAATTTCCCAGCAGATGTTAATGTTGGTGAATTCCGTATCTACTTGGGGCAGAGACCTGGAAGGTCTTCAAAGAGTCACAGCCTAGACTTAAGATTAGTTATTACTCATCTGTATCTCTGAAGTGTCTCATTTGACATGGGAGACCAGGTCCCCAAAGCCATTAATAGCAGTCCGTAATAAAGGTGAAAAATAGTTTGAACTAAGGAAGAAACCAGTATTTTGAGAGTTTTGAGAGCCTAAAATAATTTTTTTTCAAAGAAGCAGCTTTTCTAAGGGAGACATTTTAATAGACTATCTCAATTCATAAGTTTAAATGTATTATTTTTAGTTTTAATACCTTCCCAAGTCATCTAGTAATATTACTAAGTATTATTTTCATTCTACACATATTTAATGAAAGCTATGGTGCATGCAATCCATTTATATAATGACAAAAAATACTGAAATAGAAGTTAACCATTTTCCTTGACACACACAAAACATAAGAACTATAAAATGTTATTACATGATTACTAAAAATACAATTCTTGAAATAAATTCAGCGGAATATATTATACATGTTTCTTTTTTAATCTTTAATCTCCTTTTCATTTCCTGTCTGGCTGAAAAAAAAAAAGAAAAAATCTTTTTTTCAATGAAATCATAAAACCATTCTTTTTAATTACTTTGGACATATTGTCATGTCTGGGGTCTGCTTTGTTCTGTAACTATTTCTTCCAGAAAGTAGAGGTGGCAGGGGGGTGACTAATTTGTGTTTGAACAGTCTCTGATACATCTAAAAATAGAGTGCAAGAAAAGGAAAAATTATTTGCTATGGAGCTGAACCAGATCTTACAAAAGTGTTACAGGATTGCTCTGTCCCTTAGGATACTTTGCTTATTCTGATCCCCAAATGACCATCCCTGTCATGTCCCTCTCTTAAACCCAAGTGTTTCTTACCTTGAGAGGCCTTTCCATTGCAGCAGTATCTTTCGATTGCTTCCTTTATATTGTGGTTACACTTGAGAAGTTCATATAATGCCTGGGATGGATATTCAATAAAAAGTATTAAAAGTTCATACCTAACAGCATTTTAAAAAACAGGTGTAAGAGTTTTGATAAATATTGGAGTCTTGATAAACACTGAAATCCTCTCTAATTTCAGGGCATTTGAAGGTATATTTGCCCAAGCATTTAGTCTATATAACTATCATGCAGATTGACTCTGGTACCATGTGAGTTTGTTCATCCTCATGCTACCTCTCAGAAGTCACCTGCCTGTATCATTCTTGACTTTTTTTTAAAAACAAACAAATAAAAACACTAGGTCTAAGATTAGAGTTTCCCCTATTTTAGATGTTTCTTTTTCTAGTTTGGAAAAATTAGTTACAGTCTGTCCCTTGATGTCATTTCCTCCCTGTCTCTTTTAGTTTTAATATAAGGGAACAGCAGCAGGCCTGGAATAATAGGCATGGCACTTCAGACTAGGATTATAACGGTCTCCGTTATTTCCATCTACTATGAAAGGTGCCACTTTTCAAAATTAGAATATATTCCTATTAAATCTGCTTGGAATTATGAACATAATAAACAGGAATAACAGAATTCAATTGAAAGTTAAATAATCTATCTACCTTCCCAAGTAAGTTTTAAGGAAGTGAAGATGGTTCAATATTAGGAAAACTTTTAATATATCAATAGCCTACATTTAAAAAAATCATCTCTGAGCTAATTACCCTGATCTGATCACTATACATTATGTGTATCAAGACATCACTGTGTACCTAAATATGTATAATTAAATTTCAATTTAAAAAAATCAAATCAACAGCTGCTTAAAAAGTATCTGATATTCATTTCTAATTTTAAAAAGAAAAAACCCATAATAGTTATAAATAGATGGATATTATCTTGCTGTAATAAAGACAGTAGAACCAAGGATCAGTATTATTCTTAATGTAAAAACCTTAGATGTATTACTTCCACCAAAAGCAGGCACCAAATCACTGTTATTACCAAATATCTCAGAGTTACAGCTAATGCATTAAGACATAAAGCAGGAATAATAATGGTAAGGAAGGAACAAAAGTGTAATTTAATAATGACCCGAAAACCAGAAAACCACTCCATAAATGTATGCAATTATGAGGTGTCAAAAATTATATTACCAATAAATTTTTTAAAAAGCAAACTAGAAAACCTGAGAAACACCTGAAAGAGTCAAGTAGTTTCAACAGTTTAAGATACATTTTTTAAAAAATTGATATTTCTCAACATCAACAATATACAATTATAAATATAATAGAGGGCCAGGCAAGGTGGCTCATGCCTGTAATCCCAACATTTTGGGAGGCTGAGGCAGACATATCACAAGGTCAAGAGTTTGAGACCAGCCTGGCGACAAAAATTAGCCAGGCATGGTGATGTGTGCCTCTAATCCCAGTTACTCGGGAGGCTGAGGCAGAAGAAGTGCTTGAACCTGGGAGGTGGAGGTTGCAGTGAGCTGACATTGCGCCACTGCACTCCAGCCTGGGTGACAGAGCAAGACTCCATCTTGGAAAAGTAAATAAATAAATAAATAAAATAGAGCTCCCCTTTCTAATAGCATTGAATACACACACATATAAAAGATATTGAGGTATTACTGAGATGCATGTGATATTCAAAAAAGCAAAAACATTTGAGTTTCTAATGTTATAAAGGTTTTAATTCTTCTAAAATTAATATAGACTTGAAATATCAATACAAAAACCCAATGGGATTTCTTTTTGACAGCTAGTATGACTTCCCTATGTTACTTCAGAATTCAAGTTTGTGTCTGCCTACCTCTGAATACTTATTAGTCAGGGTTGGTGATTCTCAGTGATAAAAGCATATGAAAGAAGCAGAATGATCTCAGAGGGGCAAAACTTAGGGGTATTCGAAAAGCTTAATAGGCAATGTTCCCATCCCCCATCCCACATGTGATCAGGAGAGTATTCTGAATCTACAGGTACACAAGCGCTTAACAAATGCTCCTAAGTCAAATTTATATAGTCTTAATAGACATTACTTTTTAATCACTTCCTAAATAAAGTTGAGAATAATTCAAAGAATACACTTATAAAATCTAAAAGTCCAACCACAGAGAATGTTTAAATAAATGAATTACAAGTATAGGATAAGTACACAGTATGTTGAAATTTAGGGAAAAATTTTTTTTAAAAAGTATAGGATAGACTATACAGACATCAAGAATGAGGTATTAAATAATTCTCAATGGCAAAGGAGAATAAGATTAATTAATTAAAAGGATATAAAATGGCATCTCAAGGAAGACATATGTAAAGGTATTTTTTTAAAGACCAGAAGAAAAGATACAAAACTACAGTGAAGTTATCTCTAGAACTCAAGGTTATGGTTTTTTAAACCAGTATTTTGCATATTTTAAAACTCTTATCAGAAAAGATATCTACCTCACATGTTAAAAATATCTGTATCAAATATAAGAAATCAAGAAGATACTGTAAACTGGCTGCTGTTTCAACAGAAGCTGAAGTATACCTGTTCATTGTCCCTTGTGTGTGTTCCTGCAGAAATCCTATCCATTATTTTTTCACTGCCAGTCCTTAATGAAGTCTCAACAAGGTATTCCTTAACTTTGCTCTCCAAAACCACATCAGGACACCAAAGTAACTGGTCTTCGTTTTCATATACTGATAAAGAAAATCCCATTAACACATTAAAAATCATGAACGCACTCAAAGATGTACACAAACAATTCTTTGTCTTCCTTGATTGGCTATCCAGTGGGACAAGTAAATAACTTTGAAGACACCAGTAATCCGATTATCCGTTAAGTAGGGCCTTTCACACACAAGCGAAAATTTAACTTTATTATAGGCCAAGGATTCCAGGGGCCAAAGCAAGTAGCTTTTTTGGTGGTTGGATATACTGACCAATCTGAAGGCTCTCCATGCCTAGTAAAGTCTAATATAAAACCCCATAGTGGTTATCTTATACTCTTCTAATGAAGGGGCAAAAATAACCTGTGTAAATTCTCTAATAACCTCATTGGACTTTTCTCTTGAAATCCCTAAATTGCTCTATGAAATCTCTAGAGGTTCAAAATTGCAAATAAATAAAACCCAAAATATCTGGTAATAAGGAAATACCTAAGAAGGGTATACTTTTTCTCCCAACAAGATAACTTTTATTTAAAGGAGAAAATAGATTAACCAAACCTCCCTAGGGAGGTTTTTGGGAAGAGGGAGAAACAGTAAGAAAAGTAAACTTTCCACAATCTCTTAAAGACACTGATATATTAATGAACAAAATGTCATTAAAACAAGTTTATGTTTTATTAATGCACTCTGCCACTTTACTCAAAGCTTCTACTTTACACTATAAAGTAATATGAATGGCCCAAGTATTTAGTCCAGTGCTTCAAGTGCAATCTGTTCTTCAAGTGCATAATAAATACTGACTATAGCTAATAAAAATAATTTACCGAGAACACACTACCAGATACCAGGGACCATGATAAGGGCATTATCATCCCAACTGTAGGAGGCAGGCATTGTCATTGCCAGTTAGAAGGAAAGTTAAAAATAAAGTGTGCCTGTGAAGCAGTAAGACTTGACTTTTGAGAGAAGTTCCTAGAACTTTCTTTACTCTTTGGTCACAAGTGAAATAGGTAAAACAATTTGGGTTTATTCCCTCAAAAGACAGAGAAAGTACACCTTCCCTCCAATCTGCAGCACTGACAGAATATCACCTCTACTATGTGTGACCTAAGGACCTACAGTTGCTGAGTATGTACTTGGCTCAAAGGCCAAGTGTGGCATTTGGGTGGTGAGGTGAGAAGGCTGGCACATCTGAACATCATCAGCTATGTTTTGCTTCCCCTGGGATAACTGTCTTTTAACACTTTGAAAGCAGTTTAGGAAAACGGTGTTCCTAGTGGCTGCCATGGCTAACAACCCCAGGGTAACCACTCCTCCCCTCCTTTAAATGGAGGATGACCTGGCATGGAGGAAAGGAAAAAAGAAGGACTCAGGAAGTATTGTGTTGGGTGCTGCTTTTGCCCTTGTGACTTCACAAGGATAAATCAACTTAGGGAAAAGGCCAAACACCCATGGAAATATTCCCAAGTTCAACTAAGAAGGTTTACCTATATTTTTATATCCTACTACCTTATCCCCTCCATATTTTGAAAACCAACTACAGTTGGAATGCACCAAAAACATGAGGAAAAACTGATTACACATAATTAGGAGTATACAAGTGAAAGCAGATCCTTACATTTCACTTCCTGCTCTTTTGGGGCTGGGGAAGGAGAATTTCTTCCAGTCTCTTTTTCCCTCAAGAGTTTTCTTTCCAGAAGATTATATCTTAACATTCTCATTATCTCAGGTGATGAGATCCTACCCACTTCTACTGAAGCAGGATGAAGGCCAAGGTACAGCACCGTGGGAGGCTCCCCATTATTCGAACAGGCACTGAGCACACTGGCTAATAAGCACTATGTGTGCCTTGGGCAGGGTTGGGGGTGGGGGGAAACTCTGAGTCTAGTGATTAACTTTGATACATTTTTCCTAAGTCAGGCCTAAAAATCCTAACTCTGCATGTTTCCCAAATCTATCTATCTATTGCCAAGGCTGGTATAAAGCCAGATATTTAAATACACTTATCAAGTGGTAACCTTATCTACCAAACATTATCAAAATCAAAAGCTTTCCTTACCTTTCTCATTACCATCGTACTCTCCAAGATAAGGGGGAATCTCTGCCTGATATTGTAAACCAATCATTATTTCCTACAGGAAAATTGAGAGGTAAAAATAACTTATTAAAAAAAAAATACTGAAAAAAAGCCCCATATCATTAATCAGTTTCTACAAGTCAAAACAACAAAATTATCATAAATCATTTCAGAAATATTTTTAAAAGCCAATTTAGTCCACTATATTAACTCAGCTTACCTTCCTCAAATCTTCAGGTGAATTACCACTGTCTGTTTCAACATCTTCAACCTCTGATTCCTTATCACCATCACATGCAGTATTTGCTTAAAAGACAAAAATTAAAAAGGTTTTTACTGCCTATTTTTGCAGAACCTGGAAGAATGCCTGTTGTATTTTACAAAATGTTGTTAAATATGTGAGATCAGCATAAGTATACTAAACCACCTGCATGTTTCTCACAATCGACATTGGTCAAAATGAGACACTGAAAATCCTAATAAAGTGTATAGTATCCTGGCCGGTGCAGTGGCTCTCATGGCTGTAATCCTAGCACTTTGGGAGGCTGAGGTGGGTGGATCGCTTGAGGTCAGGAGTTTAAGACCAGCCTGGCCGACAGGCTCTACTAAAAATACAAAAAAATTAGCCGGGCGTGGTGGGGGGTGCCTGTCATCCCAGCTACTCGGGAGGCTGAGGCAGGAGAATCGCCTGAACCTGGGAGGCAAAGGTGGCAGTAAGCCAAGATCACGCCATTGCACTCCAGCCTGGGCAACAGAGTGAGACTCCATCTCAAAAAAAAAAGTGTATAGTATCCTGATAATTATTATGGTATACTATTAAATAGTTTGGGAGGTAAAAGGAAACCACTGTGGTCACCTTAAAAAGAAAGTAAAACACTGGAGTTCTGATTATACTAATCCAGGAGATACACACACAGAGTTGCATATCAGGTCCATCAAAACTGTTTTTGTACACACACGAATGCATGGATATTTGAACTTATTGACCAAACAGTTCTTCTATCATAAAAATACCTAAAAAAAAAAAGTGAGATTGCATCTAAGAAATTATTTTAGTCCAAACATTTTATTTATTTATTTTTAGAAACAGGGTCTCACTCTGTCACCCAGGCTGGAGAGCAGTAGCCTGTTCATGGCTCCCTGTGACCTCAAAGTCCTGAGCTTCAGTGATCCTCCTACCTCAGCCTCCCAGATAGCTGGGACTACATGTGCATGCCACTATGCCCAGCTAAGTTTTTTATTTGAAAATTTTTTTGTAGAGACAGGGTCTTGCTATGTTACCCAGGGTGGTCTAGAACTCCTGGCCTAAAGTGATCCTCTCATCTCAGCCTCCCAAAGTGTTGCAACCACACAACCAACCCCAAAACCTTTTAAATATTACTGATAAACATTAAGAGGTAACACCAAGAACTAATAGGAAAAAGATGAATCATTAAAAGTAAAAATACCTTTTGAGCACTGATAAGTTTTCAAAACCAGGAGAGCAGGAGCCTTTTAATAGAAATTCAAATAAAGGTCTATAAAATTTTGTGGTCAAACTAAGAATGATTACCATAGCAACAGATGAGTCTTGAGAAGGAAAATGGCCTTGTAAAAATAAAGTCAATATTTCCATTTTTATTTTATCTTATTATTATTATTATTATTGAGACAGAATCTCTCTCTGTCACCCAGGCTGCAGTGCAGTAGCATGATCTCCAGCTGGCTGCAACCTTCACCCCCAAGGTTCAAGTGATTCTCGTGCCTCAGCCTCCCAAGTAGCTGGGATTACAAGTGCATGCCACCACACCTGGCTAATTTTTTGTATTTCTAGTAAAGAACAGGTTTCACCATGTTGGCTAGGCTGGTCTCAAACTCCTGGCCTCAAGTGATCTGTCTGCCTCGGCCTCCCAAAGTGCTGGGATTACAGGTGTGAGCCACTGCACCTGGCCAAATATTTCAATTTTTAAATGGCATATTAGTTCACCTCTATCCCAAAAGAAAGGTTATAATCTTGTTTAAATTATAGAAGTATTTTATCTCAACCACATAAAATATTAGAATATTCTGACACAAATTACTGAACACAATAAAATGTACTAAAGCTACAGTATCAATGTTACTATTTATCAGTAATCCACTGGGTTTCTTACATCGTAAAGGCCTAGGGAAGAAATCAGAAGTTTCATGGGAAGTCACAGATGGCGTCAGATCATCCGCAGAAGACTGAGTTTCCTCGTCATCACCTGACAACAGGTCTTTTGCTATTTCCTCCTGGAAGAATAAGAAGGCAGTGCTACAGTTAGAAATGATTACATCTCATTAATTAAGAAAACTATCTTTTTATAACATATCATTAAGAAGCAGTTGGAACCTTATGAGAGAAATATGAAATTCTCCTATGATTTACTTCATGTACATAAATATTTAATATTATATATTATATAATATTCAATAATATACTATTAAATGATAATCAGTGCAACCATATACTAAAACAATTGCCTAATTTGTGGGTATGCAGAGAGCTTATCTAAAGCTGTAGGCTAATTTTTAGTGAATTTACAACAAAAACAGTCTGACTTTTAAGTGGTTAACAATTATATTCATTTTCTGTCAATAATAAAACTGAAAAAATGCCTCCAACCTCCACTCTTCCAATAATTTAAAAGTCCGACTAATGAACAGCACTGACTACTGACATAATTTTAAAAGAAACAAGTTTGAATTAATTTTTATGTAAGTATACAGTCATCCTTGTGCCTAGCACAAAGTAGCCACTCAATAAATACTTGTTGAATGACTATGGTCATTAAGGTCTGTGGTACATTAATATCACATTGACTTAAAAGTGGGAACAATATAACTCACAGGAAGAGGTTCCAAGATGTGGATTCCTCTCCCTGCCTGAGATCTGAAAGGCAAGGAAAGGTTCCCAGGGATCTGTTAGCAGAGGCCATGGCCGTGTGAATTTTCCTCAGCAGGGACTAGGCCTCCCCACAACCAGCCTACGTTAGAGATGGATCACCGCGGTCTTGGCTGCTGCGGCCGCTGTCACTCCCAGAGCCAAGAAAACAGAACTTCTCTCCAACCACTCCACGCCTAAGCCAGCTTGGTTTGAAGGCTTCTGGGGGATTTATTAATCAAGGCTTTTATGTGTTTATAGGATCAAAAGAAGTTAAGGCAAAATCTAAGTTTAGATACAATGTGTCTACACAGGAAAGATGAAAACATTATGGGAGAATATTCAGGCATGCAAAGTACCATGAAGCTGCTATTAATACTACTCTTAACATAGGGTGATCAAAGCCAAACAAAGTTTAAATCAGCCACCAAAATAAGCACAATGGGTCAACAAGAAGTTTACATTTAAGAATTATTAAATAATACTTTAAATGGAAGTAAAAGCAGTCAATGGTAACAGACCCTGAATTTTTCTTTCAAATGCTCACACTTACTTTGTCTAGTGTCATGTCTGGTAGTTCATCTGCCAGTTCACTTGGGGAACTATTTGCACTGGAATTTGCAACTGCTGGAATTGTAGGTTCATAGCCATAGAATGCCAGTAAATCTTCTAGAGGCATGGTTCCTTCCTGTTCAAGCCAGGGCATAAACACGGACTCAGCAGATGTCACAATACTGAACTGCAGGTAAACTGTACTGTCCTTAGGTTCAGAAAGCACATTATCAAAACAGCAGAACAAATCAAAGGCAAGTTTCAGTTTTTCTTTTTGTGCTGTTGTCAGAAAACAGGACCAAACACCTGGAGCTATAATTAATGTATAAACAACAGCCTAACAATTAACACCTTAGTTTTTATTTTCTAGAAGCATTTTACTATTTTAAAAATTCCTCAAATATTTGCTTTAGTGCCTTTTTTTTTGCTTTCAAGTTAACATAAAGATTTGCCCTGAAAACATTTCCAATTAATCAATCAATAACTTGTAATTCACAGCTTCTTTCCTTGCATTTAACAGCTGACCACTTGCTTTATTCTTCATGTTAATTAGAAGACACCTGGTAGAAAACCTTTGCTGAATGTTTACTAACATCAGCAATATTTATGTTCAAAGAACAATTATCCTTTTATATTCTTACTACATCTCCTATCTTTATACCAGTTTTTTTAAAACAACTGTCTGAGGAAGATTATACTGTTATCACCATTTCACAGGTGAGAAAACTGTGGCTTAATTCTGGGTTTGAATCCCAGTTCCCCAAGTTATCTCACTGGCTGCACTGCTTTAATAAAATTACATACCCTGGCTACAGTGCTGCCTATGTTATGAATACCTACGCCATGCCTCACAGTGACACCAAGTCACTGTTCCCCTCTAGGAATCCATGTGAAAATAAGTGTTACCATGCACAACGTAACATTCAGTACATGCAGACTGCATATACAGCCAGGATGCACATACAGCTGTGGTAGGAATAATATGCTACACCATATAGCCTAGGTGTGTAGTAGGCTACATTAACTACTTTTGTCTAAGCATACTCTATGATGTTCACACAGCAATGAAACTGCCTAATGACGCCTTTTTCAGAATGTATTCCCTTGTTCAGTGACACATGACTATGTTTTAACTACTAAAGTGTATAGAACTATTTATCATTCAAGGCCAGTCGCAGTGGCTCACTCCTGTAATCCTAGCATTTTGGGAGGCCGAGGCAGGCAGATCACTTGAGGTCAGGAGTTCGAGACCAGCCTGGCCAACATGGTGAAACCCCGTCTCTACTAAAAATACAAAAAAAGAACTATTTATCATTCGAATAAATAACCTCAAAACAATATACTCACGAACTAGTTAATCTGTTAAACATTTTTAAGATTTCTGTATCCATCAATTAAGAGATTTTTAAAATTTGCTTATGGTTTAGTTTTCCCTTTAAAATAAAATAATCCGTAAAGCAAACAACATGAAAACACTAAAGCAGAGTGTGCAAAACATGCCCACAGTTGATCACAAAGTGACCTGAGAAGAGCCAGTGATGATTCCTTAGAGGGCCAGCTGGCTGCCCACAGGGCCCACAGGGGATGCAAAAGTTTGGCCTTCACCTTTGCAGGTATGGAACTTACATAATTTATTGTGTCTAACTAAAACAGATTTATGCTCAATGAACTTACAAACAGGTATATGATAGAACACTAATTTATAAATTTGCAGTAGTAGACATACGCCTTTCTAATGACCATAAATGATCATGAAAATCTTTTTTAGCTTGGGATTTAAATCAACCAAAAGTCCTCTGGGAGCATGGAATCAGCATAAATTGAATTGGATGGTCAGAACAGGGTGAAGTTCACCTACACCATGGGGAAACTTCAATGAATTATTTTTCTTCCAAACCAAAGAATCCATTGAAGCTAACAAGACTCAAATTTAGAGTCTCTCTACAGTCCTATCTTGCTCCTTGCAGAGTCCATGCAGCCCATTCCCTTTGGCTCATATTGGTTCTAATACAAGAGGTGCCTGGGTTGCAGCCTTTGCCAAGCACCTGTCAGTAGTATTTCCGCAGAACCTCACAGTTTCACACTCTCTCCCTGAAATGGGGAGTGGCAATTTTCACCTTTTATGCACTGATGGTCCACCTTCCCATCATTTACTCAGTTCTAAGTGCTTGGCTGAGGGCTACTAGCTACTTGCTACTGGACATACAAATGAAATTTACTGAAGAATCCCTGCTCACAAGGAATTCAGTCTTAGTGGGAGGAACTTAGTGGGAGTAAGTCTCAAAGTCTGTAAGGATGTAAGGATGAGTTAGCCATTATGATACAATGTGATGGCTTCAATATTCAATTGTGACTATAGACAAGGGCAGACCTACACCCCAAGAATACTGGTATGGAGTATGGAGGTATGCACAGAGGGTGAAGACTGAGCTAAGTCTTGAAAGATGACAAGGCTTTTGACAATACACAAATATAGGGCTGCCAAGTTTGATGAGTGTAACAAACAAATAGAGCCCTGAGATACAGAGTAACACTCGGGGCCCACTTCCAGAGGGTAGCAGGGAAAGACAGTCAGCAATCTTCAGCGGAGGCCTGAAGTCTGAGAAGGCCAGTCCCATGAAGAGTATTCCAGGCAAAAAAAAAAGACATATGTGAGGCCTGAAGGTGGTTCCCTGCTAAGCCAAGTGGCCAAAGTTTGGTGAGTAGAATGAAGAATGGCTCAAGAGAATGGAAAGAGAGGCAGGGACAGATCGCAAAGGGCCTCAGGGCCAGGGAAAGGAACTTGGACTTCATTCCCAGGGCAATGAGGAGCCATTAGAGACTCATAAAAAGGGAGTACCATGGCATTATTTCTTCTTAAAATACTGAACACCTGCATGAAGAAAAGTTAAGAAGGGTGGAGAGATACAAGAGAAGCAGGGAAACCACTTAAAAAGCCTCATGCTAGGTGAGGGTACTGATACACAAGAGGAGAGAAGTGAAGAGAAGAGACATATTCTGAGGTGGAACCAAATGGGTCACTGGACGTGGGAGGGAAAGGGAAGGAGGACTCCCCAGTTTTCTATTTGAGCAATTGCCTAGATGGTGGTAACTTCTGCCAAGATAAAGAATACTAAAGGAATAAAAGGTTTTTGAAGAAAAAAACAACAACAACAAGAGTTCTGCAAAGGACACAGTTAAGTTTAAGAGGACTATGAAACATCCAAGTAGAAAAGTCAGGTTGGCCAGGAGCCTGGAGCTCAGAGAACCAGGCTGGGCTAAAGATATAAATCTGGCATTCATTAGCATCTAGATGATATTTAAAGCCACAGAAGTTGATGAGCTCACCCACGGAGAGGGTAGAGAGAAAAGAGGAAGGGATCTATGCTTATCAGAAGAACTTTCAGATGTATTACACTATGGGCAATGGGTATGTCTGAAAATTCTTAAACATGATTTGTATTTTGGAAATAATGTTGTAAGGGAAGTAGAATGAGAGCCTGAACTAAGGAGGGGGATTATTTGAGTGAAATTTAGGGAAAGATCCCTTTCTTGAGTTACTTGATACAAGGAATGAAAGCAACACAGGAGTCTAAATGGATTGCCAGATTTCTGGCCTGAGAAGTTAGGTAACTATAGCACCACTATGAGACAGAAGCACAAGATAAACTTAAGGATGGGATGGTAACGATGAGTTTAAGGTGAAAGTTAAAGCAGTGGGTTTGAGTGAGAACACCCAGAAAAGGCACACAGAGTGAGACGATAATAGCCAAAACCCTGGAGAATGTTAATTAAAATGCGGGCAAAGAAAGAAAAGATCATAAAATAAGAAAGAGGGAGAAGCCAGAAAATAGAACGAGGAAAAAGTAGGATTACTTAAATTAAGGCAGAAACAAGTATGGATAATCAAGAATGGTCACTTGGGTCAAATTCCAAAAAGAAACTGAGCAAGAGAAAGACAAGAAATCTTAGTATCTGGCAATCAGGAATTATTGGTGACCTGGGACAAGCGCGGTAGCTGCTGCCTGTAATCCCAGCACTTTGGGACGCCAAGGTAGGATTGCTCGAGCCCAGGAGTTGGAGACCAGCCTGGGCATTGCAAGACCCCTTCTCTATAAAAAAAATTTTTTTTTAAATTAGCCAGGGTGGTGGGATACACCAGTAATCCCTGGGCTTTGGGAAGCTGAGTGGGGGAAAACTGCTTAAGCCCAGGAGGTCAAGGCTGCAGTTGGCATGATGATACCGCTGCACTCTAGCCTGGGTGACAGAGTGAGACCATCTCTAAAAAAGTAATTATTGGTGGCCTTATAGCATGGTGGAAGAAGCCAAGCTAAAGACTGAACGGGAGGGAAGAAAGTACATACATGACTTGAGACTTGGCTACAAAAGGAGAGTGACTGAGGGCAACACAAGATCAAAAGAGAATTTCTTCCAAATGTGGGATCTGCATTAGTAGGATTCTTATGTGGAAATTTAAAAAAAAAAAAGGTAGAAGAATAAATTGAGGGCAGGAGGGATAGAATCTAGAGGTTAGCCTGGGATATCACAGATACTTTGCAGGACAGGAGGGAAAGAATAATATAAAAGTTTGTACATGTGAGGGAGACAGGAGGTTCCCAGCATCCACTCAAGAAAACCCCGCTTTTCTATAAAGACACAGGAATGACCATCTGTTGAGGGACAAGATGACCATCTCCGTAGAAACTGCATTAATAAGTTCAAGGGATGACACGGGTGGCCAGAGGGCTGATGCTAAAACACACATCATTTGCACCAAAACTTTTAAAGCAAAACTGGAAAAGGTGAATCTAGTCTCTGAAGCACTTCACAAATGAACTCTCTTTGAGAGCCTATTAATAAAGCACTTAAGTCCTTTAAAACATAAAAACAATTTTTTCAAAATTGAATTAGTAAGTCTCAAAGTCTGTAAGGATCTGTGGTAGCTAAATCAGCTTAGAAGTGTGATCCATCACCTTATCCCGGGTATAAGGATTTTTCTCTTCCTCTTCTTGGGTATTTTGTTGAACCTATTTACATTTTAAGGGACACAGTAGAGTCTAGTCACACTTATAAATGAACTGTTCTGTAAGTCAAAGGATTTATATCAGGAAGAGAACCAGATTTAGGGCAAAAGATCCACTAATTGCTAACCAATATCTTGGACAAATCACCTAATCCCTCTCACCTCCATTTCCTCACATACCATCATTTCCTTGATCCTATGATGCACTCCCTCACATATCAGAATCAGGATGTAGCCTGATACTAAAGTGCAAACTTCATATACAAGCGTTCCTCCACCACCTGCACTGTTTAGAAGTCAACAGTAGGCTGGGCGCGGTGGCTCACGCCTGTAATCCCAGCACTTTGGGAGGCCGAGGAGGGCAGATCACGAGGTCAGGAGATCGAGACCATCCTGGCTAACACGGTGAAACCCCGTCTCTACTAAAAAAAAAAAAATACAAAAAAAATTAGCCAGGCTTGGTGGCGGGCACCTATAGTCCCAGCTATTCAGGAAGCTGAGGCAGGAGAATGGCGTGAATCCGGGAGGCGGAGCCTGCAGTAAGCCAAGATTGCGCCACTGCACTCCAGCCTGGGCGACAGAGCGAGACTCCGTCTCAAAAAAAAAAAAAGAAATCAACAGTACATCCTACAATCAACAAGGCCTCTGAGCCTAGAAAAATAATGCCAGTATTCATCTGACACAACTGATGGTATCACTGGATGGACCAAATGAGGCTGAGATGCATTTTAATGTTAGTAACTAACGCCTGTCTGATACCTTAAGGCACAGGCTGCAAAACTATATACATATAATTTGTTTAAATGTCTGGTGATCTTTTTTTTTCCAGACAGGGTCTCAGTCTGTCACATACTCTGGAATACAGTGGCACAATCATAGCTCACTGCAACCTTGAACTTCTGGGATGATCAAGTGATCCTCCCACCTCAGCCTCCCAAGTAGCTGGGGCTACTAGCATGCACCATCACACCCAGCTAATTGTTAAATTTTTTTGGTAGAAACAGGGTCTCACTATGTGGCCCAGGCTGGTCTCAGACTCCTGGGCTCAAGCGATCATCCCACTTCAGCCTCCCAAAGTGTTGAGATTACATGTCTGAGCCACTGCCCCCAGCCTAAATGCCTTTTTTTCTTTTAACAAAAAAGGAAAAACCTATACTAAAGTTAAATGGTAGAAAAAGTGATATTTTACTTTCTCATTTGTGCTTTTCTGAATTTTTGAATTTTTCTCACAGTGAACATCAAGGGGGTAATTATGTATTAATAAAAGTAGAAATAAGAACTCTTTAAAAAGTTCTACCAGCCAGGTGTGGTGGCTCATGCTATAATCCCAGCACTTTGGAAGGCCGAGGCAGGTGGACTGCCTGAGGTCAGGAGTTCAAGACCAGCCTGGCCAACATGGCAAAACCCCGTCTCTACCAAAAATACAAAAAGTAGCCAGGTGTGGTGGTGGATGCCTGTAATCCCAACTACTCGGGAGGCTGAGGCAGGAGAATCACTTGAACCCAGGAGGCAGAGGCTGCAGTGAGCCGAGATTGTGCCACTGCACTCCAGCCTGCGCAATGGAGCAAGTCTTCGTCTCAAAAAAAAAAAGTTCTACCTATAAATCTAGGTCTATTAAAAGCTCTCAGATGGCAGTAATATGCATACATTAAAATATATAAAGATATTACATAAACCCTATTTTAGTATGTTTAGTAACTAAAATCTAGCCACATATTCTATACTCAAAGTGCTACTACGAGAAAATTGCTTTAGTACTTACCTTATTTTCCATAACACGACGTACTAAAAATTTGTAAACACCAAAATATGGGCCACATTACAGTCAACACACAACTGAGTTTATTTACTATGAACATAAAAACTTATAATTCTTGAAAATGAACATTAACATCAATCCCCTAAGACTGTTAACATGCACCAATACCTAAATCCCTATTCCACTAAAAAAGATTAAGAGAATACACTATTTCAAGTGATATAGAAATAATCAAAACATAATTTAAAATTCCTTCTAAAAGCTTGATCCTTACTCTTTATATTTGTGTCTCTACTGTTTCTTTTATTCATTTTCATGTTTCATTAAACATCAATAAAAAGAATAGAGACCACATGTATACAGTTGTACTTCACTACAGATAAGAACAACAGATCAGAGCAAGTGGGCAGTTAAGTCACTCTTCTGTTTCCCTGTGTATTAACATGAAGAAGGAAATAAAATAATACTCCACTCCTGCCTCACAAAGCTACTAAGCAGAGGAGATGATATATATAAGAATGTGCTTGCCCTTTTCAAGAAAAAGAGGTATAAGAAACTCAGGGGATAAGTATCATTTCTGAAAGCTTTTGTTATTCTGGCTGATAAGAAATTTTCAAATATGGTTAAGTAAGCATAAATCCTACACGTTTTCAAGGTGACCCCTATAGGGACCTCTCTATATACAGTCCTGGTATAAATGCATGAAAATACAGTTCATTTGAATTTATATTGACTTGGGGCTTAAAAAATTACAAACTACACTCACTCTTGCCAACCTTTTCAAAGATGACTTTTAAAGGAGCAGGGGATGGGATATTACCAATTTATATTTGAAAATACAGTAAATCTTTTTCAATTTTCTTAAAATATTCCACTAGATTATGAGTTATTTGAAGGAAAAGGCTTCTCTCTGTATCTACTACAGTACTTATACAAATTCAAGTTTGACCCTTAGCAGAATAGTAGTTACAATGGAAAGAGGGCTAGACTAGGATTCAGAAATAATCTTAGGGCTTATAGTTTTCCGTATCTCAATTTTCTCATCTGTAAAATGCCTACGTGTACCTACTTCACTGTGTTGATATAAGCTTAAAAATTAAGTTAACAGATACAAAATAATTTTGAAAAATTAAATGAAAGCATACTTATTAGGCTATCCCCCAAAATAAGAGTGAAAAAAAAAAGGATTATGATCCTATTTTTATTTCAGGTAGATTATTTTTAAAATTACAACAGAATTTCAAAATCTTTGTTAAGTTTGTATATTAAAGTAAATCTTATACCTTTTCTAAGTCTTCAATTTCTGAACTGAAGTTTTTACCCTCATCCATCATTTCCTCTTCTTCAAGAGTTCTTTCATCATCATAGTCATGGACCAACATCTCAGCAGTGGGGTCAAAATCATGATCCTCAGAAGACAAAGACCCAACTGGAATAAAACAAACTGAATCACTTTACACATTTACAAGGCTATTAACAAAAGAAAATAAAAATTTGTGTTCTTCTGCCAGTCCCTTTTCATGTTTATATGAGGGTTTTACTAAATGAATTTACTATATAATTTATAGGTTATAAATTAAGACCCCATGATTCTGAAAATATGTCTAAATCAGCAAAATAACAAGGCAAAGTTATTCACAAACACTTTTATAAGGGGTTTAGTCCACAAGAAAACAACTTATGATAACAACAAAGTGATTTAAGCAGCATGGTTTTAAAGAAACATTCTAATAGAAAAAGTCAAACTTGCTTATCATTTAATACATCTGTCTAAAAGCAATAGCAAAATATCAGAAAGATTAAATTTCCATGAATGGAAGATTTCACAAGAATCGACTATACACTAAGATGCACACTTCAGGATAATATAAATTTTACTCAAATTCTAACCCTCAAATAAAGACAGAAAACACAACAAAAATCTGCTTTATAAAACAAATATAAGTTTCTGTGAAGCAGCTATACAGCCATTCAGCTTTTAAAAGCATTGTATCACTTTACATTTCTCTAACAGTACTTCAAGTTCCCTAGCATTAATCAGACAAGCATTAAACTGTAAGACTTTGCTTTACTTTGGATTACTAACAAAGTTCTTAGGATTATGTGTAGGGAATACAGAAAATCACATCTGAAGGTTTTGGAAGATATATCCATTGCAAGTTGTTTTGGATAATTCATACTTGTTTATAAAACTATAATATCTTTTAATAGCAAATATGAAGTCAATAGGAAACTCCAAAAACCAAGAGAAGAAATGACTAAAATCCATAATCCCAAAGAAATGAAATCAAATTTATAAAAAAACAGGATTTTCTCCACTTGTTTTACTCTAGTATCCAATTCAATTAGACCCGTAACCCTCAGAGCAAGGAAGGAAAGTATCAGAAACTGAGGTTGGGGGAAGGAAGAAGTGGATGGAAGCATACTCAACATAAAAAGTTTAATCTGTTCTTAGTCAAGCTACTGAATATTTTAAAATTTCAAACATTTCAGGACAGTGTGAGATCATTACCAAAACACTGAACTGGGCCAAAGATTTTTCACTATGGAAAAACCACACACATAATTCATTATTTTTGATTCTGGGTTCAGAGAACTCTAATTAGTTCTAAAAATACAATTTCTACAGGACTTTATTTTTTGGCAGGTTTACATTATGTTATCTTCCTTAATGTTGAAAAATATCTGCTCATTTAAAAACTTGTTGATTTACATGTGGTTTAATTTAAAAAGAAATATAGGCCGGGGTGGTGGCTCATGCCTGTAATCCCAGCACTTTGGGAGGCCGAAGTGGGGGGATCACCTGAGGTCAGGAGTTCCAGACCAGCCTGGTCAACATAGCGAAACCCTGTCTCTACTAACAATACAAAAAAATTAGCCGGGCATGGTGGTGGGCACCTGTAATACCACCAGCTACGTGGGAGGCTGAGGCAGGAGAATCGCTTGAACCTGGGAGGTCGAGGCTGTAGTGAGCCAAGATCACACCACTGCACTCCAGCCTGAGCAATGGAGCAAGACTCCATCTCAAAAAACAAAAAAACAACAAAAAAGAAATAAGAATATTTATTAATTAGCTCACATCCACCATTACAAATTTTCTTTTTTTGAGGAATTCTTGGCAAGTTCCATGGTATGCCAAAGAGGCAGAAATGAAATAGATGCTGACTCTTTCACCTCTTTGGTAGCAGAGCTCCTCTGGGCTCTTCTGTTACTCTTCTATCACTTGGCACAACAGGCCTCCCCTTTAACATGGAAGGTATTCAGTAAGGGTCAAAAATCGAAGGACCTGAGGGTCTACTCCCAGCTTTGTCCTTGGCTTTTTGGGACCTAAAGGAAGTCATTTAAACTTTCTAGGTCTAGCTCCTGTCTTCCATTTGCAAAATACATGGGGATGACTGAAAGGACCTCAAAAGTCCCTTCCAACTCTAAAATTCTCTTTTTAAAAAACTGGCTAATTAATCCCAGCACTTTGGGAGGCCGAGGCAGGCGGATCACTTGAGGTCAGGAGTTCAAGATCAGCCTAGCCAGCATGGTGAAACCCCATCTCTACTAAAAATACAAAAAAATCAGCCAGGTGTGGTGGCGCATCCCTGTAGTACCAGCCACCTGGGAGGCTGAGGCAGGAGAACAGCTTGAACCTCAAAGGCGGAGGTTACAGTGAGATTGCCCCATTGCACTCCAGCCTGCATAACGTCTCAAACAAACAAACAAAAAACAAAAAGAGGCTAATTGATTAAAAACAGGTTACACTGTCTTTTGGCTTATTTAGAGTGCAACTTCTTAAAAGAAGTCAGTGATACCAAATGGAAAAATTCCATTAATCCAGCTGTTTGACATCATGTATATATTTTCCTAAAATCAGTTATAACAAAAAAGTTCATCTCAAAATTAACAAAAATTTTTAGAATTTTAAAGATATAGACAGCTATTTTTAAAATAGCTGCAAATTTCTTCTACTTGGTGTTATAATACCTTAAATGACAGTCAAGTGAGGCTCTGAAGGTGGAGCAGATACAAAAAGTAATAGTGTAAGGAAACTGACTATTCACTCTATGGAAACAAGTTGTAATGGAAGATTTAGGAGCTCATCTGTGCTCCACCACTAACGAAAGTTATTTAAAAGTCTCCTCAACTGTAAAATAATGGAGTTGGACTAGTTCAGAGGTGCTTTTCCTGTAGACTAGGAGAGGGAAGACAGCAAAGAGGTAAGCTAGAAAGGAAATGAGAAACTGAAACAAAGATACCTTACATGATTAGCACATGAGGAAAGGTCCTTATGGACCTGCTACAGGGATTCTACAAACCCCAGATTGTGTGTAATTATGCATATGTGCAGAGTTCTGGGACACATCCCTTGCTTTCATTAGATCCTGACAGGGGTTTCTGACCTCAGGAAAGTTAAGAAACACTGTACTAGATGACCTAAGATCGTCTCAGCTCAGAAGTCAAAATCACCCTTTTTCTGTGCCAAACTTGGAAGTTCTGTCTTTTTTATTAAGGTAGCTTTACCTCTCAACTTCCAATTTTAACACAACTCATAGACATTTAATTATGAAAAAGAAACAACGTAAGAGGAGATGAGGGGTTACAGTTAGTGAAGTAGTCCCAGAGTTCTGACAAATTACTCAATCTCTAGAAGAAACCGAAGTTAAAATCTAAATTGCTAAAGTTGGTGTCAAGTTAATTTGGGATTAACTGTTTCAGGCTCGGAGGAAAAATAAGATATGTAATAATTAAAGCCATATTCCTTAAAAGAACGCTTGTCTTAGCAACTTTGTAACAGTTACTTTTTCAACATGCAAGAGAAAACAAAGAACAGTATAACTGTTTCTTCCCCAAACTTTACTAAATGCACACTGAAACTCTTAAAAATCAATGAAGAAAAACCTGCAGGATACATTTCTATTGGGAATCCTTTAGCAACAGACCTTTGAGCCCACATTACCCACTGGGAACCACCGAAGACGTAAGAAAATAGGACAAACCTGGGCTCGAACTTCCAAAAGAAGCCTAGGAGAGAGAGAAGAAAACGTGAGGTTAGATCGCACAGCCAGGGAAAGAGGCAGCGCCGGCAACAGGGCGCAGAGGAGGCGGAGTCGAGCGCTCCTCCGCAGCTGCCAAAAGTGCAAGACGTAGCTTCACTCGAATCGCTCCCGGCCCCTTTCGGGCCCCCTCTTGGCTGCCTCGCCTTCCTCCCCGAGTCCCAAGTGTACAAACTCACAGACCCGGGACGAAGCCCGGAGTCTGAGAGGCAACTCCAAGTCGCTTCTTGGAGCTCAGCAAGTTTCCAAGCAGAGAAGCAAAACCCAGAGCAGTCGGCTGGCACCATCAGTCCCCCATCCCTGGCATCTCCGGAGTCCTCCAAATCCCACCCGGCTCTCCGAAGCCCCAAACAACTCGAAACGTAACACCCTTTTCTGGAACGAACTCGCGTTCTGAGCACCTAGTTCGCCCCTGGGGCCCGGGAGCCCCAACTCCGAAGCCGATCTCTTCCCCTGCAGCGTAGGCCAGCTCGAATCGGACACTCGCCCCCAAACCAAAGCGCGAGCCCCCCATCCTCTCTCTCGAGTCCAGAGATGCAGCTCCTCTCAGTTCCAGGGATGCTGGCTCCTTCCAGAGTGTTCAGTCCCTCCCTGGACCGTCAGCGCGCCCCCCGCCCCAGCGAGCTCCAGCCCAGGGGCTCCTGCCACACCGCCCCCTCCCCCCAGCTCACCAGTCCCGGGGGACATGGCCGGGGCAGCTTCGCTCGCCCAGCCTTCCTTCCTCCAGCCCAGAGAAAACTGGAGCTATCAAGCCGCTCTCCTGGAGAGGGCGTCGAGGGTCTCGGTCTGCCCTTTAACCCCAGGGGCTCCCGCACCTCCCGGGCTGCGGGGTGGGGAGTCCCGCTCTTCTGAGAAGCCCGGTGGCCCCGCATCCCGCTCTTCTCCGCGCCCCCAGCAAAGTGAAGCGTGCGGCTCCTTCGCGCCGCAGCCCGGGCCCGGTGGGCCGGGGGCACAGCGCACGACTCCCGCAGGGCAGTGGCGCAGCCCGCTCCCCTCTTTGCGATCCGGCCGCGGAGGGGGGGCTCCGCCGGTTTCCACCCACCCGGGCCCGGGGAAGAGGCGCGGAGGCGCCGGCGGCCCGCGTCAGCGACCGGGGACACGGCACTGCCTCGTCCCTGGGGCAGGGCTCACTGCAGCCGGCCGCCACCTCCGTCCGGCTCGGTCGCCCGGCCCGACCGGGGCCGGAGCCGCCGCGGCCTAGTCCCGGAGGGAGACCGCTCCCGCGCCCGCTCCCGCCCCCCGGCCAGCCCCGCCACGGCCAGTCGCCGCCCCGCGACCCCCGCGTCGCCACGCCGCCCCTCATGGGGCAGCGGAAAGAGCCCCGGATCCCCCAGGCTGGCTCGGGGGTCGCGGGGAGCCGCCGGGCGCCCGCTCCAGCCCGGCTGCTCCTGCCCGGTTTCCCTGCTCACCTCCGCCATATTGGTACCTTTAGGGCGAACGAGCAGCGCCGAGCCCAGTCCCCGGATGGGGCGCCTGAGCCAATCGCAGCCGCCGCCGCCACCGCCGCGGTCCGCCCGGCACCCGCCCGGCGGCGGAGGCGGCACGGCCCCTTATAGGGCAGGGCGGCCCGCGACGCCCCCGGCCCGCTCGCAAGCCGACGCCGCCCGGCGCCCCTCGCCGCCCCCGCGCCGGCCCCAGCCGGCCAGACCCGCACCCGCGCGCACCGTCCTTCTCCTCCTGGCTGGTGTAAAGTTCCTGCCGAATTGGAGGCAAGTGGGGGACGGACGGACGCGCGGGCGCGGGACAGACCCACGTCCAGCCAGTGGAGGCCCAAGAGCCGGCGGGCGCGTCTGGGAACCGACCCACAGACACCGCGGCGCGGGAGGGCGTGCGGGAGGCGGGCAGGAGACTTGGACTGGCAGGCGATGTGCAGGGGAACTCGACAGACTCAACTTCCCTAAGAGGAGGAGGCGATCTATGAAATAGACAGATGTGGGAGGAAGCCCTGGGAAATGGGAGAAGAGGCTGGTGGATGGCAGAGTCAGTCCAGAATGAGAGGACTACAGTCAGGCACTTTGCCGTTTCCACGAAGGGACCTGCAGGAATGGGAGATGGAGACCGGTGTACACTGCTCACGGAGTGGACAATGGAAGTAGACATTTGCCAAACAGGTTATTGACAGCACAGAAGAAAAGACAAAAGATCGACAGGGCAGAGAAATGATGCTGAATATACTTGTACAGTTCAAGAAGATGCCCAAAAAATATAAACTGTGCTGTTATCCAAAAAAAAAAAAAAAAAAATTAGACCAGTTCTAGGAATTGTTCATCACCAACGTGTCTTAGGGGATGACCCAGAGATACTTGATACATCTGTTGAAGGACAGGAACAGCATATCAAAGGCCCTGAACTGAGTCTCAAAAATTCTACCCCTCACTTCCCTCACTTCTCCAAAAAGGCCAAACGTTTGGGTAGGATCATAAAAGGAAACTAGTCCCCTGTGCAAGTGGATGGGTGAAAGACGGAGCATAAGGCTTAACAGGAATACCTGCTCGTACATGTTCCTTATGACCATTTGCTCTTCATTGGAGGAGATTACTCTCCGGAAGGTCCACATCCACACTGAAAGACTTTGAGCCAAGTACACAAAAATATACACTAACGACTGATTGGAGAGTTAGGTCCTGCAAGAAGTTAAAGTAAGGTATGGAGTTGCCCTAGCAAATTTGGAGGACACATTGTCCTAAAGTGGGAGGCCAATTCTATCTGTGGAAAAGAAAGTCGGCTGTAAGGTACATGAATAAGTGAGATGCAAATACCATCAGGAATTATAGCAGGACCCTACAGGAATTTGGAGAGAGTGATCTCAGACACCAGAGCTCTTCTCCCAGCTTTTTTCTAAAACATACGTAATATTAAATGATAAAGACAAGTTTTTAGAAGCTAAAACTTTCCATACGTCATACTTTTAATCCAAACATGAAAGGTCTTGATTTTAACCTGGGGTCCCTCCAATTCCCTTATTGCTGGAGTGCATACTGAGGATGAGGCTGGAGACTGGAGGTAGGGAGAGGGTTATTTTCAAATTTTTTGCCAAGGCATCTCAAAATCAAGCTTATGCCACGGGTAAAAGTTATTTACTTATGGAAATTTTAGGGAAAAATCACTCCAACTATTTCTAAACATCATAAAGACATGGAAAATTACACTTTCCCTGCTGTGAAAGATATCTTTCGACCTTTTGTCCAGTCAAATAACTCAAAAACAGCTAAACTTTGAAACCAGACCTTGGCACACATTGTATGTACTGTCCTCAATGAGGCGTTCAGAGTTTTCAAAGTAAAAAAAAATGGCTTGAAATTAAGTACAAGTGAATAACTTTAGAAATGACGCAGTGAGCACGCGCTGTGGACAGAACCATGAAACAGTGCCCTGAGCAGCTGGACCGCAGTCTGAGCCACGTGAAGAAAGTGTCTCCAACAACCTGCCTCATACATTACACTGGGAAAAACATTTTCTTCCCAGCAAACTTGGCTAATCCAAACTATAAATGTAGTCTTAGATTATATGTTTTGCCATAACTGAAATATACACAGATTTATTCACTTTCATGAATCTAGTAATGTTTCTGTAGACTTTCTTTATATTCAATTGTAAAGATTTTGTATAGGCATTTGTAATTTTGATTGTTATATGCTCCCTATTATAGAACGTAGTGTAGGAAGTCTGAGTCCATGGTATTAAATAAGGATTCAGACAAAGATAAATGAAGCTAAATTTATTAGCAGTTGAAGGTAGCAGAGCTACTTTCCCCCACCTGATCACTAGAGAAAGTTTATCACTCAGTCTTACATAACACATTCCTTTATGATAAAGTGTGTAAAGTCTATATGTAGATGGAGCTCTCATTCTTTCTGATTGACAAGACTTTCATGAGTCAGTACAGATTAAAAATCCTTGTGACCCAAGGAGTTTAAATTAAAATACTATTACTTTTTACTTTTATTATCCTGTAACTATGCAATACAGGGCATTATATAGAAAGTGCTAGATGCTGGGCACTGTGGGACCACCATAAAAATGTCCTTGTCCCCCAAAAGCTTACAATCTAAGTAATTTCCATAGGTGGTAAATGGATATGTGAGCAAGGAAAACTAAAAACCATAGTAACCTCCTAAGGAGAACCAAAATGTCATAGATCCTCCAACCATCTTTAGAAAGGAAATAAATCAATACAGCTTTATTTATAAACATGTAATTTTAGAGGCTTCCAGTAAATTCATACAATAAAATAAAAAAACATATATAAAAAAATGAGGACCAACGAAACTAACTAGACTAGGAGGTTAACACCAAAGAAAAAGTAAGGACAAGGATCTGCAGGTTATGAGGTATTAACACAATACAATAGTTAAGCCATAAATGTAGAGCTTTCTGGCAGCCAAAGCAAAAAAGGTGAATGTAATCAGTTGCTTGCTTCTCATTGGAGAAGCATACAAATGTAGGAGAAATATACAAATTCTTTTGGTAACTGTCTATGAAAGTTGAGAGCACAATATGAATGACCTACTGAAAGCAGTTAATGGGGCCACAGTAATGCAACATAGATATTTAGGCTTCTGCAGATTCCATCTAACCCATGGGAAACTAATAAACCAAAGTTAATGTCTCAATCTCAAATGCCCATAGTAGTCAGGCAGGCATAATGAATGAGTGAAGCAGGCTAGTGTAGACAAACGCAGGAGTAATAGCAAATTTGGAGACGTGTCCTACTTAAAGATGGAAACCACTATGCACTACTTGGGTCAGTTTCAGCTTACTGGCCCAATGTTTCCAGTTTCAATTTTCCAAGAACAGCTGGAAAACTGAATTTTTATGTTATATCTCCTGGTCGTAAAATTTTGTCAACTAATTTTTTAAAAATTTAAACACAGTGTAGATCAAATAAATCATGTTAAGTAAATCATATTTAGCCTGGGAGCTTCCAGTTTGCGAACCTGATCTAGAACATCATCTTAGCGTTACTTCTCAGCATAGCTTGTAAGACTGTAATGCCAACAGTTAGACCCAGCATCAGGCCAAACTACTTGCATTTTTCTAAATTTATCTACTTCTCCTGCGTGATATTCAATTAAATATTTTTTGTTGGAATGAATGGCCACTCTCTGAGAAAGCTAACTGATCATAGTAAGTTTTGCCTAAACAAAAGATTCTTAACAAAAGAAAGATGATCTGCATGGTAACTTTAAAAAAGAGAGAGTTCTCACAGTTCAAAAAAGGTTTCAGTTCGTTTCTAAGAAGGGAACTTGGTCCATATACATGAACATATATCCAGCCTGTGAGTCAGGGCCATTCTTAAAATGAGATGGATGCATCAGGCTGACATAGCTGTGCAAGCATACCCAATTGGAACTTCCAAGTCAATGACTTTAAATTGCAGGAACATCCTCAAAAGAATTTGTAATAACTCTATCCCTTCTTATGTATTCCAATTGACTTCTAATTTTGTCATTATAAATTTAAATGGCTGCAAAGGATGTACTTACCTTTCGTAATGATGGTCATTTAAAAATAAAGCCATTATATAACACTTAAAATGTATGCAATGGAATCTAAATACCATAACAATTTGATATTTCATTATTCTTTTAAAAAGACATAAACATGTTTCTTGAATGGTATGAAATTTTACATGATTCCTTTTTCTCCTTGAACTCATATTCCCATTCTACTTTCTCCAAAGAAGTGTAATATGCTTTATGCTTAGAAGTCTTTTGTTGATACCCTACAATCTTTATCTGCAACAAAAATATCCTTGTAAATTGATAGTAAAGAGAAATAATTTTCCTCCAGATTGAATTATCAGTACAATTACTACTAATTTACATTTGATCTAAGCAATATACATGTATTACAAGTTTTGAGTAAAGCTTTTTGAACAAAAATTGCATTGGAAATCAATCTATTGATAAGATGAATAGGATCTTTAAAAATTAATTCATGTACCCATGGATGAATATTACTTAATGCTAGAATGGGAGTTTAACATCAATTTTATTCTTAGTCTTTATTTATACAGAAGTAAGGTTTGAGAAACCATATTCATACACAAATAGATAGAAATGGAAGGGTTTTGTTACTAAACCATCACTCAATTTGTTGATCTCCTTAGTAATATCTCCTTAGTAATACATCATGTTATGATCTTCTATCAAACATTATTTTTAATGATCTATACGCTGATGTTTTAAATGTGTTCCTTCAACTTTGTTGAAAGCTAAGAGTTAAAAGCTACCTGACTTGAAAGAGGATTTTTTACAAAGCTATTATAGCTCATCACTATAATTCACTTCAATTTTGATGAAGATTACCAAAAAAGCCTTTGCCAAGACTTATCAAATGACTGTTAATTGTACTGTTTCACGTAGAGGCAATTATTTAACTCAACAGGCTCAGAAAAGGGAAGGAAAATGGGAGCAGTGTTAATTTTAAGACTCTCTTACAAATACAGTTTTGTTAAATAAAATGTTTATATCTTATCACACGTTTTAAATACATTTTTGTCAAAACCTTGGACTGGAGCCCTAAATCTTTCACTTGTGGAAAATGTCTGCCACATAACCTAACAAGCAAACGCTGTCCCTTTTGTCAAACCAAACTGCCAAGTCTGACTTGAAAAGTCTGATTTCATTTTTCAGTTCTAAGAAGCCTATTAATTCTTATTTTGAGATATATTTTAAACCACTGAGAAATAAATTACAAAACGTATTATAAGATAGATTACTAAAAGCATGCAATTCAAGATTAAAATGATGTCAGATCTAACCGAATTAATTTTTTCATTTTATAAGTTATAAAAAGAGTAATCAATACGCAGTTCATCACTTAGCTTGTTATAATACAATGTAGCATGTGGCTACAAGTAATGTTATGTATATTGCAAAGAATATGATAAAAGGCATGGTATTTCTTTGGTAAACAAGTGTTACGGACTGAATATTTATGTTCTCCCCAAATTCATATGTAGAAGCCCTAACCCCCAGTGTGGCTATATTTGGAGATGGGGCCTCTAAGGAAGTAATTAAGATCCCCATGCTACCTTCTTGGACTTTGCTGCTCTCATTATATTCAAACTTTGGCCACTTTCTTGGCCCCTGCTTCCTGGGTTGTCTTTGTTTTCTGGCTCTCAGCTCCCTCCTAAGTGGTAGCTGGTACTTTGGGGGCTTAACTGTGCAAACCTGCAGCACCTTGAACTTGCCTTTCCCAGATGTTCTCTGACCTTGCCCACTGCTTCTTGAGTACTGCAAACAACACCTGCCATTAACTCTGAAGTTTAGACAGGCTTTCCAGGATGCCAGGGGCCAGAGCAGAGCAGGAAAAGGGTGACCTTGGTCCAATAGGATTAGTGTCCTTATAAGAAGGGACACTAGAAAGCTTGCTCTCTCACAGGTGCACATTCTCCCTCTCTCTCTCTCTTTCTCTGCGTACATGCATCAAGGAAAACCTGTGTGAGGACACGGTGAGAAGACAACTGTCTGCAAGCCAGGAAAAGAACCCTCACCAGAAACTGACTCTGCCGGACCTTGATCATGAACTTCTCGCCTCCAGAACTATGAGAAAATAAATGTCTGTTGTTTAAGTCACTCAGTTTGTGATTTTTTTTTTTTATGGAAGCCCATGCAGACTAAGACAACATGTGTGCAGTATTTGCTTTTGAATCTGGTATTGCTGAACATCTGATATTTGCTTTGGAATAAAAAGAATTATGAGTAAAAATTCAGAAATACTTCATTAATTGTATTTATGTTCAAACTTTTCTTATATACATGTATTGGATGATAGTAAAAGGAATATGCTGCTGCTAAAGATCATCAGTCCAGGAGTTGGCCTATCATTTTATTTTTTATAAGAAGTGGAAAAATATTAATATTACAAGAGAAATCATGTAAGGATATTTATTTGTGGCTTCTATCCAGTGTTCATGGAAATGTGAAAGTCCGAAAACATTTCAAAACTATGGCCTACAGATGAGTGTGAAGACTAGTTGAAAATACTTGCTTAGATTTCAATAGTGATTAGTATTTCTTACCAATGCCGGGTTCTTCACTTTGTTCTTTCCAAACCCTTCTTCAAGAGCAATGTATTATTTGACAAAGGCTAAGAGGAAGTCATTAAATGAAAAGTGCTATCCTTTTTACTACCTTTATGACTCAATATAATATATCTGATGTTGGAAAATCTCAACAAGAACTAAAATACCCCATTCCTCACACCATGCTTAACCTTTGACTAAAATATATGTAAGACAGGAAGATTTAACATGTATTAAATATGGTCTAAAACCTTACTATATTTCCTTGATTTCAAAGTGTATTTGCAAACAGCTTCTCTGAGGATTTCTTCTTATATCTCATTAACTCTAATGGTAAAAAAAGATTTACTTCTCTAAGATTGACCAAAAAGCTCGAGCCAAACAACCGTAAAGACTGACAATTACTTCATAGTTCTGTGTTGTACTGTATTAGAATGGAAGCTGGAGAGAATTTGGGAAAAGCTTCACTTGACAATTTTAAGAATTTAGCACAAAGAAACTGGGGGCAACAAACGCAGGTTACTGGGTTTGAGTTGGGGTATAAAGGGCAAGGATAAACAGGGAGTTCTCTCAATGAAAGATTATTAGTACCTCCAAGGCAACTATTAGCAGAACTAGACTTATTTTACGGCTGTTTAAATTATCTGGAAGAAAGAATGCACAACTTACGGGATGCCAGTGCCTCTGTTCTCCATTCCATTCAAAGGATATGCTCCAGGTTTAGCATGAGATGGCAGACTTGAATCTTCTGTACTCTTGTTTGGCTTCTCCTAGTGTGAACATCTTGCTGCGTTGAGTGTAACTCTGGTGTTTAAAGATACACATTTTTTTTTTTTTGGTACAGCATGGTCTGTAAATACAAGCCAACTTCATCATCTGGTGTTCAACTAAAGAAACACCCAATACTGAAGGAAAATTGGCTGCATCGGACTTTTTGGGAGGCTGTATATTCACTTTCAATGTGGCACTTTCCTAAGGCATTTTTTAAAGTTTCATTTTTTAAAAAAATTATTATTATGAAATATTTCAGGAATAGCAAAAAGTATGCCATTTTCTTTGTTTTTCATTTAATTTGCACGAACTAAACATAAATACAATATAATTCCATGTTATAAGTATTTATTGAGTACCTATTAAATGCATATTATTTCCCATCTCCCAGCTAGCTTGCAAAGTGAATGTTATTCTCTCCATTTTACAGATAAGGAAACTAAGGCTCAAAGATATTAAAATTTACCCAGTTTAAAAATGATAAAGCTGAATTTGGACCCAAGTCTGCTTAAATTTAAAGCCTGGACTCTTCTCTTAATATCAAGATGCTAATGAGTAAAACAGGAATCATTATAAAACAAAAAGATAGCATTTAAGTGAAATCTTGATTATGAATAAGAAAAAGCAATCTCATTTGGGGGAAAAATGTACTAAACTAAAGATCCTAACTTTTGGAATAAACTGTGAAACTGGATTTTAAAAAATGTGTATCAGATCAACTTTATTGTAACAACAATACATTTAGGAAAAATAATCAGAGTTATACAGTTCTTGAAAGATGGTAAGCAGAGAGAGCTATCTCAGTCCCTCCTTGCATACACTTGACCCAGCACAGTGCTTGGTAAATGTTTGTTGAATGAATGCATCAGGATCTAGTTCAACAGCAGTCACTTCCTTGGAGAGAAATAACCCAAGGTATGGATGATGAGGACAGGCAGTGCTTCCTAATGCATCCTTAGGGAGAGTGTTATACAGGAGCAGTCATCCACTTATTAATCTATTTAGAAATAATTTCTCTCCTTGGCCTTTTGTTGGGTTAGGTCTGCCCATGTGATACATGTACCAGGAAGCCTAGCCATGGATACTAGTCCTCTAGCTTCAGTGGGCAGTCAGCCCTGCTGCTCACCTCTTCTGACTTGCTCTCATCCCCTTCTCCCTCCTCCATCTCCGATACCTAACTGCTTAATGTTGCTTCACAGAGCAGTGCCCCTTGGTGCCCCCTTACTTGTCTGACTCACTAGGATACACTTCTTAGGCTTTCACTCTCAGCATTTTCTCTGGGACATGATTGGGTCACTTCTAACATCTCCACTCACCCCTAGCTGCAGGTTTTGCTTGGTCCACACAAGATCCATGTTGGCCACCTCAGCTCTACCTGGCCTTTCCATCTGGGATAGAAAGGGACATATTGTGCTCACTATGCTGGGATCTGTAAGGGAATATATCGTGCAGCTATGCTGCAAGGCAGCTCTCCTCACTCACCAACTTCCGTGACAGCTTTTGAAATAACAGAACCCCAATATTTATATATTCATACAAATAAACCCACCCCACCACTGGGTGGATTTCTCTCCAAAATTATGATGTCAAAGTTGTATAAGAACAGGCCAATCCTTCGGAAGAACCTCTCTACATAGAAAGAAGGAATTTCAGGAACTGTTTATCTCAGAAACAACCTTTGTGCTGTACTAGTTTTCTTGGACTACCACAACAAAATACCATGCTGGGTGGCATGAACAGCAAAAATTCATTTTCTCACAGCTTTGGAGGGTAGAAGTCCAAGATGAAGGTGTCAGCAGGGCTGGATTCCTCTGAGGCCTCTCTCCTTGGCTTGCAGGCAGCTGCCCTCTTACTGCCTCTTCACATGGTCTTTTCCTCTGTGTCTGCATCTTTTGTGTCTCTTTGCGTGCCTGAATTTCCTCTTCTGATAGGACATCAGTCAGATTGGATTAGGACCCATCTTAATTTTAACCTCATTTTAACTTAATGACGTTTTTAAACACCCTGCCTCCAAATAAAGTGACATTCTGAGGTACCAGGGGTTTGGACTTCAACATACGAATTTTGGGGGACAGAATTCCAGCCATAACATGTGCCCCCTCAGATTCCTTCCATCCAAACTGCCTCCCAGACTCGCAGCCTCCACCATGGATGACAGCTCTGTCCAGGCAGCTGTGTCCTAGAGTCTGGCTTCTCCTGCTTCTTCTGTACTCACACAGTATGCCAGCCTGCCAAGCATAGTACCAGGCTTCCTGAGTGACTGTCTGAAAGGGTTGGATGCTATAAGAGAAATGTGAAGACATTAACACTCTCCGAGGCAAACTTTGATGATGAGGGAAATGGAGACCGAGGGGTGCAGGTGGTTAAATTCCTTGGATCGATGACTCTGAGGCACTGTGTCTCCACACAGCCTGTCCTGAGATAGTGTAGGGGAGCAGATGTACCTGCTGAGAGACCAGCTGTCACCTGTGGCTTTGTGGTGAAGCAATGATCGGTGTGGGTAAGCATCACCTTGCATGGTTTCCCATCTTCCCCTGTTTAAGTTCCCTTTTCCCTTGCGCTTGCTGCCCTGACTTTGTACCTCCCAAATACTCCTGGATACAACATCATCACTCAGTCCTTGCTTCACGCTCTACTTTCTAGAGAACCCAGGCTAGAACATTGGCATAACTGCTAGCTGGAAAATAAAATTTTTAAAAAACGGAAACACCTTATTCATTACAAACACTGGCAAGCAATTTTGGGGCTGATTCTGAGCTATCATTTCATCAATGACATACTCCGGCATTATGTATAATCAGATCAGAGGAATCATCATCACTCTGTGAAATACAGGACTAGACAATGTATCAGTCAGTTCTAACTAGAAAAACAGAAACCATCCTAAGAATTTGAAACAAAGGAAATTAATCCATGAATTGTTTACACAGGTCATGGAAGAGCTGAGATGCCAAACAGAGGACTGTGAAGCAATCCAGAGATTTGTAAAAGCAGAAAGTTGCTACCGCCCCTAAGCTGGAGAGATAACAGTAGGAATCAGTGTTACCAGCTGCCAGAGCCACTGGGGGAAGTTGCAACAAACCATCGAATGCCTGACTAGGTAGAGCTGAAGATATAGCTATGCTAGAGATGCAACTGGAGACACAGAGAGAGGGAGAAATATTCTGACTTCTCTCTTCTTCCCTCCAGTTTCTTGCCAGCATCTCCCATTGCCTGAACGCAGGAAGAGGCTGGTTGATCTAGGAGCCTGGGAAATGCAGCCTACAGGAGTTGGCACCTCTGTCACTCAGAGCACTTCAGGGGAAGGATATGGAAAGGAATAGCATAGGCTGAAGATTGGTCCAAAAAACAAGATAGGCTAACTAAACAAGATAGGCTAACTTGGAGAAATTGTTAGATAGTCAATAACTTTATGGGCCAAGGAAGTGTACAATGGGAGAAAAAATAGCACAGTTACAGCACAGCAGGCAACAGGATAAAACAGACCTGAGTTCAAATGGAAGATTTCCCTATTTATTGGCCATGTGACCTTAGATGAGTCATTTAATTTATCTGAACCTCAGTTTCCTTTCCTAATCTGTGTTGTAAAGATTATATGAGATTACTTATGTAAAGTGCTTAGCATATTAGCTGGCATCTAATAAGTAATCAATGAAAGACAACTCTTATAATAACAAGGGACCAGTATCTAGTTGGCTTAGTCTGTGATATGGTTTGACTCTGTGTCCCCACCCAAATCTCATCTTGAATTATAATCCCCATGTGTCGAGAGAGGGAGGGAGGTGATTGGATCACAGGACAATTTCCCCCGTGCTGTTCTTGTGATAGTGAGTTCTCACGAGATCTGATGGTTTTATAAGCATCTGGCATTTCCCCTGCTTGCACTTCTCTCTCTCCTGCCACCATATGAAGAAGTTCCTTGCTTCCCCTTCCACGGTGATTGTCGGTTTCCTGAAGCCTTATTGGCCATGTGGAACTGTGAGTCAATTAAACCTCTTTTCTTTATAAATAACCTAGTCTTGTGTATCTCTTTACAGTAGTGTGAAAATTGACTAATACAGTCTGGTTCTTCAAAAAGCAAAGATTTGGATGAAGTAGTTTATTTGGAGGATGATCCCATTGCAAGGGAATGGGAAACTGAAACAGAGAAGGAAGAAAGCCAACAAATGGTGTATTAATAAGAGAGTACCACTGTGAACAACAAGGGTTCAGTCCCACAGAGGACCCTCTTAGGGAATGGTGTGTAATAACTTTGAATTGTAAAGTTTTTAAAAGGGGTGAGATAGCTGGAATTTTAGCTGCCAATTCCCATTCACAGTAAAAGCTGCTCCTGGCATTAACTCCTGGGCACTTTCGGCCTGCCCTTCATGAGGGCTAAGCCTACTGTCTCAGCCAGAGAACACCCTTAGGTAATAAGATGTAAGAACCAGGTGTGTACAGGTGCCACCCACAGGGGACCTGGGCAAACTGAGGAATATAGATTAATTATTGCTAGTAGCTACTGCTGCTGTATAGCTGAAAAAGATCTGGGATCATAGGGGGCTATGATCCCACCTAAAATCAGCACAGTTGTACTTCCCTGTTTCCCTAGACCAATACTTTTCAAAATTTTCTGACCAATATCCACAGTTAGAAATATATTTTTACATTGTGACACAGTACACATGAATGTTTATATAGTGCACATTTACACCAAAAGTTTTCTAAAATAATGCTTATTCTTTTGAAACAGCATGCACCCTAATATCTTTCTATGTCGCTAGATTTTTTAAAACAAAGATTGAAATTTCCAGTACTGATTTCAAGACCCTCTAAAAACCCTCAATTTATTGTCCTAGCTACTGCAAGTGTGTACTGCTGCAGTGATAAGGAGCTTGAGCAAGACTGTAAATAAATGATGTCACTATGCCCTAAAGTCATTAAGTACTAAACTAATTTCAGCTGACTTTTTTTTTTTTTTTATAGCAAGACAGTCTCAATGAAGGAAGCAGTATGTTGATTGGTATTTTAGCAGTAGGTCTTTATCTAGTCAGAGACTGGAAACAGTTAACAAACACACACTTTGAGCAGCACTGCCCTAGACCGTACTTGAATGGGGTTTTAAAAATGGGCTTAAGACTAAAAATGAATTTTTCTAATGCTTGCCCTTCTCTGTTGTTAAAAGATCCCCAGCCCTCCACAAGTCTTATTTAGTATTTCTTGGGGTCTCATAGGGTTATCTCTGACGAAGTTGCCAAACCATATTTACAGAAGGTTCCAACCTTCTCCTTAGCTTCAAAGGCTAGAATGAAAGATGAAGACCACTGCCCCCACTCTGCTCACCCCTGCAAGGAGGACCACTCAGCCCTTACTCCTGTGCTTCCTGCCTTTCCACTCCTGCCGCTGCCAGCATACTGGGAAATAAGGTTCAGGTGCCACTTCTGTGGACTAACAAAAGAAGGGAAACTGGGTCCTACACTGCAATTGTGGGCCCCCATCCCAGGTAACAGAGGAGCTCTGTGACGCTGCTATCTTCTAGGGCAACAGTCCTCAAACTGGAGTACCCTAGGATGCTCAACCCAGGGCAATTTTGCTCCCCCAGGTGACATTGGCAATGTCTGAAGACATTTTTGTTGTCACAACTTGAGTGGAGGAATGCTACTGGCTTCTGGTAAATAGAGGTCAGAGATGTTGCTAAATATCCTACAATGCACAGACCAGCCCTCACAACAAAGAAATATTTGACCCAAAAGGTCAATAGTGCCGAGGTTGAGAAAACCTGCCCTAGGGGTACACATAGGCTTCCCAGGGGCAAGTGGGCACTGGTCACTTTAAGCTGATTGGTTAACATGTCTTCCATTTCCATTTGCACCATCTCCTAAATTTGGTTTACCACACTCTGCAAGTTCTACTTTCCCACCTCCTTTTCACAGTGACCTCTCTTCCAAACCCCAAATATACTATCTGGGTATAAAAATCTTGCAGGGCAGCCAGTCGCGGTGGCTCACGCCTATAATCCCAGCACTTTGGGAGGCCGAGGCGGGCAGATTACGAGGTCAGGAGATCGAGACCATCTTGGCCTGTTAACATGGTGAAACCTCATCTCTACTAAAATACAAAAAATTAGCCAGGCGTAGTGGTGTGTGCCCGTAACCCCAGCTACTTGGGAGGCTGAGGCATGGGAATCACTTGAACCCGGGAGGCGGTGGTTGCAGTGAGCTGAGATGGTGCCACTGCTGCACTCCAGCCTGGCAACAGAGCAAGACTCCATCTCAAAAAAAAAAAAAAAAAAAAAAAAAAATCTTGTAGGGCAAGCCAGGTGTGGTGGTGCATGCCTGTAGTCCCAGCTACTCATGAGGCTGAGGCAGGAGGATCATTTTGAGCCTAGAGGTTCCAGGTCACCATGAGTTCTGATTGTGCCATTGTATTCTAGCCTGGGTGACAGAGTGGAGTCTTGTCTCTTAGAAAAAAAAAAAAAAAGATTTATGCCAGACATTTCTATAAACCAAATTGGATAAATCTTCAGGGCAAGGTATAATATATAAAATATGACAGGGATTACATCCTTTGCAACCGTTTACATTTATAATAGAAATCTTTACATGTTAACTTTTTTTTTTTTGAGACAGAGTCTGGCTCTGTTGCCCATGCTGTAGTGCAGTGGCACAGTCTCGGCTCACTGCAACCTCTGCCTCCTGGGTTCAAGCAATTCTCACGCCTTAGCCTCCCAAGTAGCTGGGTTTACAGGCACCTGCCACCACGCCCAGCTAATTTTTGTATTTTTAGTAGAGATAGGGTTTTGCTATGTTGGCCAGGCTGGCTTCAAACTCCTGACCTAAAGTGATCTGCCCACCTCGGCCTCCCAAAGTGTCGGGATTACAGGCACGAACCACCACACTCAGCCCTACATGTTAACATAAAAATGTGAGAGATGGAAATACATATCAGAATAGTGGTTACCTGTGGGAAGGAGAGAGCAGGTATCAACAAGAAGGGAGCATGAAGGAACCTCTCAAGCTGCTGGAAGTGTTCTATACCTTAATCTTGGTGGTGGTAACATGCATGTATAAATATATGAAAGTTCACTAAGCCTTACACTTAAGATTTTTGTACTTTACATAAGTTATATTTCAATTTTTTAAAAGCAAAAGGGTTTTTCAAAATTATTTTGGGATAATAATCAAGCAAAAATATTTGAAGACCACTGTTCTAGGAGACTGAGAGGACTAAGTCTTCCTAGCCTTATGTCCTTGCTTTCCGGCAGCCATGGTTTAAAACTTGTCTCTCCAGTCCTCTATCCTCAGGGCTTCCTCTTCCCAGGATGGCTCACTTTCCTCCCAGTCATTTCACCAAAGCCTCAGAAGTCAGACTCTGTGCTGGAGATTGAATGTTTGTATTCCCCCAAAATTTGTATTTGGAAACTTAATCCCCTAGGTGATAGATAGTATTAGGAGGCAAAGTTGTTAGGAGATGACTAGATCCTAAGGATAGATCCCTCATGAATGGGATTTGTGCCCTTAGAAAAGAGACCCCTGGCCAGGCATGGTGGCTCATGACTGAAATCCCAGCAGTTTGGGAGGCCAAGGTAGGAGGATTGTTTGAGGCCAGGAGTTCGAGACCAGCCTGGTCAACACAGCAAGAGCCCATCTCTATTATAAAGAAAAGAAAAGAGACCGGAGAGAACTCCCTTGTCCCTTCTACCATTTGAGGACACAGGGAGAAGATGGCCATCTATGAACCAGGAAAAGGGCCCTCACCAAACACTGGATCTGCCAGTGGCTTGATCTTGGACTTCCTAGACTCTAGAACTATAAGAAATAAATGTTTGTTTTTAAAGCTACCCAATCCATGGTCTTTTTGCTATAGTCGCCCAAACAAGGACACTCTGTGATCAATATGCCCCTTACATCTTGGACTTCTTCCCTGGGCATTTTCCTCCACCGCCTGGCTTAACTGAAATCTGCCTCTTCTCCTTGATGCCCTGGGACACCATCCTTTCAGACTGCACAAGCCTCAGGGTCAGGAGGAAGGGGCTGTGTCTTGCTCCTTTGATACTAAGTCAGGATGCTTCATCTGCTAAGAATCCTAGCATTCTCTCATCCTGCCTCGATTCCTGATCACTATCACTTAATGACTGCCTGGCCAGTGCCCTTCATCAATCAGAACCTTAATACCTGGATTACACACAGCCTTCTCTACTCTAAGCTCTGTTATTCAGTTAAAGTAATACTTAAAGAAAAAAATATTTTAACTTTCATGAAGTTCAATGTATCAGTGTTTTTTCTTTTAAGGTTTCTTTTTGTAGCCTATGTATAATAATTTTTTCTTAATCCAATTTTTCAAAGATTTTTATCCTACATCTTTGTGATGGTTAATTTTAGGTGTCAAGTTGACTGGATTAAGGGATGCCCAGATAGCTAGTAAGGCATTATTTCTGGGTAACTCTGTGAGGGTGTTTCTGGAAGAGATTGTCATTTGAATCAGTGGACTGAACAAGGAAGATCACCCTCACCCAATTTGAGGATGGGCAGGCATTATTCAATTGGTTGAGGGCAAATATAGAACAAAAAGGCAGAGGAAAAAATGAATTCACTCCCTCTTCTGAAGCTAAGATATCCATCTGCTTCTGCTCTTGGACATCAGAACTCCAGATTCTCTGACTTTTGGACTTAGTGACTTGTATCAAGCAGCCCCCAGGTTCTCAGGCCTTTGGCCTGAAACCAAGAGTTACACCATTGGTTCCCCAGGTTCTAAAGCCTTTAGACAGGGACTAAGCCACCTGCTTCCCTGGTTCTCCAGCTTGCAGATGGTCTATCATGGGACTTCTCAGTCTCTGTAATCATGTGAGCCCATTCTCATAATAAATTGCTTCTTATATCTGTATCTATATCTCTCCTATTGGTTCTGTTTCTCTGAAGAACCCTGGCTAATACAATCTTTTTTAAGATATGCTATAGTTTTGGCCGGGGATGTTGGCTCACACCTGTAGTCCTAGCACATTGAGAGGCCGAGGCAGGAGGATTGCTTGAACCCAGGAATTTGAGATCAGCCTAGGTAACATAGCGAGATTCCCATCTCTACAATACATACATAAATAAAATAAAGTTAAATTTAAAAAGATATGTTACAGTTTTAACTTTACCATTTAGGTCTATGATCTATTTTGAATTATTAATAATTTTTATATATAGTATTAGTTAAGGGTCAAGTTCCATTTTTTCCATATAAACATACAGTTGTTCCAGCACCATTTGTTGAAAAACTTTCTCCATTAACTCGATGCCTTTGTCAAAAATAATATATAAATTTTATTATCATATTTTTAATTTTATATTATATACATATATTTGGGGAATCCTTATTTTGTTTTATGACTCTATATGTCTGTCCATAAAACAATTCCACACTGTCTTGATGACTGTAGATTTACAATAAACCTTGAGATCAAGTGGCAAAAACCCTTCAACTTTGTTCTTTTTCAAAATTATTTTGGCTTTTTAACATCTTCATTATTTCCATATGAATTTTAGGTGAATCAGCTCATCAGTTTCTATAAAATGTTTGTGGGTATTTTGATTTAGACTGTGCTGAATCTATAGAGCCTTCTTTGTTCTGATCTTCCTGGGGAAACACATTCCATCTTTCACATTGTGGTAGTTTTGAAATACATGCATAATTTCTCTAATATTCCTCCCTCAAAAAGTGGAGCCTAATTCCCCTCTTCTTGAATGCGGGCTGCAGTTAGTGGCTTGCTTCTAACGAATATACTCTAGTGGAAATGATGGTATATGATCTCCAAAGACTAGATGATAAAAGGCACTGTGGCTTCCTCCTTGCTTTTTCTTTCTTTCGGATCACTTATTCTGGGGGAAGCTGTGTGCCAAGCCATGAGGACACTCGAGAAACCTTATGAAAAGATCTATATGGTAAGGACAAGAGGCTTCCTACAAATAACAATTAAGGAACTGAGGCCTTCCTCCAACAGCTATGTGAATGAGCAATCTCGGAAGTAAATCTTCCAGCCCCACTCATGCCTTCAGATGACTGTGGCCCTAGCTGACATTTTGATTGCAACCTCATGAGAGAACTTCAGTGAGACTCACCCAGTTAAGTGGCTCTCAAATTCCTAATCCCCAGAAATTGTGAGATGATGAGTACTTATTGTTTAAGCTGCTAAATTTTGGGGTAATTTGTTACATAGCAATTGATAACCAATGCAACTATTAAGTATCATATCTTCTGTAGAAGCCCTTGTCATATTGAGAACACTCCCTTCTATTACTAGTTTGCTGACAGTATTCATCATTAATGGGTGCTAAATTTTGTCAAGTAACTCTTCTAAATATATTGTGATGATTATATGCTTTTTAACCTGTATTCTGGTCATATAGTGAATTATAATTATTGATTTTCAACATTAAACCAAGCTTTCATTCCTGGGGTAAACTTTATCCTTGTGGTATATGGATGCAATGAGATAATATTGAGTAATAAAAAGGAAAAAAAACTGATACATGCAACAACATGGATGAACTTCAAAAACGTCTGGTTCCATTTATATTAAATTCTTAAAATGACAAAACTAATCTAGTAACAAAAGTATATTAGTGGCTTCATGGGGCCAGAAAATAGGTAGGAATTGACAGCAAAAGGTAGAAGAAAAGGGTAATATATATGTTTTATATCTTGATTATGATAGTAGTTACACAAATGCATAACTCATTAATCAGTACCCTTAAAACAGGGGCACTTAAATGTATATGAATTACACTTAACAAGAGAATTCCTGTTTTGAGGCCAGGCGTGATGGCTCATGCCTGTAATTCCAACACTTTGGGAGGCCAAGTCGGGTGGATCACTTGAGGTTAGGAGTTTGAGACCAGCCTGGCCAACATAGTGAAACCCCATCTCTACTAAAAATACAAAAATTAGCCAGGCGTAGTAGTGGGTGCCTGTAATCCCAGCTACTTGGGAGGCTGAGGCCGGAGAATCGCTTGGGCCTGGGAAGTGGAGGTTGCAGTGAGCCAAGATCATGCCACTGCACTCCAGCCTGGGCGACAGAAAAAGACTCCATCTAAAAAAAAAAAAAAAAAAAAGAAAGAATTTATGTTTTGAGGCCAAATGCGGTAGCTCATGCCTGTAATCCCAGCACTTTGGGAGGCCGAGGCGGGTGGATCACTTGAGGGTAGGCATTCGAGACCAGCATGGTCAACATAGCAACACCCTATTTCTACTAAAAATCCAAAAAAAAAAAAAAAACAGGCATGGTGGCACACACCTGTAATCCCAACTACTCGGGAGGCTGAGGCAGGAGAATTACTTGAACCCAGGAGGCAGAGGTTGCAGTGAACTGCGATCATGCCACTGCACTCCAGCCTGGGCAACAGAGTGAGACCCTGTCTAAAAATAAAAAAATAAAAATAAAAAGAATTTATGCTTTGAAAGTTTATACTTGAAGTCTGTAAAACTAAATATTGAAAATTAGTCTTCTAGTAATGTCCGTTGAAATAAAAATGCTAAAACAATAGGTCTAGGGTATCTTTAAATAGTTATCTGAGTTCCAACTAAAGCTAGCAATTTGGTTAATGACCACAGTAAGGGGGAAAACACTGGCCTAGTTAATGGATTTAATCTATTCCCAAGTTTAAATGATTGTTAAGTAAAGGCTCTGTCATGCATAGAATCATTACTTAGGAAAACATCCTCACTGAGCCTGCTTTCCTGGGGTGAAATTCAAATACACTTGAGAAATCCAAACTCAAGTCAATTGTCCAAAGGAATAAACCTCTACTTAAATGATCCCAGCCTCCCAGCCTCAAAATGGAGGGTTAAAAAGAAACACAATCCATAACTTTTCTGGTATTTTTTTTTCCTCTGCGATGACAGCATTTCTCCTTTAGCCATGATAATCTTCAAATCTGTCTCACCCTGAACTAGGACCCTTCAGCCTGAAACACAGAAATGGTACAACTGCCAAGAGTTGTTACTAAATAAACAGCCATAAAAATGATGTCGTTGATAACAGAAACAATTAACATTATCAACTGTAAATTACTGTCAGTAAAAACAGAGATTTATTCATTATTACCATGCCCAATGCTGACCCTTCTTTCTCTTATTTTTGCATTTGCAGAAAACGAAAAGATTTAAGGAAATGAGAGCCTACCTCTAAATTGGTAATTGCTGTGGTTGTGCTGTCATTCTTGTCACTTTCAGGTTGGAATTCCAGAATTGCTGCTGTCCCTAGGTCAGACTCTCCTGGATTCCTCAGCTTGTCATTCTAGCAACTAGAGCAGAAGAAAAAGAAAAGGGCTCTATTAATCAGAATTCTCCATAAAAATAGAACCAAGAGGAGATGATAGATGATAGATAGATAGATAGATAGATAGATAGATAGATAGATAGATAATAGAGATAAAGATGAGATTTATTATGGGAATTGGCTTATGCAATTAGGGAGGTCAAAAAGTCCCATGATCTGCTGTCTGGGAGCTGGAGATACAGAAAAGCCAGTGATGCAACTCAGTCCAAGTACAAAGACCTGAGAACCAGGAGCTACAATGTTTGCAGGCAGTAGAAGATAGATGTTCCAGCTGCAGAAGAGAGAGATAATTCACCCTTTCTCTGCCTTTTTGTTCCATTTGGCCCTCAGTGGGTTGGATGATGGCTGCCCACGTTGGAAAGGGTGAACCTTTACTCAGCCTACAGACCCAAATGCCAATCTCTTCTGGAAACTCCTTATAGATACACCCAAAAATAATGTTTTACGTCCTAACTGTGCACCCCTTCTGTCAAGTTGATATATAAAATTAACTACCACAAGGGCTAAGGTAGCTGTCAGCTACATTAAGCTTTCCTCTTTCTCTATTCTTTTATTTTGGGGGCAGAATCTGAGAACCCCATTATCTGCAACCCCTATTTTCTAGTGGAGGAAGCCAAGGGCTAATTCTGCCAGTGTAGTGAAAGATGCCTTTCACAGGGAATCCTGAAGAGCACTGAAGCCAAGGAAGATGCCAAGTGCGTGCAGGTCAGCTAAGGTCAGCGAGTTCAGGAGGAGCTGGGAGCCAATGGCAAAAACCAAAGGATCCTAATCAAAAGGACAGATGATAACAAGAGTAGGTGAAGATATGAAATAATTGGAACCCTCATGCACTGCTGGTGGGAATGCAAAATGATCCAGCTGCTTTGGAAAACAGTCTGATAGTTTCTCAAAAGGTTAAAAGTAGAGTTAGTATACAACCCGGCAATTCCACTCCTTGTTATACACCCAAGATAAATGAAAACATATGTCTACACAAAAACATATACACAAATTTCATAGCAGCATTATTCATAGTCACCAAAAAGTGGTAACAACCCAAATGTCCATCAACTAAAGAATGGATGAAGAAAGTATGGACCTGGTAGCTCACACCTGTAAATCCCAGCACTTTGGGAAGGAGGATTGCTTGAATCCAGGAGTTTGTGACCAGCCTTGGCAATACAGTGAGACCCGTTTCTTCAAAAAAAATTTAAAAATTAGCTAAGAGTGGTGGCACACACCTGTAGTCCCAGCTACTAAAGAGGCTGAGGTGGGAGGATTGCTTGAGCCTGGGAGGTTGAGAGGTTGAGGCTACAGTGAGCCACGGTTACATCACTACACTCCAGCCTGGGTAACAGTGAGACCTTTTCTTTAAAAAAGAGAAAAAGATACATCGTTATAATGGAATATTCAACCCTAAAAAGGATACATGTTACAAGATAGATAAATCTCAAAAACATTAGGCTACATGAAAGAAGCCTGTCACAAAGAACCACTTATTGTATGATTCCATTTCTATGAAATGTCCAGAATAGGCAAATCTATAGAGACAAAAAGTAGATTAGTGATTGCCTGGAACTGGGGGGTGGGGGAGGCATGGAGGGACTAGGGGTTGATGGATAAGGAGTACAATGTTTCTTTTGAAGGTGATGAAAATATTATGAAATAGTGGCTACCCAATTATAGGAAAAGCTATTGAATTGCACACTTTAAATGTGTGAATTGTATGGCATGTGAATTATATTTCAATAAAGCCATTACGAAAACAAACAATAGAACTAGGGGACCGGGGCAGGAATGGAGAACCCAGACGTTAGCTGGAAGGCAGAAGTTGACAGAGAGAGCAGGCAGGCAGGCAGCTTGAGGCGGTTCCTAGGCTAGCTGTTTTGTGCTGCTGCTGTGCTGGGTCTGCGCTGCACAAAGTGAGGCACTGATAGGGCCAGCTGAATTTAAAGGGGCAGGGATATTGTAGACATCTACCGTGCAAAGAGCTGCTGTTTTTACAACAGAAGACTGCTTTTATAGTTGCTGCTATTAAAGAATTCCAGAGAGGCTGCTCCTGTGTCATGACTATGGGGGAAGCATGAGGTGAGCACTATGTTGATTTGTTTATTTAGACCCTCAGAGTCAAGAGATTGAGTTACTCAGGCTCAGTTCAAGTCTTTTTTTTTTGTATATTCCTTTATTTAGTCCTGTTTACCTCCATATTCCACCTTAGCAACCATTCTAATCGGCATAGTGGGAATCTTTTGGTTTACATGTGTAGGCTTGAATATTGAGTGTTAACCATTTTGCATGCATGTATATGTATCTCACATTTAGGAAATATTATTATATTGGATATCCCATTCTGTTTCTTCCTTTTTCACTCTATACTTTGTTTTAAAGACCCATCTGTGCTGTTAGGTATACATCTACTTCTTTGCTTCTAACTGCTCACTGGTGGTGTCTATTGCACATTACCTATCCACAATCCCTGTGATTGGCATACACGTTGCCTTCCTGTCCCTGTACTCCGAATAACATGTGGAACCCATGAGACTATGCCTCACAGACCTCCAATTGCAGGAGTGTAATTGACCTAAGTCTTAGCTCTGAGCTCTGAAATCTATCTCTGGGTTTCACCTGAGGCCTTGCTTCCTGTGGGCTGCTCCTAGCCAGTGACTGAGCAGAGCAGGTGACTAAGACAGGCTCATTCCTGGGAGACAGGGGACTCCTCCCATGGCTGATTAGGGCTTGAGGACTTCCTGGTGGATTTGGAGAACCTTCCACCAGGTTCTTAGGATGCTTCCACCAACCTTCCTTCCCTCTCCTTCACTTGGGGTCAGACTTCACTGTGGTATGAGTTCTCCCATCCATCCCTATTTTCTCTCACAGGTATTCCGTCTAAGAAAATCTTTGTACGTTTAATTGGTTTAATCTGCATCTTGGCATCTATTTCTTAGACGACCCATGCTAACCCTAGTGCTATACCAAACATCTTTGTACATATCCCCTGAGGAGGATGTATAACGGTTTCTGGGGGATGTACACCTAGGAGGGAAATTGCTGGGTCATAGGGTGGGGCCAGGTTGCCCCTGGAGTGGCTGCTCCCACCTGGATTCTCACCAGCAGTGCATGGGGTTCCCACGTCTTTGCATCTGTGCCTATTCATGGCATTATGCTGCTAATTTATGCCCACCTAAGAGGCATAGAGTGCCTCTTAGCTGTTTCAAATTCCTTTTCTTTGATTACTAAAATTATTGATCACTTCTTATACATATTAGTCTTTAGGGATTCCTTTTCTGTCAAAGGAATTGCCTACTTTGCCCACTTTAGTCATTTTTATGTTTGCATTCCTTTCTCTTTCTTTTCAGTTTTAGGAATTCTTTGTATATTCTACATACAAGAGCCACAGTATCTACCACATGGCCAAACTGAGAAAACGGGGTGTGGGGGAATCTCTTCAATTCTTCTTTTTCAATTTTGTATGATCCCTTGTTGTTTTTAGACATTGCAGGCATCTCCCAATTTGCCATCTAATAACTTTGTTCATGATGGCTTTGAACAGAAATTCTTAGTTTTAGCGTAATTGACAGCATCATTGCGGCGGGGGAGCGGGTTGTTTGTGCATCACATTGTGGTCCAGAGCTTGAACCATGGCCAGGCACACCCAGACTTCATTCCTGGCTCACCGTGTCCTTGATGTTACCTAGTTCAGTCACTTCCCTGTTTTTTTTCACTTTGACTTTCCCCATCCCTAACTATTAGAATGACCTGACCAAATGTTACTAAAACAAACACTATAAATAATATTGAGTCCTTTAATGATGACTATCCCAAGTATTACTTCTTGACACAGGTGATTTTCATGGCGTGGGACAAAGTGACCTTAAATCCTTGTAAAGCTGCCCTGAGAGCTCCAGCCTACTTACCATTTTCAAATTCAACCAGAGCAATACCATGCTTCCCAGGTACAAAACGTACTTTCTTGAAACCAGGGAACCGATTAAATAGCACAGATAACATCATCTCACGAGTCTCTGCTGGTAAATTAACTTAAAAATAAAACAGAATTCGGAGGGTAGTAAGAACCTGAGGATTTGGGTATCAGCTGAATTCAGTGTTTCCTGACCAGGCTTTCTGTTTGCGGTTGTTGCTATCTGTTCCACAGTTTGGGCTTTTTTCTTTTCTTTTGTCAGAAAAAGTGTCACACATCTTAGAAATTATATCAGAATCTGTTTTTGCCTACTGGATTTGCATTGGTTTATCATACAATGGAAATCCTTGTAACTGTCTCAAGGCATTTGTGGATGAGCCCAGTGTCCCGCACCCATCTTCATGGTCTTTAGAGCCACAATACTTACCACATGGCCAAACTGAGAAAACAGAGCGTGTGGGAATCTCTTCAATCCTTCTTCTTTAATTTTGTCATTCATATTGTTGATATAAATTAAGCAATTTGGTCTGATATCCATGTTTTGGATTCAATTGTTCAAATAGCCTGAGGCCTGCACCATCTCCAGTAAGCCCTCAGTAAGTTCCCTCTCTTTCAACTTTTCATCTCAAAAACAAGGACAATATGAGAGAATCCTACTCATCTAAAGCAACTGGGAAGACAGGTAGTTGGCTGATAAAAATAATCATTAAATACCCTACATATGTTAAACATTTTCTTTCAACTTAAAACATACAAAAATGTTCACTTATTTATACATGTTTATGTAGGGCTTAGGTCTTTTTTTTGAGAATGATCCGCTTACTGTACTTCACAATTTGTCTCTTACTTAATTTAGATTAATAGTACATTGGTGACAATTTTCAGTTTGGGATTCTTTATTTTTTAATTTTCTATTGTTTTAGAGATGAAGTTGCTCAGGCTGGTTTTAAACTCCCAGGCTCAAGCGATCCTCCTGCTTCTGCCTCCTGAGTAGCTGGGACTACTACAATAGGCATGCACCACCATGCCTGTCCTGTTTGGTATTCATTAAAGTGTAACAAAGCTGCACAGGATGGTGCATGCCCGTAGTTCCGGTTACTCAGGAGGCTGAGGTGGGAGGACTGCTTGAGCTCAGGAGGTTGAGGCTGCAGTAAGCTATGATCATGTCACTGCACTCCAGCCTGGGTGACAGAGTGAGACCCCATCTCTAAAAATAATGATAAAGTGTAGCAAGACCTTACATCTTCTAGATTTTTATAATTTTTTCTGCCTTTTACAGTTGTTCTTATTCAGATTTAATTGAACAGAAAGTTTTTTTAATTATATCTTTCCAAAGCATTGCACTTAATTTTCTTAGGAACAACTCTTTACGCTTATGTTTAATCAGTTTATGTACTCTTAAATTGTACAACTATACAAGTACAATAGGCTCAAAGGGTTTGGTAACAAACACAATTTTTTCTCTTAAGCATATGACTCAACATACTCAACATGTGTTATGTTGAGCAGAAGCACCCAGGCAAACCAGAGCACTTGGCTGCAAATGATCCACACGCCCTTGGAGTTGGTCGCTAGGGTTGTGGAGGAAATGGAGAGCCTTGGAGAATCTGGTGAAATGTTTAAGTAGGGCCTGCTAAGAGTTTCCATCATCAACCTTTTGGCTGGTTGTGTCAAACTCTGTGCCTGGCACTTAGTAAATGCTTAGTAATTGTTAATCATTATTAACACTAGACCAGTGATTCCTAACATTGATGTCATCTGTCCTTTCCTGTGCCCCCACACCTTGGGGACATTTGGCAATGCCTGGAGACATTTTTGGTTGTCACAACTGGAGAGGTGGAAGTAGTATCTAGTGGGTAGAGGCCTATCCTAAACATCTAACAGTATTCAGGACAGTCCCCTCATCAGAATGTCACTAGTGCCCAGGTTGAAAACCCTGCACTAATCTAAGTGCTTCTGAACATGAACCTTATATGTGCCTATTCATAATTGCATCTCTTGCACCTAATGCATCTCATGGTTCATAATAAAACCTTAATGTCTGTGTTGATGCATGCATGCACACTGACTAAATGAGTAGAAGGCCTCTAAGACAAGTCTGGCACATCTGCAGAGTGAGGCCCAGAACTTCAAAGGGGTGCAAACGAACCCTTCTCAGAAAATTGATCCAGACCACTCTGTGCCTGAGCCTGGCTCCCATGTGTTACAGCTGGTCAACTGCAATTGGCTGGATCCTGATCTGTTTATACTGTTCTTGCCTGCCATATTTACCCACTCAGAATTTTTAAATTCTTTTGATAACTGATCTCTGGCTTGATCCCTGAACTTTGCTCCCACCCTGCAATTCCCCTGGGCCCACGGCTCTGCACAGCCTGGCCCTCCACCCATCCACTAGTCTTCAGGTCCTCACTCTCCTGCCTGGCACCCAAGTGCTTGCTTCAGCTTCACCCCTGGCACAGAGATGATTAGACACCTCTAAATGGGGGTTAGAGCTGGTTAGAGAGAGACCCCAAGTGAAGAGAACAAAAGAAGCCTAGCCCAGGGAAGCAGAAGAAGCAGAACTTGCTTCTCACCTTTGTTCTACTGTTTATCAGCAGTATCTTAGGTAAAATCCCATATTTGCCTTTTCTTAACTCTCTGTTTTCTCATCCATAGAATGAAAACAATAATGCTTTTCAACCTATTCCACAAACTGGTTTGTAATAAAATCATAATATAAGGGTGATTTTCAGGAAGGTTTAAAAATAAATAAACATCTTTGGTGATGAAGAAAAATGTTGAAGAAAGCAACTTTATATATCTTTAACACTATTGTACTCTAACAGCCATATCTGACATTTGCGTAATGCTTAAAGTTCATAAAAGGCTTTATCTTTTGATCTTCACAACCTTACAAGACAGGTAGAGAAATGCTATTCCTACATCCCAGATGGGAAAACTGCAACCTGCAAAGGTTAGTGTTTTGCATGGTTTAAATAGCTAGTACATTTTAGAGAGACAAAGACCACGACCCAACCCTGTGCTCTTTTCACTATGATATCCTGCTACTAAGCGGGTCCTTTGAAGACACATAAAAATGATTTAAATAATAATAATACGGAATAATCACATTATAAGGAAGTCTGGCATAAAGGGGAGCTGCAGAGCATACGCCTTAAGGATATTTTAATAGTCACGTTCCAGAAGGTAAAATTGGGAAATAGTAAAACTAGACAATATTTTGTCTTTTCCTTTTTAAAACGTTGCACTTGGAGAGAATTTGCATGTGGCCCTGAAATTTCTCTGCTCATTCAAGTTTTGGCTCTTCCTTCTGTGGCATGAATTACAGAACAGCAAATGCCATAACTTTTAATTCACACATGACTGTTGCCTGTGCCACTCTGGGATTCAGCCAGGCTTAGAGATACTTACAGATGGACAGAAGGGGAGGAGACACCAAGACTTGGAAGTGTCTCTGTCCCCAGAGGTAAAACTCAAGGGAGAGAGAAGGAACCATGCAGCTGCAGCTACAATTAATTCTGGTTTGGTGCATGGTACAGGGCAAGTGCAATTGCAGAAGGTCTGAGTAAGCAGTTGAGGAGAGAAAAAGAGTTCCAGGATGTGTATGTAGCACAGGAATGGGGCATTCGAGGTGGATCACCCTTAGGAGTCCAGGTCGCCAAGCCAGAAGTCTATTAAGAGTGGAGATAGTGGCCTGGCATGGTGGCTCACGCCTGTAATCCTAGCACTTTGGGAGGCCGAGGTGGGAGAATCACTTGAGGTCAGGAGTTCAGGACCAGCCTGGCCAACATGGTGAAATGCTGTCTCTACTAGAAATACAAAAATTAGCCGGGTGTGGTGGTGTGCACCTGTAATCCCAGTTACTTGGGAGGCTGAGTCAGGAGAATTGCTTGAGCCCAGGAGGTGGAGTGAGCTGAGATCACACCACTGCACTCCAGCCTGAGCGACAGAGCAAGACTCCGTCTCAAAAAAAAAGAGTGGAGATAGTGGAACAGGAAAAGTTCCCTTGAAGTTCCCTTATCTCCCTCGCAGCGCATGTGATGGGGGTGTGGCTCACTTCTTCAGGGCCCCACTGCTCAAACCTCTAGGGGAGCATACAGACAGGGCGTCTGTGGGGCATGCTTACTGCTCCTGAAGCCCCAGTGGGCATGTGTTACAGGGTGCACTTTTAGTTTTGCTTTGCTCTTTAATTCTGCTGTCTATAGGTGGCTTGTATTAACCAGCTCAGTTAGACCCTCCATCTTGTCACAAGGACAGAGGGCTTTCTGTATCCCGGGTTGTTGCCTTGGTGTACCGAAGAATCAGATCACACCTGGGCTTGGAGAATGAGTGCAAGGTTTTATTGAGTGGAAGTAGCTCTCAGCAGATGGGGGAGCCAGAAGGGAGGTGGTTTTCCCCTGGAATCCAGCTGCTCGGCAGCCCAGGCTCTCCTCTGTCTGTCCCGGCCAAACTCCGTGTCGTTCTGCCGGTTGATGGCCTGCAGGCCTCTGTCGGTGTGCTCTTCCGCTAGCGTGCTCCCTTTGATGTCCCGACGTCCTTTTGCCGTCCAGCCTTTTGTGTTTTCTTCCACTGATGTGTTCCTCTTGCCATCCAGCAGCTTCTGTCTCTGCCTTGCTAGGGTCTCAGGTTTTTATTAGCCCATGGTGGGGGTGTGGTGAGCCAGGGCGGTCTTGGAAAATGCAACATTTGGGCCCAAAGGCAGAAGGGCCTGACCTCATCTATGTCCATGGGGGTAGAGCCCTACCCAGGGACCACGCAGTCCTCTACCCAGCACTTCCCTTCCCCGGTTCTGTATCATTTAAAGGGACCACGCTCTTCCCTTCCCAGCACTCCTGTATCAATAGTTGTGGGTCTGGTCCCTGGGAGCGAGACTGGCAAGACAAAGGCAGGCTCCTGTTCTAAGAGGATATGGGGATACCTTCCAGGTTAATAATGGGGATAGGCTCAAAGACCGAAGCCCAGATGCAAGAAATGGGACATGGGAAAGAAGACTGAGACTTCAAAAACAAAGTAGGCTTTGCTTAAGGATCTCTATGAGAGTTGGCTGTAGCTGAACTGGAACCGAAAGACTGTTCTGTGGGAAAAGGAAAATAAAGAACTAGGCTCCAGACAGGACAAAAAAGGCAGTGGACTAACAATGGTCAGTGTGCTGGTCAGTGGACCGTGGGATCCTTGATTGTTTCTGTGGCCCCAGAGTGATCACAGTACCAGGCATGCTGTAATCCTTGGGCTCTGGAACATTCTCTTCCCATATGCTGCTCCTGGAGTAACCTCATAGGTGGTATCACAGAGCTACTATTAGAGAGGTAAAGGAAAATTTGGAAAACTCTCTGGGTTGAGATTCTAAATATTTATAGTATTCTTAGCAACTGATCTTTAGTCAACTTCTTTTGCTCCTTGGTACCACCTGGCACCTGTCACCCACCCACAGAGGTCTTTCCAGGCAGCCAGCCTTGACCTCCTATGCTGGTGAAGTCTCCTTGAACAAGCCCATCAGGGACATCAAAGTGGGAGGGAGGACGGGAGGAAAAGAATATGGGAGGGAAGGAATCAGCTCTTATAGAGGTCTCAAATGGAAGGACACAAATGTAGTTTAGATATTTGTCCCCACCCAAATCTCATGTTGAGTTGTAATCCCCAATGCTGGAAGTCCGGCCTGGTGAAAGGTGTTTGCATCATGGAGGTGGATCCCCCATGGCTTGGTGCTGTCTTCACGATGGTGAGTTCTTGGGAGATACGGTCATTTAAAAGTGTGTGGAACTTCCCCCGCAACACACTCTCTCTTTCTTGCTCCTGCTTGTGCCATGCCAAGTGCCTGCTCCTGCTTCACCTTTTGCCATGAATAAAAGTTCCCTGACAGCTCCCCAGAAGCAGATGCTGTTATACTTCCTGTACAGCCTTCAGAACCAGGAGCCAATTAAACCTCTTTTCTTATAAATCATCCAGTCTCAGATATTTCTTTATAGTAATGCAAGAACGGCGTAACACAGACACTGAAAATGAAGTGGCATAGAGAGAAAATACAGGAGGCTGTCCAAGGCATCTTGTGTTAGGATTGAGTCACTGTTGTGTATAAATCTTTTCAGCACCAGTCTACAAAGGAATGAATAAGTAACGAATGGCTGAATGAACAAATCAGTGAATGATCAAAGAATCAATGGACTGAAAGATAAATCAACAATGAGGATAGTAAAATGACAATGTACCATCATCAGTTCACAGGTATAATGAGTGTGTGCATGTGTGTGTATGAAAGAGGAAGAGCCAAAGGATTGATGGGTGTAATAGGTATACAGAGTATTACTCTGGCTCTTACAGAGGAATTGGTGACAAACTAAGGAGGAGTCACAATCCCCAAAGTGCCTCAGAAGCCCTCATCCCTAGAATGGTAACAGACTTGTATAGCAGCTGCACCCTCACAGCTGACAGCTGTCATGTTTAACCCTCCCCTTCCCCCCTCCAACCACAGGGTATGGAGTAAGAAGGTCCCAAGTCAAAGGATGTTTCACTCAACCAGCCCTTTCTCTGAGAAGTCTCAATGTTTACTCTCTGACACTACGAAAGAGTCACTCACAGAGTATATAACTAATGCATTAATGCAGATGAAATCCTGTGCCTCTGAAAGACTAGGGACCCAGAATTGGCTAAAATAATACTTTATATGCACTGTACAGTGGAGTTGCAAAACTGTGGCTATACAGAATTGGGTGACCTCCAGCTTGATTTCATCTAGCCAATTGATATGGTTTGGCTCTGTGTCTCCACCCAGATCTCACCTTGAATTGTAATAATCCCCACGTGTCAAGGGTGGGACCAGGTGGAGGTAATTGGATCATGGGGGTGGTTTCCCCCATGCTGTTCTCGTGAGAATGAGTGACTCTTACAAGACTTGATGGTTTTATAAGCGTCTGGCATTTCCCCTGCTTGCACTCATTCTCTCTCCTCTCGCCCTGTGAAGAGATGCCTTCCACCACGATTGTAAGTTTCCTGAGGGCTCCCCAGCCATGTAGAACTGGGTGTCAATTAAACCTCTTTTCTTTATAAATTACCCAGTCTTGGGTAGTTCTTCATAGCAGCATGAGAAGGGACTAATACACCAATCTATGGGAGGAAAATGTTTGCCAATGGCCTGTTGTGACTGACCTCTTCTGGGTGAATATCAAATTCTCAAGTGATGGAGGGAAGCAAATACCAGGATCACATAGGGAGATTTGTAGAATCTCACATGATCCAGGCATTCCAGTGCTAGAGTGGTTGGCGTAAAATTATAAATTAATCAGTAAAAATAATTGTTTTCTACAAAGGGCAAAACAGCAATTTTAGGAAATTGGTCACACAATCCGATAGAAAGGAAAAGAAAAAACATGCTAAAATCACACTGTTAGGGGGTATGGGCCATGAATCTGTCCCATTGGGTTTCTGCCATCCCCATTCTGAAAAGCCCTACAGCCTACTAAGCCTTGTCTCACAACCCCAAGCTTACAAAGTGTACTAGATGTGCATGGTTTATCATAGAGGTATCATCTCCTTAGCAGGAGAAAAGGAACCAACACTGAGTGCCAGCTCAGTGCCAGGTGCTTCAAAGATTCTGAGAAAGATGTTCATCAATCAGGAAGGATTGAGATGAGATTCTGTTTTGAAACATACAATCCCAACGATGAAGACCCTCAGGACTATTAGAACATCTTTTCACGCAGTAACAGCAAAGTGTAATGAACACGGCTACCAATTTTAGGGGAAAAGCTGCCTGTTACTATTGTCAAGATCCAATAAATAATTCAGCATGGAAATAGTGACATCATTTTCATTGGGCAAAGTCCAAAATAAAAACCTTGCAGGTAAGTTCTTTGTAATACATCACACTCCGAAGATATATAAATAAATTGATTTGGCTTTCAGCTGTTAGAAAGTAGATTGCTGTTTTAAATGAACAAACAAATTATATATCTTTCCTACCAAGAGTAATACTTTCTATGTGGCCATGAAGAGACCTCCTAGAGAAGACATTGATGAGGCATAATCATCTTCTCACACTGTGCTTTGGTAGTTGCATAACTGGAAGGGAAGTCTGATGTGGAGGGAGTGCAACTTTATCAAACAAATGACCCAGTCATTTTGTTACCCTTCTGATACTAAAAGCACTTTATGAAACTGGGCCCCATGAAGTACTTAAATGACCTGTCTTCAGACTCTATCCCTCCATCCAAATGGCTTAAACTAAAATCATTACCATATAAACTATTTTGAAAATATTTATGTGTAATCCTGATAAAAAGTGTTTAGAGCAGCATGTTCTTAGCCACAGTATTTCCAAAAATATCTCTTGCAGATGCCAATAAATCAGTGCATAACCTGTATTATCTGTGCCTTCAACCATCTGCACTGTTCTTCATCTTTGAAGCCAGCTGTTGAAAGGCATTAATCACAAGGTTATGCCCCATCCAAACAGGATTGTTTGACAATGGCATACACAGTCATCCATGAGTTGGGCTGGTCTAATCACAATACAACACACATTGCTGATAGAAGATAAGGGTCTTTGCAACTGTGTGTGGCCTGCACAGTTGCACAATGTCAGTGAGGCCAAAAGGTGCTACCACGAGAGTAGAGAGTTGTTTTCAAAATGAAAAAATGTAAACTACTGCCTTGTTTGCCCTAAGATAGCTGATATATGAAATCTACCAGTCTGCTAAGATTTTAAAACCTCCAAATAGCAAAACTTGCAGTATACGTTCTATGAGTTTATCATAAATAAATAAAATCATACCTGATCCTTCATATTCTTATCTAACTCTGGTGTTAGTTGAAATAATCAAATTTTTAGGAGGTTTTTTTTTAACCAAATAATTACTCGCACAAACCTGAAAATAAAAGGCCTCTTTACCAGAATGGTTTCTACAGAATGTTAAATGCAACACTTAGGTTAATCTGTATCTCAGTGTGTAACCACATCCTGCCCTGCAGACCTCAGACATGGAAAAGTGTGGAAGAACAGCAATGGGCCTGTCTGCCCCAGGATGGGCTTACATCTCACTCTCTAAGGAATTTCAGTTGTAACAAACTTTGGAAGAAACTTTTATTTCAAGAGATTGTGATTCAAGTTATGAGGCCTGATGTTTTC